>NC_000024.10:226351-1426351 GCF_000001405.40 Homo sapiens
CCCGCTCCTCCCCTCGGGACCACCCCCAGACCCCCTGCTCCTCCCCACGAAACCACCCCCAGACTCCCTGCTCCTGTCCTCCGGACCACGCGACTGCTCCTTCCCTCAGCGCCACCCCCAGACTGCCGCTCCTCCTGTCGGGACCCCCTTCGGGCCACCTCCAGACCCTACCCCCGGTACACCCCTCGGGTCCCTCTCGGAACCATCCCCAGACGCTCGCTCCTCCCCTCGGAACCCCCTCGCCGCCACCCCCAGACCCCCGCTCCTTCCCTTGGGATCACCTCGAGACCTCCCGCTCACCACCATCATTCAGGCCGGGTAGTGGGGAGAGGCCTCTCAGGAGGGACCAGGCCACTCTCCCAGGAGTGAAGGGAGGAGGACAGAGTCACGAGCAGACCAGAAATAACCAGGGACTGACAGACAGCAGGATCGGAGAGGGACAGAAAAGGGCTAAGGGCAGGAAAAGTCCCTGAGGCTTTCTCCACCCGGAGTGCGGGGTAGGGAGCAGACGGAGAGTGACGGAGGGTGACGGAGAGTGACGAAAGTAGACGATGTCTGACGGAGAAGAGCCGAGCGGAGCTGAAGGGCGGCGGAGAGTGACGGAAAGTGGCGAGAATTGACGGAAAGTGACGGGGACTGACGGACAGTGACGAAGAGTCACGAAATTTATCAGAGGGCGACAAAGAGGAAAGCGAAATGGTGAGATGCAGCCGGCCGAGCCTAATCGGAGATGACGGAAAGTGACGGAGAGGAACGAGGAGTAAAGAGGGGTGACGAAAAGAGCCGAAGCTGGTGGAGGCGAAGAACTGAGTGAGGGAAGATAGCCGAGATTAGCGGGTGGGCTGCAGCCGGGGCAGTCGCCCGAATGGGCGGGACCCCACGGAGTTAGCGAGAGGATGCGAACAGCGGCCAGCCGGGCAGCACGCGAGCGAGGGAGGGCGTGGAGGGCCGTGGGTCCGCCTGCACTGAGGCAGGCATGGGTGGCACCGAGGTGACCCGGGCGGGAGGTGCACCGCCGCCCACTCGCAGGTTCTGCGCGGAGCCCAAGGCCGTCTTCTCCGCCCCTTTGCAGACCTCGGCGCCCAGCCTGGCCCCTGACGCCCACCCGCGGCCCCACCCAGCGCCCGGGCCCACGAGGCCGAGGAGCGGCGGAGACTAACGGCCCCTGGACCCCAGGCAGCACATGGCCCAGAGCATCCCAGCCCAGTGGAGGGCGGCACATGGCGGGAGGGCGGGAGTCTGTGTCCACTCATGGCCGAGGAGGGGAGGGCAAGTTCTGGTGGCTGGGGAGGCCTAGAGCATCACAGCCCAGTGGAGGGCTGCACATGGCAGGGGAGGGGAGAGCAAGAGTGTGCGGGCGAGGGAGGAGAGGGCAAGACTGCGTGTCCGCTCCAGTCTCTCTTCCTCATCTTATAAAGCCACGAGTCCCATGACTGGGGACCCAACCTAATAACATTATCTAATCCTAATTGCCTCCCAAAGGCCATATCTCCAATCAGGACATGAATTCGGGGATTAAATTGCCAACACATGGCTGGGCGCGATGCCTTGTGCTTTTTTTTTTTTTTTTTTTGAGACGGAGTCTCGCTCTGTCGCCCAGGCTGGAGTGCAGTGGCGCTATCTCGGCTCACTGCAAGCTCTGCCTCCCGGGTTCACGCCATTCTCCTGCCTCAGCCTCCTGAGTAGCTGGGACTACAGGCGCCCGCCACCACGCCCAGCTAATTTTTTTTTTTTTTTTGTATTTCTTTGTAGAGACAGGGTTTCACCATGTTAGCCAGGATGGTCTCGATCTCCTGACCTCGTGATCCACCCATCTCGGTCTCCCAAAGTGCTAGGATTGCAGGCCTGAGCCACCGCGCCCAGCTGCCTTGTGCTTTTAATCCCAGCACTTTCAGAGGCCAAGGCAGGCGATCAGCTGAGGTCAGGAGTTCAAGACCAGCCTGGCCAACATGGTGAAACCCCATCTCTAATACAAATACAAAAAAAAAACAAAAAACGTTAGCCAGGAATGAGGCCCGGTGCTTGTAATCCTAAGGAAGGAGACCACCACTCCTCCTGCTGCCCTTCCCTTCCCCACACCGCTTCCTTAGTTTATAAAACAGGGAAAAAGGGAGAAAGCAAAAAGCTTAAAAAAAAAAAAAAACAGAAGTAAGATAAATAGCTAGATGACCTTGGCAGCACCACCCGACCCTGGTGGTTAAAATAATAATAATAATAATATTAACCCCTGACCTAAACTACTTGTGTTATCTGTAAATTCCAGACACTGTATGAGGAAGCCCTGCAAAACTTTCTGTTCTGTTATCTGATGCGTGTAGCCCCCAGTCACGTTCCCCACGCTTCCTCGATCTATCACAACCCTTTCACGTAAACCCCTTAGAGTTGTAAACCCTTAAAAGGGCTAGGAATTTCGTTTTCGGGGAGCTTGGCTCTTCAGGCGCAAGTGTGCCGATGCTCCTGGCAGAGTAAAGCCCTTCCTTCTTTAACCCAGTGTCTGAGGAATTTTGTCTGCGGCTTGTCCTGCCACAATGCCAGCTACCAGGAGGCTGAGGTGTGAGAATCGCTCGAACCTGGGAGGCAGAGGTTGCAGCGAGCCGAGATCCCACGATTGCACTCCAGCCTGGGTGATAGATGACAGAGCAAGACACCATGTCAAAAAGAAAAGAAAAAAAATTGCCAACACATGAAATCTGGAGAACACATTCAAGCAATAGCACCATATAAATCTGTACATACCTTGCAAACACTGTAAACCTGCCGCATCTCACCTGAGACCAACCCCCAACTGCAAAACCCAGACCTGGAATTTTCCCAGGACCAAACCCATCTATATTCTGTAACCCGAAATCTCAAAGCCTAACCCTAACCCTAACCCCGACAGTTCAGGTCCCCCCGTCCCCGTAGCTCCAGCTCAAGACAACCTGCCCCTCCGTGGGTTTGCAGGCCCTTTGGTAGGGGTTGGGAGCTGGGGGCCACACACAGCTCTCTGAGCTTAAGCCATTTCCTTCCTTCCTTCATTCCTTCCTTCCTCCCTCCCTCCCTCCTTCCCTCCCTCCCTTTTTTTTTTTCAGGGTCTTGCTCTGTCACCCAGGCTGGAGTGCAGTGGCATGATCACAGCTGACTGCAGCCTCGGACTCCCAAGCTCAAGCGATCTTCCCGCCTCAGCCTCCAGAGTAGGTGGGACTACAGGAGTGTGCCATCGCACGTGGCGAATTTCTTAATTTTTATTTTGTAGAGATGAGGCCTCCCGATATTGTCCAGGCTTGGAAGTAGTTCTTGAAATTCAAGAGGATCTGGAAGTTCTGGTCTCCTGTCAATATCCCTTTCTAAGATGAAATGTAGAATCCTCTAATCACCCCAGGATACCTTTTCCAGCTATATTACCCTTTCCTTTCAGCCGACTAGAGTGGAAGCTCAGCAAAGAACGGATCTATGCCTGCACACAGGCAGCTTTGAACTCACTGAGATCTATAGAAGAATTTTTTAAAATTTGCCAGAATGAAAAAGAAGTATCCTCCAGTGAGCCTCAAGGACAGCCAGGGAAGGCAGCTACTGGGACCTGCCACTGGCCAGGATTGAGAGAGTCTGAGGTGTCCATTCTCCTATGGATGGGTCACACATCAGAACTGAACCACAAACCCTTTCCTGCTCCCTTGGGACCAGGCTGCCACTCCTTCCTTCCCCTCACCTTGACCCTCCCATTCGGCCCCACCTGTCAGGATCACAAGGACCCCCAGATCAGCAGATGGGAACCGGACCAAAAAGAGAAATAGCGCTGTCCCGCCCAAAAGTACCAACCCCAGACCCCCTGCTCCACCCTCCGAACCACAGGGAGACCCCATGCTCCACCCCTGAAAACCACACGCAGACCCCCGCTCCTCCTCTTAGGGCCATCCCCAGACCCCCCCCTCCTACCCACGGGACCACACCCAGAACCCCCAGCTCCTCCCCTCGGGACCACCCCAGACCCCCGCTCCTCCCCTCGGGACCACCCCCAGACCCCCTGCTCCTCCTCTTAGGACCATCCCCAGACCCCCCCTTCTACCCACGGGACCACACCCAGAACCCCCAGCTCCTCCCCTCGGGACCACCCCAGACCCCCGCTCCTCCCCTCGGGACCACCCCCAGACCCCCTGCTCCTCCCCTCGGGACCACCCCAGACCCCCGCTCCTCCCCTCGGGACCACCCCAGACCCCCGCTCCTCCCCTCGGGACCACCCCCAGACCCCCTGCTCCTCCTCTTAGGACCATCCCCAGACCCCCCCTCCTACCCACGGGACCACACCCAGAACCCCCAGCTCCTCCCCTCGGGACCACCTCAGACCCCCGCTCCTCCCCTCGGGACCACCCCAGACCCCCGCTCCTCCCCTCGGGACCACCCCCAGACCCCCTGCTCCTCCTCTTAGGACCATCCCCAGACCCCCCCTCCTACCCACGGGACCACACCCAGAACCCCCAGCTCCTCCCCTCGGGACCACACCCAGACCCCCCCTCCTACCCACGGGACCACACCCAGAACCCCCAGCTCCTCCCCTCGGGACCACCCCAGACCCCCGCTCCTCCCCTCGGGACCACCCCAGACCCCCGCTCCTCCCCTCGGGACCACCCCCAGACCCCCTGCTCCTCCTCTTAGGACCATCCCCAGACCCCCCCTCCTACCCACGGGACCACACCCAGAACCCCCAGCTCCTCCCCTCGGGACCACACCCAGACCCCCCCTCCTACCCACGGGACCACACCCAGAACCCCCAGCTCCTCCCCTCGGGACCACCCCAGACCCCCGCTCCTCCCCTCGGGACCACCCCAGACCCCCGCTCCTCCCCTCGGGACCACCCCAGACCCCCGCTCCTCCCCTCGGGACCACCCCCAGACCCCCTGCTCCTCCTCTTAGGACCATCCCCAGACCCCCCCTCCTACCCACGGGACCACACCCAGAACCCCCAGCTCCTCCCCTCGGGACCACCCCAGACCCCCGCTCCTCCCCTCGGGACCACCCCAGACCCCCGCTCCTCCCCTCGGGACCACCCCAGACCCCCGCTCCTCCCCTCGGGACCACCCCCAGACCCCCTGCTCCTCCTCTTAGGACCATCCCCAGACCCCCCCTCCTACCCACGGGACCACACCCAGAACCCCCAGCTCCTCCCCTCGGGACCACCTCAGACCCCCGCTCCTCCCCTCGGGACCACCCCAGACCCCCGCTCCTCCCCTCGGGACCACCCCAGACCCCCTGCTCCCATTTTCCAGACCACACCAGACGGCTTCTTCCCTCGGCACCACCCCCAGACTGCCGCTCCTCCTATCGGGACCTCCTCGGGGCCATCTCCAGACCCTCCCCCCGCTCCACCCCTCGGGTCCCTCTCGGGACCACCCTCAGACCCCCGCTCCTTCCCTCGGGATCACCTCGAGACCTCCCGCTCACCACCATCATTCAGGCCGGGTAGTGGGGAGAGGCCTCTCAGGAGGGACCAGGCCACCCTCCCAGGAGTGAAGGGAGGAGGACAGAGTCACGAGCAGACCAGAAATAACCAGGGACTGACAGACAGCAGGATCGGAGAGGGACGGAAAAGGGCTAAGGGCAGGAAAAGTCCCTGAGGCTTTCTCCACCCGGAGTGCGGGGTAGGGAGCAGACGGAGAGTGACGGAGGGTGACGGAGAGTGACGAAAGTAGACGATGTCTGACGGAGAAGAGCCGAGCGGAGCTGAAGGGCGGCGGAGAGCGACGGAAAGTGGCGAGAATTGACGGAAAGTGACGGGGACTGACGGACAGTGACGAAGAGTCACGAAATTTATCAGAGGGCGACAAAGAGGAAAGCGAAATGGTGAGATGCAGCCGGCCGAGCCTATTCGGAGATGACGGAAAGTGACGGAGAGGAACGGGGAGTAAAGAGGGGTGACGAAAAGAGCCGAAGCTGGTGGAGGCGAAGAACTGAGTGAGGGAAGATAGCCGAGATTAGCGGGTGGGCTGCAGCCGGGGCAGTCGCCCGAATGGGCGGGACCCCACGGAGTTAGCGAGAGGATGCGAACAGCGGCCAGCCGGGCAGCACGCGAGCGAGGGAGGGCGTGGAGGGCCGTGGGTCCGCCTGCACTGAGGCAGGCATGGGTGGCACCGAGGTGACCCGGGTGGGAGGTGCACCGCCGCCCACTCGCAGGTTCTGCGCGGAGCCCAAGGCCGTCTTCTCCGCCCCTTTGCAGACCTCGGCGCCCAGCCTGGCCCCTGACGCCCACCCGCGGCCCCACCCAGCGCCCGGGCCCACGAGGCCGAGGAGCGGCGGAGGCTCGCGGCCCCTGGACCGCAGACCGCGTTCCCGGAGCCCGGCCGAGCCCCGAGTGGGGCCCTCGCGCGGACTGAGAGGGCGGCGGAGGGGCCACGGGGTCCTGCCCAGCCCGCATCGCGCATGCTGCTCGGGACCGGCGGCTGCCTTGGGCCAACCCTGTTCCCGCAGCGACCCCCCTACTCTTCTGACACGTTCCCATTTTGCTGAAGACACTTGGAGCCAGTGTCATCTTTGTGACTGTACCGTTGCGTGTTCGGGGTGCACTCTGCCGTATTCTCTTTGCAGAGCACCTAAGGAAGCAGGCGTCGTGCCTAAGAACGTGAGTGCTGCAAAAAGGGTGGTTTGTTCCAATCCAACCTTGACCGCTCCTGGCCCTCCCGCATGGGTCAAGCTCACTAAACGTCTCTGTGCCTCCATTTCCTCGGCAGAAGAACAGGGACAGTAAATGTACCCGTCTGTATGAGTGTTCAGGGCCGCCATAAGGTACCAAGACTGGAGGGCTTCACTGAAAATTATCTTCCCACAGAC
Organism: Homo sapiens; assembly: GCF_000001405.40. Classification (NCBI taxonomy): domain Eukaryota; kingdom Metazoa; phylum Chordata; class Mammalia; order Primates; family Hominidae; genus Homo; species Homo sapiens. Next base: position 233,153 of record NC_000024.10, read on the forward strand.
CTGGAGGCTGAGGTCCGAGAGCAAGGTGTTGTCAGCAGGGCTGGTTTCTCCTCTCCTCGGCTTGCGGACGCCGTCTGGTGTACGCTCATAGGGTCTTTTCACTGTGCACAAGTATCCCTATCGTCTCTTCTGTGTGTGTCCACACTTCCTCTCATGAGAACAGCAGGTTGCTTTAGGGCCCACCCTGACAGCCTCGTTCTAATACTATGAGGCCAAATACACTCACGTTCTGAGGCAGTGGGGGTTAGGGCTTCAACATCGACATCCGAGACTGGGAGATGATAAATTCCTGTTGACGTACCCACCCGGTTTCTGGTCACTGGTTATGGCAGCCCCCAGGAAACCAGCCCACAGAAACAGCAGTCCCTCCACTTGGTTCTGATCCAGGATGAAGCCGGTGTAGACCGCCAGCGTTTGGGGAATGTGAATGCCTGATACGAAGGAATTCTTTGTGCCATATTGTTGCCTTAATGTAACTGTGAAGTTGCGTCAAAATAAACATTAATGGCCGGGCGCGGTGGCTCACGCCTGTAATCCCAGCACTTTGGGAGGCCAAGGCAGGTGGATCACGAGGTCAGGAGATCAAGACCATCCTGGCCAACACAGTGAAACCCCATCTCTACTAAAAATACAAAAAATTCTCCGGGCGCGGTGGCGGGCGCCTGTAGTCCCAGCTACTCGGGAGGCTGAGGCAGGAGAACAGCGTGAGCCCGGGAGGTGGAGCTTGCAGTGAGCTGAGATTGCACCACTGCACTCCGGCCTGGGCGACAGAGCGAGACTCCATCTCAAAAAATAAAAATAGAAAATAAACATTAATGAAAATTCTCAGCAAAAGTCATATATATTCTCGCCAAGGCGACACACCAGCTAATTACTGTGTCGACTCCTTTGTTTTGGGCTCGATTTTATGAACTTGGTGCAGTAACACCTGCCGTTTACCTCTGGCCTATCCAAAGCCCAGATAAGCACAGGCAACAAAAGCACAAATAGACAAATGGTCCAACTTCGAGGTTAAACATTTCTGCACAGGAAACAACAGTGGAAAGGCAAGACATGGAATAAGAGGAAATAACTGCAGATTATATGTCTGGTACGTCGGATATTCGTCCAGCACATATAAAGAGCTCCTGCAACTGAACAATTGAAAAACAAGTTAACTGATTGAAAAATGAGCAAACGACCTGAATAGATATTTCTCCAGAAAAGATATACAAGTAGCAAACAAACATGGAAGGATCCTCAACATCAGTAATCATTAGAGAAATACACATCAAAACCACAGTGATAGCACCTCACATCCATGAAATGCTACAGTGAAACAAAAATAGTGTTAACAAGGATGTGTGGAAATTGGAGCCCTCGTGGATTGCCTGTAGGACTAGAAAATGGTGTGGCCACCGTGGAAAACACTATGGAGCCTCCTCAAAAAAGCACTAAATATCAGGCTGGGCACAGTGGCTCACACCTGTCATCCCAGCACTTTGGGAGCCCGAGGCAGGTGGATCACAAAGTCAGGAGTTCGAGACCAGCCTGGCCAACATGGTGAAACTCCGTCTCTACTAAAAATAAAAAATTAGCCGGGCGTGGTTGTGGGTGCCAGGAATCCCAGCTACCCGGGAGGCTGAGGCAGGAGAATTGCTTGAACCCCGGAGGCAGAGGTTGCATTGAGCCGAGATCGCGCCACTGCACTCCAGCCTGGGTGACAAAGGAAGACTCCATCTCGGGGGGGCGGGGTGGGGGGAAGCAAACACAAAATAATTAGCTGAGTGTGGTGACAGATGCCTATAGTCCCAGCTACTCGGGAGGCTAAGGCAGGAGAAGCGCCTGAACCAGGAGGTGGAGGCTGCAGTGAGCCGATTATGCCACCGCACTCCACCCTGGGCGGCACAGTGAAACTCCATCTCCGCAAAAACAAAACCAGAAAAATAACAACTAAAAATCACTTGGGTGTGGTGATGTGCAGCTGCACTACCGGCTACTTGGGAGGCTGAGGGAAGGGGATCACTGAAGCCCAGGAGTTCAAGGCCAGCCTGGGCAACATATAAAACTCTGTCTCTTAAAAAATAAATAAATAACCAGAAATGGAACCACCTATGAACCAGCAATCACATTACTTCTCCGACTAAATCCAAAAAGATTGAAAGCAGAGTCTGGAAGGGATTATTGCACAACCGTGGTCGTTACAGCAGTATTCACAATAGCCAAAAGATGGAAGCAGCCCGGTGCCCATGATCGCATTATGTTATGACACCACCACTTCTCCTGTTGTCCTTTCCAGTTTCTCCCCAACCTCCCCTTTTCCCTAGTTTATAAGACAAGAGAAAAGAGAGAAAGCAAAAAGTTGGAAAGAAACAAAAGTAAGATAAATAGCTAGACGACCTTGGTGCCACCACCTGGCCCTGGTGATTAAAATAATAATAGTATTAACCGCTGACCAAAACTACTGGTGCTATCTGTAAATTCCAGACATTGTATGAGAAAGCACTGTAAAACTTTTTGTTCTGGCCGGGCGCGGTGGCTCACGCCTGTAATCCCAGGACTTTGGGAGGCCGAGGTGGGCGGATCATGAGGTCAGGAGATGGAGACCATCCTGGCTAACACGGTGAAACCCCATCTCTACTAAAAATACAAAAAATTAGCTGGGTGCAGGCCGGGCACGGTGGCTCCAGCCTCTAATCCCAGCACTTTGGGAGGCCGAGGCGGGTGGATCACAAGGTCAGGAGATCGAGACCATCCTGGTTAACATGATGAAACCCCGTGTCTACTAAAAATACAAAAAATTAGCCGGGCGCGGTGGCGGGCGCCTGTAGTCCCAGCTACTGGGGAGGCTGAGGCAGGAGAATGCTGTGAACCCGGGAGGCGGAGCTTGAAGTGAGCTGAGATCACACCACTGCACTCCAGCCTGGGCCACAGAGCGAGATTCCGTCTCAAAAAAAATAAAAAAATAAAAACTTTTTGTTCTCTTAGCTGATGTATGTAGCCCCCACTCACGTTCCTCACACTTACTTGATCTATTATGACTCTTTCACATAGACCCCTTAGAGTTCTTAGCCCTTAAAAGGGCTAGGAATTTCTTTTTCGGGGAGCTCGGCTCTTAAGACACGAGTCTGCCGAATCTCCCGGCCAAATAAAAAAACCTCTTCCTTCTTTAATCTGGTGTCTGAGGAGTTTTGACTGTGACTCATCCTGTTACAGCATGACTGGAAAAAGAAAATGTGGTTCATCCATATAATGAAATATGAATCAGCCCTAAAAAGGAAGGAATGATGAGACAGGCTACCACATGGACTCACCTGTTGTTAACAAGATAAGCCAGACAAAAAAGTGCTGTGTGATCCCACTCCTATGAGGTCTCTGGAAGAGTGGAATTCATAGAGACAGACAGTAGAATGGTGGGTGCCAGGGGCCGGGGGAATGGGGCACCCTGGTTTGATGTGGACACAGTTTCTGTTTTGTAAGATGAAGAAGTTGTAAACATCTGTTATACAACAATGCGGATATGATGAACACTGCTGAAGTGTATCCTTAAAAATACTTTAAAGGGGCCGGGCGCGGTGGCTCATGCCTGTAATCCCAGCACTTTGGGAGGCCGAGGCAGGCGGATCACGAGGTCAGGAGATCGACACCGTCTTGGCCAACACAGTGAAACCCCGTCTCTACTAAAATACAAAAAAATTGCCAGGTGTGGTGGCGGGTGCCTGTGATCCCAGCTACTTGGGAGGCTGAGGCAGGGGAATCACTTGAACCCGGGAGGTAGAGGTTGAAGTGAGCTGAGATTGTGCCACTGCACTCCAGCCTGGGCAACAGAGCAAGCCTCCATCTAAAAAAAAGAAGTAGTTGAAAGGGTAAATTTTATGTTATGTGGCTTTTACCTCCATTAAAAATAAAAATAAAGGCTGAATGTGGTAGCTTACCCCTGTAATCCGAGCACTTTGGGAGGCCAAAGCAGGAGGATTACTTGAGCTCAGAAGTGTGAGACCAGCCTGGACAACTTGGTGAGACCCCATCTCTACTAGAAATTTTTTTTTAATTGGCTGAGTGTGATGGTGTGCACCTATAATCCCCAGATACTCAGGAGGCTGAGGCAAGAGGATTGCTTGAGCCTAGGAGCGGGGGGCTGTGGTGAGCCATGATGGTACCATTGCACTCCAGCCTGGGTGACAGAGTGAGACCCTGCCTCAAAAAAAAAAAAAATTAAATTAAGAAAAATTTAAAAGGCCAGGCTAATGATATATTTCTTTTATTAATAAACGTGGGAACCTTAATTTAACATGATGTCAATAAACATGATTATGGTTCTTCCAAATTTGGGGTCCCTGGTGAGAGAAAAAGAATAAGATAGGGATGGGTGTGGTGGTGCACGCCTGTAATCCCAGCACTTTGGGAGGCCAAGGCCAGCAGCTCACCTGAGGTTGGGAGTTCGAGACCAGCCTGACCAACATAGAGAATCCCCATCTCTAAAAATACAAAAAATTAGCCAGGCGTGGTGGCGCCCACCTGTAATCCCAGCTACTTGGGAGGCTGAGGCCGGAGAATTGCTTGAACCCGGGAGGCGGAGGTTGCGGTGAGCTGATATCACACCATTGCACTCCAGCCTGGGTAACAAGAGCGAAACTCCGTCTCTAATAATAATAATAATAAATAAAGGGCCTCAGGGTGAAGAATTTGGATACCACTTGACTGGAGGCCACCTGGGGCCACTTCAGCTCTAGTTTCTGTGGTTTACGGCCACAGTGGTGTCTTCCCTGCAACGTTCTCGTGGGTGCCGTATTGACAAAACATTAAAACGAGATGGGGTCCCTGCGAGACTCCCGAGGGAGGGAGCAGGAAGATCCGTGCGGCACCGCGAAGGTACGGCATGTTCTCCACAACTCTCCCAGGCCACAAAGAAAGATGAGTCAGTGGGCTCTGAATTCTCCAGCACAGACAGGGGGCGAGTCAAAGGGCTCCCAATCGGACTTGAAGAGATCACGCAGGAAGTCCTGACGTTCACGGCGAGCAGGGCTCTGTGTAGGCCAACATGCCAGCACTGTGAGGATAATATTTTTTAATCCCCCGTTTCCTTGAGCGGCCCCAGAAAACTTACACACACCCTGTTCTGCAGACTCCTGGGAGTGTAGGTCTCATTAAGGGCAGATAGAGACCAGACTGTGCAACCTTTAGAGTCTGCATTGGGTCTAGGTCTCATTGAGAGCAGATAGAGAGCACACTGTGCAACCTCTAGAGTCGGCATTGGGCCTAGGTCTCATTGAGGACAGATAGAGACCAGACTGTTGAAACTTTAGAGTCTGCATTGGGCCTAGGTCTCATTGAGGACAGATAGAGGGCAGACTGTGCAACCTTTAGAGTCTGCAATGGGCCTAGGTCTCATTGAGGACAGATACAGAGCAGACTGTGCAAACTTTAAAGTCTGCACTGAGCCTAGGTCTCATTGAGGGCAGATAGAGACCAGACTGTGCAACCTTTAGAGTCTGCATTGGGTCTAGGTCTCACTGAGGAGAGATAGAGAGCAGACTTTGCAAACTTTAGAGTCTCCATTGGGTCTAGGTCTCACTGAGGACTGATAGAGAGCAGACTATGCAACCTTTAGAGTCTGCACTGGCCCTAGGTCTCATTGAGGACAGATAGAGAGCAGACTGCGCAAACTTTAGAGTCTGCATTGGGCCTAGGTCTCACTGAGGACAGATAGAGAGCACACTGTGTAACCTTTAGAGTCTGCATAGGGCCTCGGTCTCATTGAGGACAGATAGAGAGCAGACTGTGCAACCTTTAGAGTCTGCATTGGGCCTGGGTCTCATTGAGGAAAAATAGAGAGCAGACTGTGCAACCTTTAGAGTCTGCATTGGGCCTAGGTCTCATTGAGGGCAGATAGAGAGCAGACTGTGCAACCTTTAGAGTCTGCACTAGGCCTAGGTCTCATCGAGGACAGATAGAGAGCAGACTGTGCAACCTTTAGAGTCTGCATTGGACCTAGGTCTCATTGAGGACAGATAGAGAGCAGACTATGCAAACTTTACAGTCTGCACTGGGCCTGGGTCTCATTGAGGACAGATAGAGAGCAGACTGTGCAACCTTTACAGTCTGCATTGGGCCTGGGTCTCATTCAGGAGAGATAGAGACCAGACTGTGCAACCTTTAGAGTTTGCATTGGGCCTAGGTCTCATTGAGAGCAGATAGAGAGCAGACTGTGCAACCTTTAGAGTCTGAATTGGGCCTAGGTCTCATTGAGGGCCGATAGAGAGCAGACTGTGCAAACTTTAGAGTCTGCACTGGGCCTAGGTCTCATTGAGGACACATAGAGAGCAGACTGTGCAACCTTTAGAGTCTGCATTTGGCCTAGGTCTCATTGAGGACTGATGGAGAGCACACTGTGCAACCTTTAGAGTCTGCATTGGGCCTAGGTCTCATTGAGGACAGATAGAGACCACACTGTGCAACCTTTAGCGTTTGCATAGGGCCTAGGTCTCATTGAGGGCAGATAGAGAGCAGACTGTGCAACCTTTAGAGTCTGCATTGGGCCTAGGTCTCATTGAGGACCGATAGAGAGCAGACTGTGCAACCTTTAGAGTCTGCATTGGGCCTGGGTCTCATTGAGGACAAATAGAGATCAGACTGTGCAACCTTTAGAGTCTGCATTGGGCCTAGGTATCAGTGAGGACAGATAGAGAGCAGACTGTGCAACCTTTAGAGTCTGCACTGGGCCTAGGTCTCTTTGAGGACAGACAGAGAGCAGACTGTGCAAACTTTAGAGTCTGCACTGGGCCTAGGTGTCATTGAGGACAGATAGAGACCAGACTGTGCAACCTTTAGAGTCTGCATTGGGCCTAGGTCTCCTTGAGGTCAGATAGACAGCAGACTCTGCAACCTTTAGAGTCTGCATTGGGCCTAGGTCTAATTGCGGACAGATAGACAGCAGACTGTGCAACGTTTAGAGTTTGCATTGGGCCTAGGTCTAATTGCGGACAGATAGAGAGCAGACTATGCAACGTTTAGAGTCTGCATTGGGCCTGGGTCTCATTGAGGACAGATAGAGAGCAGACTGTGCAACCTTTAGAGTCTCTATTGGGCCTAGGTCTCATTAAGGACAGATAGGGAGCGGACTGTGCAAACTTTAGAGTCTGCATTGGGCCTAGGTCTCATTGAGGGCAGATAGAGAGCAGGCTCGGCAACCCTTAGAGTCTGCATTGGGCCTAGATCTCATTGAGGACAGATAGAGAGCATACTATGCAACCTTTAGAGTCTGCACTGGGCCTAGGTCTCATTGAGGACACATAGAGAGCAGACTGTGCAACCTTTAGAGTCTGCATTGGGCCTATGTCTCATTGAGGACAGTTAGAGAGCAGACTGTGCAACCTTTAGAGTCTGCATTTGGCCTAGGTCTCATTGAGGACAGAAAGAGACCAGAGTGTGCAACCTTTAGAGTTTGCATTGGGCCTAGGTCTCATTGAGGACAGATAGAGAGCAGACTGTGCAACCTTTAGAGTCTGCATTGGGCCTAGGTCTCATTGAGGTCAGATAGAGAGCAGACTGTGCAAGCTTTAGAGTCTGCACTTGGCCTAGGTCTCACTGAGGACAGATAGAGAACAGACTGTGCAACCTTTAGAGTCTGCATTGGGCCTAGGTCTCATTGAGGGCAGTTAGAGAGCAGACTGTGCAACCTTTAGAGTCTGCATTGGGCCTAGGTCTCATTGAGAGCAGATAGAGAGCACACTGTGCAACCTCTAGAGTCGGCATTGGGCCTAGGTCTCATTGAGGACAGATAGAGACCAGACTGTGCAAACTTTAGAGTCTGCATTGGGCCTAGGTCTCATTGAGGACAGATAGAGAGCAGACTGTGAAACCTTTAGAGTCTGCACTGGGCCTAGGTCTCATTGAGGGCAGATAGAGACCATACTGTGCAACCTTTAGAGTCTGCATTGGGTCTAGGTCTCACTGAGGAGAGATAGAGAGCAGACTTTGCAAACTTTAGAGTCTGCATTAGGTCTAGGTCTCACTGAGGACTGATAGAGAGCAGACTATGCAACCTTTAGAGTCTGCACTGGCCCTAGGTCTCATTGAGGACAGATAGAGAGCAGACTGCGCAAACTTTAGAGTTTGCATTGGGCCTAGGTCTCACTGAGGACAGATAGAGAGCACACTGTGTAACCTTTAGAGTCTGCATAGGGCCTCGGTCTCATTGAGGACCGATAGAGAGCAGACTGTGCCACCTTTAGAGTCTGCATTGGGCCTGGGTCTCATTGAGGAGAAATAGAGAGCAGACTGTGCAACCTTTAGAGTCTGCATTGGGCCTAGGTCTCATTGAGGACAGATGGAGAGCAGACTGTGCAACCTTTAGAGTCTGCATTGGGCCTAGGTCTCATTGAGGGCAGATAGAGAGCAGACTGTGCAACCTTTAGAGTCTGCATTGGGCCTATGTCTCATTGAGAGCAGATAGAGAGCATACTGTGCAACCTTTAGAGTCGGCATTGGGCCTAGGTCTCATTGAGGACAGATAGAGACCAGACTGTGCAACCTTTAGAGTCTGCATTGGGCCTAGTTCTCATTGAGGACAGATAGAGAGCAGACTAGGCAACCATTAGAGTCGGCAGTGGTCCTAGGTCTCATTGAGGACAGATATAGAGCAGACTGTGCAACCTTTAGAGTCTGCATTGGGCCTGGGTCTCATTGAGGACAGATAGAGAGCAGACTGTGCAACCTTTAGAGTCTGCACTGGGCCTAGGTCTCATTGAGGACAGATAGAGGGCAGACTGTGCAAACTTTAGAGTCTGCATTGGGCCTAGGTCTCATTGAGGACCGATAGAGAGCAGACTGTGCAACCTTTAGAGTCTGCACTGGGCCTAGGTCTCATTGAGGACAGATAGAGACCATACTGTGCAACCTTTAGAGTCTGCATTGGGTCTAGGTCTCACTGAGGAGAGATAGAGAGCAGACTTTGCAAACTTTAGAGTCTGCATTGGGTCTAGGTCTCACTGAGGACTGATAGAGAGCAGACTATGCAACCTTTAGAGTCTGCACTGGCCCTAGGTCTCATTGAGGACAGATAGAGAGCAGACTGCGCAAACTTTAGAGTCTGCATTGGGCCTAGGTCTCATTGAGGACAGATAGAGAGCACACTGTGTAACCTTTAGAGTCTGCATAGGGCCTCGGTCTCATTGAGGACCGATAGAGAGCAGACTGTGCAACCTTTAGAGTCTGCATTGGGCCTGGGTCTCATTGAGGACAAATAGAGAGCAGACTGTGCAACCTTTAGAGTCTGCATTGGGCCTAGGTCTCATTGAGGACAGATGGAGAGCAGACTGTGCAACCTTTAGAGTCTGCATTGGGCCTAGGTCTCATTGAGGACAGATGGAGAGCAGACTGTGCAACCTTTAGAGTCTGCATTGGGCCTAGGTCTCATTGAGGGCAGATAGAGAGCAGACTGTGCAACCTTTAGAGTCTGCACTAGGCCTAGGTCTCATTGAGGACAGATAGAGAGCAGACTGTGCAACCTTTAGAGTCTGCATTGGACCTAGGTCTCATTGAGGACAGATAGAGAGCAGACTATGCAAACTTTAGAGGCTGCACTGAGCCTAGGTCTCATTGAGGACAGATAGAGAGCAGACTGTGCAACCTTTACAGTCTGCATTGGACCTGGGCCTCATTCAGGAGAGATAGAGACCAGACTGTGCAACCTTTAGAGTCTGCATTGGGCCTAGGTCTCATTGAGAGCAGATAGAGAGCAGACTGTGCAACCTTTACAGTCTGCATTGGGCCTAGGTCTCATTGAGGGCAGATAGAGAGCAGACTGTGCAACCTTTAGAGTCTGCACTGGGCCTAGGTCTCATTGAGGACACATAGAGAGCAGACTGTGCAACCTTTAGAGTCTGCATTGGGCCTAGGTCTCATTGTGGGCAGATAGAGAGCCGACTGTGCAAACTTTAGAGTCTGCATTGGGCCTAGGTCTCATTGAGGAGAGATAGAGAGCAGACTGTGCAACCTTTAGAGTCTGCATTGGGCCTAGGTCTCATTGAGGACAGATGGAGAGCACACTGTGCAACCTTTAGAGTCCGCATTGGGCCTAGGTCTCATTGAGGACAGATAGAGACCAGACTGTGCAACCTTTAGAGTTTGCATTGGGCCTAGGTCTCATTGAGGGCAGATAGAGAGCAGACTGTGCCACCTTTAGAGTCTGCATTGGGCCTAGGTCTCATTGAGGACAGATAGAGAGCAGACTGTGCAACCTTTAGAGTCTGCACTGGGCCTAGGTCTCTTTGAGGACAGACAGAGAGCAGACTGTGCAAACTTTAGAGTCTGCACTGGGCCTAGGTGTCATTGAGGACAGATAGAGACCAGACTGTGCAACCTTTAGAGTCTGCATTGGGCCTAGGTCTCCTTGACGTCATATAGACAGCAGACTGTGCAACCTTTAGAGTCTGCATTGGGTCTAGGTCTAATTGCGGACAGATAGAGAGCAGACTATGCAACGTTTAGAGTCTGCATTGGGCCTGGGTCTCATTGAGGACAGATAGAGAGCAGACTGTGCAACCTTTAGAGTCTCTATTGGGCCTAGGTCTCATTGAGGACAGATAGAGAGCGGACTGTGCAACCTTTAGAGTCTGCATTGGGCCTAGGTCTCATTGAGGGCAGATAGAGAGCAGGCTCGGCAACCCTTAGAGTCTGCATTGGGCTTAGATCTCATTGAGGACAGATAGAGAGCATACTATGCAACCTTTAGAGTCTGCACTGGGCCTAGGTCTCATTGAGGACACATAGAGAGCAGACTGTGCAACCTTTAGAGTCTGCATTGGGCCTATGTCTCATTGAGGACAGTTAGAGAGCAGACTGTGCAACCTTTAGAGTCTGCATTGGGCCTAGGTCTCATTGAGGACAGATAGAGAGCAGACTGTAGAACCTTTATAGTCTGCATTGGGCCTAGGTCTCATTGAGGTCAGATAGAGAGCAGACTGTAGAACCTTTATAGTCTGCATTGGGCCTAGGTCTCATTGAGGTCAGATAGAGAGCAGACTGTGCAAGCTTTAGAGTCTGCACTTGGCCTAGGTCTCATTGAGGACAGATAGAGAGCAGACTGTGCAACCTTTAGAGTCTGCATTGGGCCTAGGTCTCATTGAGGGCAGATAGAGACCAGACTATGCAACGTTTAGAGTCTGCATTGGGCCTAGGTGTCATTGAGGGCAGTTAGAGAGCAGACTGTGCTACCTTTAGAGTCTGCATTGGGCCTAGGTCTCATTGAGAGCAGATAGAGAGCACACTGTGCAAACTTTAGAGTCGGCATTGGGCCTAGGTCTCATTGAGGACAGATAGAGACCGGACTGTGCAACCTTTAGAGTCTGCATTGGGCCTAGGTCTCATTGAGGACAGATAAAGAGCAGACTAGGCAACCATTAGAGTCGGCACTGGTCCTAGGTCTCATTGAGGACGGATATAGAGCAGACTGTGCAACCTTTAGAGTCTGCATTGGGCCTGGGTCTCATTGAGGACAGATAGCGACCAGACTGTGCAACCTTTAGAGTTTGCATTGGGTCTAGGTCTCATTGAGGGCAGTTAGAGAGCAGACTGTGCAACCTTTAGAGTCTGCATTGGGCCTAGGTCTCATTGAGAGCAGATAGAGAGCACACTGTGCAACCTCTAGAGTCGGCATTGGGCCTAGGTCTCATTGAGGACAGATGGAGAGCACACTGTGCAACCTTTAGAGTCCGCATTGGGCCTAGGTCTCATTGAGGACAGATAGAGACCAGACTGTGCAACTTTAGAGTTTGCATTGGGCCTAGGTCTCATTGAGGGCAGATAGAGAGCAGACTGTGCAACCTTTAGAGTCTGCATTGGGCCTAGGTCTCATTGAGGACAGATAGAGAGCAGACTGTGCAACATTTAGAGTCTGCACTGGGCCTAGGTCTCTTTGAGGACAGACAGAGAGCAGACTGTGCAAACTTTAGAGTCTGCACTGGGCCTAGGTGTCATTGAGGACAGATAGAGACCAGACTGTGCAACCTTTAGAGTCTGCATTGGGCCTAGGTCTCCTTGAGGTCAGATAGACAGCAGACTGTGCAACCTTTAGAGTCTGCATTGGGCCTAGGTCTCATTGAGGGCAGATAGAGAGCAGGCTCGGCAACCCTTAGAGTCTGCATTGGGCTTAGATCTCATTGAGGACAGATAGAGAGCATACTATGCAACCTTTAGAGTCTGCACTGAGCCTAGGTCTCATTGAGGACACATAGAGAGCAGACTGTGCAACCTTTAGAGTCTGCATTGGGCCTATGTCTCATTGAGGACAGTTAGAGAGCAGACTGTGCAACCTTTAGAGTCTGCATTTGGCCTAGGTCTCATTGAGGACAGAAAGAGACCAGAGTGTGCAACCTTTAGAGTCTGCATTGGATCTAGGTCTCACTGAGGAGAGATAGAGAGCAGACTTTGCAAACTTTAGAGTCTCCATTGGGTCTAGGTCTCACTGAGGACTGATAGAGAGCAGACTATGCAACCTTTAGAGTCTGCACTGGCCCTAGGTCTCATTGAGGACACATAGAGAGCAGACTGCGCAAACTTTAGAGTCTGCATTGGGCCTAGGTCTCACTGAGGACAGATAGAGAGCACACTGTGTAACCTTTAGAGTCTGCATAGGGCCTCGGTCTCATTGAGGACCGATAGAGAGCAGACTGTGCCACCTTTAGAGTCTGCATTGGGCCTGGGTCTCATTGAGGACAAATAGAGAGCAGACTGTGCAACCTTTAGAGTCTGCATTGGGCCTAGGTCTCATTGAGGACAGATAGAGAGCAGACTGTACAACCTTTAGAGTCTGCATTGGGCCTAGGTCTCATTGAGGAGAGATAGAGAGCAGACTGCGCAACCTTTAGAGTCTTCATTGGGCCTAGGTCTCATTGAGGGCAGATAGAGACCAGAGTGTGCAACCTTTAGAGTCTGCATTGGGCCTAGGTCTCATTGAGGACAGATAGAGAGCAGACTGTAGAACCTTTATAGTCTGCATTGGGCCTAGGTCTCATTGAGGTCAGATACAGAGCAGACTGTGCAAGCTTTAGAGTCTGCACTTGGCCTAGGTCTCATTGAGGACAGATAGAGAACAGACTGTGCAACCTTTAGAGTCTGCACTAGGCCTAGGTCTCATTGAGGACAGATAGAGAGCAGACTGTGCAACCTTTAGAGTCTGCATTGGACCTAGGTCTCATTGAGGACAGATAGAGAGCAGACTATGCAAACTTTAGAGGCTGCACTGAGCCTAGGTCTCATTGAGGACAGATAGAGAGCAGACTGTGCAACCTTTACAGTCTGCATTGGGCCTGGGCCTCATTCAGGACAGATAGAGACCAGACTGTGCAACCTTTAGAGTCTGCATTGGGCCTAGGTCTCATTGAGAGCAGATAGAGAGCAGACTGTGCAACCTTTAGAGTCTGCATTGGGCCTAGGTCTCATTGAGGGCAGATAGAGAGCAGACTGTGCAACCTTTAGAGTCTGCATTGGGCCTAGGTCTCATTGAGGACAGATGGAGAGCACACTGTGCAACCTTTAGAGTCCGCATTGGGCCTAGGTCTCATTGAGGACAGATAGAGACCAGACTGTGCAACTTTAGAGTTTGCATTGGGCCTAGGTCTCATTGAGGGCAGATAGAGAGCAGACTGTGCAACCTTTAGAGTCTGCATTGGGCCTAGGTCTCATTGAGGACAGATAGAGAGCAGACTGTGCAACCTTTAGAGTCTGCACTGGGCCTAGGTCTCTTTGAGGACAGACAGAGAGCAGACTGTGCAAACTTTAGAGTCTGCACTGGGCCTAGGTGTCATTGAGGACAGATAGAGACCAGACTGTGCAACCTTTAGAGTCTGCATTGGGCCTAGGTCTCCTTGAGGTCAGATAGACAGCAGACTGTGCAACCTTTAGAGTCTGCATTGGGCCTAGGTCTCATTGAGGGCAGATAGAGAGCAGGCTCGGCAACCCTTAGAGTCTGCATTGGGCTTAGATCTCATTGAGGACAGATAGAGAGCATACTATGCAACCTTTAGAGTCTGCACTGAGCCTAGGTCTCATTGAGGACACATAGAGAGCAGACTGTGCAACCTTTAGAGTCTGCATTGGGCCTATGTCTCATTGAGGACAGTTAGAGAGCAGACTGTGCAACCTTTAGAGTCTGCATTTGGCCTAGGTCTCATTGAGGACAGAAAGAGACCAGAGTGTGCAACCTTTAGAGTCTGCATTGGGCCTAGGTCTCATTGAGGACAGATAGAGAGCAGACTGTAGAACCTTTGTAGTCTGCATTGGGCCTAGGTCTCATTGAGGTCAGATAGAGAGCAGACTGTGCAAGCTTTAGAGTCTGCACTTGGCCTAGGTCTCATTGAGGACAGATAGAGAGCAGACTGTGCAACCTTTAGAGTCTGCATTGGGCCTAGGTCTCATTGAGGGCAGGTAGAGACCAGACTATGCAACGTTTAGAGTCTGCATTGGGCCTAGGTGTCATTGAGGGCAGTTAGAGAGCAGACTGTGCTACCTGTAGAGTCTGCATTGGGCCTAGGTCTCATTGAGAGCAGATAGAGAGCACACTGTGCAAACTTTAGAGTCGGCATTGGGCCTAGGTCTCATTGAGGACAGATAGAGACCGGACTGTGCAACCTTTAGAGTCTGCATTGGGCCTAGGTCTCATTGAGGACAGATAAAGAGCAGACTAGGCAACCATTAGAGTCGGCACTTTTCCTAGGTCTCATTGAGGACAGATATAGAGCAGACTGTGCAACCTTTAGAGTCTGCATTGGGTCTGGGTCTCATTGAGGACAGATAGCGACCAGACTGTGCAACCTTTAGAGTCTGCATTGGGCTTAGGTCTCATTGAGGGCAGTTAGAGAGCAGACTGTGCAACCTTTAGAGTCTGCATTGGGTCTAGGTCTCATTGAGAGCAGACAGAGAGCACACTGTGCAACCTCTAGATTCGGCATTGGGCCTAGGTCTCATTGAGGATAGATAGAGACCAGACTGTTAAAACTTTAGAGTCTGCATTGGGCCTAGGTCTCATTGAGGACAGATAGAGGGCAGACTGTGCAACCTTTAGAGTCTGCATTGGGCCTAGGTCTCATTGAGGACAGATACAGAGCAGACTGTGCAAACTTTAAAGTCTGCACTGAGCCTAGGTCTCATTGAGGGCAGATAGAGACCATACTGTGCAACCTTTAGAGTCTGCATTGGGTCTAGGTCTCACTGAGGAGAGATAGAGAGCAGACTTTGCAAACTTTAGAGTCTCCATTGGGTCTAGGTCTCACTGAGGACTGATAGAGAGCACACTGTGTAACCTTTAGAGTCTGCATAGGGCCTCGGTCTCATTGAGGACCGATAGAGAGCAGACTGTGCAACCTTTAGAGTCTGCATTGGGCCTGGGTCTCATTGAGGACAAATAGAGAGCAGACTGTGCAACCTTTAGAGTCTGCATTGGGCCTAGGTCTCATTGAGGACAGATAGAGAGCAGACTGTGCAACCTTTAGAGTCTGCATTGGGCCTAGGTCTCATTGAGAGCAGATAGAGAGCAGACTGTGCAACCTTTAGAGTCTGCACTAGGCCTAGGTCTCATCGAGGACAGATAGAGAGCAGACTGTGCAACCTTTAGAGTCTGCATTGGACCTAGGTCTCATTGAGGACAGATAGAGAGCAGACTATGCAAACTTTACAGTCTGCACTGGGCCTAGGTCTCATTGAGGACAGATAGAGACCAGAGTGTGCAACCTTTAGAGTCTGCATTGGGCCTAGGTCTCATTGAGGACAGATAGAGAGCAGACTGTAGAACCTTTATAGTCTGCATTGGGCCTAGGTCTCATTGAGGTCAGATAGAGAGCAGACTGTGCAAGCTTTAGAGTCTGCACTTGGCCTAGGTCTCATTGAGGACAGATAGAGAGCAGACTGTGCAACCTTTAGAGTCTGCATTGGGCCTAGGTCTCATTGAGGACAGATAGAGACCAGACTGTGCAACCTTTATAGTCTGCACTGGGCCTAGGTCTCATTGAGGACAGATAGAGAGCAGACTGCGCAACCTTTAGAGTCTTCATTGGGCCTAGGTCTCATTGAGGGCAGATAGAGACCAGACTATGCAACCTTTAGAGTCTGCATTGGGCCTAGGTCTCATTGAGGGCAGATAGAGAGCAGACTGTGCAACCTTTAGAGTATGCATTGGGCCTAGGTCTCATTGAGGGCAGATAGAGAGCAGACTGTGCAACGTTTAGAGTCTGCATTGTGCCTAAGTCTCATTGAGGACAGATAGAGAGCAGACTGTGCAACCTTTCGAGTCTGCACTGGGCCTAGGTCTCATTGAGGGCAGATAGGGACCAGACTATGCAACCTTTAGAGTCTGCACTGGGCCTAGGTCTCATTGAGGGCAGATAGAGACCAGACTATGCAACCTTTAGAGTCTGCATTGGGACCCCAGAAATCCTAAAGCTTTGTGTGGTCTAAGGACGGTTGGAGAGCCACGTCTGGACCATCCCTGTGGCTGCCACCTGAATGGCGGCCAGCACGAGATCTTATGCTTGCACACTGTGCCTGCAAGGGTGGGAGGGGCTGGCTTATCTCAGACAACCTCCTGATAGTGGGGTAAACCAAAAATAGAATTCTAAGCCCCTCAGCTGACTGAGTGGACCTGTTTGTAGCCAAGGGGATCCCAAAGAAACCTGAAAAACAACTCAGGCCATGACAGGAAGAGGGGATCTCGGGCCGTGACCGGAAGAGGGAGTCTCGGGCCGTGACAGGAAGAGGGAGTCTCGGGCCGTGACAGGAAGAGGGGGTCTCGGGCCGTGACAGGAAGAGGGGGTCTCGGGCCGTGACAGGAAGAGGGGGTCTCGGGCCGTGACAGGAAGAGGGAGTCTCGGGCCGTGACAGGAAGAGGGGGTCTCGGGCCGTGACAGGAAGAGGGGGTCTCCGGCCGTGACAGGAAGAGGGGGTCTCGGGCCGTGACAGGAAGAGGGGATCTCGGGCCGTGACAGGAAGAGGGAGTCTCGGGCCGTGACAGGAAGAGGGGGTCTCGGGCCGTGACAGGAAGAGGGGGTCTCGGGCCGTGACAGGAAGAGGGGGTCTCGGGCCGTGACAGGAAGAGGGGGTCTCGGGCCGTGACAGGAAGAGGGGGTCTCGGGCCGTGACAGGAAGAGGGGGTCTCCGGCCGTGACAGGAAGAGGGAGTCTCGGGCCGTGACAGGAAGAGGGGATCTCGGGCCGTGACAGGAAGAGGGAGTCTCGGGCCGTGACAGGAAGAGCGGGTCTCGGGCCGTGACAGGAAGAGCGGGTCTCAGGTTGTGACAGGAAGAGGGAGTCTCGGGCCGTGACAGGAAGAGGGAGTCTCGGGCCGTGACAGGAAGAGGGGGTCTCGGGCCGTGACAGGAAGAGGGGGTCTCGGGCCGTGACAGGAAGAGGGGGTCTCCGGCCGTGACAGGAAGAGGGGGTCTCGGGCCGTGACAGGAAGAGGGGATCTCGGGCCGTGACAGGAAGAGGGAGTCTCGGGCCGTGACAGGAAGAGGGGGTCTCGGGCCGTGACAGGAAGAGGGGGTCTCGGGCCGTGACAGGAAGAGGGGGTCTCGGGCCGTGACAGGAAGAGGGGGTCTCGGGCCGTGACAGGAAGAGGGGGTCTCGGGCCGTGACAGGAAGAGGGGGTCTCCGGCCGTGACAGGAAGAGGGAGTCTCGGGCCGTGACAGGAAGAGGGGATCTCGGGCCGTGACAGGAAGAGGGAGTCTCGGGCCGTGACAGGAAGAGCGGGTCTCGGGCCGTGACAGGAAGAGCGGGTCTCAGGTTGTGACAGGAAGAGGGAGTCTCGGGCCGTGACAGGAAGAGGGAGTCTCGGGCCGTGACAGGAAGAGGGGGTCTCGGGCCGTGACAGGAAGAGGGGGTCTCGGGCCGTGACAGGAAGAGGGTGTCTCGGGCCGTGACAGGAAGAGCGGGTCTCAGGTTGTGACAGGAAGGAGTCTCCTGTGTGTAGGGACTCATCCATTCTGTACAACTCATGTGCATCCTCCCATGTGCATCCTCCTCTGTGCATCCTTCCATGTGCATCCTTGAAGGGGTGGCCTGCCCCTCCACACCTGTGGGCATTTCTCATCAGGAGGAACGAGAGACTTGAAAAAAGAAAGAGACACAGAGATAAAGTAGAGAGAAAGAAAAATGGGCCCAGGGGACCGGCGCTCAGCATACAGAGGACCCGCGCCGGCACCTGCCTCTGAGTTCCCTTAGTACTTATTGATCATTATCGGGGAGAGGGGGATGTGGCAGGACAATAGGGTAATAGTGGAGAGAGGGTCAGCAGGAAAACGTGAACAAATGTCTCTGCATCATAAACAAGGTACAGAAAAAAGTGCTGTGCTTTGATGTGCACATACATAAACATCTCAACGCCTTAAAGAGCAGTGTTGCCGCCAGCATGTCCCACCTCCAGCCATAAGGCAGTTTTACCCTATCTCAGTAGATGGAATATACAATCGGTTTACACCGAGACATTCTATTGTCCAGGGACGAGCAGGAGACAGATGCCTTCCTCTTATCTCAACTGCAAAGAGGCCTTCCTCTTTTACTAATCCTCCTCAGCACAGACCCTTTATGGGTGTTGAGCTGGGGGATGGTCAGCTCTTTCCCTTCCCACGAGGCCATATTTCAGACTATCACATGGGGAGAAACCTTGGACAATACCCGGCTTTCAAGAGCAGAGGTCCCTGCGGCTTTCCGCAGGGCACTGTGCCCCTGGTTTATTGAGACTAGAGGATGGCGATGACTTTTACCAAGTATACCGCTCGTGAACATCTTGTTAACAAGGCACGTCCTGCACCGCCCTGGATCCCTTAAACCTTGATTTCATACAACACATGTTTTTGTGAGCTCCAGGTTGGGGCAAAGTGGCTGGGGCAAAGCTACAAATTAACAACATCTCAGCAAAGCAATTGTTTAAAGGACAGGTCTTTTTCAAAATGGAGTCTCTTATGTCTTTCCTTTCTACATAGACACAGTGACAGTCTGATCTCTCTTTCTTTTCCCTAGAATCTGTGCATATCGATGGGGACGAAGTCATCCTGGATGTTGATTGGGACAAGGTCATCTCTGCTTGTTAGTGGGGACAAGTTCATCCCTGGGTGCTTATCAGGACAAGGTCAGTCCCGGATGTTGGTGAAGACAAGGTCATTCTGGATGTTGATGGGGACAAGATTATCCCCGGACGTTGGCGAGAGCAAGGGGATCTCTGCATGTTTGGTGAATGTTGATGGGGACGAGGTCATCTCTGCATGTGGGTGGGGACAAGGTCATCCTGATGTTGATTGGTTCAAGGTTAACCTTGGATGTTGGTGGGGACAAGGTGATCTCTACATGTTTGGTGAATGTTGATGGGGACGAGGTCATCTCCGCATGTGGGTGGTGGACAAGGTCATCCTGGATGTTGATTGGGACAAGGTTATCCCTGGATGTTGGTGGGGACAAGGTGATCTCTGCATGTGGGTGGGGACAAGGTCGTCCTGGATGTTGATAGGGACAAGGTCATCCTGGATGTTGATTGGTTCAAGGTTGTTGATTGATTCAAGGTTATCCCCGGATGTTGGTGGGAACAAGGTGATCTCTGCATGTGGGTGGGGATGAGGTCATCCTGGATGTTGATTGACTCAAGGTTATCCCTGGATGTTGGTGGGGATAAGGTGATCTCTGCATGTCAGTGGGGACAAGGTCATCCTGGATGTTGATTGGGACAAGGTTATCTCTGCTTGTTAGTGGGGACAAGGTCATCCCTGGGTGCTTATCGGGACAAGGTCAGTCCTGTATGTTGATGAGGACAAGATTATCCCCGGACGTTGGTGGGGACAAGGTGATCTCTGCATGTTTGGTGAATGTTGATGGGGACGAGGTCACCTCCACATGTGGGTGGGGACAAAGTCATCCCTGGATGTTGACTGGGACAAGGTTATCCCTGGATGTCGATGGGTTCAAGGTTATCCCTGGATGTTGGTGGGGACCAGGTCATCCTGTGGGTGGGTGAGGACTGCCACATCCCGTTTTCCTGGTAAAGACATCTTTTTTCTAGCAGGATGGGCCACTGGAGCAGGCATAACTCTCAGTTCCCAGCTGGTGGACAGCCAAGTCCCCAGTTATCTGGTGTCTGTCCTTGGGGCCATGTTCTTTCTTCTCATTTCCACCTGAGGAAAGAAAGGCCAAGGTACAAGGCCTTCGACCAGGTGTCACTGGGGTTTCTGGGCTGGAAGTGCTTCGGGTTGGGAGAGAAGTCTCCCATCTTCCACAAAGTCAACAGGTGTACATCAAGGCTTCGTTCATAATCCTCGGTGGGAACTAGGAGAGAGATTGGATGCTGTTTAAAGGGTGATGTCCTTGGGCCGGCGTTTGAGGAGGTGTGTGCCCTGGTCAGCTGTATTTGGGGACATTAATTTTCAGCCTACAGCTGTTCGCCAAACGGGGTCTGTACGCATCAGGATCCAGCCACGTCCAAGGCTCCCAACGAGCTAGGTGCACCTCCTCCAGGCTCCACTCACATCCAGGAGGGTCACGGGCCTGCCTGAGGTCTGCCTGCTCCTGGCACTCAGCAGGGCACTCACCAGGGCTGGGAAGGCCCCTGCCCATCCCGGTCCTCTCATTGCAGTGAACCGGAGGCTCCTGTACCGGCTGCATCCGGAGCAGGGCATGCCGGCCGGCGTGTGCGTGGACGCTGCGGGGAAGCTCTGGGTGGCCTCTGCGTCGATAGAGGCAAGGTGATACGCCTTGACCCCGAGACAGGTGTGTGCCGGATGGCGGGGCCGTATGAGGCTTGGCCACATCGGGTGTCCACTGCGTCTGCAGCGTTCTGGCTTCAGAAGTCGGGGCCGGGCAGCAATCGCGAATTTGTAGAGACTAAGGGGCCTCCGTTTCCCGACGGCACGGACTCCCAGGTTCCCTCTGCAGGTGTGCTAGGTCCTGGGGCTGCCGCAACCAAGGACTGGCTGCCTAAGAAACAGGAAGTCACCTCCCCCAGTCCTGCAGAGCAGGAGTCTGAGACCGAGGAGTTTCAGGGCCGTACTCCCTCCAGGAGCTGTAGTGGAGGGTCCTTCCTGCCTCTCCCGGCTCCTGGGGGCTCCAGGCGTCCCTGGGCTTGTGGCCGCATCACTCCAGTCTCTGCCTCCGTCTCCACGAGGCCTCATCCACTGTGTCTGTGTCTCCTCTTCTGTCTCTAGAAGGACACCTGTCATTGCATTTAGGATCCACCCTACTCCAGGATGATCTCATCTCAAGATCCTTCACTAACTAGATCTTGAAACACCCTATTTCTATACAAGGTCTCATTCCTAGGTTGTGGATATTAGGGTGTAGACAGATCTTTTTGGGAACCACAGTTCAATCCACTTCAATTGTATTGAGACTCTAGGGGAGGGTCCTTCCTGCCTCTCCCAGCTCCTGGGGGCTCCAGGCATCCCTGGGCTTGAGGCCGCATCACTCCAGTCTCTGCCTCCGTCTCCACGTGGCCTCCTCCTCTGTGTCTGTGTCTGCTCTTCTGTCTCTTAGAAGGACACTGGTGATTGGATGTAGGACCCACCCTAACCTGCTCTGACCTACTAATTACCTCTGCAAACACCCTATTTCCAAATAATTTCCCATTCTGAGATCCTACTTGGCATGAATCTGGGGAGACTACAGAGCTCACTAGAGCAGGTGCGGCTGGGCCTGGCTAGGCAGGTGCCAATCTGGCAGCTCCAGGTGCCACAGAGACACCCATGCTGCCCGGGGGTTGGGCCCAGGGTCAGGAGGAACGGCCAGGCAGGCGGCCTGGGGTGCTCAGGCTCAGCCCCCACGCTCGCTCACAGGGAAGGTGCTGTGCACGGTGGAGCTGCCTGTGTACAGGGTCACCTCCTGCTGCTTCGGGGACCCGGCTACGACAACCTCTACGTGACCTCCGCGGCGGACCGCCTGAGTCCGGAGCACTTGTTACGGGAGCCCCGGGCTGGACACATCTTCAAGGTTCCGTAAGGGTTTTCTGCCGAGAGTCCCTCCTGGGGCCGCGGGCGAGAGCTCATCTTTAACCTCGGTGGGAAGCTCGGGCAGGGTGGGCGATGTCTGCAGACAGACGGAGGTTATTGTTTCTGTTTCCTAGAAAACAAACGTTTCCAAACTTTTTTTTTTTGAGATGGAGTTTCGCTCCTGTTGCCTGGGCTGCAGTGCAGTGGCGTGATCTCGGCTCACTGCAACCTCCGCCTCCTGGGTTCAAGTGATTCTCTCACCTCAGCCGCCTGAGTAGCTGGGATTACAGGGAGGCACCACCACACCCGGCTAATTTTGTATTTTTAGTAGAGACGGGGTTTCACCATGTTGGTCAGACTGGTCTCGAACTCCCGACCTCAGGTGATCCGCCGGCCTCGGCCTCCCAAAGTGCTGGGATGACAGGTGCGAGCCGCTGCGCCCGGCCAGTTTCAAAGGTTTTATGCCCCCGGGTGTTAGATAGAAATTGTGTTTTTAGGCCGGGCCCAGTGGCTCATGCCTGTCATCTCAGCACTTTGGGAGGCCGAGGCAGGAGGATCATGAGGTCAGGAGATCGAGACCATCCTGGCTAACCTGGTGAAACCCCGTCTCTACTAAAAAATACAAAAAAAAAATTATCTGGGCGTGGTGGCACCTGCCTGTAGTCCCAGCTACTCGGGAGTCTGAGGCAGGAGAATGGCATGAACCTGGGAGGCGGAGGTTGCAGTGAGCCGAGATCGTGCCACTGCACTCCAGCCTGGGCGACAGAGCGAGACTCCGTCTCAAAACAAACAAACAAACAAAAATTGTGTTTTTAACGTGTGGGTTTTAAAGCCTCCAGCATTGTTCTGGCCTTACTCTGCCGGTAACACGGTGTTTCGGCCACAGCCTTGGAACTGATCGCAGCATCCCGGCTCCATCCAGGGGTCACGGGCTTTGGGGTGAGAGGAGGCCCCCGTTTACCCCTTCACTGGCTGAGCCGAGAGCCGCTCCCAGGGCAGCTTCGTGCGTTGGCCTCCGTGCGGGGGTGCTGGGCCGGCGTCAGCGGCCCCCCGCACGCTCATTCCCGCAGCAGCGTCGGGTTCACAGCGGGCAATAAAGGCAGCCGTTCTTCAAAGTCAGCTCGGTTGTGGCTGCCGTGGGGACGTCAGTCACAGCCGAGGGACCAAGCACTGGGCCTCTGTGTGGCATAAGTCCTGCCTGGGGCTGTGCAGATCCCCCTTACACACCTCATGGCCCCGTAAGCTCACCGGCCCTCCCAGAAGTCATCTGTGCGAGACAGAAGGCGTCTCTGCGGAATTCTAACTCCCCGCCCAGAAGTGACTGATAGGATGAACAAGGTTTTCTAATTGGCGTAAATATGTATATAATGAGCATTTTATTTTTTTTGAGACGGAGTCTCGCTCTGTCGCCCAGGCTGGAGTGCAGTGGTGTGATCTCAGCTCACTGCAAGCTCCGCCTCCCGGGCTCACGCCGTTCTCCTGCCTCAGCCTCCCGAGTAGCTCGGACTACAGGCGCCCGCCACCACGCCTGGCTAATTTTTTGTATTTTTAGTAGAGACGGGGTTTCACTGTGTTAACCAGGATGGTCTCAATCTCCTGAACTCATGATCCGCCCGCCTCGGCCTCCCAAAGTGCTGGGATGACAGGCGTGAGCCACTGCGCCCGGCGAACAATGTTTCCAAATTGTGGTAAATATATATATAATTAGCACTTTGTGTTTTTTTTTTTGAGACGGAGTGTTGCTCTGTCACCCAGGCTGGAGTCCAGTGGCACAAACTCAGCTCACTGCAACCTCCGCCTCCCGGGTTCTAGCGATTCTCCTGCCTCAGCCTCCCAAGTAGCTGGAACCACAGGCGCCCGCCACCACGCCCGGCTAATTTTTGTTCTTTTAGGGTTTTGCCATGTTGGCCAGGCTGGTCTCGAACTCCTGACCTCCCGATCCGCCCGCCTCAGCCTCCCAAAGTGCTGGGATTATAGGTGTGAGCCACCACGCCCGGCTAATTTTTATATTTTTAGTAGAGATGAGGTTTCACCGTGTTGGCCAGGCTGCTCTTGAACTCCTGACCTCAGGTGATCCACCTGTCTCAAGCCAGGCAGGGTGGACAGGAGGGTGGGGAGTCTGGGAGCTCGGATGGAGTTGCGACGGGAGGCCCGGCTGGTTGCTGCTGCAACTGTGAGGCCAACGCCCAGGTTATTCTATGAATCGAGATGCTTTCACCTGCTGTGAGATTTACCACAAGACAGAGCTTTAAAAAATACTTTGCTTGGCTGGGCGCGGTGGCTCACGCCCGTAATCCCAGCACTTTGGGAGGCAGAGGCGGGTGGATCACCTGAGTTCAGGAGTTTGAGACCATCCTGGCCAACTTGGCAAAACCCCATCTGTACTAAAAATACAAAAATTAGCTGGGCGTGGTGGCGGGCACCTGTAATTCCCGCTACTCGGGAGGCTGAGGCAGGAGAATCGCTTGAACCGGGGAGGTGGAGGTTGCAGTGAGCCGAGATCGCTCCAGCCTGGGCGACAAGAGTGAAACTCCATCTCAAAAAAAAAAAAAGTACTTTCCTTGAGCCGAGGAGCCAGGTTTCCCTCTCCACGTGCCGGAGCCAGTGTGGACGGAGCTCCTTGTATTGTCCAGGACTGCATGGGAAGGCTGAGGGCAGCCTGGATGAGTACGGGGAGGCCAGGATCCGGGCAGAGAGGGGTGGAGGGGTGCGAGGTGGCATAGGGGCCGGGGCCAGGGCCCTAAAGCAAAAGACTTCTGCAAAATCAGTGCTGTAAAAATAAGCGGAAAGTGGCCGGGCACGGTGGCTCATGCCTGTGATCCCGGCGCTTTGGGAGGCTGAGGCGGTTGGATCACCTGAGGTCAGGAGTTTGAGGGGGGCCTCTGCCTCCCTCCCACCGTGTTGGGGACATCGTGACCCCCCAAGACCGCCTGGGATGGTACAGCCGGCCCCTGCAGCACCCCCTGCATCCACCCCCAGAGCTGGGCTCTGCTGCTGGGACCTGACTGTGGCCACTGCCCTCCCAGGGTAATCGGCGGTGGGGGGTGAGCATGGGGATTCCACAGACCATCCCGGTCTTCCAACCCTAACCCTGGCCCCTGGCCAGCCTGGGAGACGCTGCCTGACCTTGCAGGTCCCTCTGACCTGCTGACTGTGGGTGTCCACACCTCACCTCACAGAGCAAACAGGAACCACACACAGGGAAGCTTCCTCCCTCCATTCCTGTCCTCAGGTCCCTAAGGGCCCCTGGGGGGCTTCCAGCTGCCAACACTGCAATGGTGTATGGGTATGGGGGTGGGGAGCCCTTGAGGGACTCCCAGGGAGGGGGTCTCTAGTTGGGGAGAGGCTGCGAACCCCTAGGGGAAATGGTGGAGGCTCCCACATCCATGGGGTGGGTGTGGGGGTGTCTGTGTGAACCAGCTCATAGAGACCCACCCCATGCTCAGTGCCATTGGCTCAAAGGTGCAGCAGGAGGCCCCTCTGGTGACGTGAGCCACCCGGGCACCCAGCTGGGCCCCCACAGGGCTGGGCTTGCCCCTCATCTCAGCAACCTGCCTCATCTGTCCTGAACCTCAGCGTGGTCACCCGTGAGGTGGGAGGGGACCTGCTTGGGAGCCAGCAGAGGGTCTCTGGGACCTGCCAGGCAATGGCTTTGCACACACGTCACCTGCATGCATGGTGCATTCAGGAGAGAGCACAGGCCGTCATGAGAGGAAGGGACACACAAAATGTGCTCTGTCCACAGAGTGGAATAGTATGCAGCCATGAAAAGGAACGGGGTTCTGACACATGGTCTCCTTGTGGAGTCATGAGAATGTGCTGGAGCTAAAGAGAGGGGGGTAGCTAGAGAGAGGTGGGGTAGCTACAGAGAGGTGGGGTAGCTAGAGAGTGGGGGTAGCTAGAGAGGGGGATAGCTAGAGAGAGGTGGGGTAGCTAGAGAGAGTGGGGGGAGCTAGAGACAGTGGGGGTAGCTAGAGGGGGTGTAGCTAGAGACAGTGGGGGTAGCTAGAGAGGGGGATAGCTAGAGAGAGTGGGGATAGCTAGAGAGGGGGGGGTAGCTAGAGAGAGGTGGGGTAGCTAGAGAGGGGGATAGCTAGAGAGAGGTGGGGTAGCTAGAGAGGGGGATAGCTAGAGAGAGGTGGGGTAGCTAGAGAGGGGGATAGCTAGAGAGAGGTGGGGTAGCTAGAGAGGGGGATAGCTAGAGAGAGGTGGGGTAGCTAGAGAGAGTGGGGGTAGCTGGGGGGGGTAGCTAGAGAGAGGTGGGGGTAGCTAGAGAGAGGTGGGGTAGCTAGAGAGGGGGATAGCTAGAGAGAGGTGGGGTAGCTAGAGAGAGTGGGGGTAGCTGGGGGGGGTAGCTAGAGAGAGGTGGGGGTAGCTAGAGAGAGGTGGGGTAGCTAGAGAGGGGGATAGCTAGAGAGAGGTGGGGTAGCTAGAGAGGGGGATAGCTAGAGAGAGGTGGGGAGTAGTTAGAGAGGGGGATAGCTAGAGAGAGGCGGGGGTAGCTAGAGACAGTGGGGGGAGCTAGAGACAGTGGGGGTAGCTAGAGGGGGGGATAGCTAGAGAGAGGTGGGGTAGCTAGAGACAGTGGGGGGAGCTAGAGACAGTGGGGGTAGCTGGGGGGGGTAGCTAGAGAGAGTGGGGGTTGCATCTGACAGTGAGTGTTTGTGGAAGAGAGAGCAACTCCATCTGGAATGCTGATCCACCTGTTCACTTCTGACCAACCGCTGCTCTGGGAAGGTCTCTAAGATGATTTTGCTACTTTCTCCAATGTGACCTCAATAGCCTGGACCATAAACCCTGCCCTGGGGCAGGTGCACGTGGCTGTCCCTGAGGCACCTTCCCTGACCGTGAGGGCCCCCCTCCCTCCCACCAACGTTTTCCTGCATATTCCTCCCTGGGGTGAAGCCCTGGGTCTGCAGGGACGACCGGGATCCACTCTCCTCGCAGACACGGCTTCTGTTCTTACATCTCTGCTAAGTATTTCTTTCGGAGAATCTGGATTAGTCAGCTTCTTCCTTCAGCTCTCAGCTTCCTCGACCTCCGGGGTGTGGTTTGCACAGACCCGGCCCCTGCGGAAACAGGTGCTAAATGCTAGTGAATGGACCCATTAGAATAGTTAATTCTGGCCGGGCACGGTGAAAATGGTTAACTGTGGCCGGGCGCGGTGGCTCACACCTGTAATCCGAGCACTTTGGGAGACCGAGGTGGGCGGATCATGAGGTCAGGAGTTTGAGACCAGCCTGGCTGAGGCAGGAGAATTGCTTGAACCTGGTGTAATGTGAAAAAAAAACCAGTACGAAGCACAGCTCACAAGGCCTTCCCCCTTTAGGCTTAGAACAATAGCGGGGCGCAGTGGCTCACGCCTGTAATCCCAGCACTTTGGGAGGCCAAGGCAGGCGGATCACGAGGTCAGGAGGTCGAGACCATCCTGACTAACCTGGTGAAACCCCGTCTCTACTAAAAATACAAAAAATTAGCCGGGTGTGGTGGCGGGTGCCTGTAGTCCCAGCTACTCGGGAGGCTGAGGCAGATAAATAATTGCTTGAACCCAGGAGGTGGAGGTTGTGGTGAGCCGAGATCACGCCACTGCACTCCAGCCTGGGCGACAGAGCGAGACTCCATCTCAAAAAAAAAAAAAAAAAAAAAAAAATGAAGCCTGCAATCCCAGCACTTTGGGAGGCTGAGGCAGGTGGATCACGAGGTCAGGAGTTCAAGACCAGCCTGGCCAAGATGGTGAAACGCCGTCTCTACTAAAAATAAAAGAAATTAGCCAGACATGGTGGCGGGTGCCCGTCATCCCAGCTACTCCGGAGGCTGAGGCAGGAGAATCGCTTGAACCCGGGAGGCGGAGCTTGCAGTGAGCCGAGATGGCACCATTGCACTCCAGCCCGGGCAACAAGAGCGAAACTCCGTCTCAAAACAGAAAAAAATATAGGGTCTCAAACCACACCTCATGAAGCCCAGGGATGGGCTTTTGGGGTGGGCCCCACCGTGAGGTATGTGGGTTTCAAAGCAGTTCTCTGGGGGCACAGAGCACCTTGGGAATCAGCAGGGAAAATGGATCTGGGCAGGCTCCGGCCCTGACATGGACCTGGGGTTCCGGGGACCCCTCTTCTGGGCCAGCCAGGCCCCCTTGCGCCTGTGCCCCTCTGGCGACGTACCCCGGCCTTTGCAAGCTGTGTGCGCTCTTCCCACCACCTCCAGGCGGTGCACGGCGTCTGCCTGGGACGAGGACTCCAGAGGCTTCTGTGGAATCTGCCGCTGCCTTCCAAGGCCGGCACCTCCTGCCCCTGCTATCCTTTGACCTTGGGGTTCCCGTCCGAGCCACGGCTGTGACCTCGCGCCCCCAGGAGCTGGCTTTTCTTTATCCTCCTTGGTCTTCCTGTCACCGCCCAAGGGGCTCACCTCGCCGGCTGCGTGGACAGAGTGATTTATCACTACCACAAAGCTGCAATCCCAGCCGGCTGCGTGGGAGGCCGGAGTTTCCTTATTCCTCAAATCCGTCTCCCCAGAGACCCTGGGACTGGAGTTTTTCAGGATAATTTGCTGGGTAGGAGGTCAGAAAGTGGGGAGTGCTGATTGGTTGGGTCAGAGATGGAATCACAGGGAGTCGAAGCTGTCGTCTGGCGCTGAGTCAGTTCCTGGGTGGGGGCCGCAGACCAGATTAGCCGGTTGATCATCTGGGTGGTGCCAGCTGATCCGTCCAGTGAAGGGTCTGTGACATATCTCAGCACTGATTGTAGGTTTCACAAAAGCGATGTGAGCAGGAGCAATTTGAGGAGGGTCAGAAACTTGCAGCCTCCAGAGGCCAGAGTCCTAAACCATCATTTCTAATCCAGGGGATAATCTCTTAGTCCTGTAAACACGGCCTAGTCCCCAGGCAAGAAGGAGGTTTGCACTGGGAAAGGGCTATTATCATCTTCGTGTCAAAGCTAAACTATAAACTAAGTTCCTCCCAAAGATAGTGTGGGTGACACCCATGAGTGAAGAAGGACAGCTTGGAGACAGCTTGGAGACAGCTTGCAGACAGCGTGGAAGTTCGAAGCAAGACGGACTCAGTGAGGTTAGCTCTCCTTCACTGCCCTAATGTTCTCACTTACAATTTTATCAGGCCGGGCGCGGTGGCTCATGCCTGTAATCCCACCACTCTGGGAGGCTGAGGTGGGAGGATCACAGCGTCAGGGGTTTGAGACCAGCCTGGCCAATGTGGTAAAACCCCGTCTCTAATAAAAATACGAAAACTAGCCGAGTATGGTGGTGGGTGCCTGTGGTCCCAGCTACCCAGGAGCTTGAGACAGGTGAATGGCTCGAACATGGGAGGCGAAGGTTGCAGTGAGCCGAGATCGCGCCACTGCCCTGCAGCCTGGGTGACAGAGCGAGACTCTGTCTTAAAAAAAAAAAAAAGAAAGAAAAATTGTTTTTGCAAAAATGGTTTCAATCTCAGGGAGTAGAGCCCTTTCCTGTGGGACCCGCCTTGCCCAGCTCCCTAGCTCCCTCCCTGCCCGGCCACCCTGCAGGATGCCAGGGTTGGGGGTCTCTGGGGGTTACCAAGGAGGCCCACCTGTTCCTGGGGGCTGCCTAGAGAGCCCCCACCCACGGGGAGCTGAGGGCCTCAGAGGAGGAGCAGAGACTCCAGTTCCTGCTAGGGTCAGTTGAGGTTATCTGTAGTTAATTTTTATCTAAAAAGTGATGCAAGCTTATTTTTAAAATGCAAACAGGCCGGTGAAGTGGCTCACGCCTGTAATCCCAGCACCTTGGGAGGCTGAGGTTGGGGGATCGCTTGAGCCCCAGATTTAGAGACCAGCCGGGGCAACATAGCCAGGTCCTGTCTCTACAAAAAATAATAATTATAAATAAATAAAAATAAAAATTCAACTGTAAAGATGTTTATAAAGTAAAAAAGGAAAAAATGTCTTTTTTAACCTCTCCTATTCTTCAGAAAAGGTAACCTATTCATAGTCAATACTTATTTGTAATCATTCAATTTGCAATTTAATTAATCATTGAATTTTACATACAATTTGCATTTTTGTTTTTAATCATTCAATGTGAAATTATATAATGTCAACTTACCCATTTCAAAGTGTGCACTGCAGTGGCATTTAGTAGTCACAAGCTTGGCAGGATCTTTTTTTTTTTTTTTTTTTGAGATAATCTCTCTCTCTAGGTCTGTCACCCAGGCTGGAGTGCAGTGGCGTGATCTCGGCTCACCACAACCTCCACCTCCCGGGTTCAAGTAATTCTGCCTCAGCCTCCCGAGTAGCTGGGACTACAGGCGCCCGCCACCACACCCGGCTGATTTTTTGTATTTTTAGTAGAGACGAGGTTTCACCATGTTAGCCAGGATGGTCTCCATCCTCTGACCTCGTGATCCACCCGCCTCGGCCTCCCAAAGTGCTGGGATGACAGGCGTGAGCCACCGCGCCCGGCCGCGGAGTTTTATTTTTTATTTTATTTATTTATTTATTTATTTATTTATTTATTTATTTTTGAGATGGAGTCTCGCTCTTTCACCCAGGCTGGAGTGTCTCAAAAAAGGAAATGAAATATATATATGTGTATATGAAGAAGAGTAAGATGGAATATATTTTACAACAATCAGTGTATATGGCCTGTATACCTGAAATAAAAGAGGAAACCAGCTGTGGTCAAAAACTGAATCAGGGGCCGGACGCGGTGGCTCACGCCTGTAATCCCAGCACTTTGGGAGGCCGAGGCAGGTGGATCACATGAGGTCAGGAGTTCGAGACCAGCCTGGCCAACATGGTGAAAAACAGTCTCTGCTAAAAATACAAAAAATTAGCCGGGTGTGGTGGCGGGCACCTGTAATCCCAGGTACTCACTTGGGAGGCTGAGGCAGGAGAATCACTTGAACCTGGAAGGCGGAGGTTGCAGTGAGCCAAGATCGTGCCACTGCACTCCAGCCTGGGAGACAGAGTGAGACTCTGTCTCAAAAATAAAAGAAAAAAGATCAACCTGAGCCAGCACAGGCTTCTTGTACCCTGAGCTGTGGCTTCTTCCCTGCGTGGAAACAACAGGTGTCTGTCGTTGGCTTCAAGGTCGGCGGCGTCTGAACCG
Organism: Homo sapiens; assembly: GCF_000001405.40. Lineage (NCBI taxonomy): Eukaryota > Metazoa > Chordata > Mammalia > Primates > Hominidae > Homo > Homo sapiens. Next base: position 264,169 of record NC_000024.10, read on the forward strand.
CCTCTAAGGGGCAGGGTTGGGGACAGTGGGGAATCCAGGTCCGGTCGGGAACGCCCGTGTGGATTTGCAGACGCTGTAGTTTTGGGGATGTGGAAGAAAAATAAGTCTTAGGCTGGGTGCGGTGGCTCATGCCTGTAATCTCAGCACTTTGGGAGGCTGAGGCAGGAGAATCGCTTGAACCCAGGAGGTGAAGGTTGCAGTGAGCCGAGATCGCGCCATTGCACTCCAGCCTGGGTGACAGACCGAGATTCTGTCTGAAAAATAAAAATAAAAAATAAAATAAAGTGGGCCGGGCGCGGTGGCTCAGGCCTGTCATCCCAGCACTTTGGGAGGCCTAGGTGGGTGGATCACGAGGTCAGGAGATCGAGACCATCCTGGCTAACACAGTGAAACCCCGTCTCTACTAAAAATACAAAAAATTAGCCGGGCATGATGGCTGGTGCCTGTAGTCTCAGCTACTCAGGAGGCTGAGGCAGAGAATGGCGTGAACCCGGGAGGCGGAGCTGGCAGTGACCCGAGATCGCGCCATTGCACTCCAGCCTGGGTGACAGAGCGAGACTCTGTTTCCACAAAAAAAAAGAAAGAAAGAAAGAAGAAAGAAAGAAAAAGAAAGAGAGAGAGAGAAAGAAAAGAAAGAAAGAAAAGAAAGAAAGAAAGAAAGAAGAAAGAAAGAAAGGAAAGAAAGAAAAGAAAGAAAGAAAGAAAAAGAAAGAAAGAAAGATAGAAAGAAAGAAAGAAAAGGACAGGACACACAGAAAGCAGAGAAACAGCTGCATTGGGTGTGGGTTGGCGTTTACCTTGTTTGAACCCGGTTGGAACATTTGGCTGCCTTTGGCTGAGATTCAGTGATTGCCACAAGAGTAGGTTCTGGTCTGTTGACACCTCCTGTTACGTCACAGTTCACTATGTACAGAGAAATCTTTAGGCCGAACTTAAAATATGTTGGGAGGCAACTTCAGGAACCATCAATATTGTAGACAGAAGTTTCTCTTTTCACCTTTTTTGGTAGACACAGGATTTCACTGTGTCCCCCAGGCTGGAGTGCAGCCTCGACCTCCTAGACTCAAGTGATCCTCCCTCCTCAGCCTCCTGAGTAGCTGGGACTACAGGAGGAGGGAAGAGGTCTCTGTAGCTGGTCCTACAAGTGCACACCACTACGCCCAGCTAATTTTTATATTTTTTGTAGAGACAGGGTCTTGCCATGTTGCTCAGGCTCGTCTGGAACTCCTGGGCTCAAGCGATCTGCCTGCCTCGGCCTCTCCCAAAAGTGCTGGTTTTTCAATCTCTGTTGACTTGATCAGTGGAAAATGGTAATCGATTTTAACGTTCAATACCGGTGTGTGGTAGCATATATTTGTATGTGTTTTGACAACTCTATGCAAAGTCGAGTGATTCTCCTGCTGTGTGTGATCAGAGGACATTTTGGGACATTTAGGGCTGTGTTACAATTTTAAGCGTGGGGACTTGGAGTATGAATGATTAGCATGGGACCAGGTGGGCAGGTGCGCCTGGCATCAGGGGTGAGAGGGCCGCATACCTGACTCCACTCCTCATCCCTGACTTCCTTCTCCAGCTCAGCTGTGGCACGGGCACCCTTGTGCCAGAGGAAACGGGCACTTTTTTCTTTCTCTTTCTTTTCCTTCCCTCCCTCCCTCCCTCTCTCTCTCTCTCTCTTTCTTCTTTCTTTTTTTCTTTTCTTTTCTTTTTGGAGACGGAGTCTATTGCTGTCCCCCAGGCTGGAGTGCAATGGCACGATCTCCACTCACTGCAAGCTCCGCCTCCCGGGTTCACGCCATTCTCCTGCCTCAGCCTCCCGAGTAGCTGGGACTACAGGCGCCCGCCACCACGCCCGGCTAATTTTTTGTATTTTTAGTAGAGACGGGGTTTCACCGTGTTAGCCAGGATGGTGTCGATCTCCTGACCTCGTGATCCACCTGCCTCGGCCTCCCAAAGTGCTGGGATGACAGGCGTGAGCCATCGCGCCCGGCTGATTCCTGTTCCTTCTGCCCCTCTCTGGAGGTGTCTGCTTCTGGCTTCTGACTCTGCTTCCCAGGCTGTAGGAATAGCTCCCCTGCGCCTAACCCCTTATGAGAAACAAAGCTGTCCTTTGCAGCCTCACCATTCTTTTTTTGTTTTGTTTTTTGTTTGTTTGTTTGTTTTTTTGAAACAGAGTCTGGTTCTGTCCCCCACGCTGGAGTGCCATGGCTAGATCTTGGCTCACTCCAACTTCCGCCTTCCGGGTTCAAGTGATTCTCCTGCCTCAGCCTCTCAAGGAGCTAGGATTACAGGTGAGCATCACCACACCCGGCTAATTTTTTATATTTTTGGTCTCGAACTCCTGACCTGAAGTGATCTGCCCGCCTCAGCCTCCCAAAGTGCTGAGATGACAGGCGTGAGGCACCGCACCTGTCCTTTTTTTTTTTTTTTTTTGAGATGGAGTTTCACTATTGCAGCCCAGGCTGGAGTGCAGTGGCACAACCTCGACTCACTGCAACCTCTGCCTCCTGGGTTCACGCAATTCTCCCGCCTCAGCCTCCCCAGTAGCTGGGATTACAGGCATTCACCACTATGGCTGGCTAATTTTTGTATTTTTAGTAGAGACGGGGTTTCACCATGTTGGCCAGGCTGGTCTTGAACTCCCGACCTCACGGATCCACCTGCCTCAGCCTCCCAAACTGCTGGGATGACAGGCGTGAGCCGCTGCACCCAGCCAGCCTTACCATTCTTTAGTCGATACTTATAATGCAAAATCGCGCCCTGCTTCCTGAACCCCCAAACCAGCAGAGAGAGGAGCTACAGACGTGGAGAATACTTTTTCCAGCGGTGTGATTTAGGAAGCCTATACGTGTTGCTCATAAAAATCAGTATCTCTGGCCGGGTGCGGTGGCTCACGCCTGTCATCCCAGCACTTTGGGAGGCCAAGGTGGGCGGATTGCCTGAGGTCGGGAGTTTGAGACCAGCCTGGCCAACATGATGAAACCCTGTCTCTACTAAATTAGCCGGGCGTGGTGGCGGGTGCCTGTAATCCCAGCTACTTGGGAGGCTGAGGCAGGAGAATCGCTTGAACCCGGGAGATGGAGGTTGCAGTGAGCCGCGATTATCTCAGCCTTCCCGGTAGATGGGATTACAGACGCGTGCCACCAGGCCCAGCTAAATTTTGTATTTTTTTTTTTTTGGTAGAGACAAGGTTTCATCATGTTGGCCATCCGCCCGCCTTGGCCTCCCAAAGTTGTGTCTTTTCTCTGGTAAAGGGGTAAGACTCAGCTTCGGAGACACAATTCTCTATCCTTTTCATGTCATTTTGCTTCTCGGCAAGGACAGGGGAAAACAGAATTGATGACTTTACTTTTATTTTTTATTTTTTGAGACGGAGACCAAGCTGGAGTGCAGGGGCGCGATCTCGGCTCACTGCAACCTCCGCCTCCCCTTTTCAAGCGATTCTCTGCCTCAGCCTCTGGAGTAGCTGGGATTACAGGCACCCGCCACCTCGCCCGGCTATTTTTTTTTTTTTTTTTTTTTTTAGTAGAGACGGGATTTCACCATGTTGCCCAGGCTGGTCTCGAACTCCAGAGCTCAGCTCAGGCAATCCACGCGTCTGGGCCTCCCAGAGTGTTCGGATGACAGGCGTGAGCCACCACGCCCGGCCCGGCGACGGTTTTAAACAAGGCAGCTCGGAACAGAGCAGCTTCGGGAATCGCACCTGCAGAATGAGATCACGTAGCCTCCGGTCTCGGCTCACGCAGGTGTGCTCTGAGCCCGTCACGGCCCGGCCTGAGGCCCCGTGAGCCGTGCGGCTGCCCCATGCTGTTGAAACCCGGGTCCGGGGCTCCCAGCTTTGTGCCTCTGTTCCCGGCGACGCCCGCACGGTGCCACCTCTCAGAGACCCTCCCTGCTGGCTCTCAACCACCCGTGACAACTGCGAGCCGGAAACAGGGTGGGATAATACCTTGGACCCAATAAAGGTGCTGGCCCAGGGTCCCTCTCTGCTGCATTCCTCACCACCCAGTGTGGGTGGGGCCTGCAGGGCCCGGGACCCATAAATAATCAAATCCTTACCTCCGCCTGGGTGGGACCTGCAGGACCCGGGACCCATAAATAATCAAATCCTTACCTCCGCCTGGGTGGGGCCTGCAGCACCCGGGACCCATAAATAATCAAATCCTTACCTCCGCCTGGGCGGGGCCTGCAGGACCCGGGACCCATAAATAATCAAATCCTTACCTCCGCCTGGGCGGGGCCTGCAGCACCCGGGACCCATAAATAATCAAATCCTTACCTCCGCCTGGGTGGGGCCTGCAGGACCCGGGACCCATAAATAATCAAATCCTTACCTCCGCCTGGGCGGGGCCTGCAGCACCCGGGACCCATAAATAATCAAATCCTTACCTCCGCCTGGGCGGGGCCTGCAGCACCCGGGACCCATAAATAATCAAATCCTTACCTCCGCCTGGGTGGGGCCTGCAGCACCCGGGACCCATAAATAATCAAATCCTTACCTCCGCCTGGGTGGGGCCTGCAGCACCCGGGACCCATAAATAATCAAATCCTTACCTCCGCCTGGGCGGGGCCTGCAGGACCCGGGACCCATAAATAATCAAATCCTTACCTCCGCCTGCGTGGGACCTGCAGGACCCGGGACCCATAAATAATCAAATCCTTAGCTCCGCCTGGGTGGGGCCTGCAGGACCCGGGACCCATAAATAATCAAATCCTTACCTCCGCCTGGGTGGGGCCTGCAGCGCCCGGGACCCATAAATAATCAAATCCTTACCTCCGCCTGGGTGGGGCCTGCAGCACCCGGGATCCATAAATAATCAAATCCTTACCTCCGCCTGGGTGGGGCCTGCAGGACCCGGGACCCATAAATAATCAAATCCTTACCTCCGCCTGGGCGGGGCCTGCAGGACCCGGGACCCATAAATAATCAAATCCTTACCTCCGCCTGGGCGGGGCCTGCAGCACCCGGGACCCATAAATAATCAAATCCTTACCTCCGCCTGGGCGGGGCCTGCAGGACCCGGGACCCATAAATAATCAAATCCTTACCTCCGCCTGGGTGGGGACTGCAGCACCCGGGACCCATAAATAATCAAATCCTTACCTCCGCCTGGGCGGGGCCTGCAGGACCCGGGATCCATAAATAATCAAATCCTTACCTCCGCCTGGGCGGGGCCTGCAGGACCCGGGACCCATAAATAATCAAATCCTTACCTCCGCCTGGGCGGGGCCTGCAGGACCCGGGACCCATAAATAATCAAATCCTTACCTCCGCCTGGGTGGGGCCTGCAGGACCCGGGACCCATAAATAATCAAATCCTTACCTCCGCCTGGGTGGGGCCTGCAGCACCCGGGACCCATAAATAATCAAATCCTTACCTCCGCCTGGGCGGGGACTGCAGCACCCGGGACCCATAAATAATCAAATCCTTACCTCCGCCTGGGTGGGGCCTGCAGCGCCCGGGACCCATAAATAATCAAATCCTTACCTCCGCCTGGGTGGGGCCTGCAGGACCCGGGACCCATAAATAATCAAATCCTTACCTCCGCCTGGGCGGGGCCTGCAGGGCCCGGGACCCATAAATAATCAAATCCTTAGCTCCGCCTGGGTGGGGCCTGCAGGACCCGGGACCCATAAATAATCAAATCCTTACCTCCGCCTGGGTGGGGCCTGCAGGACCCGGGACCCATAAATAATCAAATCCTTACCTCCGCCTGGGTGGGGCCTGCAGCACCCGGGACCCATAAATAATCAAATCCTTACCTCCGCCTGGGCGGGGCCTGCAGGACCCGGGACCCATAAATAATCAAATCCTTACCTCCGCCTGGGTGGGGCCTGCAGCGCCCGGGACCCATAAATAATCAAATCCTTACCTCCGCCTGGGCGGGGCCTGCAGGACCCGGGACCCATAAATAATCAAATCCTTACCTCCGCCTGGGTGGGGCCTGCAGCACCCGGGATCCATAAATAATCAAATCCTTACCTCCGCCTGGGTGGGGCCTGCAGCGCCCGGGACCCATAAATAATCAAATCCTTACCTCCGCCTGGGCGGGGCCTGCAGCACCCGGGACCCATAAATAATCAAATCCTTACCTCCGCCTGGGTGGGGCCTGCAGCACCCGGGACCCATAAATAATCAAATCCTTACCTCCGCCTGCGTGGGACCTGCAGCACCCGGGACCCATAAATAATCAAATCCTTACCTCCGCCTGGGTGGGGCCTGCAGCACCCGGGACCCATAAATAATCAAATCCTTACCTCCGCCTGCGTGGGACCTGCAGCACCCGGGACCCATAAATAATCAAACCCTTACCTCCGCCTGGGCGGGGCCTGCAGCACCCGGGACCCATAAATAATCAAATCCTTACCTCCGCCTGGGTGGGGCCTGCAGCACCCGGGACCCATAAATAATCAAATCCTTACCTCCGCCTGGGTGGGGCCTGCAGCACCCGGGACCCATAAATAATCAAATCCTTACCTCCGCCTGGGCGGGGCCTGCAGCACCCGGGACCCATAAATAATCAAATCCTTACCTCCGCCTGCGTGGGACCTGCAGGACCCGGGACCCATAAATAATCAAATCCTTACCTCCGCCTGGGTGGGGCCTGCAGCACCCGGGATCCATAAATAATCAAATCCTTACCTCCGCCTGGGTGGGGCCTGCAGGCCGGCCGTGGATGCAGGACTGGTAAATAGTCAAACCTTTATCTCCGCCTGGTGTCTCTCCTAGCCATTGGAGGGGTGCTCCCCATGCTAAATATTCGAAACTCAAACGCGGGGTCATGGGATTTTCTAGTGCAGGAGAGGGTTTTCCATTCCAGGAAGCAGCTGGACCAAGGGCTTCCGTGCCCGGCCTTGGGAGGGGTTTGCAAACACCCCTTGTCGGACACAAGGGCACGGTCAACAGGGAAGTCACAGCCATTTACAGGGGCTCACACTTGGCCCACTTCACTCAAGCACCCTTCACAACCCTCGGCTCGCAGAACACAGGCAGCACCGAGGCACGGACGACACGTCCCTCAGCCCACGTGATGTCCTCCCCTCGTGTCCAGCCCACACCTGGCCGCCCAGGACACAGAGGGAGGAAGGGCTGGGCCCCGAGACCACAGTCCACATCACACCAGGACAGAGGAAGGGCCGGGCACTGTGACCTCCGGTCCTCATGACCCTGGGGCACAGCGGGAGGAAGGGCCAGGCCCTGTGACCACAGTCCACATCACACCAGGACACAGAGGAAGGGCCGGGCCCTGTGACCACAGTCCACATCACACCAGGACACAGAGGAAGGGCCGGGCCCTGTGACCACAGTCCACATCACACCAGGACACAGAGGAAGGGCCGGGCCCTGTGACCACAGTCCACATCACACCAGGACACAGAGGAAGGGCCGGGCCTCATGACCACAGTCCACATCACACCAGGACACAGAGGAAGGGCCGGGCCCTGTGACCACAGTCCACATCACACCAGGACACAGAGGAAGGGCCGGGCCCTGTGACCACAGTCCACATCACACCAGGACACAGAGGAAGGGCCGGGCCTCATGACCACAGTCCACATCACACCAGGACACAGAGGAAGGGCCGGGCCCTGTGACCACAGTCCACATCACACCAGGACACGGAGGAAGGGCCGGGCCCTGTGACCACAGTCCACATCACACCAGGACACAGAGGAAGGGCCGGGCCCTGTGACCACAGTCCACATCACACCAGGACACGGAGGAAGGGCCGGGCCCTGTGACCACAGTCCACATCACACCAGGACACAGAGGAAGGGCCGGGCCTCATGACCACAGTCCACATCACACCAGGACACAGAGGAAGGGCCGGGCCTCATGACCACAGTCCACATCACACCAGGACACAGAGGAAGGGCCGGGCCCTGTGACCACAGTCCACATCACACCAGGACACAGAGGAAGGGCCGGGCCTCATGACCACAGTCCACATCACACCAGGACACAGAGGAAGGGCCAGGCCCTGTGACCACAGTCCACATCACACCAGGACACAGAGGAAGGGCCGGGCCTCATGACCACAGTCCACATCACACCAGGACACGGAGGAAGGGCCGGGCCCTGTGACCACAGTCCACATCACACCAGGACACGGAGGAAGGGCCGGGCCCCGTGACCACAGTCCACATCACACCAGGACACAGAGGAAGGGCCGGGCCCCGTGACCACAGTCCACATCACACCAGGACACAGAGGAAGGGCCGGGCCCTGTGACCACAGTCCACATCACACCAGGACACAGAGGAAGGGCCGGGCCTCATGACCACAGTCCAGATCACACCAGGACACAGAGGAAGGGCCGGGCCCTGTGACCACAGTCCACATCACACCAGGACACAGAGGAAGGGCCGGGCCCTGTGACCACAGTCCACATCACACCAGGACACAGAGGAAGGGCCAGGCCTCATGACCACAGTCCACATCACACCAGGACACAGAGGAAGGGCCAGGCCTCATGACCACAGTCCACATCACACCAGGACACAGAGGAAGGGCCGGGCCCTGTGACCACAGTCCACATCACACCAGGACACAGAGGAAGGGCCGGGCCCTGTGACCACAGTCCACATCACACCAGGACACAGAGGAAGGGCCAGGCCTCATGACCACAGTCCACATCACACCAGGACACAGAGGAAGGGCCGGGCCCTGTGACCACAGTCCACATCACACCAGGACACAGAGGAAGGGCCGGGCCCTGTGACCACAGTCCACATCACACCAGGACAGAGGAAGGGCCGGGCCCTGTGACCACAGTCCACATCACACCAGGACACAGAGGAAGGGCCAGGCCCTGTGACCACAGTCCACATCACACCAGGACACGGAGGAAGGGCCAGGCCTCATGACCACAGTCCACATCACACCAGGACACAGAGGAAGGGCCAGGCCCTGTGACCACAGTCCACATCACACCAGGACACAGAGGAAGGGCCGGGCCTCATGACCACAGTCCACATCACACCAGGACACAGAGGAAGGGCCGGGCCCCATGACCACAGTCCACATCACACCAGGACACAGAGGAAGGGCCGGGCCCCGTGACCACAGTCCACATCACACCAGGACACAGAGGAAGGGCCGGGCCCCGTGACCACAGTCCACATCACACCAGGACACAGAGGAAGGGCCGGGCCCTGTGACCACAGTCCACATCACACCAGGACACAGAGGAAGGGCCGGGCCTCGTGACCACAGTCCAGATCACACCAGGACACAGAGGAAGGGCCGGGCCCCGTGACCACAGTCCAGATCACACCAGGACACAGAGGAAGGGCCGGGCCCCGTGACCACAGTCCACATCACACCAGGACACAGAGGAAGGGCCGGGCCCCGTGACCACAGTCCACATCACACCAGGACACAGAGGAAGGGCCGGGCCCCGTGACCACAGTCCACATCACACCAGGACACAGAGGAAGGGCCGGGCCCTGTGACCACAGTCCACATCACACCAGGACACAGAGGAAGGGCCGGGCCCTGTGACCACAGTCCACATCACACCAGGACACAGAGGAAGGGCCGGGCCCTGTGACCTCTGGTCCTCATGACTCTGGGGCACAGCGGGAGGAAGGGCCGGGCCCTGTGACCACAGTCCACATCACACCAGGACACAGAGGAAGGGCCGGGCCCTGTGACCACAGTCCACATCACACCAGGACACGGAGGAAGGGCCAGGCCTCATGACCACAGTCCAGATCACACCAGGACACAGAGGAAGGGCCGGGCCCTGTGACCACAGTCCAGATCACACCAGGACACAGAGGAAGGGCCGGGCCCTGTGACCACAGTCCACATCACACCAGGACACAGAGGAAGGGCCGGGCCTCGTGACCACAGTCCAGATCACACCAGGACACAGAGGAAGGGCCGGGCCCCGTGACCACAGTCCAGATCACACCAGGACACAGAGGAAGGGCCGGGCCCCGTGACCACAGTCCACATCACACCAGGACACAGAGGAAGGGCCGGGCCCCGTGACCACAGTCCACATCACACCAGGACACAGAGGAAGGGCCGGGCCCCGTGACCACAGTCCACATCACACCAGGACACAGAGGAAGGGCCGGGCCCCGTGACCACAGTCCACATCACACCAGGACACAGAGGAAGGGCCAGGCCTCATGACCACAGTCCACATCACACCAGGACACAGAGGAAGGGCCGGGCCCTGTGACCACAGTCCACATCACACCAGGACACGGAGGAAGGGCCGGGCCCTGTGACCACAGTCCACATCACACCAGGACACAGAGGAAGGGCCGGGCCTCATGACCACAGTCCACATCACACCAGGACACGGAGGAAGGGCCGGGCCCTGTGACCACAGTCCACATCACACCAGGACACAGAGGAAGGGCCGGGCCCTGTGACCACAGTCCACATCACACCAGGACACAGAGGAAGGGCCAGGCCTCATGACCACAGTCCACATCACACCAGGACACAGAGGAAGGGCCGGGCCCCGTGACCACAGTCCACATCACACCAGGACACAGAGGAAGGGCCGGGCCCTGTGACCACAGTCCACATCACACCAGGACACAGAGGAAGGGCCGGGCCTCATGACCACAGTCCACATCACACCAGGACACGGAGGAAGGGCCGGGCCCTGTGACCACAGTCCACATCACACCAGGACACAGAGGAAGGGCCGGGCCCTGTGACCACAGTCCACATCACACCAGGACACAGAGGAAGGGCCGGGCCCTGTGACCTCTGGTCCTCATGACTCTGGGGCACAGCGGGAGGAAGGGCCGGGCCCTGTGACTGTGGGAGGAGGCGTGGAAGCCGCTTCCTGCTCCCGTGCCACACCAGGGCACAGGTCATTTTATAGACTCTCCCAGGGCTGTGGAAGGAGGCGGGAACCAGGAGGCTGGTGTCCCCGCAGGGCCTCAGTGAAGGGAGGAGGGAGGAGGAGGAGGGAGGAGGGGGAGGGAGGAAACAGATGGGCCAAGAGGAAGCCACAGGGGGCTTTGGGCAGAGAGGGGGAGTCTCAATGGACAGGAAGAAGGAGGGAGAGGATGGAGAAGGAGCAGGGGGAGGAAGGAGGAGGGGGAGGAGGAGCAGGGGGGAGGGCGGAGTGTGGGGAGGTGACGGGGCCTGAGTTAGGATGGAAAGAGGCGGAGAGGCCGGTGGCCTGTGGCTTGTAGGCCGACCAGATGTCCCTGTGCCAGGACAGCAGCCGCCCTCAAGGTACCCCACAGCTGGGGTGAGGGAGGAAACAGGGAGCCGGGACAGAAATGGGGTGCAGGGAGAGAAGCCCCAGCCGTGGCTATGCGGGAGAATTCCACCCGGGAACATGGGATCCCAAGGCAGCCCTTTGAGCCGTCCACTGCGGCCCCCAAACGTTCCGTGCACTCTCTGAAGCCCACACTGGCCCTGTCCTGGAGTCCAGCCCGGGGTGGGAGACAGCGGGGTGCGTGGGGAGCACCTGCGGGGTGGACCGGAAGCAGCCAGGAGGAGGCAGGAACGGGGCCCTGGACAGACCCCTGACCTGGGCTCCTGGTCAGCTCCAGGTTGGCTCGGGGGGGGAGATCGCAGGCGTGGGCTGCGCTGGGAGGAGCCACTTCCACCGACGGAGGCGGCACGGGCTGCCCAGGGTCCGGGCCACGCGGGGCGGGAGAGGTCGGAACCTGCAGGGGGAAGATCCCGGTGGGTTTGCTGGCCAAGGCGCTCAGAGCCTGCAGGCTTGGGACTGCCGGCCCCATGCGTTGACCCCAGGGCCGAGATGAAAGCACCTGTTCACCCCGTCCTGGGGGCTCCGGGAGACCCACCGCAGCCGCGGCCAGTGGCCCGAGTGGGGCCCGTCAGTCAGACACCTCAATGTCCCCTGCAAGGGCCCCTCTGACCACAGAGAACCCGTGGGCACACACCTCTGGGACGTCCTTGCTGTCTCTAAGCCCCTGACCGGGGGACCCCGGGGACACCTTGTTGGGACACACCGTGGGGTCCCCTGGGAGGGGTCTTCCGGTCCCCAGTCCTGGTCTGTGGGGTCCCCGTGGGAGTTCAGGGCGGTGTTTGCAGCCCAGCCGGTCCCGCTCCTGCGGTGGGGACAGATCCGTGGCGGGGGCGGGCTGTCCCTCCTCCTGGTGGCAGGAGTGTCCGCGCCACAGCCAATCGCAGCGGACTGGGTGTGTTTTAGGAAGAGTGTCCCGCAGAGACCCGGCGGGAGCTGCCAGGAGCTCTGGGATTCCAGCGGCTGGAAGGTGAGTGTGTCTACCCCGTTCTCCTGATGGCAAGTCCCCTACGGGGGACGTGGCGGGTGCCGTCTGTGCCTGTTGTGGGCTGGGAATCAGGAACCCGCGCTTCCGTCATTGAGGCTCCTTCTCCTCCTCCTGGGACCCTTAGCTGGGGGCACGGGCAGGGGGTTCAGGGGGAGGGTCGCCTGGGATCTGTGGCCTGGACGTTGGCAGCCACAGGCGGCCTGCACCCCTTGCAGACCGTGAATTCTCTGCCGGGTCAGAGCCGCGGAGCCAGTGTGGAAACAGCCCAGGACGGTTATGAAATGAGCCCGGGGGCCACGACTTGCTTGGCCGGTTGGACGTCCTCACCCTGCCGCCGGGGCCTGCGTGGGGACGGGTCGGGACAGCTGGGACGGTGGGGATGTTGGGGCACTGGGAATGCTGGGATCTGAGCACCCCTGTCCTTCCGTTGATTCACCCAGCAACCATTCACCCCGTGCGTTGAATGTGCGCGTCACGGCCACTCACGCCTCTGGGACGTGAGTCTCCCGAGGACTCAGCGGGCGGGAAGGTGTAGGTGTCTCACCCCGCCTGGCGGGTCACCGGGCGTCTGGGCCCGTCCGTCATCTGCGCTGTCCCGCCGCGACCGTGAAGGCCAGGGTGGAGAGGACCTCCCCCAGGAAGGGTCAGTGCTCCGTGGGACGGCCTCCAGACCCCACTCCGCTGTGCCGTCCGGACGAGATGGCAGAGGTGGCTGGGAGTGGGGGCCGCCCCCGGGGCTCCTTCCTGCTCCACTTTGTCATGTGTGGGGAAGGCGTCGGGGGACCTGGGGACAGGAGGGGGCGCCCCTCAGTGGTCAGGGGACTTGGGATGTGAGGGGAGGGGTCAGGGGGAACGTGGGGACAGATGTGGGGATAGGAGGGGACACCCCTCAGTGGTCAGGGGACCTGGGATGTGAGGGGAGGGGTTGGGGAACGTGGGGACAGGTGTGGGGACAGGAGGGGACACCCCTCAGTGGTCAGGGGACCTGGGATGTGAGGGGAGGGGTCAGGGCACGTGGGGACAGGAGTGGACACCCCTCAGTGGTCAGGGGACCTGGGATGTGAGGGGAGGGCTCAGGAGGACATGGGGACAGGTGTGGGGACAGGAGTGGACACCCCTCAGTGGTCAGGGGACCTGGGATGTGAGGGGAGGGGTCAGGGCACGTGGGGACAGGAGTGGACACCCCTCAGTGGTCAGGGGACCTGGGATGTGAGGGGAGGGCTCAGGAGGACATGGGGACAGGTGTGGGGACAGGAGTGGACACCCCTCAGTGGTCAGGGGACCTGGGATGTGAGGGGAGGGGTCAGGGCACGTGGGGACAGGAGTGGACACCCCTCAGTGGTCAGGGGACCTGGGATGTGAGGGGAGGGGTCAGGGCACGTGGGGACAGGAGTGGACACCCCTCAGTGGTCAGGGGACCTGGGATGTGAGGGGAGGGCTCAGGAGGACATGGGGACAGGTGTGGGGACAGGAGTGGACACCCCTCAGTGGTCAGGGGACCTGGGATGTGAGGGGAGGGGTCAGGGGGAACGTGGGGACAGGTGTGGGGATAGGAGGGGACACCCCTCAGTGGTCAGGGGACCTGGGATGTGAGGGGAGGGGTCAGGGGGAATGTGGGGACAGGTGTGGGGATAGGAGCGGACACCCCTCAGTGGTCAGGGGACCTGGGATGTGAGGGAGGGCTCAGGAGGACATGGGGACAGGTGTGGGGACAGGAGTGGACACCCCTCAGTGGTCAGGGGACTTGGGATGTGAGGGGAGGGGTCGGGGGACGTGGGGACAGGAGGGGACACCCCTCAGTGGTCAGGGGACCTGGGATATGATGAAGGTGACGGGAGGGGAGGGACTGTGACGGGGGAAGGGACTGTGATGGGAGGGAGGGAGTATGACAGTAGCCGGAATGGATGGAATCCGTCATGACACAGAGGATGTGAGTGTACAGCTTTGGGTCCAGCCTGTCCTAGGAGACACTGATTTCCTCGAGTCTTCTGAACCAAAAAGTATCTGAGACAGGTCTCAGGACATTTAGAAAGTGTGTTTTGCTGGCCGGGCACGGTGGCTCACGCCTGTCATCCCAGCACTTTGGGAGGCCAAGGCGGGCAGATCACCTGACGTCAGGAGTTCAAGACCAGCCTGACCAACAAGGTGAAACCCTGTCTCTACTAAAAATACAGAAATTACCTGGGTGTGGTGGTGGGCGCCTGTAGTCCCAGCTACTTGGGAGGCTGAGATAGGAGAATTGCTTGAACCTGGGAAGCGGAGGTTGCAGTGAGCCGAGATTGCACCACTGCACTCCAGCCTGGGAGACAGAGCAAGACTCCGTCTCAAAAAAAAAAAAAAAAAAGTGTGTTTTGCTAAGGTTGAGGACGCGCCTGTGACCGAGCCTCAGGAGGTCCTGACGACCTGTGCCCTAGGTGGTCGGAGGACATCTTGGTATTATGCATTTTAAGGAAACGTCAGACATGAATCCATACGTGTAAGACGAACCTTGGTTCTGTCAAGCGCGTCGGTGCGAAGAGACCCCCGAACAGGCTTTGTGTGAGCGATAAAGCGGTTCATTCACTTGGGTGCAAGTGGGCTGAGTCCGAAGAGAGAGTCAGCGAAGGGAGATGGGGGAGGGGTGGCTCAATAGGAGTTGGGTAGGTAATGGAAAATTACAGCAAAAGGTGGTTATCTATTGTCAGCAGAGGAGGGATTGCAAGGTGCGTGGTGCACAGATCATAAGACTCATTGTCCAGAGGACGAACGGCACAAAGTCGATTGATCGGCTAAGGTAGGGCAGGGAGAACTCACGATAGTAAAATGTTGTAATTTTAGTTAACCAGTTAAGGCAGGAACTGGCTGTTTTACTTCTCTGTGGTTTTTCCTTGGCTGCTCCAGACTTCTTGGCTCCTGCAGGCCACCTGGACGTATATGTGCAAGTCACAGGGGTGATAATGGCTGAGCTTCGGCTCAGAGGCCTGACAGGTTCAATCGGTGAAGGTGGGACTGCTCCACTGGTGGTGAGGCGGGCTTCCAGGTCATAAGGTAGATTTTAAAATTTTCTGACTGGCAATTGGTTGAAAGAGTTATTATTAGGCCGGGCACGGTGGCTCACGCCTGTCATCCCAGCACTTTGGGAAGCCAAGGCGGGCGGATCACCTGAAGTCAGGAGTTCGAGACCAGCCTGGCCAACATGGTGAGACCCCCGTTGCTACCAAAAATACAAAAAATTAGCTGGGAATGGTGGCAAGTGCTTGTAATCCCAGCTGTGCTGGAGGCTGAGGCAGGCGAATAGCTTGAATCCAGGAGGCGGAGGCTGCAGTAAGCTGAGATCATGACACTGCACACCAGTCTGCGCAACAGAGCGAGACCCTGTCTCTGAAAAAAAAAAAAAGAAGAAAAAAAGAGTTATTAGTAGAAAGGAATATCTGCATTAAGATAAGAGGATGTGGAGACGAAGGTTTTTTGTTTTTGAACGGGAGTCTCACTCTGTCTCCCAGGCTGGAGTGCAATGGCGCGATCTCGGCTCACTGCAACCTCCGCCTCCCGGGTTCAAGCGATTCTCCTGCCTCAGCCTCCCAGTAGCTGGGACTACAGGCGCGCGCCAGCACGGCTAAATGATTTTTGTATTTTTACCAGTGATGGGGTTTTGCCATGTTGGCCAGGCCGGTTTCGAACTCCTGACCTCAGGTGATCCGCCCGCCTCGGCCTCCCAAAGTGTTGAAGTGCTCGAATTACAGGCGTGAGCCAGCGGGCCCCGCCCAGACCTGCATTTTAACCTCCCCTCCACCCCGCGGCCCCGGGACCCTGGGCATCCGGAGGCTCACAGCGGCCCTGCTGGGATGCTCCAGGCAGATCACTGCACAGCCCTGCAGGCAGAGGGGAGGCCGTGCAGGAGGAGGGGAGGCCGTGCAGGGGGAAGGGAGGCCGTGCAGGGGGAGGGGAGGCCGTGCAGGGGGAAGGGGGGCCGTGCAGGGGGAAGGGAGGCCGTGCAGGGGGAAGGGAGGCCGTGCAGGCAGAGGGGAAGACGTGCAGGGGGAGGGGAGGCCGTGCAGGAGGAGGGGAGGCCGTGCAGGGGGAAGGGAGGCCGTGCAGGCGGAGGGGGGTACGTGCAGGGGGCAGCGGAGGCCGTGCAGGGGGAGGGGAGGCCGTGCAGGGGGAAGGGGGGCCGTGCAGGGGGAAGGGAGGCCGTGCAGGGGGAAGGGAGGCCGTGCAGGCGGAGGGGGGTACGTGCAGGGGGCAGCGGAGGCCGTGCAGGGGGAAGGGAGGCCGTGCAGGGGGAGGGGAGGCCGTGCAGGGGGAAGGGGGGCCGTGCAGGGGGAAGGGAGGCCGTGCAGGGGGAAGGGAGGCCGTGCAGGCGGAGGGGAAGACGTGCAGGGGGAGGGGAGGCCGTGCAGGGGGAGGGGAGGCCGTGCAGGGGGAGGGGAGGCCGTGCAGGGGGAGGGGAGGCCGTGCAGGGGGAAGGGAGGCCGTGCAGGGGGAAGGGAGGCCGTGCAGGCGGAGGGGGGTACGTGCAGGGGGCAGCGGAGGCCGTGCAGGGGGAGGGGAGGCCGTGCAGGGGGAAGGGGGGCCGTGCAGGGGGAGGGGAGGCCGTGCAGGGGGAGGGGAGGCCGTGCAGGGGGAGGGGAGGCCGTGCAGGGGGAGGGGGGCCGTGCAGGGGGAAGGGAGGCCGTGCAGGGGGAGGGGAGGCCGTGCAGGGGGAGGGGGGGCCGTGCAGGCGGAGGGGGGCCGTGCAGGGGGAGGGGGGGCCGTGCAGGCGGAGCGGGGGGCGTGCAGGGGGAGGGGAAGCCGTCCTGGGCCTTTTCCAGCTGGCTGCAGAGAAGGGGCCAGCTCCCTCCTGGGGACCCGGAGCCGCGGTACAGGTGTGGTTGCTTCTCTTGGAGAAAGAGGCTGAGCTGACATCCCCCGGGCTGATAAAGAATGGGCTCCTCCTCCTGGGCCCAGCAGGCTCCCGGGACCCTCCCTCCCTCCCTCCCTCCCTCCCTCCTTCCGGGCAGCAGGGAAGATCTGAGTTCATGTAGCTGGTGTTGGCTTAGGGTCTGGGAGGAAGGCTTTTGGGAAGATGTAAATAAGAACAAAATCTGCAGCCACCTGGGAAGCCTGGCCTCAGTGTGGAAGAGAAGGCAGCAGGATTATTACAGAACCTTGTGAAGCCAACGCGGGCAGCCGCCAGGAGCTGCAGACCGAGAGGATCTCGTCCTTTCTTGCGGCCCAGGGAGACCAGGCCTTTCATTCTGGGCTCGAGACCAACAATTCGAATTCCGAACTCCCCCTGCGTGTGGGACTCAAGGTGGGTTTGCAGTTTGCAGGCAGCTGAAGTTTGTCTCTTCTCCAGGAGGCCGGGGCTTCTTCCCTTCCTCTCTGTCCCATTTCTTTTTTCTTGAGACAGAGTCTCACTTTGTCACCCAGGCTGGAGTGCAATGGTGTGATTGTGGCTCACTACAGCCCCCGCCTCCCGGGTTCAAGCCTCAGCCTCCTGAGTAGCTGGGATTACAGGCGTGCGCCACCACGGCCGGCTACTTTTTGTACTTTTAGTAGAAATGGGGTTTCACCATGTTGGCCAGGCTGGTCTCGAACCCCTGACCTCAGGTGATCCACCCACCTCAGCCTCCCAAAGTGATGGGATGACAGGCGTGAGCCACCGTGCCCGGCCCCTCCAGGTCTCATTTCTAAGAGGAGGCCTCAGGTCCACCAGGAAACATTCCTCAGATGTGAAACTGTCAACAGGCTGATTTCTGGGCTCAAGATCAACAATTCTAATTGATTTGATTAAATCAATTAGATCTAATGATTTTAATCTAATCAGTTTTAATCTAAATGATTAAAAATCTTACATACATTGCCGGGCGTGGTGGCGGACGCCTGTAATCCCAGCTACTCTGGAGGCTGAGGCAGGAGAATTGCTTGAACCTGGGAGGCGGAGGTTGCAGTGAGCCGAGATTGCATCATTGCACTCCAGCCTGGGTAACAAGAGTGAAACCCTGTCTTTAAAAAAAACAAAACAAAACAAAAAAAAAACCGTACATACAGCTGGGCACCGTGGCTCACGCCAGTAATCCCAGCACTTTGGGAGGCCGAGGCAGGCAGATCACCTGAGGTCAGGAGTTCAAGACTAGCCTGACCAAGATAGTGAAACCCCGTCTCTACCAAAAATACAAAAATTAAGCAGGTGTGGTGGCGGGCGCCTGTAATCCCAGCTACTCTGGAGGCTGAGGCAGGAGAATTGCTTGAACCTGGGAGGCGGAGGTTGCAGTGAGCCGCGATCGCGCCATTGCAGTCCAGCCTGGGCAACGAGAGGGAAACTGTGTCAAAAAAAAAAAAAAAAGACCAACCAAAAAAGTTATATACACTTCAGAGGCAGAGAAAGAATTTACAAGTTGTCTAAAATGTCCTTATGGAAAGGGTCACTTCCCTTATTTTCAACAGTATATTATATATATATACTTATATATGTATATATAGTGATGTATATATGTATATATGTTATGTATGTGTTATATATGTCTATATTATATATGTATATATGTTATACATGTATGTTATATATATATTATATATATATTATATATGTATATATTATATGTATAATATATATTATATGTATATATTATATATGTTATATATATGTTATGTATATAATATGTATATATGTATATATTCTGTTATGTGTGTATGTGTGTGTGTGTGTGTGTGTGTAGGCGACACGGACACACGTGGAGTGGTTTTAAGGAGCGGAGAGTTTAATAGGAAAGAAGGGAGGTCCGGGCAGTGGCTCACGCCTGTAATCCCAGCACCGCGGAGGTTGCGGTGAGCCGAGATCGCGCCATTTCACTGCAGCCTGGGCAACAAGAGCGAAACTGCGTCTCAAAAAAAAAAAAACCAAGGCGAGAAGGCAGAAAGAAGTGGCTCCCCTGGACTGAGACAGAGGGACGGGGGCTCCAAACCCCAGGCAGGAGACCAGCCCGTGTTATACGGTGCCTGGAGGAGGCGTGACTCATTTGCATAGCGCTGAGGGGATTGGTCTGACCAGGCCTGTCATTCACGTAGCCCGCGAAAAACCTGGCCCGCCCACCCCAGTTCCGTAATATGCAAATGTAGGGCGCCATGATGTTCCACACGCCTGAGGGTAGTGGGGGCGGCCGTGGTGTCAGGCCCGGGTGGGGGCGGCCTTGGTGTCAGGCCCGGGTGGGGGCGGCCGTGGTGCCAGGCCCGGGTGGGGGCGGCCGTGTTGCCAGGCCCGGGTGGGGGCGGCCTTGGTGTCAGGCCCGGGTGGGGGCGGCCTTGGTGTCAGGCACGGGTGGGGGCGAGGGCAAGAGGGCAACGGTGGGAATCGCCATGTGGGCTGGACCAGCTAAAGGCTCGCATTTGCATATTAAAGGTTGCCAAGCCGGGTCTAAGAGCCAGGGCTTTCACGCTAGACAAGAAACATTTTTTGGAGCTGCAAAAAATGCTTCCAAGGACCCCTTTTCCTCTCTCTCTCTCTCTTTTTTTTTTTTCTTTTTTGGATATGGAGTTTCACTCTTGTTGCCCAGCCTGGAGTGCAGTGGCGGGATCTCCGCTCACTGTAACCTCCACCTCCCGGGTTCAAGCGATTCTCCTGCCTCAGCCTCCCGAGTAGCTGGGATGACAGGTGCCACAGGTGCCCACCACCACGCCCAGCTAATTTTTGTATTTTTAGTAGAGATGGGGTTTTGTCAAGTTGGCCAGGCTGGTCTCGAACTCCTGACCTGAAGTCACCGTAAAAAACCTCTTTTCCTCTTCTCCTTCCTCAGGTTGCCCAGGGCTCACCTCTGATGGGTGGGCAGGTGAGCGCTTCCAACAGCTTCTCGAGGCTGCACTGCAGAAATGCCAACGAGGACTGGATGTCGGCACTGTGTCCCCGGCTCTGGGATGTGCCCCTCCACCACCTCTCCATCCCAGGTGAGGTTGGGGTGGGGCAGGGGCCGTTGCCTCTATCCCAGGTGACGGCAGGGTGGGGCGGGAGCTGTGGCGTCTGCATTCCCCAGTGGGGACGCTGGCTGTAGGAGCAATCCTGGGTGTAGGGAAATCCTAGAAAGCACACTGATGTGGACACACACATACACACAGTGCACACGTGTGTGCATACACATATGTACATAGTCATGGACATGCACAGACATGCATACACACAGGCATGCACACATGTGCACACATACACAGGCATACATGCACACACGCACACACGCACACACGCACACATGCACATCTGCACACGCACATCTGCACACACACATGCACATCTGCACACACACATGCACATCTGCACACATACGCATGTGCATACTGTGTTGGTCTGTTCTCACGCTGCTAACAAAGACATACCCGAGACTGGGTAATTTATAAAAGAGGTTTAATGGACTCAGTTCCACCTGGCTGGGGAGGCCTCACAATCACGGCAGAAGGTGAATGCGGAGCAAAGTCACATGTTACATGGTGGCAGCCAACAGAGCGTGTGCTGGAGAACTGCCCTTTGTACAACCATCAGATCTCGTGAGACTTATTCACGATCACGAGAACAGCATGGGAAAGACCCGCCCCGTGATTCGGTGACCTCCCACCAGGTCCCTCCCATGACAGATGGGAATTATGGGAGCTACAATTCAAGATGAGATTTGGGTGGGGACACAGCCGAGCCATATCACATACATAGGTGCACATAGGCACACATGCAGGCACACACAGACACATACATACACACACACATGCATGCGCACACACATACATGCATGCACACATGCACATCCCCACACATATGCACATGGATGCATATACATGCACACACACAGGTGTACACACATGCAGGCACATGTATACATGGATGTAGGCACATACTAATGCACACATGTATACATGCACATAGGCTCATACACACATGGATGCACATACACATGCATGCACATGTGCGGGTGTGTACACATGCACATGCACACGTGTACACATGTACACACATGCACACATGTATATATATATTTGCACCTATGCACACATATATACACCTGCAGATATACACAGGTGTAGACATGTACATGCACAGACACACGTGCACACATAAACATTTGCACCTATGCACGCAGAGACACGTCTATGCAATGCATGTATACACGTGTACACACGTACATGCATGCACACAGACATACACATGTACACATTTGCACCTATTCACATAGACATACATGAATGCACATATGCACACGTGTACACAGGCACACATGCACATGCACACGCGTGTACACACATGCACACACGTAGACACACGTCCATGCACACAGGAACACAGGTACATGTTTAAACACAGGCACACACATGCACACTCACATATAGGCATACGGACACACATACACATGCACACAGATACGTATTGTCAACCTAAGGAAATAAACTTAGACAAAATTAATATAAGTAGGGGGTTTCCTTGAGCCACATTTGAGGACTGCAGCCCAGGAAACCCTCCAACTCGCCTTAGGAAGTGGCTGTGGAGAACAACGTCGAGACGGGAGCTTCTAAAGAAAGTGCACATCAGGAGAGGGGGTGATGATGAAAGCTGTTTTTCAGGAATTCATGTGGGTTACTGAAGTGGCATCGAGCACTGATCGCGTTCTTCCTTGCAATGTAGGGAATGAGTTATGGTGCCCCAGTGTGACATCCTGAGGTTAATTTTTTTTTTTTGAGACGGAGTTTTGCTCTTATCGCCCAGGCTCGAGTGCAGTGGCTCCACCTCAGCTCATCGCAACCTCTGCCTCCTGGGTTCAAGCGATTCTCCTGCCTCAGCCTCCCGAGTAGCTGGGATTACAGGCACGCTCCACTATGCCTGGCTGATTTTTGTATTTTTAGCAGAGATGGGGTTTCACCATGTTGGTCAAGCTGGTCTCGAACTCCCGACCTCAGGCAATCCACCTGCCTCGGCCTCCCAAAGTGCTGGCATTGCAGACATGAGCTATTGCACCCGACATCTTAGGTTAATTTGTAGAGATGCGGGGCATCTGTCAGTCTAGAGCTGACCTAGTAAGTAGCTTCCAGGGGTGATACTGTAGCAGGACCAGCCGCAGACAAAACTCAGACACCGGATTAAAGAAAGAAGAGGTTTCTTTGGCCGGGAGCTTCGGCAGACTCACATCTTAAGAGCCGAGCTCCTTAAAAAAGAAATTCTTGGCCTTTTTAAAGGCTTACAACTCTGAGGGGTCCACGTGAAGGGGTCGTGATAAATCAAGCAAGTGTGGGGAACGTGACTGGGGGCTACATGTGTCAGCTAACAGAACAGAAAGTTTTGTAACGCTTTTTCATACAACGTCTGGCATTTACAGATAACAGAAGTGGTTTAGGTTATGGATTGATATTATTTTAACTCCCAGGGCTGGGTGGTGGTGCCAAGGTTGTCTGGCTATTTATCTTACTTCTGTTTCTTTCCAACCTTTTGCTTTCTCCTGTCTTATAAACTAGGCAAGGTGGGGGTAGGGGGCAGCAGGAGAAGTACTGGTCTCCTTCCTTAACACCTTAGCTCAAGATCGGGGGAGCAGGTGACTGTGGCTTCGTTCCAATGCCTCTCGGGGTCTGGGGATTTAAAGGGGGTCCACGTTCCTCAGAGGATGTAAAGGGGCTTCACGTTCCTCAGGGGATTTAAAGGGGGAAGGCCGGGCGTGGTGGCTCACGCCTGTAATCCCAGCACTTTGGGAAGCCAAGGCAGGAGGATCACTTGAGTTTAGGAGTTTGAGAGCAGCCTGGGCAACATAGTGAGGCCCCATCTCTGCAAATATGTATATACACACACACATTTATATGTAAGTGTACATATTTATATATAAACATACATATTTATATTTATATATAATATATAAATAAGTAAATGTAAAATATAAAATATATATCATATATTTATATAAATATATGATACATAAGTACATTTATATATTATATTTATAAACATAATATGTGGATATATATTTTATATATTTATATAAATACATATTTATGCAAAAATATGTATTTATGTAAATATATACTAATATATGTTTATATATAGATATATATACACTATATATGTTTATATATAGAATATATACTATATATGTTTATATATAGATATAGATACTATATATGTTTATATATAGATATAGATACTATATATGTTTATATATAGATATAGATACTATATATGTTTATATATAGATATAGATACTATATATGTTTATATATAGATATAGATACTATATATGTTTATATATAGATATAGATACTATATATGTTTATGGATATAGATACTATATATCTTTGTTTATAGATATAGATACTATATATGTTTATATATAGATATATGTCATATATATCTTAAATATATATATCTTAAATATAGATATATTTATATCTATATTTAAGAAATAACAACTACGTGTCATAGGCAGGAAATGCAAACGTCAGCCATCAGTCAAACTCTACAAAGGTCTGTGTTTCTTGCGGTTACCATAACAAGTGAGCACACGTCAGGAGGCGGCAAAGAACAGAAATTTACTCTCTCCCAGTTCTAGATACAGAAATCTGAAGTCAAGATATGGGCAGGACCACACGTCCTCCTGAGGCTCTAGGGGAGGGTCCTTCCTGCCTCTCCCAGCTCCTGGGGGCTCCAGGCATCCCTGGGCTTGTGGCCGCATCACTCCAGTCTCTGCCTCCATCTCCACGTGGCCTCCTCCTCTGGGTCTGTGTCTCCTAAGGACACCTGTCATTGCATTTAGGACCCAGCACAAAGCCAAGATGACTTCATCTTGAGCATTTTGAGAGCATGTGTAAAGACCCTATTTCCAAACAGGATCCCATTCACAGGTTCTGGGCAGGGGGTTAGGACTTGAACAGCTCTTTTGGGGATCACCACTCAAGTCATTGAAATTGTATTCAGTTCCTTCTAGAGGCTCTAGAGTGGGGGATCCTTCCTGCCTCTCCCAGCTCCTGGGGGCTCCAGGCATCCCTGGGCTTGTGGCCGCATCACTCCAGTCTCTGCCTCCGTCTCCACGAGGCCTCCTCCTCTGTGTCTGTCTCCTCCTCTTGTGTCTTAGACGGACACCTGTCACTGGATTTGGGGGCCCGCCCTACTCCAGGATGATCTCATTTCAACCTAATGATATCTGCAGAGACCCTGTTTCAACACGGGTCGTGTTCCCAGGTTCCAGTGGACGTGAGTTTTGGGGGTCAGCGTGCACCCCTCCCGCCATACCTGTGCCTGTGCTGTGGGCGGGCAGCAGCCTGTGCTGTAGGCGGGCTGTGGAGCGACTCACAGCAGGTGGCGGGGACGGACTCGTGGTGACATGTCCGCGTGTGTGCTTTGCTCTCAGGGAGCCACGACACGATGACGTACTGCCTGAACAAGAAGTCCCCCATTTCGCACGAGGAGTCCCGGCTGCTGCAGCTGCTGAACAAGGCCTTGCCCTGCATCACGCGCCCTGTCGTGCTGAAATGGTCCGTCACCCAGGTACGGTCTGTGCCCCGTGCTGCTGACCTGGCCTGTCAGCTATGTGGGGCCCACGGCCCCGTGGTGCTGAAATGGCCCCTCACCCAGGTAGGGTTTGAGTGGTGCCCTGTGGGCTCAGGAGGCAGGTTCCTATCCCAGCTGCGGAGACAGGATTAAAACAAAACCTGCTGCCCACCCAGAACCCCTCCCCAGAGGTGGAAGAGAGGGGAACAGTGTTTTTATTTATTTATTTTTTGAGACAGGGTCTCACTCTTCTTACCCGGGCTGGAGTGCAGTGGCGTGATCTCGGCTCACTGCAACCTCCGCTGCCTGGGTTCAAGCGATTCTCCTGCCTCATCCTCCTAAGTACCTGGGTCTACAGGCACCTGTCACCACACCTGGCTAATTTTTTGTATTTTTAGTAGAGATGGGGTTTTACCGTGTTAGTCAGGATGGTCTTGATCTCCTGACCTCATGATCTGCCCGCCCCAGCCTCCGAAAGTGCTGGGATTACAGGCGTGAGCCACCGCGCCCGGCCCAGCATTTTATTAAATGGCGTAAAGCTAATGCCGTGAGCATCGCAGGCCTCCACTGAGAGCTGCAGAGGGAGAGGGTCTCGCCCTGTTGCATCCCAGCAGAGACAACACCTTTCTTTTTCTTTCTTTTTCTTTTTTTTTTTTTTGAGACGGAGTCTCACTGCCGCCCAGGCTGGAGTGCAGTTGGTGCCATCTCGGCTCACTGCAAGCTCCGCCTCCCGGGTTCACGCCATTCTCCTGTCTCAGCCTCCTGAGTAGCTGGGACTACAGGCTCCCGCGACCACGCCCGGCTAATTTTTGGTATTTTGAGTAGAGTCAGGGTTTCACTGTGTTAGCCAGGATGGTCTCGAACTCCTGACCTCGTGATCCACCCGCCTCAGCCTCCCAAAGTGCTGGGATTACAGGCGTCAGCCACCGCGCCCGGCCGAGACAACCCCTTTCATGCCTGCACTCAAGACAGACAAGGACTCATTTCTCGTGTCTTTAGGACCTGAGGCGGGTCTGCAGTTTGCAGTCAGGCATCTGCTAGTCCCTGGGAAACAGGGAGACAGGCCCCTTTCTCCCTAATAATCACATTCATTCATTCCTTTAGAGATGGAGTCTCGCTCTCTCACCCAGACTGGAGTGCGGTGGTGCGATCTCAGCTTCCTGCAGCCTGGGCCTCCCAGGATCAAAGGATCCTCCTTCCTCAGCCTCCCGGGCAGCTGGGACTACAGGTGTACACCACCACACCCAGGCTGATTTTTAAAATTTTTAGTAGAGGCCGGGCGCGGTGGCTCACGCCTGTAATCCCAGCACTTTGGGAGGCCAAGGTGGGTGGATCACGAGGTCAGGAGATCGAGACCGTCCTGGCTAACATGTTGAAACCACATCTCTACTAAAAATACAAAACAAAATTAGCTGGGCGCGGTGGCGGGCGCCTGCAGTCCCAGCTACTGGGGAGGCTGAGGCAGGAGAACGGCATGAACCCGGGAGGCGGAGCTTGCAGTGAGCCCAGATTGCACCACTGCACTCCAGCCTGGGTGACAGAGCGAGACTCCGTCTCAAAAAAAAAAAAAAAAGGCCAGGTCCCCGGAGATGAGGTTTTCCAAATGCAGGTCCCCGTGGCTGCAGCGCTCCCAGCACATACAAACAGCTGTTGTTACGACATCCACGTCCCAGTGGGCAGCAGGACATGCGGGTGGGCCAACCCCACAGCCCATTCCTGAGCCCCCCAGACGCGGCGCTCAGCCAGGCAGACATGACAGCAGCCTCTGTCCACAGGCACTGGACGTCACAGAGCAGCTGGATGCCGGGGTGCGGTACCTGGACCTGCGGATAGCCCACATGCTGGAGGGCTCGGAGAAGAACCTGCACTTTGTCCATATGGTGTACACAACGGCGCTGGTGGAGGTGCGGCCGGGCTGAGGTGGGACGCAATGGGGAGAGTGGGAGGCGGCCGGGCACTGGTGCAGGTGCGGCCGGGCTGAGGTGGGAAGCAAGGGGGACAGCGGGAGGCGGCCGGGCACTGGTGCAGGTGCGGCCGGGCTGAGGTGGGAAGCAAGGGGGACAGCGGGAGGCGGCCGGGCGCTGGTGCAGGTGCGGCCGGGCTGAGGTGGGAAGCAAGGGGGACGGCGGGAGGTGGCCAAGCTCCCGTGGGGATGAAACAGCCACATGCAGATGTGGACAGGAAACGCCCGGTCTTTAATGGAAGGGTGACGTCACCTATACACCAGACAGGAGACACTGACCCCGCCAATCCGTTACGGAGATTTCTTTTTTTTTTGCTTTTTTTTTTTGGAGATGGAGTCTTGCTGTGTCGCCCAGGCTGGAGTGCAGTGGTGCAATCTCAGCTCACTGCAACCTCTGCCTCCTGGGTTCAGGCAATTCTCCTGCCTCAGCCTTCCAAGTAGCTGGGATTACAGACGCCGGACACCACGCCCAGCTAATTTTTGTATTTTTAGTAGATACGGGGTTTCACCATGTTGGCTAGGCTGGTCTCAAACTCCTAACCTCAGGTGATCCACCCGCCTCGGCCTCCCAAATTGCTGGGATGACAGGCGTGAGCCGCCACACCCCGCCTTCCCTGTGGTGTTGGAGTCGTGCAGGACTCAGCCCAGCACCCCCCTCCCCAGGACACACTCACGGAAATCTCGGAGTGGCTGGAGCGGCATCCACGCGAGGTGGTCATCCTGGCCTGCAGAAACTTCGAGGGGCTGAGCGAGGACCTGCACGAGTACCTGGTCGCCTGTATCAAGAACATCTTCGGGGACATGCTGTGTCCTCGTGGGGTGAGGAGGGGAAGGATATCCGCACGTCTCTCCCGGGGCAGGGGCATCGTCAGCCTCAGACTCCATTTGCTGTGCCCTGGGTGTGGGTGCTGCCATGATTCCTGTAGCAGGTGAAGCCGTCGAACGGGGGCTGCCTGCTCTCCCGCAGTGTGGGGGGCCCTGGCTGACCCGGTGGGGTGGCTCCTGGTGAGATCTGCTTCCCTTGACGGGTTTAGAAATGTGTGCAGCGTCAGCCGGGCGCGGTGGCTCACGCCTGTCATCCCAGCACTTTGGGAGGCCGAGGCGGGTGGATCACGAGGTCAAGAGATCGAGACTATCCTGGCCAACATGGTGAAACCTGGTGTCTACTAAAAATACAACAATTAGGCTGGGTGTGGTGGCTCACGCTTGTCATCCCAGGACTTTGGGAGGCCGAGGCGGGCGGATCACGAGGTCAAGAGATTGAGACTATCCTGGCCAACATGGTGAAACCCCGTCTCTACTAAAAATACCAAAATTATCTGGGTGTGGCGGTGGGTGTGCCGGACGCAGTGGCTCACACCTGTCATCCCAGGACTTTGGGAGGCCGAGGCGGGCGGATCATGAGGTCAGGACATCGAGACCATCCTGGCTAACACGGTGAAACCCCGTCTCTACTAACACAAAATACAAACAATTAGCCGGGCGTGGTGGCGGGCGCCTGTAGTCCCAGCTACTCGGGAGGCTGAGGCAGGAGAATGGTGTGAACCCGGGGGGTGGAGGTTGCAGTGAGCCGAGATCGCGCCACTGCATTCCAGCCTGGGAGACAGAGCGAGATCCGTCTCAAAAAATAAAAAATAAAAATAAATAAATATATAAAAATAGAGACAGGGTCACCCTGTGCAGCCCAGGCTCGAATTCCTGGCCTCGAGTGATCCTCCCGCCGTGTCCTCCCAAAGTGCTGGGATTACAGGCATGAGCCCCTGCACCTGGCCATACTTAATTTATTTATTTATTTGAGAGGGAGTCTCGGTCTGTCTCCCAGGCTGGAGTGCAATAGCGAAACCTCGGCTCACCGCAACCTCTGCCTCCCAGGTTCAAACGATTCTCCTACCTCAGCCTTCTGACTAGCCGGGATGACAGGCGTGCACCACCGCACCCGGCCAATTTTTGTATTTTTAGTAGAGATGGGGTTTCACCATGTTGCCCGGGCTGGTCTCAAACTCCTGACCTCAGGTGATCCACCCACCTCGGCCTCCCAAAGTGCTGGGATTACAGGCGTCAGCCACTGCGCCCGGCCAGAATTTCATTTTTGGTTTATACTCGTGTTGGGCCGGTGTCCCGACTTCCCAGCCCTCCGCTCTCCCAGGTGCCCCCGGCTCTCCTCTCTCCCCTGCACCCCTTAACTCTGGTCCTTTGCAGGAGGTGCCGACACTGCGGCAGCTGTGGTCCCGGGGCCAACAGGTCATCGTCTCCTATGAAGACGAGAGCTCCTTGCGCCGGCACCACGAGCTGTGGCCAGGAGTCCCCTACTGGTGGGGAAACAGGGTGAAGACCGAGGCCCTCATCCGATACCTGGAGACCATGAAGAGCTGCGGCCGCCCAGGTACCAGGTCGCCCCTCGTGGGGGTAGATTCCACACAGCCTCCCGTGACGCCCTGCGGCAGGCCGGGTCCACATGGACTTGCCTTCACTTTTACGTGAAAACAATTTAAAAGGAATCCATGAGCTGGGCGTGGTAATCCCTGTACCTGTAATCCCAGCACTTCGGGAGGCCGAGGCGGGTGGATCACCTGAGGTCGGGAGTTTGAGACCAGCCTGGCCAACATAGTGAGACCCCAACTTTACTAGAAATAAAACTTAGCGGCCGGGCGCAGTGGTTCATGCCTGTCATCCTAGCACTTTGGGAGGCTGAGGCGGGCAGATCACCTGAGGTCGGGAGTTCGAGACCGGCCTGACCAATGTGATGAAACCCTGTCTCTACTTAAGAAGCACCCAGGGAGAAAGCAGTCCATGTACATTGGCGGGGGGAGGGATCAACAAGGTGTGGTCCATCCACGCGGTGGAATATTACACAGCCATGAAAAAGAACGAGGCTCTGACAAGGATGCAGCGGGCACAAACCTTAAGACATCACGCTCAGTGAGAGAAGCCAGACACAAAAGGACACGTAGTGTGTGAATCCATTTACAGGAAATGCCCAGAACATGCCAATCCAGAGACAGAAAGAGGATTTGTGGTTGCCGGGGGCTGCGGAGGGGAAATGAGGACTGACTGCTTCATGGAAACAGGGTCTCTCCTTTTAGGACGATGAGAATGTTCTGGAACTAGGGAGAGGTCGGAGTTGCACAACGTGAATCCACTTTATTTTTTTTAGTTAATTCTTTGATTAGAGAAGGGGTCTCACTGTGTTGGCCAGGCTGGTCTCAAACTCCTGGTGTCAGCCAGGTGCGGTGGCTCACACCTGTGATCACAGCACTTTGGGAGGCCAAGGTGGGTGGATCACCTGAGGTCAGGAGTTTGGAGACCAGCCTGGCCAACATGGCGAAACCTCTTCTCTAGCAAAAATACAAAAATTAGCGGGCACAGGCCGGGCGCGGTGGCTCACGCCTGTAATCCCAGCACTTCGGGAGGCCGAGGCGGGCGGATCATGAGGTCAGGAGATCGAGACCATCCCGGCTAACATGGAGAAACCCCGTCTCTACTAAAAATACAAAAAATTAGCCGGGCGTGGTGGCGGGCGCCTGTAATCCCAGCTACTCCGGAGGCTGAGGTAGGAGAATGGTGTGAACTCGGGAGGCGGAGCTTGCAGTGAGCCGAGATCACGCCACTGAACTCCAGCCTGGGCGACAGAGTGGAACTCTGTCTCAAAAAAAAAAAAAAAATAGGCACCTGTAATCCCATCTACTTGGGAGGCTGAGGCAGGAGAAATGCTTGAATCCAGGAGGCGGAGGTTGCTGTGATCCATGGTCGCGCCACTGCACTCCAGCCTGGGCGACAGGAGCAAGACTCCATCTCAAAACAAAACAAAAAAGAGAAAAATTAGCCAGGCATGGTGATGCGCGCCTATAATCCCAGCTACTCAGGAGGCTGAGGCAGGGGAATCACTTGAACCAGGAAGGCGGAGGTTGCAGTGGGCCGAGATCGAGCCAGTGTACTCCAGCCTGGGCAACAGAGCGAGACTCTGTCTCAAAACAAAACAAGACAAAATCAAACTTCTGGGGTCAAGCGATCTGCTTGAACCACCATTCCCAGCCGAGTTGTGCAATTTAAAATCGTGAATTTCGGTGCAGTGGCTCACGCCTGTAATCCCACCACTTTGGGAGGCCGAGGCAGGTGGATTAATTGAGATCAGGAGTTTGCGACCAGTCTGGTGAAACCCCATCTCTAGTAAAAATACAAAAAGATTTAGCTGGGCGTGGTTGTGTGCACCTGTAATCCCAGCTCCTCGGGAGGCTGAGGCAGGAGAATTGCTTGAACCCGGGGGCGGAGGCTGCCGTGAGCCGAAATCGCGCCACAGCACTCCAGCCTGGGCAACAGAGCGAGACTCCATCTTGGGAAAAAAAAAAAAAGGTAACTTTTTTGTACGTGAATTTCACCACAATTTTTGTAAAAAAGCCACCGACGGGGTGTGAGGTGCAGACAGCGTCGGCAGCCACGGCCCCGTGTCCTCCGGAGGCAGGAGCCTGAGGGAGGGAGGGAGGAAGGTCCTCCCCGCGGGGACGGTGGCAGGTGGGGCCGTCTCGGTCCTGCAGCCTGCGGCTGGGTTCTCTCAAGGTGATCTTCACGGCCGCGAGGGCTGCTTCCCACAGGGGCAGCATGAAACCCAGTCACGGGCCGGGCAAAGGAGCAGGTTTTTTCAACTTGGTCTCTTGCCCTCACACAGGAACGAGGTTTAGAGACTTCAGAAATGTCTTTTTTTTTTTTTTGAGGTGGAGTCTCACTCTTGTTGCCCCGGTCGGAGTGCAGTGGCGCGATCTCGGCTCACTGCAACCTCCGTCTCCCGGGTTCAAGCCATTCTCCTGCCTCAGCCTCCTGAGTAGCTGGGACTACAGGCGCCCGCCACCACACCCGGCTAATTTTTTTTTGTATTTTTAGTAGAGACAGGGTTTCACCATGTTGGTCGGGCTGGTCTCGAACTCCTGACCTCATGATCTGCCCGTCTCAGTCTCCCAAAGTGCTGGGATGACAGGCGTGAGCCACGGTGCCAGGCGGAAAATTTTTTTGTTTGTGTGTTTGTTTTTTGAGACAGAGTTTTGCTCTTGTTGCCCAGGCTAGAGTGCAATGGCGCAATCTTGGCTCACTGCAGCCTTCGCCTCCTGGGTTCGAGCAATTCTCCCGCCTCAGCCTCCCACCACGCCCGGCTAATTTTTATTTTTAGTAGAGATGGGGTTTCTCCATGTTGATCAGGCTGGTCTCGAACTCCCGACCTCAGGTGATCTGCCCGCCTTGGCCTCCCAAAGTGGTGGGATTACAGGCTTGAGCCACTGTGCCCGGCCTTTTTTTGTTTGTTTTGTTTTGTTTTTGAGACAGAGTCTTGCTCTGTCACCCAGGCTGGAGTGCAATGGCGTGATCTCGGCTCACTGCAACCTCCACCTCCTGGATTCAAGTGATTCTCCTGCCTCAGCCTCCCGAGTAGCTGGGATTACGGGCACGTACCACCATGCTGAGCTAATTTTTGGATGTGTTTTTACTAGAGAAAGGGTTTCAGCGTGTTGGTCAGGCTGGTCTTGAACTCCTGACCTCATGATCCACCGGCCTCAACCTCTCAACGTGCTGGGATGACAGGCATGAGCCACCGTGCCCAGCCTAGAAATACGTGTTAAAAACCACTGAGAGAACTTGGCCATAAACGTCTGTTGCCTTTGCCGTCTCTGGCTGTGGAATCAGTCCAGCTGGTCAACACAGGGGCACTGGAACCTACCTCTGGGGGAGCTTCTTCAAATATGGCTTGCAGGAGATTCCGGCTCAGCAGATGTAGGTGGAGCCCCCAAATTTGCATTTCTAACTATTGCAGGGACCCCACTTTGAGAATCACTGGTCAACGTCAACCCTCTCTATAAGCCTCATAAGAGATGGCACAGACTTAGTGCCCAAGACAACAGCATTCTTCCTGTCTATCACATGGGGGATAAGAATGTGGACAAGTTTGGGGCCATATTATTCTGTCTCCCACATGGGATTAGGACGTGGACATCTTTGGGGCCATTATCCTGTCTACCTCATGGGGATTAGGACGTGGACATCTTTGGGGACATTATTCTGTCTCCCACATGGGGATTAGGACGTGGACATCTTTGGGGCCATTATTCTGTCTATCACATGGGGATTAGGACGTGGACATCTTTGGGGACATTATTCTGTCTATCACATGGGGATTAGGACGTGGACATCTTTGGGGACATTATCCTGTCTATCACATGGGGATTAGGACGTGGACATCTTTGGGGACATTATTCTGTCTCCCACATGGGGATCAGGACGTGGACATCTTTGGGGACATTATTCTGTCTATCACATGGGGATTAGGACGTGGACATCTTTGGGGCCATTATTCTGTCTATCACATGGGGATTAGGACGTGGACATCTTTGGGGACATTATTCTGTCTATCACATGGGGATTAGGACGTGGACATCTTTGGGGACATTATTCTGTCTATCACATGGGGATCAGGACGTGGACATCTTTGGGGACATTATCCTGTCTATCACATGGGGATTAGGACGTGGACATCTTTGGGGCCATTATTCTGTCTCCCACATGGGGATTAGGACGTGGACATCTTTGGGGCCATTATTCTGTCTCCCACATGGGGATTAGGACGTGGACATCTTTGGGGACATTATTCTGTCTCCCACATGGGGATTAGGACGTGGACATCTTTGGGGCTGTTATTCTGTCTCCCACATGGGGATTAGGACGTGGACATCTTTGGGGACATTATTCTGTCTATCACATGGGGATTAGGACGTGGACATCTTTGGGGCTGTTATTCTGTCTCCCACATGGGGATTAGGACGTGGACATCTTTGGGGACATTATTCTGTCTATCACATGGGGATTAGGACGTGGACATCTTTGGGGACATTATTCTGTCTCCCACATGGGGATTAGGACGTGGACATCTTTGGGGCTGTTATTCTGTCTATCACATGGGGATTAGGACGTGGACATCTTTGGGGCCATTATTCTGTCTATCACATGGGGATTAGGACGTGGACATCTTTGGGGACATTATTCTGTCTATCACATGGGGATTAGGACGTGGACATCTTTGGGGACATTATTCTGTCTATCACATGGGGATTAGGACGTGGACATCTTTGGGGACATTATTCTGTCTATCACATGGGGATTAGGACGTGGACATCTTTGGGGACATTATTCTGTCTCCCACATGGGGATTAGGACGTGGACATCTTTGGGGACATTATTCTGTCTATCACATGGGGATTAGGACGTGGACATCTTTGGGGACATTATTCTGTCTATCACATGGGGATTAGGACGTGGACATCTTTGGGGACATTATTCTGTCTATCACATGGGGATTAGGACGTGGACATCTTTGGGGACATTATTCTGTCTCCCACATGGGGATTAGGACGTGGACATCTTTGGGGACATTATTCTGTCTATCACATGGGGATTAGGACGTGGACATCTTTGGGGACATTATTCTGTCTCCCACATGGGGATTAGGACGTGGACATCTTTGGGGCCATTATTCTGTCTATCACATGGGGATTAGGACGTGGACATCTTTGGGGACATTATTCTGTCTATCACATGGGGATTAGGACGTGGACATCTTTGGGGACATTATTCTGTCTATCACATGGGGATTAGGACGTGGACATCTTTGGGGACATTATTCTGTCTCCCACATGGGGATTAGGACGTGGACATCTTTGGGGACATTATTCTGTCTATCACATGGGGATTAGGACGTGGACATCTTTGGGGCCATTATTCTGTCTATCACATGGGGATTACGACGTGGACATCTTTGGGGACATTATTCTGTCTCCCACATGGGGATTAGGACGTGGACATCTTTGGGGACATTATTCTGTCTATCACATGGGGATCAGGACGTGGACATCTTTGGGGCCATTATCCTGTCTATCACATGGGGATTAGGACGTGGACATCTTTGGGGACATTATTCTGTCTATCACATGGGGATTAGGACGTGGACATCTTTGGGGCCATTATTCTGTCTATCACATGGGGATTAGGATGTGGACATCTTTGGGGACATTATTCTGTCTCCCACACGGTGTTACGACGTGAGCATCTTTGGGGTTGTCTACTGCCCACCACGCTTTATAAGCAAAGCTCACCCAATTTCCTTGTTGGACATGGTGCTTTCAACTCTTAATTCCTGAGATGCGAACCTCTAATAATGTGACTAGGAGGGAGAAACAGGCGGGTGAGGCCCGTGACCGTGTAACCTCTCCCCACCCTCACCGTTGCAGGAGGGTTGTTCGTGGCCGGCATCAACCTCACGGAGAACCTGCAGTACGTTCTGGCGCACCCGTCCGAGTCCCTGGAGAAGATGACGCTGCCCAACCTTCCGCGGCTGAGCGCGTGGGTCCGAGAGCAGTGCCCGGGGCCGGGTTCACGGTGCACCAACATCATCGCGGGGGACTTCATCGGCGCAGACGGCTTCGTCAGTGACGTCATCGCGCTCAATCAGAAGCTGCTGTGGTGCTGACGGGACCCTTCTGAAGTTCGGGACGCGGCGGCTGCAGTTTCACCCCCGAATTTCCAAGTATTGTGACTTTGTTTGGGCCAAATGTTGGTGATCATAGGACCGATGATAATACGTTTTCATTTTCTTTAAAATAGAGATGGGGTGGCTGGGCGTGGTGACTTCGCCTGTCTTCCCAGCACTTTGGGAGGCCGAGGTGGGTGGATCATGAGGTCAGGAGCTTGAGAGCAGCCTGACCAACATGGTGAAATCCCATCTCTACTAAAAATACAAAACTTAGCTGGGTGTGTGGCAGGCGCCTGTAGTCCCAGTTACTCGGGAGGCTCAGGCAGGAGAACTGCTTGAAGCCGGGAGATGGAGGTTGCATTGAGCTGACATCGTGCCACTGCACTCCAGTCTGAATGATAGACCGAGACTCCATCTCAAAAGAAAAAAAAACAGCCGAGTGTGCAGTGACTCACGCCTGTCATCCCAGCACTTTGGGAGGCGAAGGCGGGTGGAACATGAGGTCAGGAGTTCGAGACCAGCCTGACCAACATGGTGAAACCCCGTCTCTATTAAAAACACAAAAACTACCTGGGTGCGTGATGGGCACCTGTAGTGCCAGCTACTCAGGAGGCTGAGGCAGGAGAATGGCGTGAACCCGGGAGGTGGAGGTTGCATTGAGCTGAGATCGTGCCACTGCACTCCAGCCTGGGCGACAGAGCGAGACTCCATCTCAAAAAAAAAAAAAAAAAAAAAGATGGGGTCTCTCTATGTTGGCCAGGTTGGTCTTGAACTCCTGGCCTCAAGTGATCCTCCCACCTCAGCCTCCCAGAGTGCTGGGATGACAGTCAAGAACCACCATGGCAGCCCATAATATGTTTTCTTATTTCTGTATTCTCCTTGCTGTGGCGTCTGGAGCCCTTACAGACCCAGGGAGACACTATCCTCCCACAGCTCACTAATTACTAAACACAGTGACAGCCCACTTAGGAGCCGGCCTCCCCTGTCAGCCAACCCCTCAGCTAGTTCTCACACCAAGCCTATAGATATATATGTGTGTGTATATATGTGTGTTTATGTGTCTGTGTGTATATATGTGTATATATCGGTGTGTATATATGTATGTATGTTTATACATGTGTATATGTGTGTGTGTGTGTGTATATGTGTGTATGTGTGTATATATGTATATGTGTGCATATGTGTATACGTGTATGCATACATGTATATGTGTATGCATGTATATGTGTATGTGTACATGTATATGTGTTTATACATGTATATGTGTGTATGCGTGTATACGTGTATGTATACATGTATATGTGTGTATGCGTGTATATACACACGTATACATATATACGTGCGTGTGTATGTGTATATATATATATGTGTATATATATATTTTTTGAGGAGTCTCACTCTGTCACCCAGGCTGGAGTGCAACGGCGAGATCTCGGCTCACCGCAACCTCCGCCTCCCTGGTTCAAGCAATTCTCCTGCCTCCGCCTCCCGAGTAGCTGGGATGACAGGCATGTGCCACCACACCCGACTAATTTCATATATTTAGTAGAGACGGGGTTTCTCCGCGTTGGTCAGGCCGTTCTCAAACTTCTGACCTCAGGTGATCTGCCCGCCTCGACCTCCCAAAGTGCTGGGATGACAGGCATGAGCCACTGTGCCCAGCCGCCGATATTTCTTTAAATTATGTTTAGGGACAGGGTCTTTTTCTGTCACCCAGGCTGGAGGGCAGTGGTACAGTCATAGCTCACTGCAGCCTCAACCTCCTGGGCTCAAGCGATCCTCTCAGCTCAGCCTCCCGTGTAGCTGGGGCTCCAGGGACACACCCCCACTGCTGGCTAATTTTTGTATTTTTGGTAGAGTCAGGGTTTCACCACATGGCACAGTCTGGTCTCAAATTCCTGGGCTCCAGTGATCCTCCCACCTTAGCTTCCAGAGTGGCCAGGATCACAGGCAGGCACCACCATGCCCAGGTAATTTTATTTTTTTGTAGAGACGTGGTCTGGCTATGTTGTCCAGGGTGGTCTCAAACTCCTGGGCTCAACTGATCCTCCCACCTCAACCTCTGCCATAGCCAGGACCTCAGGTGTCAGCCACCACACCCACAGCTAATTTTTTTTGTAGAGATGGGGTCTGGCTCTGTTGCTCAGGCTGGTGTGTAGTAGGGGCACAGTCATAGCTCACTGTAACCTTCAACGCCTGGGCTGAAGCAATTCTCCCGCCTCAGCTTCCCAAGTAACTGGGAGTATAGGTGTACACCACCATGCCCAGCTAATTATTTAGTAGTAGTAGGAGGAGTATTATGTTTGAGATGGAGTCTCGCTCTGTCGCCCAGGCTGGAGTGCAGTGGCGCAGTCTCAGCTCACTGCAACCTCTGCCTCCCAGGTTCAAGCAATTCTTGTGCCTCAGCCTCCTGAGTAGCTGGGATTACAGGCGCCCGCCACCGCGCCTGGCTAACTTTTGTATTTTTAGCAGAGATGGGGTTTCACCATGTTGCCCAGGCTGGTCTTGAACTCCCGACCTCAGGTGATCCATCCGCATTGGCCTCCCAAAGTGCTGGGATCACAGGCGTGAGCCACCGCACCTGGCCTCAAGCCAGTATTTCCCTGGCCCTAAATCATTCCTGGCTGGGTCCCAGCCCAGTAGAGCCAGCCCCCCAGCCCGGAGTGCTACTGAAGTGTTCAAAAGTTGTCAATCCTCAGCCGTTCCCTAGTCCTGTTGCCCGGTTCTGCCGAAGCCCCTTGAAGGCTGTGGCCTGGGCTGTTCCCTCATTCATTCCTGCCTCCCGAGCCAAACCCAGGTATCCGCTTGTGCCCTGCGTGGTGTGGCAGCGTCTTCTCTCGGGAAGGGTCAGGAGTAATTTCTTCTTTCAGTGGCCTCTCTGTGCTAGTCCCGGTCACCTCCGTGAATTAAAGTCCTACAGGTACAAGGGAGACCCCCCCCCCACGGAAGGCGCCCCCAGTCCGTGTGGGAGACTCGCACACCGGTTTTCTGCACAGGTTTCTTTCTGCCTCTGAAGCGTGAACGGTCCTAGTTTCAGACGCAGATCCTGCAAATACTTTTTTTTGTTTTTTTGAGATGGATTTTCCCTCTTGTTGTTCAGGCTGGAGTGCAATGGCACGATCTCAGCTCACTGCAACCTCTGCCTCCCGGGTTCAAGTGATTCTCCTGCCTCAGCCTCCCGAGGAGCTGAGATTACAGGCGCGTGCCACCGTGCCTGGTTAATTTTGTATTTGTATTTTTATTTATGTTTTGAGACGGAGTTTCGCTCTCGTTGCCGAGGCTGGAGTGTAGTAGTGTGATCCTGGCTCACTGCAACCTCCACCTCCCGGGTTCCAGCAAATTCTCCTGCCTCAGCCTCCCAAGTAGCTGGGATTGCAGGCGCCCGCCACCACGCCCGGATAATTTTTGTGTGTTTAGCAGAGACGGGGTTTCACCATGTTGGCCAGGCTGGTCTCGATCTCCTGACCTCAGGTGATCCACCCGCCTCGGCCTCCCAAAGTGCTGGGATGACAGGCGTGAGCCACCGCGCCCGGCCTATACCTCATTTTCTACATGTCGCTTGTTGGAGCTGCTGGTTCAAGTTCCCAGCCAGCCAATGGATGCCAGCACCATTTTTACTCCCCTTTCCCAAGCAAATCGTGCATTTTTGTCTAACGAGAGACATCAGTTTCTCAGGATGATCCTCAAGAACGTTATGGAGTCCATGTTGCAATAGGTTCTCTTTGGGACCTAATGACTCATTTTCCAAAAATCCGCTTCTACTTTTGGTACCCGGTTGCTACGGTGAAATGAAGGTGCCCCGCATCCAGAAAGACGCACTCCTGGACCACAACCGGCGGCTACCTCAGCCCCACGGCTCTGCAGGATCAGGGCTCGGGCAGGCCCCGCGGAGATGAAGAATTTGCAGGGAGCCTCCCTGACTTCCGTCGGCTGTGAATCCTTGTCTGTCAGGGGCGTATCCACAAAATCACCGAATTCATACAGATCGTTTAAATAAATGAACATCATTAAAGTCAAATATGAGTATGAATTTTATTACCACCAATGCAGCCAAGACACCTCTGGCAGCTTTCAGGATAGCACGCCAGAAGCATCTTTAGAAAATGTTAATTCAGGAGGCCGGGTGCGGTGGCTCACGCCTGTAATCCCAGCACTTTGGGAGGCCGAGGTGGGCGGATCACAAGGTCAAGAGTTCGAGACCAGCCTGACCGACATGGTGAAAATACAAAAAATTACTAAATATACAAAAATAATATATAAATTATAAATATATAAGAATACTAAAAATATAAAAAATTAGCCAGGCATGGTGGTGGGGGCCTGTAGTCCCAGCTACTCAAGAGGCTGAGGCAGGAGAATGGTGTGAACCCGGGAGGCGGAGCTTGCAGTGAGCCGAGACTGCACCACTGCACTCCAGCCTGGATGACAGAGTGACACTCATTCCGTCTAAAAAAAAAAAAAAAAGTTAATTCAGGCCGGGCACAGTGGCTCCGCCTGTAATCCCAGCACTTTGGGAGGCCGAGTTGGGTGGATCACCTGAGGTCAGGAGTTTGAGACCAGCCTGACCGACATGCTGAAAACCCATCTCTACTAAAAATGCAAAAAATTAGCCGGGCGTGGTGGCGGGCGCCTGTAATCCCAGCTACTTGGGAGGTTGAGGCAGGAGAACTGTCTGAACTCAAGAGGCAGAGGTTGCAGTGAACTGAGATCGCACCACTGTACTCCAGCCTGGGTGACAGAGCGAGATTCTGTCTCAAAACATACAAGGCATTTTGTTTTCCCGTTGATGGAGACGGCTAATGTGCGTGTAACGGCTGCACAGCCTGGCCACACGCAGGTGAAATTCTCTCTCTGCATCTCTTAGTGGATGGTCTGTGACACATCACCGTCTGGTTTGTTTGTTTTGAGACGGAGTCTCGCTCTGTCTTCCAGGCTGGAGTGCAGTGGCGCGATCTTGGCTCACTGCAACCTCCGCCTCCCGGGTTCATGCCATCCTCCTGCCTCAGCCTCCCGAGTAGCTGGGACTACAGGCGCCCGCCACCACCCCCGGCTAATTTTTTGTATTTTTAGCAGAGGTGGGGTTTCACCATGTTAGCCAGGATGGTCTGGATCTCCTGACCTCGTGATCCACCCACCTCAGCCTCTCAAAGTGCTGGGATTACAGGCGTGAGCCACCGTGCCCGTCCTCACGGTCTGGTTTGAAGCTGCTTCTTTAGTAAAACTATTTGCTTTCCCTTCTACTTTTGTGGAAGGGTTCTCTGTGCTGCCGGGAAACCTGATTTTTCGTCATTTCCCCGACACCACCATGGGAAACGAGACCATCTGTGAACACAGACAGCCGGGCGGAGGGGCCGTCGGTGCCCACCAGGGCCACGGCTCACGGCAGGTGCAGGAGGAACTGGAAATGCTGCTCACGGAAGTAAAATCAAAGGTTTAATGTCCTGTTACGGAAACATTCCGAGGGAAAGCAGTTCACAGCAGGCACCGAGGGCCCACTGGAATTGTGTGGATGCTCAGGCTTGGAGTGGACGCTCGGGCGGCCCGCTTTGGGGCAGGTGCGGCCGTGTCACCGGCCTGCACGGTCATCCCAGCAAATGGCTGGGAGCGAGACGGGTGCAGAACCAGACAAGGAGGACCCTGCTGCACCTGACACCAAGCTGCCCCCAACACAGCGGTAACGCCTCAGCTCCCCAGGCAGCGATGCCCCCACCCCGCAGGCCTCTGTGGGCGTCCGTTCATCCTGGAAAGAGCTTCCGGAATTTGCCGTAGGCTGAGTTGCTGATGATGACCCTCACGTCGGCCGCCCCGTCCTCAGGGATCACGTCCACCTCCTGAACTGTGGCCTCCTTATACAGCCAGCTGGGCACAGATGCGCGTTGTATGGAGACAAGCAGAACCCGTAAGTATTTGCTTAGTTTCATGATAAATAATTACGCTAAAAAGAGCTTAGCTCAAACCATTCATCAGACCGTCCTGTTTCCTTTTGTTTTTTTTTTTTTTTGAGACGGAGTCTCACTCTGTCGCGTAGGCTGGAGTGCAGTGGCGCGATCTCAGCTCACTGCAAGCTCCACCTCCCGGGTTCAAGTGATTCTCCTGCCTCAGCCTCCCGAGTAGCTGGGACTACAGGTGCATGCCACCACACCTGGCTAATTTTTTGTGTTTTTAGTAGAGACGGGGTTTCACCGTGTTAGCCAGGATGGTCTCGATCTCCTGACTTCGTGATCCACCCGCCTCGGCCTCCCAAAGTGCTGGGATGACAGGCATGAGCCACTGCGCCCGGCTTTTTATTTTTTATTTTTTTTTTTGAGACAGAGTCTCGCTCTGTCGCCAGGCTGGGGTGCAGTGGCACGATCTTGGCTCACTGCAACCTCGGCCTCCTGGGTTCCAGCAATTCTCCGGCCTTAGCCTCCCGAGTAGCTGGGACTACAGGTGCCCGCCACTGCGCCCGGCTAATTTTTTGTATTTTTATTAGAGACGGGGTTTCACCGTGTTAGCCAGGCTGGTCTCGATCTCCTGACCTTGTGGTCCGCCCACCTCGGCCTCCCAACGTGTTGGGATTACAGGTGTGAGCCACCCCACCTGGGGTGGTAACTTTTTATTCTTTGTAGAGATGGGGTCTCACCATGTTGCCCAGCCTGGCCTCAAACTCCTCTCAGCTCAAGCAATCCTCCTGCCTCGGCCTCCCAAAGTCTTGGGGTTACAGGCCTGTGCCACGGCATCCAGCTGGAGCTTGCTTTCTTATTGGTAGGGAGACCTGTACCCCTTGACTGGCAGCACAGATTAGGCACCTGTTGTGCGCACAGTCAGAAATGTATTTTGACTGTCAAGTGCAGATTAGGCACCTGTTGTATGCAGTCAGAAATGTACATTTTGACTGTCAAGCGCAGATTAGGCACCTGTTGTATGCAGTCAGAAATGTACATTTTGACTGTCAGCACAGATTAGGCACCTGTTGTATGCACAGTCAGAAATGTACATTTTGACTGTCAGTGCAGATTAGGCACCTGTTGTATGCACAGAAATGTACATTTTGGCTGTCAAGCACAGATTAGGCACCTGTTGTATGGTCAGAAATGTACATTTTCACTGTCAGCATAATTAGGCACCTGTTGTATCCACAGTCAGAAATGTACATTGAGTGTCAGCACACATTAGGCACCTGTTGTATGCACAGTCAGAAATGTACATTTTGTCAGCACAGATTAGGCAACTGTTGTATGCAGTCAGAAATGTATTTTTACTGTCAAGCACAGATTAGGCACCTGTTGTATGCAGTCAGAAATGTACATTTTGACTGTCAGCACAGATTAGGCACCTGTTGTATGCAGTCAGAAATGTACATTTTGACTGTCAGTGCAGATTAGGCACCTGTTGTATGCACAGAAATGTACATTTTGGCTGTCAAGCACAGATTAGGCACCTGTTGTATGGTCAGAAATGTACATTTTCACTGTCAGCATAATTAGGCACCTGTTGTATCCACAGTCAGAAATGTATATTTTGAGTGTCAGCACAGATTAGGCACCTGTTGTATGCAGTCAGAAATGTACATTTTGACTGTCAGCACAGATTAGGCACCTGTTGTATGCAGTCAGAAATGTACATTTTGACTGTCAGCACAGATTAGGCACCTGTTGTATGCAGTCAGAAATGTACATTTTGACTGTCAAGCACAGATTAGGCAACTGTTGTATGCAGTCAGAAATGTATTTTTACTGTCAAGCACAGATTAGGCACCCGTTGTATGCAGTCAGAAATGTACATTTTGACTGTCAGCACAGATTAGGCACCTGTTGTATGCACAGTCACAAATGTAGATTTTGACTCTCAAGCGCAGATTAGGCACCTCTTGTATGCACAGTCACAAATGTACATTTGATGCAAACCCATTCATCTCGTCTGTACATCCTAAAGCTCTCGGGGATCTCACAGCTCCTTGTGCACCCACGAAG
Source organism: Homo sapiens (assembly GCF_000001405.40). NCBI lineage: Eukaryota > Metazoa > Chordata > Mammalia > Primates > Hominidae > Homo > Homo sapiens. Next base: position 307,291 of record NC_000024.10, read on the forward strand.
AGCCCGTTTCAGAGCCAGAGACAGGCATCCAAAGCACCATCCCGTCTCCTGCCCCTGCAGGCCGCTCACCTGAGCTGCGCCCCTGCGAGCCTCACACGGAGAGTGAGGATCTGTCTCCCCGTCGCCTTCAAAACCGCCGCATCGAGCTCAGCTTTCAGCTCCTGGAGCCCGTGGCCCCGCAGGGCAGACACGGGCACGACGTTCGGTTCCGTGGGGCTGTACCTGCAAGGGTGGGGATGTCACAGGCCCCGCTCAGCGTCGGGGCGGCCGGACGAAATCAGGGTCCCCAGGAGTCCACTGCCCACGGGGCACAGTCTGGGGCCACTCCCTGTGTCCTGACTGCCACCGCTGCGGTTCACACGAGGAGACGGGGCATCTCCCCACCCGGCTCCAGCGCGTGCAGGGGAAGGAGACGCTTGCGGACCCCAGGGCCGGACTCACCCGGGCACGAGGTCCACCTTGTTGTGAACCTCCACCATGGAGTCCAGGAGCGGGGCGGGCAGCTGCAGGCCACGCAGCGTGGACAGAACGCTGCATTTCTGGAGCTCCGCCTCGGGGTGGCTGACGTCCCTCACGTGCAAGATGAGATCCTGTGGGCCGGGCCGTGGGGTCAGAGCTGCGGAGCCTCTGGTCCCTGACCCCAAGCTTGCAGACAGGCCCAGGAGAGGGGCTCACACGAGCTCCCAACGACAGGCTGGGCATGGGAGGTACGCCTGTGTGCAGGCCCCTCGGACACCCCAGGACGGGGGCTCCTAGACCAACAGTGGACGCGAGCCCACCCGGCTGCACTTACCCAACCTTCCAAGCCACAGGCAGCAGCTCCGCACCCCCAGACCCACACGCAAGGGGGTGCCATATATGAGCACCCAACCACCACCCACCCACCCAGGGGGTCTTCATTCAAAGCTTTAGGGCGGCTTCATCCTCCTGTGAAATGTCTTTTAACAGCGGAATTATTTCCTCTTTAAAGGATGCTTTTTTTCTCACGTTCAAAAAAAATCTTACAGGCAGGCTCCTTACACAAAATTTGAAAAACACAGGGAAAAAAAAATAAAGCCGTGTGTAATTCTCCAACTTATACTACCGGGGTATCCACGTCTACTTTTTGTTTGTTTGGATGCACTTAATACAAATAATATTTTTCCTGTAACTGAGGCACTTTGGGAGGTGGCTTGAGCCCAGAAGTTTGAGACCAGCCTGGGCAAGAGAGTGAGGCCGTTTCTACAGAAAGTACAAAAATTAGCCATGGCCTGGTTGTGCGTGTCTGTGGTCTCAGCTACTCAGGAGGCTGAGGTGGGAGGATCACTTGAGCCCAGGAGGTCGAGGCTGCAGTGAGCCGAGATCATACCACTGCGGTTCAGTCTGGGTGACAGAGCGAGACCCTGTCTCTAAAGAAGAAAAGTAAAAACAAAAAAAATAATTTCATCCCAGGAAAGTTTTACTTTTTTTTTTTTTTTTTTTTTGAGACGAGTCTCGCTCTGTCACACAGGCTGGAGTGCAGTGGCGCGATCTCAGCTCACTGCAAGCTCCGCCTCCCGGGTTCAGCCATTCTCCTGCCTCAGCCTCTCTTGAGTAGCTGGGACTACAGGCACCCGCCACCATGCCTGGCTAATTTTTTATATTTTTAGTAGAGACGGGATTTCGCCGTGGTCTCGATCTCCTGACCTGAAGTGATCCACCCGCCTCAACCTCCCAAAGTGCTGGGATTGCAGGCGTGAGCCACCACACCCGGTCCATAATTTATTGTCGGGAGGAGTCGAAAGCGGAGTCCAGGCTCCGGGCGGGGTTCAGTCCCATCTCCTCAAGGAGGTGGCAGCCGCGTCCGTTCTTTGGGACATTTGCTGCTTCTCCCTCAGGGCAAAAAACAAAGCCGTAGCCTGAATGTGACAATCTCACACCTTGTTTTCCTGCCTTGTTGCTTGACAATATTTCCCCGTGCTCTTCATGCACTTGGAAAGTCTACGGTACGGATGGAGTGTGCAGCTCACTCAGCACCCTACGGCCGGGGGCAGTTCCGGAGCCAAACAGCACCCCGCCCCCAAATCCACATCCACCAGCAGCCTCAGAATGGGACCCTACCCAGAATTAAGATCTCTGCGGATGCAGCTGGTGAAGATGAGGTCAGGGTGGAGCAGAGTGGGCCTTAAATCCAACGACCGACCGGTATGTTTACGACAGAAAGAAAGAGATGTGGGGCAGACACAGAAGAGAAGGGGACCTTGCTTGGAAATGGAGTTTTTGCAGATGTAGTTAAGATGAGGTTACCCTGGATTTATCTAGGTGGCCCCTAAATGCAATGACAGGTGTCCTAGGAGACACAGACACAGAGAAGGCCACGTGGAGATGGAGGCAGAGACTGGAGTGGTGCGGCCACAAGCCCAGGGACGCCTGGAGCCCCCAGGAGCTGGGAGAGGCAGGAAGGACCCTCACCTAGAGCCTCCAGAAGGAACTGGATCCAACTGAAGTGAACTGAACTGTGGCCCCCCACAAAAGACCTGTCCATGTATTGATCATCTGGAACCTGTGAATGGGACATTATTTGGAAACAGGGTCTCTGCAGATGTGATTAAGTGGAAGATCTGAAATGAGATCATCCTGGATTAGGGTGGACCCTAAATCTAATGACTACTGTCCTTCTAAGAGACAGAAGAGGAGACACAGACACAGAGAAGAAGGCCACAGACAGAGGCAGAGACTGGAGTGATGCGGCCACAAGCCCAGGGACGCCTGGAGCCCCCAGGAGCTGGGAGAGGCAGGAAGGACCCTCCCCTAGAGCCTCCAGAAGGAACTGGATCCAACTGAAGTGAACTGAACTGTGGCCCCCCACAAAAGACCTGTCCATGTATTGATCATCTGGAACCTGTGAATGGGACATTATTTGGAAACAGGGTCTCTGCAGATGTGATTAAGTGGAAGATCTGGAGATGAGATCATCCTGGATTAGGGTGGACCCTAAATCTAATGACAGGTGTCCTTCTAAGAGACAGAAGAGGAGACACAGACACAGAGGAGGAGGCCACAGACAGAGGCAGAGACTGGAGTGATGCGGCCACAAGCCCAGGGACGCCTGGAGCCCCCAGGAGCTGGGAGAGGCAGGAAGGACCCTCCCCTAGAGCCTCCAGAAGGAACTGGATCCAACTGAAGTGAACTGAACTGTGGCCCCCCACAAAAGACCTGTCCATGTATTGATCATCTGGAACCTGTGAATGGGACATTATTTGGAAACAGGGTCTCTGCAGATGTGATTAAGTGGAAGATCTGAAATGAGATCATCCTGGATTAGGGTGGACCCTAAATCTAATGACTACTGTCCTTCTAAGAGACAGAAGAGGAGACACAGACACAGAGGAGAAGGCCACAGACAGAGGCAGAGACTGGAGTGATGCGGCCTCAAGCCCAGGGACGCCTGGAGCCCCCAGGAGCTGGGAGAGGCAGGAAGGACCCTCCCCTAGAGTCTGTGGTCAGCTCCCGCTTTCTGGAACTGTGGTAGAGCTGGTTCCTGTGGTTTCTGGCCCCCATTTGTGGCCCCTTTTGCAGTGACAGCCTCAGGACCCCACAGGTGTTTCCAGGGTCTCGGTGTTCATCGATCCTCAGGCATCACCGTGCTGTGTCCGCCACTGCCCGCACGTCTGTGACACGAACGGTCACTCTGTCTGTCAGGGGTCTGTGACGTGGAGCAGGTGCACCCGGGAACACGCTTATGTGTTCAGGCACATAAGCCGGGAGAGGACTGACGGCCGACTTCCTATTTCTACACGGGCTCACGGCGGCAAGAACATGGCCCTGAGTGTCGGTGAGGCTGGGGCAACCGCTCAGCCTCTCGCCCGGGGACGTGGGAGGCTTGGGGGACACTAAGTCTGAGCCCCAGGAGGCAGTTGTTGTTCCGGCCCCGAGTTGGGTGGGTGTCTGAGGGCCCGGCCCCTGGCTTTGTGTGTGTCTGAGTGCCTGGTCCCCGTGCCCAGTGGGTGTCCGAGGGCCTGGCCCCTGGGCTGAGTGGGTGTCCGAGGGCCCGGCCCCTGGGCTGAGTGGGTGTCCGAGGGCCCGACCCCTGGCTGTGTGTGTCTGAGTGCCCAGCCCCCGTGCCGAATGGGTGTCCGAGCACCCGATCCCCGGCCGTCCCACGCTCACCGAGTGGGCCACGTCTTCCAGGGTGGCGGAGAAGGACTCGATGAGGCCGTGCGGCAGCTGGGAGAGGAAGCCGATGGTGTCCACGTACAGGACGGTCATGCGTGAGGGCAGCGTGCCCGCGTGGGCCGTGACGTCCAGCGTGGCAAACAGCTGGTCCCGTGGCTGGATGGCGGCATCGCCCGTCAGTGCCTTGATCAGCGTGGTCTTTCCTAGGAGGGCGTGGAGGTCAGGGCGCTGCAGAGATCCCTGCGTCCCAACTCCTAGCGCCGCAGCCAGGCCCTCCAAATGGAGACCACGGCACCCTCTGGGGGGCCGCACCCCGGGCTACACGGTCCCTGAGCTCCTCGGGCACCCCGGGCCAGACCCGACGCGTGGGACAAAGCCACCGTCGCTGTTCTCGGGCCGATGGAGCGGGGCCGCCGTGCGGACACGGGGGAGATGGTGGTGTGGACGGGTGTGCGTGTGAAGGCGTGGATGGGAGTGAGGTCGTCTGTGTAGATTTGGCAATGGCGTAGATGGTGGGATGGTGTAGGTGGGGTGGTGGTGCTGGTGTGGATGGGAGGATGGTGTAGACACAGGGGAGGTGATGGTGTAGATGGGTGGATATAGATACGGCAGTGGTGCCGGTGTTGACAGAAGGATGGTGTAGACAGAGGAGAGGCGATGGTGTAGACAGATGGGTGGATTGTATAGACGGGTGGTGGTATAGATGGGGCAGTGGTGCCAGTGTAGACAGGAGGACGGTGCAGACGAAGGGGACATTGTGGTGTACACGGGTGGATTATGTAGACGGGGTGGTGGTATAGCTGGGGCAGTGGTGCCAGTGTAGACAGGAGGACGGTGCAGACAAAGGGAACATTGTGGTGTACACGGGTGGATTATGTAGACGGGGTGGTGGTATAGATGGGGTAGTGGTGCTGGTGTAGACAGGAGGATGGTATAGACAGAGGAGAGGTGATGGTGTAGATGGGTGGATTGTGTAGACAGGGTGGTGGTATAGATAGGGCAGTGGGGATGGTCTAGACAGGAGGATGGTGTAGATGGAGGGGAGATTGTGGTATAGACAGGGTGGTAAAGCTCTGGATGGGAGGATGGGGTAGATGACATCCTCACCTTGGCTGCTGTACCCCACACAGAGACCACAGGAAACCCGTCTCCTGGGTGAGCTCTCACAGCAGCTGGTGTACCCCACACGGCGACCATGGGAACCCCCTCTCCTGGGCACGTGCTCACCGCAGCTGTCGTACGGCACCACTGAGACGACAGGGACCCCCTGCCCTCCCCCGGGCGAGTCCTCACCGGTGACACGGAGACCGCGGAAGGCCCCTCCCCTGGGCGCGTGCTCACCGCAGTTGGTGTACCCCACCACGGAGATCACGGGGAACTCCCGCCTCGTCCGCTGCCGGCGGAGCAGGTGCCTCTTCTTGCGAAGCCTGTCCAAGGCCTTCCTGATCTTGGCCTCCTTCTCTCTCAGGAGACGCTGCTGCAGCTGCATGAAGGATTCTCCTAAAAGACACCCGAGATGGTGAGGCGGTGAGCCACGCCGGGAAAGGCACAAGTGCGGGCGGTGCCGCGGAGGGTCTGCGGGGGCCCGGGGCCTGCTCCCGCTCCAGCATCTGGGGGCCCGGCTGCTTTCCCCAGCAGCGGCCCCGACACGTCCTGTTCCATGAGAAAGGGCTCTGCTCGGCGGAACGGGATCTCGCCTCCGGGTGTCCACCCTGTGAGGTCAACGAGGGCTTCCCGTGACTCGGGGAGAAAGTAAAGGCCAGATCACTACGGAGGCCTCCGAGCGGGACACGGCCCAGGACGTCATCGTGAGCGGGCTCAGTGGGGCCCCTTTCACATCCGAAGTCCCAGAACCTGGGAATGGGACCTGATTTGGAAATATGGTCTTTGTAGGGTCTCAAAATATCACCCTAGGTTAGGGTGGGCCCTAAGGCAACGACCTGTGTCCTTCTAAGAAGCAGAGACCGGAGTGACGAGGCCACAAGCCTGGGACGCCTGGAGCCCCCAGGAGCTGGGAGAGGCAGGAAGGACCCTGCCCTAGAGCCTCCAGAGGGAAGTGGATACAAGTGTAGCGGATTGAACTGTGGTCCTCCTAAAAGATCTGTCCACATCCTAATTCCCAGAACTGGTCAATGGGACCTTATTTGAAAATAAGGTGTTTGTCATAACTGAAGTATCTAGAGATGCGACGATTCTGGATTAGGGCGGGCCATAAATGCAATGACATGTGTCCTTGTAAGAGACAGAAGAGGAGACACAGACACAGAGGAGGAGGCCACGTGGAGACGGAGGCAGAGACTGGAGTGACGCGGCCACAAACCCAGGGATGCCTGGAGCCCCCAGGAGCTGGGAGAGGCAGAAGGAGCCCCTGGAGGGAGCGCAGCCCTGTCCTCACCTTGATCTCAGAGTTTTGGTGTCCAGGAGGGGAGAGCATAGATCTCTGCTGTTTAAATCCCCAGTTTGTGGCTACTGATTTAGGCAAAACCTCCAAAAACCACCAGCATCTCCTATCTCCTCAAATGCTACCAGACGGAGCCCCCAGCCAGCCCCCACCCTGTTGGAATCTTCCAGGGCTGAGGGTCTCCTATGTCCTCAAATGCTACCAGGAGACGGAGACCCCAGCTGGACCCCACCCTGTTGGAATCTTCCAGGGCTGAGAAGGGTGGCTGCCGCTGACAACCGCATTCCGAGGACCCTCTGGGACGCCGCGCCCGGCCCGAGTTACCTGACCCCATGATGTAGCGCGAGCCGACTCCTCGGTACAGGTGGGCGACGTCCCTTTTCAAGTTCGACCTGGTGTGGGAACGGGAGTGGCTCGGTCTCTGCGGACGCTGTCTCCCTCCCGGCAGAGGTCGAGGTGAAGGTGAAGGGGGCACTGAGCTGGGCCTCTGGGCCGAAGGGAGGAGCCGCTGTTGCGGCCCCGCTCCGCGTGTAGCTCACACACTGTGAGTGACGCGTGTCCCGGGCCGAGGGGACCTGCCTAGTGGGGAGCCGGGGGCAGGCAGTGGGGGCAACGGGCCCCGGAGAGAGAGCCCACACGGTGCTTTTCTTCTTTTTTTTTTTTTTTAGACGGAGTCTCGCTCTGTCACCCAGGCTGGAGTGCAGTGGCGTGATCTCGGCTCACTGCAAGCTCCACCTCTGGGGTTCACGCCATTCTCCTGCCTCAGCCTCCTGAGTAGCTGGGATTTCAGGCGCCCGCCACCACGCCCGGCTAATTTTTTTCTTGTATTTTTAGTACAGACGGGGTTTCACCGTGTTGGCCAGGATGGTCTCGATCTCGTGACCTCGTGATCCGCCCACCTCGGCCTCCCAAAGTGCTGGGATGACAGGCGTGAGCCACCGCGCCCGGCCCCCATGGTGCTTTTCTTCCTCACGCACCCCCAGAACGCCCTACAGGTGACTACAGAACGGAGGGGTTCCGGGAGTGGACGTGACGCTCGGCGCGGCCCAGGGGCCCCACGATACCTGTGCAGCGGCATCTCCGCCAGGGCCACCTGAAGCCGGGCCTCCTTCGTGCGGGCGTTACAGCGGAAGATGTGCAGGACGACCGTGAAGCGGTCAAACACCTCCACGCCCCAGGCGGCTTCCAGTTCTTTCTGCAAAAGGAGAGAGCAACTGAGAAGCCACGGGGGAAGGCCGGGCCCTGGTGGCCAATGTGAGAGGAAGGAGGACGTCTCTAATGCCTTAACCCCACCGTGTCCCCATCTGTCCCCATCTGTCCCCCGCCTGGCCGGACGCCGTGGCGTCCCCTCCTTCATCGCGTGGAGTGCGGGGACAAACACAGCAAGCCACATCCTGTGGTACCTTGGTCGGGGCAGCCATCCTCTCCACGTTCAGGAAGACGCACGTGATGTCTGGAGACCCTCGGATCTTTTCTAACAGAAAGAGGGGGTCCCGTCAGAGGCTGGCCGTCCACACCCGTGGACTGTGGGATGAGCCCACCATACCCTTTGTGGGATGCACCGCGGAGAGCTCACTTCACAGGCATCCCCGACTTCCTGAGCACGAGACCCGGGATCCAGGAAGTCAGCGTGGGAGGGGGTGTGTCTCTAGGAGTGTGTGTCTCAAAGACATAGACATGCATACGGTGAACACATCCCGGCAGGGACACAAACACATACACACGCAGACACACACACACACACACACACACACACACACAGTAAATACATCCCGACAGGGACAGACACAGACACACAGACAGACACACAGAGACACACACAAACACAGTAAACACATCCCGGCAGGGACACAAACACATACACACACACACACACACACAGTAAATACATCCCGACAGGGACAGACACACACACAGACACATACACAGAGACACACACAAACACAGTAAACACATCCCAGCAGGGACACAAACACATACACACGCAGACACACACACACACACACAGTAAACACATCCCGGCAGGGACACAAACACATACACATGCAGACACACACACACACACACAGTAAATACATCCCGACAGGGACAGACACACACACAGACACATACACAGAGACACACACAAACACAGTAAACACATCCCGGCAGGGACACAAACACATACACACGCAGACACACACACACACACACAGTAAATACATCCCGACAGGGACAGACACACACACAGACACATACACAGAGACACACACAAACACAGTAAACACATCCCGGCAGGGACACAAACACATACACACGCAGACACACACACACACACACACAGTAAATACATCCCGACAGGGACAGACACACACACAGACACATACACAGAGACACACACAAACACAGTAAACACATCCCAGCAGGGACACAAACACATACACACGCAGACACACACACAGACACACACACAGTAAATACATCCCGACAGGGACAGACACACACACACATGCACCGTGGACACATCCCATTGGGGACACACACACACACACACACACACAGGGTGAACACATCCCAGCAGGGGTGAGATGCATCTGAGTCAGGCAGGAAAGCTGACCCCCACCTGGGCAGGTGACCCAGGGCAGCCGACCCCCACCTGGGCAAGTGAGTAGCGTCTTCCCAACTCTACTGGAAGCGGGATGGTCAGAAACCTGGGAAGCGCAAGGATCGCATGCTGGACCCCACCCTAAGAGACTGCTGGTGGGGTGGGGGTCACCCAGGAGGAGGATTTGGCTGGGGCCTGCAGGGGCAGGTGGGGTTACAGCCGGTCCACCGCCTACCCTGTTTGTTGGACTCTATAAACTGCCCCGACCTAATCTTTACCAGTTTAAGTCTCTCCAGGGCCCGGTGTGAATCTCGACACAGATAAAGCCTCACCGTCCTCCGACTCCTACTGGCGTGTGCTCCCAGCTCACCTGGGCAATCCGAGAGGCCGCTTCCCCTCTGGCCCCGCAAGACCCCCGTACTTCAGCATGTCTCGGTTGGATGTTTTCGGTAGCGGCGGACAGGAAAGGAGGTTTGGGGAAGGAGCAGGTCTGGACGGACCCACCTGTCAGGTGCTCAAAGTTCCCTTTGCCAAAGATGAGCTTCCTGTCCGGCGTTTTGGTGGACACGACCATTGTCTGCACCACGGACCAGCCGTCCAGCGTGTGCACCAGCGCTGTGGCCTCCGCCACCTGCCACTCGGCTGCGGGGACACAAGGGCCACCGTGAGAGACGCTTCTGCCCGGGGCCCCCGTCCACACCTGCCCGGGGAGGCCTCCTCCTGCCCTTGAGACAATCTCCCCGGAGAAGGCACCTTGAGCCGCCGTTTGTCCCCCGATATGACTTCGTCCCCCCAGGGCCTCTAAGTAGGAATCTGACGGGAGAAGGACACCGGAGCCACAGCGGGACACGAGGGCGACCCTGCCTTACATGGAATTTGGGCTCCAGGCGGGCGCAGCAGGGAACCCGGGAGCTGCGGGTGCTCAGGGGATTACTGAGGAACCACCGGCAGGTTTGGGGAGTAGAGAGGCAAGAGGTCTGCGCGCTGTTCTGAGCAGTTCGGGGCTTCATCTGTTCCAGGAATTAGCCATTTTGGAAAACACCCGTAAAGAAAAACCACTCATCGACTACAGGAGCTTCCAAGGGAAAAATCAACCTTTATGAGACTCTGACACGTGCAGCGACTTATTCATTTGCATTTCCTCCTGGGGGGTGGGGGGTGGGACTAGACACAGATTGGTCCGCTGGACGCCCTCCCTTCCCTGACCTCAAACACACCGTGCCTACCTCTAACCCAGAGCAAGAGAAACGTAGGTCCCATCGGCGAGAACCGCCCCGGCCCACCCAACCCCACCCCACCCCACCCCACCCCACCCCACCCCACGGACCCCACGGGCCCCACCCCATCCCACGGACTCCACCCCATAAGCTCCGCCCCCGCACTTTTACCCCATAGGCCCCTCCCCCGAAGCCCCGCCCACGCACCTCCACCAATGATATCCTCCCCTCTTCCCCATAAGCCCCGCCCTTTCACCCATGGGCTCCTCCCCCGAACCCCACCCATGCACCTCCACCTATGAGATCCTCCCTTCAGAGCCCCGCCCCCGCATCACCATCCATAAGCTCTTCCCCTCAGAGCCCCGCCCCTCAGCGCCACGCCCTGGCATCTCCAACCATCAGACCCTCTCCTTAGAGCCTGGCCCCCTGAAGCCCCGCCCCTACGTCGCCACCTGAGCTCTTCCCCTCAAAGCCCCGCCCTGGGTCTCCACCTATGAGATTCTCAGGTCAGAGCCCCGTCCCTGAATCTCTACCTATGAGCCTCCCCAGAGCCCCGCCCTTGCATCGCCAGCTATGATTCTCCCGAGTCCCGCCCCTGAATCTCCACCTATGAAATCCTTCCTGCAGAGCCCCGCCCTTGCGCCTCCACCTATGAGATTCTCCCCACAGAACCCCGCCCCTGAATCTCCACCTATGAGATCGTCCCTTCAGAGCCCCGCCCCTGAATCTCCACCTATGAGCCCCCTCCCCTCAGAGCCCCGCCCCCAGGTCTCCAGCTCCTGTTTCTCCCCCGAAAGCCCTGCCGCGGTCACCTCGAGTCATCTGCGACTTCCCCGGGCCCCACTTGACGTCAGGGTGAACCAGACACACGCGCTGGGTCCCCGCCGGCAGCAGAGGCTCTCCCCGCAGCAGCTCCTCCTCGGCGTTCTCGTCCGCATCTTCCGGCTCCTCCTCGTCGTCTCCCGTGCGGCTTCGGCCGCCGTCCGCCCGCAGGCCCCGCCCTCCGCCCCACGGCCCCTCCAGATTCCCGGGGCTCCTGCGGCCGACAGCGGCTAGCGCGCGCGCGGGGCAGGACGGCGCGGCTGCCCGCGGAGCCGAGCGGCCGCGGCCCACGCGGGAGAGCCGCAGCCCCGGGCGTACGGCGGCCCGCAGGGCCCACATGGCGCGTCTGGAGGCTGAACGTTGGGGCGGGGGCTGCCCACAGGCCGCTCCTCATCACGTGCTCGTGATTGGCGTGCGGCCGGGGCTGGCTCACCAGCGCCTCTCCCCGGCACAGGCCGTGCTCCTCATTGGTCATCCGGCGTCACGTGCTAGTGATTGGCGTGCAGCTGGGGCGTGCTCACCAGCGCCTCTCCGCAGCATAGGGCGTGATCCTCATTGGTCATCCCTTGTCACGTGCTGGTGATTGGCGTGCGGCCGGGGCGGGCTCCCTAGCGCCGCGCCCCGGCAGGGCGTGCTCCTCATTGGTCGCCCCGCATCAGGTGCTGGTGATTGGCACGCGCTGCCGGCGGGGGAGGCGGGACCGGGCCGCTTCTTGTTCGGCGTGGGCGGCTCCTGGCAGACCCATCCCGCGGTGCAGCCGCCGGCCCGGTAGGCGCCAGGACCCCGAGCCTCGGCGGCGGCGGCGGCGGCGGCAGCGCTGCCTTCACTCACCTCGTCCTCGCTCCCGTCCTACCCCGTTCCGCGCTGGGTGGAGTCCAAGTCTGATTGCGAGAGTCCGGAACGCCGCCTCGGGGGCTTGACTCCAGCCCCGGGGATCGAGAACGGCGCCCAGGGGTCCCTACGTCTGCCTTGGGGGCTCGAGTCCCGCCCTGGGCGTCCGTGACGTCGCCCAGGGGTCTCCACGTCTGCCCTGGAACCTGGAGAGCCGCCGTGGGGGCCCCGGAAGCTGCCCCGGAGTCCCCACGTCTGCCCTGGGGGCTCGAGTCCAGCTCTCAGGGTCCCGGACGCCACCCAGGGGGTCCCCATGTCTGCTTTGGGGGCTCGAGTCCAGCCATGGGGGTCCTGGACGCCGCCTCGGCGTCCCCGCGTCTGCCTTGGGGGCCCGAGTCCCGCCCTGGGGGTCCTGGACGCCGCCTCGGCATCCCCGCGTCTGCCTTGGGGGCTCGAGTCCCGCCCTGGGGGTCCCCGATGCCGCCCGGGGGTCCTCACGTCTACCTTGGAGACTGGAGTTCCCCCGTGGGAGTCTCGGACGCCACCCCGGAGTCACCGTGTCTAGCCTTGGGGGCTTGAGTCCAGCCCTGGGGGTCCTGGACGTCGCCGAGGAGCCCCCACGTCTGCCTTTGGGGCTTGAGACCTGCTCTGGGGGTCCCGGTCGCCGCCCAGGTGGGTCCCCACGTCTAGCCTTGGGGGCTTGAGTCCAGCCCTGGGGGGCCCGGATGCCGCCCGGGGGTTCTCCTCGTCTGCCTTGGGGGTTGGGTCCAGCCCCAGGCGTCCTGACCACCGCCCAGGGGCCCCCACGTCTGCCTGGGGGCCTCAAATTCAGTCCTGGGGGTCCCGGACGCCTCCCAGGGGTCTTCATGTCTGCCGTGGGCCTCGAGTCCAGCCGTGAGGGTCCCGAATGCTGCCTTGGAGGGTGGAGTCCAGCTCTGAGGGTCCTGAAGTCAGCTTTGGGGGTTCGAACCCATCCATCCCAGGGGTCCCTGAGTCTACATTAGGGGCTGGAGTCCAGCCTTGAGGGTCTCCACTGCTGCCTTGGGGGCCTGGATGGGATCCAGCGGGTCTGAGTCCAGCCTCGGGAGCCCCTGCGGTGGAGCTCTGAGTGGGGCAGGGGCCTGGGAGATGCCAGGAGGATGAGAGCGGCGCCCCCCTGGTCCAGGGGACAGTAAGAGGCAGCCGGTCTCAGAGAAGCTACCCCAAAACTGTTACCCGTGGTGTGCAGAGCGTCCTGCAACCCCAGCCCTCACCAGGATTTCTTGCGTTTTTCAGGAAATCGGTTGTGATTGGCATGTTCCTTAAGCGTCTGCAGGAAGCCGAGGCCTTTTTGGTATTTCAGGAGGGGTTGCTAACCCCCCTCCTTGTAGGATCGGGGTATCCCAGCTGCTAATTCCCCTCCTAACAGCCCTGCAGCGCCTGGATTGGAGGTGTGACAGGTGGCATTTTTGGCCCGAAGTCCCTAGGCAGGACGGGTGGCTGTAGCCTGCGCGTTTGTGTAAATTAACCTCCCTTTTTAGTTCTGTGAAGGGAGAACGTGATTAGTTTAAAATCACCTGCGTGAAAGAGGCTCTTGATTAGTTTAAAATCACCCACGTGAAAGGGGCTCTTGATTAGCTTAAAATCACCTGGGTGTTTCGTTTTATCTCAGTTGGCCTCTGAATGTTTATCCTACAGCTTCCTGCAAGCTCCAGTCTACCTTCTAAGGGAATAACGGGGCTCGTCTTTCTACGTTACTTTATGTGGGAGTAGTTGTAAAACAGAATGAGGGAGACCGCGGGGATTGTGCGGAAATGTAGCCACCGTTTACATGTCGGGAGGCTGAGGTGGGAGGATCGCTTGAGCCCAGGAGTTTGACACCAGCCTGGGCAACATGGTAAGACCCCTTCTCTACCCTCCCCCCCAAAAAAAAAATTTTAGTGTGGCATGGTGGTGGGTGCCTGTGGTCCCAGCTACTCGGGACGCTGAGGTGGGAGGATTGCTTGAGCCCAGGAGTTTGACACCAGCATGGGCAATATGGTAAGACCCCATTATCTACAAAAAAAAAAAAAAAAAAAGAAAAGAAAAATTAGCCGGGCGTGGTGGTGGGTGCCTGTGGTCCCAGCTGCTCGGGACGCTGAGGTGGGAGGATTGCTTGAGCCCAGGAGTTTGACACCAGCATGGGCAATATGGTAAGACCCCATTATCTACAAAAAAAAAAAAAAAAAAGAAAAGCCGGGCGTGGTGGTGGGTGCCTGTGGTCCCAGCTGCTCGGGACGCTGAGGTGGGAGGATTGCTTGAGCCCAGGAGTTTGACACCAGCATGGGCAATATGGTAAGACCCCATTATCTACAAAAAAAAAAAAAAAAGAAAAGCCGGGCGTGGTGGTGGGTGCCTGTGGTCCCAGCTGCTCGGGACGCTGAGGTGGGAGGATTGCTTGAGCCCAGGAGTTTGACACCAGCATGGGCAATATGGTAAGACCCCATTATCTACAAAAAAAAAAAAAAAAGAAAAGCCGGGCGTGGTGGTGGGTGCCTGTGGTCCCAGCTGCTCGGGACGCTGAGGTGGGAGGATTGCTTGAGCCCAGGAGTTTGACACCAGCATGGGCAATATGGTAAGACCCTATTATCTACAAAAAAAAAAAAAAAAAAAAAGAAAGAAAAATTAGCCTGGTGTGGTGGTGGGTGCCTGTGGTCCCAGCTGCTCGGGACGCTGAGGTGGGAGGATTGCTTGAGCCCAGGAGTTTGACGCCAGCATGGGCAATATGGTAAGACCCTATTATCTACAAAAAAAAAAAAAAAAAAAAAAGAAAGAAAAATTAGCCTGGTGTGGTGGTGGGTGCCTGTGGTCCCAGCTGCTCGGGACGCTGAGGTGGGAGGATTGCTTGAGCCCAGGAGTTTGACACCAGCATGGGCAATATGGTAAGACCCCATTATCTACAAAAAAAAAAAAAAAAAAGAAAAGCCGGGCGTGGTGGTGGGTGCCTGTGGTCCCAGCTGCTCGGGACGCTGAGGTGGGAGGATTGCTTGAGCCCAGGAGTTTGACGCCAGCATGGGCAATATGGTAAGACCCTATTATCTACAAAAAAAAAAAAAAAAAAAAAAAAAGAAAGAAAAATTAGCCTGGTGTGGTGGTGGGTGCCTGTGGTCCCAGCTGCTCGGGACGCTGAGGTGGGAGGATTGCTTGAGCCCAGGAGTTTGACGCCAGCATGGGCAATATGGTAAGACCCTATTATCTACAAAAAAAAAAAAAAAGAAAGAAAGAAAGAAAAATTAGCCTGGTGTGGTGGTGGGTGCCTGTGGTCCCAGCTGCTCGGGACGCTGAGGTGGGAGGATCACCTGAGCCCAGGAGGTGGAGGCTGCAGTGAGCTTAGATTGCAGCACTGTGCTCCAGCCTGGGTGACAGAGTGAGACCCCATCTCAAACAAGAAGCACCAAAAGGTGTCTGAGATCAGGCACGGTGGCTCACGCCTGTCATTCCAGCACTTTGGGAGGCCGAGGTGGGTGGATCACCTGAGGTCAGGCATTTGAGACCAGCCTGGCCAACATGGAGAAACACTGACTCTACTAAATGTGCAAAAATTAGCCGGGCGTGGTGGCACACACCTGTAGTCCCAGCTACTCCAGAGGCTGAGGTAGGAGAATTGCTTGAACCTGGGAGGTGGAGGTTGCAGTGAGCTGAGATTGTACCACTGCACTCCAGCCTGGGAGCTGAGATTGTACCACTGCACTCCAGCCTGGGCCCTAAAGCGAGAGCTTGACGGTGGGGTGGGGGTGTGGGATGGACCTTCTGTGGTCCCAGCTACTCGGGAGGCTGAGGTGGGAGGATCGCTTGAGCCCAGGAGTTTGACACCAGCATGGGCAACATGGTAAGAACCCATATCTACAAAAAAAAAATTTAAAAATTAGCCGGGTGTGGTGTGTGGGTGCCTGTGGTCCCAGCTACACCACGAGTGGAATTGTGACGTGCACAGCCTGGGTAAATGGGGTTAGCTATATTCACCCTGAAGGGGGCACATACCCTATTATTTCTAACACCACTGAACTCAGAATCGGGACCCAGATTCGCCGGGGCAGCGCGGGACGAGGCCTCTCCCGGGCTCCGTCTTCCCTGTTAATAGACTGAGAGACGGAATGAGAGCTTCGAAGGTGCTGGGGGAGGAGCATTGGGTGTCCCCAGGTGGTGAGCTTGGGTGTGTGTGTGTAGCCGACAGTCTCCCAGGCTCAGTATTCCCTGTTAATAGACTGAGAGACGGAATGAGGGCGTCCCCAGGTGGTGAGCTCAGGGACGTGTGTGTGTGTGTGTGTGTGTGTGTGTGTGTGTGTGTGTGTGTAGCCGTCAATCTCCTGGGCTCCTGGGTTCCGTCTGCCCTGTTCATAGAGACAGAATGAGGGCGTCCCCAGGTGGTGAGCTCAGGGACGTTGTGTGTGTGTGTGTGTGTGTGTGTGTGTGTGTGTGTGTGTGTAGCCGTCAATCTCCTGGGCTCCTGGGTTCCGTCTGCCCTGTTCATAGAGACAGAATGAGGGCGTCCCCAGGTGGTGAGCTCAGGGACGTGTGTGTGTGTGTGTGTGTGTGTAACCATCAATCTCCTGGGCTCCTGGGTTCCGTCTGCCCTGTTCATAGGGATGGAATGAGGGCGTCCCCAGGTGGTGAGCTCAGGGACGTTGTGTGTGTGTGTGTGTGTGTGTGTAACCATCAATCTCCTGGGCTCCTGGGTTCCGTCTGCCCTGTTCATAGAGACGGAATGAGGGCGTCCTCAGGTGGTGAGCTCAGGGACGTGTGTGTAGCCATGATTATCCTTTAGTACCTGGTCCCCGTGCCCTCCAAGCCATCCAAGGGCTTCAGGAGGCCGCGCAGAAGGAGGGTCGGTAAGCGAGTCCACGGACCACCACGCAGGCCCTGACCCCGCCAGGGGCCCTTTGGAGGGTGAGCCCTGCGTGTTGGGGGGATGATGGCTCCGGAGGGTGAGCTCTGGGATGAGAGGGGACGTGCAGGTGGCCGCATTGCAGACACAGCTGGCTCGGGACCTGGGCGCCATCTGCCGTCGACTCAGCTCGCTCCTGAGCTGTGCCTCTTCCTTGCCTCACGTTGGAGATAAAAAGCCATAGATGGCCGGGGGCGGTGGCTCAGGCCTGTCATCCCAGCACTGTGGGATACCAGCGCAGGAGGGTTGCCTCAGCTCAGGGGTTCGAGACCAGCCTGGCCAGCATAGCGAGACCCTCTTCTCTGTAACAATTTTTTTTTCTTTTCTTTTTTTTTTTTTTGAAACAGAGTCTCGCTCTGTCACCCAGGCTGGACTGTAGTGGTATGATCTCAGCTCACGGAAACCTCTGCCTCCCGGGTTCCCGGGTTCAAGTGATTCTCCTGCCTCAGCCTCCCGAGTAGCTGGGATTACAGGCAGCTGCCACCATGCCTGGCTAAATTCTGTATTTTTAGTAGAGACGGGGTTTCTCCATGTTGGTCAGGCTGGTCTTGAACTCCCGACCTCAGGTGATCCGCCCACCTCGGCCTCCCAAAGTGCTGGGATGACAGGCGTGAGCCACCGCGCCCGGCCTCTTTCAGGTTTTTATATGTAACTTTGCCACTCAGTCGGTACTGAAGCCGTTATGGAGGCCTGCCTGGTGAGATGCGGCTGCCACAGTGTGGCTGGTATTCGAAACACACAGGAGGCCGCAGCCAGCTTAGCAGAAGCACCAGGGCTTTCGGAACTTGGTTTTGAGAGTTTCCTGTTTTCTTGACTTTCATATACCATGGATGGTAATAACTGTTGGGGGGAAAAAGCTATTAAAGATTCCTGTGGATGGTGAGATGACCTTGGTTTCAGAAACACCCAGACACAGAGAATTGTGCATTTTAGAATCCAATAAATCTACGCTGGGCACGGTGGCTCATGCCTGTCATCCCAGCACTTTGGGAGGCCGAGGTAGGTGGATCACCTGAGGTCAGGAGTTCGAGACCAACCTGGCCAACATAGTGAGAACCTGTCTCTACTAAAAATACAAAAAATTAGCGGGGCGTTGTGGCAGGTGCCTGTAATCCCAGCTGCTCTGGAGGCTGAGGTGGGAGAATTGCTTGAACCCGGGAGGCAGAGGTTGCAGTGAGCTGAGACCATGCTGCTGTACTCCAGCCTGGGTGACAGGGCGAGGCTCCATCTTAAAAAAAAAAAAATCTGATCATTTACCTGTGCACCTTCACAAGTGTTTAAAAAAAAAAAAAAACCGGGCACGGTGGCTCACGCCTGTCATCCCAGCACTTTGGGAGGCTGAGGTGGGTGGATCACGAGGTCAGGAGATCGAGACCATCCTGGCTAATTCGGTGAAACCCCGTCTCTACTAAAAATACAAAAAATTAGCTGGGTGTGGTGGAAGGTGCCTGTAGTCCCAGCTGCTCAGGAGGCTGAGGCGGGAGAATGGCGTGAACCCAGGAGGCGGAGCTTGCAGTGAGCTGAGATTGCAGCACTGCACTCCAGCCTGGGTGACAGAGCCAGACTCTGTCTCAAAAAAAAAAAAAAAAGATTGGGTTGATATTTTACCTACTATAATCTTATATGTTTGCAATTTCCTGTCATTGAGTTTTATAACTTTCTGCCCTTTGCTGACAAAAACATTTAAAATGTCTCATGGCAGCTTGTGTTCTTAAAATTCAAACTGTTTATCCATAGCCCTTGAGAGAAGGGTTTAATGTGAGTTGGTTGGGAGTGACCGTTGTCTGTTTTTTTGAGACAGAGTGTCGCTCGCTCGCCCAGGCTGGAGTGTAGTGGCGCGATCTCGGCTCACTGCAAACTCTGCCTTCCAGGTTCAAGTGATCCTTCTGCCCCAGCCCTCCAGCTAGCTTGGATTACAAACATGCACCACCACACCTGGCTAACTTTTGTATTTTTGGTAGAGACAGCGTTTTACCACGTTGGCCAGGCTGGTCTCAAAATCCTGAGCTCAAGGGATCCGCCTGCCTCAGCCTCCCAAAGTGCTGGGATTACAGGCGTGAGGCACGACGTCAGGCCAAGGGGGTGGCTGTTTTATAACAGGTTTGCAAGTTTGTTTTTGTTTTTGTTTTTCTTTTTTTTTGAGGTGGAGTTTTGCTCTTGTTCCCCAGGCTGGAGTGCAATGGCAAGATCTCGGCTCACTGCAGCCTCTGCCTCCGGGGTTCAAGGGATTCTCCTGCCTCAGCCTCTCGAGTAGCTGGGATTATAGGCACCTGCCACCATGCCTGGTTAATTTTGTATTTTTAGTAGAGATAGGGGTTTTTCCGTGCTGGCCAGGCTGGTCTCAAACTCCCGAACTCAGGTGATCCACCCGCCTCGGCCTCCCAAAGTGCTGGGATTACAGGCGTGAGCCCCCGTGCCCAGCCAGGGGGTTGCTGTTTTATAATAGGTTTGCAAGTTTGTTTTTTGTTTTGTTTTGTTTTGTTTTTTTGAGACGGAGTTTTGCTCTTGTTGCCCAGGCCGGAGTGCAATGGCACAACCTTGGCTCACTGCAACCTCCGCCTCCCGGGTTCAAGCTATTCTCCTGCCTCAGTCTCCTGAGTAGCTGGGATTACAGGCGTCCGCCACCACACCCGGCCAAGGGGGTGGCTGTTTTATAACCAGTTTGCAAGTTTGTTTTTCTCGTGTGTTAGAGGAAAATCTCTTCATGATATGGTGAAGCCGTCGTCTGTTTTGGAAGACGGTGGCCAGGAAAATGGTGGTAAGTTCTCCTGAAAGCAAACGCAGAAGGAAATAAAAATGACTGACAATTAGATCGTACAAAGATGAGCATTGTTTTTATTTATTTTTTTTGAGACGAAGTCTTGTTCTGTCACCCAGGCTGGAGTGCAATGGCACGATCTTGGCTCACTGCAACCTCCGCCTCCCAGGTTCAAGTGATTCTACTGCCTCAGCCTCCTGAGAAGCTAGAATTACAGGCATGCTCCACCACTACCCAGCTAGTATTTGTAGTTTTAGTAGAGACGGGATTTCACCATGTTGGCCAGGCTGGTCTCGAACTCCTGACCTCAGGTGATCCACCCACCTCGGCCTCCCAAAGTGCTGGGATGACAGGCGTGAGCCACCGTGCCCCGGCCCCGGATTCTATTTCTTAAACTGCAGGAAATACTAAATACTTTACATGCGTATGTTTCTCATTTCATTTTCCTACAGGAATTGGAGAGTGAGTTGCTGAGATTTCATTTTTATTCTCTTGGTCCTCATCATGCAAATGGCTAAATGGTTTTTTTTTGAAACAGGGTCTTGCTCTGTCCCCCAGGCTGGAGTGCAATGGGGCGATCTCGGCTCACTGCAACCTCTGCCTCCCGGGTTCAAGCCATTCTCCTGCCTCAGCCTCCCGAGTAGCTGGGATCACAGGTGCGCACCACCGTGTCCGTCTGATTGTTAAATTTTTCCTAGAGACGAGGTTTTGCCACGTTGCCCAGGCTGGTCTCAAACTCCTGAGCTCAGGTGATCCCCCCACCTCGGCCTCCGAAGGCGCTGGGCTTCCAGGCGTGCAGAGGGCTCTTTGTCTACATCCGTCACTGGATTTTCTACCCACGGGGACATGTGACCCCAGCGAGGTGGTCGGGGAGTCGTCGCCGGCCAGCGCTGCAGCCCAGGGATGATGACGGCTCTAGGAGTTTGGTTGTGGAGCACAGATGCCGGCGGTGTGGGCACGAGGCCCTGCACCTGCGTTTCTCCTGCACGGGCCCCGGAACCCCGGGATGGGATCTCTGTGGAGTGATCACGTCAGTGGGCTCTCGGCGAGGCTGGCGGGTGGGAGTCGGCGGCATCCGGGCTGGGCCCCCGAGGCTTGGCTCCCTCTCTGCACCCCAGGGGTCCCACAGGCTGGTGACAGCGCGACTGAAGGCCACGCTGCAGTCAGGAGGCCGCCCCACGTGTGACCCCGGGTCTTCCCACCCCGCCCTGACCCAGGGTCCTGGCCTTCCACGTGTGACCCTGGTTCCGGCACCTGTCCCCGCCCCCCCATCCTGTTCCCCTCCTCTCTCCCTGCCCCCCCTCCCCTCTCCCCGCCCCCCCTCCCCTCTCCCCGCCCCCCTCCCCTCTCCCCGTCCCCCTCCCCTCTCCCCGTCCCCCCTCCCTCTCTCCCCGTCCCCCCTCCCTCTCTCCCCGTCCCCCCTCCCCTCTCCCCGCCCCCCCGTCCCCCCTCCCCTCTCCCCGTCCCCCCTCCCCTCTCCCCGTCCCCCCTCCCCTCTCCCCGTCCCCCCTCCCTCTCTCCCCGTCCCCCCTCCCTCTCTCCCCGTCCCCCCTCCCTCTCTCCCCGTCCCCCCTCCCTCTCTCCCCGTCCCCCCTCCCCTCTCCCCGCCCCCCCGTCCCCCCTCCCCTCTCCCCGTCCCCCCTCCCCTCTCCCCGTCCCCCCTCCCCTCTCCCCGTCCCCCCTCCCTCTCTCCCCGTCCCCCCTCCCTCTCTCCCCGTCCCCCCTCCCCTCTCCCCGCCCCCCCATCCCCCCTCCCCTCTCCCCGCCCCCCCTCCCCGTCCCCCTCCCCTCTCCCCCTCCCCCCTCCCCGCCCCCCTCCCCTCTCCCCCTCCCCCCTCCCCGCCCCCCTCCCCTCTCCCTGCCCTCCCCTCTCCCTGCCCCCCCTCCCTGCCCCCCTCCCCTCTCCGCCCCACCTCTCCCCTCCCCCCTCCCCCTCCTCTCTCCCCCCTCCCCCTCCTCTCTCCCCCTCCCCCCCTCTCTCCCCCTCCCCCTCCTCCTCCTCTCTCCCCCTCCCCCCTCCCCCTCCCCTCTCCTCTCTCCCCGCCCCCCTCCCTCTCTCCCCGCCCCCCTCCCTCTCTCCCCGTCCCCCTCTCCTCTCTCCCCGTCCCCCTCTCCTCTCTCCCCGTCCCCCCTCCTCTCTCCCCGTCCCCCCTCCTCTCTCCCCGTCCCCCCTCCTCTCCCCGTCCCCCCTACTCTCCCCGTCCCCCCTCCCTCTCTCCCCGTCCCCCCTCTCCCCGTCCCCCCTCCCCCTCTCCCCGTCCCCCCCTCCCCCTCTCCCCGTCCCCCCCTCCCCCTCTCCCCGTCCCCCCCTCCCCCTCTCCCCGTCCCCCCCTCCCCCTCTCCCCGTCCCCCCCTCCCCCTCTCCCCGTCCCCCCCTCCCCCTCTCCCCGTCCCCCCCTCCCCCTCTCCCCGTCCCCCCCTCCCCCTCTCCCCGTCCCCCCCTCCCCCTCTCCCCGTCCCATCTCTCCCTTGAGTCCTTGGGTGGTCCTGGCCGCACGCCTACCTGGCGGCCCCATCCGTCCCTTCAGGGCAGGGACAGCCGATGCCCCGCACCTCCCCCATCGCTTTTCTGCCTCTGCCCCCTCCCCACATAGGCCTGGCGTCCCCTGGACTCCTGTAGGCCGAGCTGTAGTCTTAAGAAGTGTGTCCCGCAGCCCTAAAAGGTTGGGGTACCCTCCGGCCGTCATGTTCTGGGCACCCTATAGTCCTAAAGGGTCAGGGCACCCCATGGCTGTCATGTTTAGAGTACCCCGTAGTCCTAAAGGATTGGGGCACCCCACATCCCCGGTGTTCAGGGCACGTCATAGTCCTAAAAGGTCGGGGTACCCCTGGATGAGGGGCGGTCAGGAGGGTCAGGGCCTGGGTGGACATCCTGTCATCCTACCCTGTGGGCTATGCCCTGTGTCCCTGACTCTGACATTGGGTGAGGTGAGGACGGGGCAGGTTTCCATGGTACATTTATTTATTTTTTGAGACGGAGTCTCGCTCTGTCGCCCAGCCTGGAGTGCAGTGGTGTGATCTCGGCTCCCTGCAAGCTCCGCCTCCCGGGTTCATGCCATTCTCCTGCCTCAGCCTCCCGAGTAGCTGGGATCACAGGCGCCCGCCACCACGCCCGGCTAATTTTTTGTATTTTTAGTAGAGACGGGGTTTCACCATGTTGGCCAGGCTGGTCTCTAACTCCTGACCTCGTGATCCGCCTGCCTCGGCCTCCCAAAGTGCTGGGATGACAGGCGTGAGCCCCTGTGCCTGGTGGGACCCCAGTTTTCTATTAAAAAAAGGCCGGGCGCGGTGGCTCACACCTGTCATCCCAGCATTTTGGGAGGCCGAGGCGGGTGGATCACTTGAGGTCAGTTGTTTGAGACCATCCTGGCCAACATGGAGAAACCCCGTCTCAACTGAAAATACAAAAATTAGCCGGGCGTGGTGGTGGCGGGCGCCTGTGATCCCAGCTACGCGGGAGGCTGAGGCAGGAGAATCGCTTGAACCCAGAAGGCAGAGGCTGCAGTGAGCCGAGATCGCACCATGGCAGTCCAGCCTGGGCGACAAACAGAAAACAGGCACAGCATAGAGTCTGCCTTTCTGGAATCGCTATAGCTAGGGGGCTGCCTCCCTAAGCCCCACTTCTCTGAGTCTCCTGCAAGGTTTGTGTGAGTGCCTGGGGGCCGAGGCCCTGGCGAGGAGGATGGGGGCTCGGGGGCCTCTGTGACCTGGGGGAGGGGCTGTCGCGTCCCCCTGTGGTCGCGTCCCCCTGTGGTCGCGTCCCCCTGTGGTCGCACCTGTGGGCTGTCGGCCGTAGGTACCGCTCAGGCCCGTCCTGGTTGCGGGGCAAGGGCCTGTGTGTTGGGGGCTGAGAGACGGGGCCTAGAAGCCCTGTTGTGGGGAGGCCTGTGGGGGGCTTGTCCAAGCGGGACCTCCTATCCCTGCACCACTGGGGTCGTCCCCCCCGACGGGGCCTCGTCCCCCCCATGGCTGCTCCGTGAGGTCAGGCAGCGCCGCGCTAGGGAGATGGGGTGGCCCTGTCCCCGCAGAGGGGCTGTTCTCTGGGGCAGAGGCGGGCAGGACCCCCCGCCTTGTGGTCAGGACCCCCCTCCTTGTGGTCAGGACCCACTCGTGGCGGCCGGGGCTGCTGCGGGAGCTGATACCGGGGTGGAGACAGCTACGCCATGGTGAGGACACGGGGCCGGGGGAGGCTGCAGCCGACGGCCAGGCCCCCGTGCGGAAGACCCGGGGCAGCCCCCGCCTAGGAGCTGCGCAGACACGTCCTGGGGCCGCTGTTTCACCGAGACCCGAACGGCTGCTCCCCAGGCTCTGAGTGGCGTGTGCGGCAGCCAAGGCTGGGGGAGCTGTGACTTCTACACGGCGCCAGGGCGCAGGGATCCCTGCTGTGCCAGGGTCTGCCCGTGGGTCATGGGGAACGTGGTTCGAGGCCCCTCTGCTGTAGCCACGCAGCAGCGTCTTGCCGGGTGCGTGGCCTTGTCTGCAGGCTTGAGACCCAGCGGGGCCGTCTGTGCCACGTGGGGTCTGCGCCGGCCCAGGGGCCGCACCGCTGTCAGCCACAGGATGTGTGTCTCGGGGCTGCGGCAGACGGGGCTTCTGTGCCGTGTGGGGTCCGACCCCTCGGCCTGGGCAGGGCGGCCCGTGGGCACCGTGCTGGGGACGACCTCCGGCCTCTGCTCCTTCCCCGGCTCTGAGTCATAAAGGCCTCCCGCTCCCCCGGGAGCCGTGTCTTCTCTAGGAACTGCTGAGCGCGGCTGGGTCTGGCTCTGCCTCATTCCTGCATCTGATGCCCGCCCGTTCTCCCCCAACTCCCCTTTCTCCATCTCCTCCCTCCCCTCCGTCTTGCCCGTCTCCATTTCCTCCATCTCTCCCTTCTCCGTCTCCTCCGTCTCGTGGCTGTCCAGACCCCGTCCCTCCGCAGGCTGGGTCCCCCCTTGTTCTGGGCGGGGCTCTCGGTGCCGGTCTGGTGCCAGTGCTGGGAACCTGTGGTGCCCGTCACCTCTGCTCCCCGTCACCTCGGCTCCACCTCGAGGAGCTGTGTCCTGTCCCACGAGGAGGCGCCCCGGGACCTCAGGGCTGCAGGCCATGGCTGGGTCCGGCTTTGCCTCATCCCCTGTATCTGAGGCCCCCCAGTTCTCCCCCATCTCCCCCTCTCCATCTCCTCTGTCTCCCCCGTCTCATGGCTCTCCGGGCCCCGTCCCCCCCACCAGGCTGGGTCCCCTTATTCTGGGTAGCCCGTCTTGCCATCACTGTCCCTGCCGCCCCTCAGGACAGCGCTGTGGATGCCGGTCTGGTGCCGGCGGTCACCCCTGCTGCGCCTTGAGCAGCTGTGTCTTGTCCCGTGAGGAGGTGCCCCGGGACCTCAGGGCTGTGGCTGGCACCTTTCATGGTCCTCCCGGAACAGAGCTCATGCTGCTGCTCCTGGGTGGACCCGGGGCTGCCCCTGTGAACACTCTTGGTTCTGACACGAAGGCACCCCGTGAGGGAGGGGAGGGGTGGGCTGGGTCGGGTCCCTGCTCGGGGATCTCCAAGGGGTGACGGCCACGAAGTGCGGGGGACCCACGATTGTCATTCAGAGGGTGAGGCGCTGAGCCCTGGAACATCCTGGCTTCTGGCGGGACGCTGGCCACGGTCAGGGTGCCCCGAGTGCTTGTTTTGTGGGGTCCCTGGCCCCCTGCACACGTGAGCCCTCGGGGGAATGGACCCCCAGAACACGTGGAGGGCATGACTGCTGGGCTCTGGGTCTCCCCGCAGCGCCGCCGTCCACGAGGACCCCCGACAGGACCCCCCCACTTCTCCGGCAAAGGTGTCGGTGTGCACGCCCGGCCCCGGCACTGCCCGGGGCATCTGGGGTTGTGGCTGGGGAAGGACGGGGCACTTGGGGGAATGCATTGGGTACAGGGATGTCGGAGGATGCTCAGTGGCTGTGCAGGGGCCTCACCAGCGTCGTGGGTGGGGGACGCTGTCTTTCACGGCCCCAGGGAGGCCTCTCATGTCTCAGCCTTGAACCCTAATTGGGGGGGCTCCCAGTGTCAGTGTGGGGAGGCTGAGGGCGCTGGTCAGAGCCCTCCCATGACCATGGGCTCCGGCTCATAGGTGTGTGTGTGTTGGGGGGTGGTGTCCGGAGGTGGTGTGGGGCGGACATGGTCTCCCAGACGGGCTCCCCGGAGCTGAGGGCAGGGTGGGCCCTGCGGGCCGTGGCTCCCAGTGTCATTTCCCTGCGGCAGAACCTCCTGCCCTGCACCTGTCCTGTTGTTGGGGGTCCTGACCCTTCGCAGACCCAGGTGGGGGCATCCGGGAATTCAGGGGAGCACCTGGTGACACTGAGGACACCTTGGGGACAGCAGCATTCCCCCGGGAGGTGCTGCCTCGTCTACCCACCACCTGGAGCCCCCGCAGTCTCTCCTCAGGGGTCACGGGACCACCCTGTGCGTCCGCCTCCTTCACAGCGACGGCTGCCGGTGGATGAACGGGGTGCGTATGCTGCTCTCGGGGTGGTCCCGGCTTGGCCCTGCCCTGCCGCGTGGACGCTGCCACCTCCGTTTCCTGGGGGAGAGTTTTGTCGTGTGTGAGGACGGGGTTGTTCCCATGGTCACCACCTGTGACCCTCACCTGCGTGCAGAGGGAGCACAGCTGGGCCTGGGCTCATCCACGTCGGGTGCCCCTGGGGTGCTTGTGGCCTCCCCTGCACAGGGAGCTCCTCCTGGTGGGGCCTCCGACCCCCCTCATTTAGGTGTCCCCCAGCTGTGGACGTCCCCACTCTGGCGCGGGCTCCTTCCTTCTGGGGTCGTTTGTGGAACGGGGCCTGGGTCCGTGGCTCCGGGAGGGAACGGCCCCGAGGGTGGGGTCCCCCTGGCTGGGGAGGGGCCCCGCAGAGAGGCCCAGGCTGCACCCCGAGGCGTCTGGCGTGGCTGCGGTCCCCCTCCAGCACTGACGCTTGTAAATCCTGGACGGAGCCACGCTGTGGCTGAGGGAGCCGAGCCCGTGACTGAAAATCCTCCAAACGTACAAGCGTGATCGCCAGAAACGGTTTTGTACGTTTACACAAAACATTCACACAGCCTGTGGTGGAGGCTCCTGTCCAGGACTGAGGCGCCCGGGAGCCGCCGGTCACCGTTGTGCGCACACGGACCCTTTCCACAGACGCAGGCCCCGGAACCCAGGCTGGGTCGGGAACGGCAAGCGCCAGAGGGTGTCCGTGTGGGAACCCGTCCCATTCACGCGCGGCCCTACGTGTCCCCCTGGCACAGAGCTCTGGGCAGGTCCAGCCACGAACCCACAGCGGCAATCAACACGCTTCTGTGAATAAATAAAAGTTTATCATTCCGTACAAACGCACTCATTTTCCACAACAGTTTTTACACGAGCCGCGGTGGCCCGGTGGTGGCACGTGGGGAGCGGCCCCGCGGCGGCGTTCTCGCGGGCGGCGTCACAGCGGCTCCAGGTCCTCGTCCCCGCATGCGTACTCGTACAGGTCCACGGCGCCCAGCGGTGAGGGCGCCTCGAAGAAGGGCCTCTGGGCCAGCGGGGAGCGCAGCGCACTCAGCTTCTGCTCCACAGGGCTGAGCTCGGCCTCGAACCTGCAACGAGGGGATGGCGAAGACGTGGCCAGCAGCGCGGAGCAGGCCCTGGGCCGTTTTCCGGGAAACACAGGCTGCTCGGCCGCCAACCTCCAGCACGAGACAGTCCCCTGAGCCGACCTTGAGCTCCAGCCGCTGAGCCAGCAACGCGCTCCTGGCTGAGGACGCCGGCTCCACGAATGCTCCCGGGGGAGGGGCCTGCGGTGCAGGTGAAAACCCACCCAGGACGGGACGGAGCCCCGGGCGTGAGCTACACACAGAGGACCTGGGCGGGCGCGCCTCTTCCCCAAAGCGAGCTGCACGGGACCTGTGTTTACAACTGGGTCGTGGTGTCCACACAGGACTGGAGAACAAACAGGACCACAGTTTAGACACATTCTCCCAAAGCACAGAAGCTCCCAGTGGAGGCTACCACTTCCGTTCTGACCAGAACACGCAGCAGTGCGAGGACTGGACGCGCGCCTTCCCTTAAGGTCTCGGCAGTGACGTCGGGCGCTGCTCCGGGGAACCCAGCGCGGCCACGGACCACACAGACTCTCAGAGATCCTGTGGGGACACCTCTGCTTTCCAAGACGCCCCCGACAGCCTGGCACTGAGCTCCCCGCGGTCACCCCCACGGACCTGAGCTCCCACTGCCGGAGCAGGCGTGGACACGGTGAAGGCAGTCGACCCCAGCGTGCTGCTGGCTGTGCCGCAGACACAAAGCCGGGCAGCCGTGGGGGTGGACACTGGTCAGGTGGGGAGCAGAGGTGACAGACGGTGGTGGGGACAGGCGCACACCCATCCAGGCTAGGTCTGGGGGCCACAGCTGCCTTAGGGTGTCCGACAGGAGAAGGCAGAGACTGGGAAGTTGTGGGGACCCAGAGGTTGGCTGCCAGGTCAGAGCCACCGTGCAAACAATGACCACGAGGAGGACGGACACACAGGACAGACGGCCCAGGGTGGGCCGCAGGGGCCCTGTGCTGCTTGGCAGGAATCGGACGGGGCGGCTGATGGGGGAGCAGGGGTTAAAATGCACGTCCATGGAACCCATGGGTCGGGAACCCAACGGTAACCAGAAAGTATTTTGAGCTGCACCAAAATCAGAAGGCCGCGGGCTGCGGTGTCCATGGCCCACGTCGCTGCCTGAAGATACTCAAGGAAAACAGCAGAACAAAGGGGAGAAACACCCGTGGTTCCCTGGGAAGAGGAGTGAACCTCGTCGGCCCCTCGCCTCACTGATCACACACAAAGTCAGTATCAGGAGCGTGAGAGACGCTATCACTGGATTCTGCAGACATCAGAGTCACGAGCAGGAAATACCAACAATAACCCACTGATGGGAACGGGCAAGTTTCCGAAACACACAAACCAGCAAAGCTCACTCAAGGCTGGGCAGGGGCTCACACCTGTAATTCCGGCACGTTGGGGGACCGAGGCGGGGAGAACCCTCGAGCTCAGGCATCCAAGACCAACCTGGGCAACACGGTGAAACCCCATCTCTACAAAAAAATACAAAAAAGTAGCCGGGTGTGGTGGTGCGTGCCTGGAAGCCCAGCTACTCGGGGGGCTCAGGTGCGAGGATTCCTTAAGCCCAGCAGGTGGAGGGTGCAGTGAGCTGAGATTGCGCCAATGCCCTCCAGCCTGCGTGACACAGCCAGACCCTGTCTCCAAAAAAATAATAAAATACTACAGATAATCTCTGCAAAGAGAATCCAGTAATATGTGAGGATAACACATGACTCGGCAAGATCTATCCTGGGAACACGAGGCTGGCTGAAAATGACTCGGTGTAACTCGCTGTATGGACACACAGAGGAACCACGGAGCGAAAGCATCTGAGAAATTCGGCCCCCACTGCGAGAAAGCCCCCGCAGACCAGGAAGAGGGAGAACATCCTCGCCAATGAGCGTGCTTACCGCTGCGTGAGGGGAGACGTCCCCCAGGACTGGGAACGAGGACGGCACACAAACCAGCAGGGCTCACTCAAGGCTGGCCGTGGTCTGCCCTGACATCCACCACATCTCCCTGCGGGTTCCAGGCCATGCAGCAGGCAAGAGAAAGGAAGTAACGTACACAGAGAGGTGAAAAGGAAGACGAGAGACGGACCCACTGACAGACATGGGCTGTCCACGCAGAAAACCCCAAAGAACCGACAGAGCTTTGAGATCCAGTAAGTGAGTTTCATGAAGGTGCAAAACACAAGGTCAATAAATTCTATATGCTACCAACGAACAACTGGAAACGGGAACCTTAAAAGCACCGCTGACAACAGGAAAACATCAGGAAACACTCAGAAGTCTCACAACATTCGCATCAAGCGTACACGGAAAGCTACAAAAATCCTGCCGAGAGACACGGACGGCGCCCATGGACTGGGCCTCCTGCGGTTATGAAGGCGGCAGCTGGGCCCACAGGGATCCATTCACTCAGCGAGATCTCACTCAAAAGTTCAGATTGTTTGTTTTTGTTTTGGAAATGGAGTTTTGCTCTCGTTGCCCGGGCTGGAGTGCAGTGGCGCGATCTTGGCTCACTGCAACCTGCACCTCCCGAGTAGCTGGGATTACAGACGTGTGCCACCATCCCTGGCTTTTTTTTTTTGGAGACGGAGTCTCGCTCTGTCACCCAGGCTGGAGTGTGGTGGCGCGATCTCGGCTCACTGCAAGCTCCGCCTCCCAGATTCACGCCATTCTCTTGCCTCAGCCTCCCGAGTAGCTGGGACTACAGGCGCCCGCCACCACGCCTGGCTAATTTTTTTTTTGTTTAGTAGAGACGGGGTTTCACCATGTTGGCCAGGATGGTCTCGATCTCCTGACCTCGTGATCCGCCCTCCTCAGCCTCCCAAAGTGCTGGGATGACAGGCGTGAGCCACCGCGCCCGGCCAGAAGGAGCCTATTCTTATGTGTTTTCATACAAAGGCAAAGAAACCAGAATAGCCAACGTAGCGCGGGACAGAAGCAGAACTGAGAAGCTCAGCACGGGATGGCAAAAGTGACCACGTCGCTCCAGCGTGCACCACGGGAGGCCGGTGGGGGCCACAGTCCACGTGGTCCCGGGACCAGCACTCACCACCACGTCAGAGTCCAACACACGTTCCCACAGGACGGCAGAGCAAGGACGGGCTGAGTCTAAGATTCACACACAGGCAGCCCAACACCAGAATGGCCCCGACAGTTCCACACGGCGCCCAAGTCGGAGGCTTCTCACCACAGCCAGCTCTGCCGCGGGAACGGACAGACGCGTGCAGCAGTGGGACGGAGGAAGGTTCCGGAACGGAGCCCGCACACGGCACAGTCACGACGCCGAGGCAACGCTGCGGCCTGCAAAGCTGATGCTGGGACAGTCGGACACCCGGACACCCACGTACCACAAGGGGAACCTCAATCCGAGCTTCACACCCCACAGGGAAGGTTACTCAAGAGGACCCCAGACCAAAACACAAAACATCGCAGAGGAAAATCTTCGTGGCTTTGGATTCAGAAATGAATTCTTAGATATGACACCAGAAACACCGCTGTAAAAATAACCAGTCAGTGTCTCCTCCTCCAAATTCAGAACATCTCTGAGACACCACGTGAAGAGGGGGTGAAAACATACGTCACAAACTGGGAAAAAGGCGAACACGTCGCAAATAAAGGGTTTGTATGCTGAAGACACGAAGAACCCTCACGCTCCGTGAGAAAGCAACCAGCCCAGGGCCTCTCAGGGCCTCCAAGGCTGGAAGGCCGAAGCGGAGGCTGGAATGGCCACGGGCCCTGCAGCCTGCCCAGCAGGTGCCAGCCGTGGGATAAGGACAGACGTCGTTGGCGAAACACGACTCGGCCTCCCCGTGCTGGGCCTGATGTGCGAAGCCTCGCGCCCAGGATCACAGAACCCCACGCGGGGAATGACGGGCAGACTGCACCGAGGCCCGGCCCTGTCATCGGCTGTCCTTACCTCACCGGCCCCGTGTCAGGTCTCACCCCGCCCCTCTGTGTCCGCGCACCCCACCTGACTGACCCCGCATCCCCCGGCTGCACACACACCCGTCCTCCCACTCACCCGTCCTCCCCACTCACCCGTCCTCCCACTGACCCGTCCCCCCACTCACCCGTCCTCCCCACTCACCCGTCCTCCCAGGGCTCTCCCGCAGTCTCCTCGGCCACCAGGATGTCGTACTCCTCGGCCGCGTACTTCTCCCAGTCCGAGAGCTCGGGGCCGCCGCTGTCACCGTCCTGGAGGAAGCACACGGGTTACGTACACGGCGTGGCGCGGCCCGGCCCGCGTGCCCGCCGCACTCACCCTGAGCAGGGAGATCTGCTCTTTCTGCTCGTGGTCGAGGTACTTCTCGATGTTGAAGAAGGTGTCGAAGAAGACGTTAGCCAGCTTGCAGCGCTTCAGGTCCTGCAGCGTGATCTTCCCTGCGGGGAGGGGAGTGCGTCCAAGGCGCGTGAGCCCGGTCTCACCTTCGGGGCCTGGGTGTGGGGTGCGCGCGTCCTGTCACACGTGCTTAAGGACGCGGCACGAAGCTCCGGGCTCTCACGCCACGTGTTTGACGTGAAAGGCGGACACGCGAGTGTCCTGGTTCTGGGTGGGGACTGAGGCGTGGGAGGCCGTGATGCGGAGGCGACTAGGGGCCACCGGTGCCCCAAGGATGCGTGGACTGGGACTAGCGCAGGGAGGCGCGGCCAGCAGGGGCGCTGCTGGATCTGAAATTACAGAGAACGGAGCTCCCCGTGCAGGCAGAGGCCAGAGGGTGTCCCGGGGACACTGAGCAGCAGGAGGCGCCCCATGGCCGGGGGGGGCAGGGCTGCAGGGCGGTGCCCGGGCCTCAGAGCCATTTCCAAAGTGAAAGTCCCAGAGCTGGATTCTGAGATGCAGAAGGAAGCCAGGCGGCGTGGACGGTGGGGCTCCCCTTTGCCTTAGAGGGCACGGGGGTGGGTGGGAGGAGCTGGGGAGATGGTGTGGGGGGAACAGGGGTGAGGGGAGGAGCCGGGGGGGGGTGAGAGGGGAGGAGCCGGGGGGGTGAGAGGGGAGGAGCCGGGGGGGGTGAGAGGGGAGGAGCCGGGGGGGGGTGAGAGGGGAGGAGCCGGGGGGGGTGAGAGGGGAGGAGCCGGGGGGGGATGAGAGGGGAGGAGCCGGGGGGGTGAGAGGGGAGGAGCCGGGGGGGTGAGAGGGGAGGAGCCGGGGGGGGGTGAGAGGGGAGGAGCCGGGGGGGGGTGAGAGGGGAGGAGCCGGGGGGGGGGTGAGAGGGGAGGAGCCGGGGGGGGTGAGAGGGGAGGAGCCGGGGGGGGTGAGAGGGGAGGAGCCGGGGGGGGTGAGAAGGGAGGAGCCGGAGGGGGTGAGAGGGGAGGAGCCGGGGGGGGGTGAGAGGGGAGGAGCCGGGGGGGGGTGAGAGGGGAGGAGCCGGGGGGGGGTGAGAGGGGAGGAGCTGGGGGGGGTGAGAGGGGAGGAGCCGGGGGGGTGAGAGGGGAGGAGCCGGGGGGGTGAGAGGGGAGGAGCCGGGGGGGTGAGAGGGGAGGAGATGGGGGGGGTGAGAGGGGAGGAGATGGGGGGGGTGAGAGGGGAGGAGATGGGGGGGGTGAGAGGGGAGGAGATGGGGGGGTGAGAGGGGAGGAGATGGGGGGGGTGAGAGGGGAGGAGATGGGGGGGGCGAGAGGGGGGGAGGAGCCGGGGGGGGTGAGAAGGGAGGAGACGGGGGGGGCGGGGTGAGAGGGGAGGAGACGGGGGGGGGGGGGGTGAGGGGAGGACCGCCTTGTGCGGCATCAGCACGAACGTGGCAACTGCTCCCTCAGCCCAGTGCCAACGTCCCCGGTGAGCTCCGGCCCTAGGTTCTCTAGGTCACCCCTCGGGGGGTGTCGACGCCCCGAATAGGAGGTTCTTGCACTGTGAGACTAGGCACCTGTGGTGCTGGCCCTCCTCACAAACTCAGTAGGACAGCGCCTCACAGGGACGTCCCCTCACCCTGGTCCGTCCCCCCTCCCGTCTGTCCCCTCACCCTGGGCCGTCCCCCCTCCCGTCCGTCCCCTCACCCTGGGCCGTCCCCCCTCCCGTCCGTCCCCTCACCCTGGGCCGTCCCCCCTCCCGTCCGTCCCCTCACCCTGGGCCGTCCTCCCTCCCGTCCGTCCCCTCTCCCTGGGCCGTCCTCCCTCCCGTCCGTCCCCTCTCCCTGGGCTGTCATCCGTCCCCTCTCCCTGGGCCGTCCTCTCGCCCGTCCGTCCCCTCACCCTGGGCCGTCCTCTCGCCCGTCCGTCCCCTCACCCTGGGCCATGCCCTCACGGGGCATCACCTTCAGTCCTCGGCTTGACCAGGTCCAGCATCTGGCAGAGGCAGTCCTGGAAGGGCAGGGCCTCGATGGCCATGCTGTCCAGCCTTCGGCACTGCTCCTCGTAGAAGTACTCGAGCTCGAACATGGACAGGGCGCCGTCCCCGTCCAGGTCCATGCAGCGGAACCAGTACTCGATGCTGCGGCACGGCGAGCTCTGTCAGCCCCTGCCCTGGGCCCTCCCAGCCCGTGACCTGCAGCCCCTGAGGCAGCCCCCACCGGGGGTGCACGCGTCCCCGCTGTGCCTTGCAGCCCCCACCGGGCGTGCAGGCATCCCCTGCCCCCTGCCGCCCCCACCGGGCGCGCACGCGTCCCCCTGTGCCGTGCAGCCCCCACCAGGCGTGCACATGTCCCCCTGTGCCGTGCAGCCCCCACCGGGCGTGCACATGTCCCCCTGTGCCGTGCAGCCCCCACCAGGCGTGCAGGCATCCGCCTGGGGACACATGTCACATGGGCGGCTCCCGGCCCCTCCACTGGGACAAACGCATGCCGCAGCAGGAACCCACCTGGTCGGTGTTTTTTTGTCTTCCTCAGAGATCAAAAACCAGACAAAGTCGGCATAGCTGATCTTCCCTTCCTTCTGCACTTTTCTGCCTCTAGATCGAAAGCCAGGATGGAGAGACGAAGATGCATGTCAGGGAGAGCTTCACAGGAACGGAGCCCCTGTCCACGCGCCTCGGTGAGGGGAGCCCCCCGGGCCCGGCCCTCCTCCTGCCCCCCTCCTGCCCCTCCTCCTGCCTCTCCGGGGAGGAGGTGGAGGCCCCGTGGCCAGAGGGTTTTCCCCAGATCCAGGCAGGGTCAGGAGTGCACCTTCGTTACTGCTCACTCAGGCCCAGCGCCCGACAAGAACCCCCGACCTGGGGCCTGGGCCACCCCCTTCCTCAGACTTCGCGTGACAGTCTTGTGCCACCCCCCCCCACTAGGGATTCACGTGACAGAGACACGTGCCCCCCTCGCCAGGGCCTGGGGTGACAACCACTCGCTGTCGGGGCACAAAAAGCTCACGTCAGGCAACGATGAGGAGAGGGACCGGGGTCCTCGCAGGGGCAATGGCTGCCGTCAGGCGCCTGAGCCGTACGTACCGTGTGACTGCTCCTGAGAAGATCCTGTCTATCATCTTGGTAGAAAGGGCTGGAAAGGAATGCGGTTGATGGGCAGCCCGCACCGTGCCTCGGCCCCGACGTCACCACCCCCCGGAGCCGAGACTGGATGCGGTGGGGACCGAAAAGCTGAGAGGACGCCTGGGTCTGGGAGAGCCCCGGGGCCCCGATGCCCCTGCACGGCCCATCCTAGGGGCCCACCACGCTTTCCCGTCGAGCAGAGCCAAGTCCAGCATGAAATCCACAGAGCGCAAAGCTGACCGCGGCTCCAAGACCGACTTGTAAAGAGCAGAATATTCAGGCCTCAAAGGTACAGCTTTCAGACGGAGAGAGAGACCTCGAGTGTGATCACGGAAACAAACACGTTTCAACCAAAGGTTCACCAACGGGAGACGGGAGTGAGACCTCAGCAACGGGAGGCGGGAGTGAGACCTCAGCAACGGGAGGCGGGAGTGAGACCTCAGCAACGGGAGGCGGGAGTGAGACCTCAGCAACGGGAGGCGGGAGTGAGACCTCAGCAACGGGAGGCGGGAGGGAGACCTCAGCAACGGGAGGCGGGAGGGAGACCTCAGCAACGGGAGGCGGGAGGGAGACCTCGCCAACGGGAGGCGGGAGGGAGACCTCGCCAACGGGAGGCGGGAGGGAGACCTCGCCAACGGGAGGCGGGAGTGAGACCTCGCCAACGGGAGGCGGGAGTGAGACCTCGCCAACGGGAGGCGGGAGTGAGACCTCGCCAACGGGAGGCGGGAGTGAGACCTCGCCAACGGGAGGCGGGAGTGAGACCTCGCCAACGGGAGGCGGGAGTGAGACCTCGCCAACGGGAGGCGGGAGTGAGACCTCGCCAACGGGAGGCGGGAGTGAGACCTCGCCAACGGGAGGCGGGAGGGAGACCTCAGCAACGGGAGGCGGGAGGGAGACCTCAGCAACGGGAGGCGGGAGGGAGACCTCAGCAACGGGAGGCGGGAGGGAGACCTCAGCAACGGGAGGCGGGAGGGAGACCTCAGCAACGGGAGGCGGGAGGGAGACCTCGCCAAGGAGAGGCGGGAGTGAGACCTCGCCAACGGGAGGCGGGAGTGAGACCTCGCCAACGGGAGGCGGGAGTGAGACCTCAGCAACGGGAGGCGGGAGTGAGACCTCAGCAACGGGAGGCGGGAGTGAGACCTCGCCAAGGAGAGGCGGGAGTGAGACCTCGCCAACGGGAGGCGGGAGGGAGACCTCGCCAACGGGAGGCGGGAGGGAGACCTCGCCAACGGGAGGCGGGAGGGAGACCTCGCCAACGGGAGGCGGGAGGGAGACCTCGCCAACGGGAGGCGGGAGGGAGACCTCGCCAACGGGAGGCGGGAGGGAGACCTCGCCAACGGGAGGCGGGAGGGAGACCTCGCCAACGGGAGGCGGGAGGGAGACCTCGCCAACGGGAGGCGGGAGGGAGACCTCGCCAACGGGAGGCGGGAGGGAGACCTCGCCAACGGGAGGCGGGAGGGAGACCTCGCCAACGGGAGGCGGGAGGGAGACCTCGCCAACGGGAGGCGGGAGGGAGACCTCGCCAACGGGAGGCGGGAGGGAGACCTCGCCAACGGGAGGCGGGAGGGAGACCTCGCCAACGGGAGGCGGGAGGGAGACCTCGCCAACGGGAGGCGGGAGTGAGACCTCGCCAACGGGAGGCGGGAGTGAGACCTCGCCAACGGGAGGCGGGAGTGAGACCTCGCCAACGGGAGGCGGGAGTGAGACCTCGCCAACGGGAGGCGGGAGTGAGACCTCGCCAACGGGAGGCGGGAGGGAGACCTCGCCAACGGGAGGCGGGAGTGAGACCTCAGCAACGGGAGGCGGGAGTGAGACCTCACCAAGGAGACGCGGGAGTGAGACCTCAGCAACGGGAGGGGGGGAGGGAGACCTCACCAAGGAGACGCGGGAGTGAGACCTCAGCAACGGGAGGCGGTAGGGAGACCTCACCAAGGAGACGCGGGAGTGAGACCTCAGCAACGGGAGGCGGGAGGGAGACCTCACCAAGGAGAGGCGGGAGGGAGACCTCAGCAACGGGAGGCGGGAGGGAGACCTCAGCAACGGGAGGCGGGAGGGAGACCTCAGCAACGGGAGGCGGGAGGGAGACGTCGCCAAGGAGAGGCGGGAGGGAGACGTCGCCAACGGGAGGCGGGAGGGAGACGTCGCCAACGGGAGGCGGGAGGGAGACCTCACCAACGGGAGGCGGGAGTGAGACCTCACCAACGGGAGGCGGGAGGGAGACCTCAGCAACGGGAGGCGGGAGGGAGACCTCACCAACGGGAGGCGGGAGTGAGACCTCAGCAACGGGAGGCGGGATTGAGACCTCACCAACGGGAGGCCGGAGTGAGACCTCACCAAGGAGAGGCGGGAGTGAGACCTCACCAACGGGAGGCCGGAGTGAGACCTCACCAACGGGAGGCGGGAGGGAGACCTCACCAACGGGAGGCAGGAGTGAAAGCACCGTCGCCGTCAGCTTGGGCCACGAGAAGGTCCCGCAGCCTGGGCGGCCATCCCTGCGGTCACCGGTGTCCCTGGGACGCACGAGCCAAGGTGCCGCCCCCCGCTTCAGGCCGCAGTGCGTGAGAAACAGCGCAGCCCGGCCGCACACGGCATCCTGCCCTGGGACCGAGAGTGGGCTCCAGAGGAACGCGGAAAGCTGGGGCCGCGCCGGGCCGGGGGTTCACAGGGACAGTGAGCGCCTGGTTCTGGGCCGATTCCCAGCTGTGCAGGTGCTGGCCCAGGCCACACGGGCCGGCGCTGTGGAGCTGTGCTCTCCTCGTGGCTAGTTAGGGGCCCAGGGCGCAGGTGGCTCCCTGAACTGAGCGCAGGACAAATCCAGGGAATGCTACGTCTGCTCAGGTGCGCGTCCGACGCAGGGATCTACTGCGGCCACGCGACCCAGGACCAGCCCCGGGAGACGCAGACGGGTGCAGCTCACGTTCGGGGAACCAGGCGTATTATGAGTCGACCACACACAACAGATGCCACCGTAATTCGGAAACAGTCTTGGTCATATGGTTTTTTGGGGTAAAAAGCACACTTAAAGGAATCCTTTAGAAAACTCAAGCCCCACAGGCCACAGGCCGCTTTGAGTTCCTGCAAGTGTGGATGACTCTTAGAGGGGCCGGGAGGCAGTGGCTGCTGTGAGGACACCTGGGCGGCACCGGCTCCCGCGGAGGTATATGAACGACCGCTAAGCCTGGGGCTCCACCTAGCCCGGGATTGGATGGAAACTGCTCCAGGCCTTGGGGGCTGGAACCTGGAGCTCCTGAGGGAAGGCGTGTGGCCTGCCCGCCCTTGCTCGGGTGTTAACAAGGAAGCCCCACAGCGCTGCTGGCCCTCGGGCCAGGAGCTTCAGGACCAGCGGCCCACACTGACCCTGTAGACGCCCCCAGGCAGAGGCCTCGGGCAGAGGCGCACGCGGGGACCCAGACACGGGGCAGCGACTGGGGAAGGAGAGGCAGCTGCAGACACAGAGCGGCGAGTGCGAAGGAGAGGCAGCTGCAGACACAGAGCTGGGAGTGCGGAAGGAGAGGCAGCTGCAGACCCGCAGGCCCTGAGAGAAGGGTGTGCTCGGTGTCCGCGCGGCCCGCCCGCCCCTGTGCCCCCACGCACCGTGGTCATTGTGCCGCGCCAGGTCGTCCGCGTCGATGAGCAGGTCGTGGTCCGTGTCCAGCTCCCAGAACTTGCAGTAGATGACGTAGAAATGCTCGTACGAGAAGAATTCGGTCAGCTGGTTGATGTCCGCCTCCTCCTCCAGCAGCGCCACATTCTGCCAAAGGACCCAGGCGGCCTGAGCGCGGGGCCTCTGCGGGGATGCCCCAAGTCCGCCTGGCTGCGGGCGGGGCAGGGAAGGCTGGGAGGGTCGGGGCCGCTCCGTGGGTGGGGGGGACTGGGCAGCTGGGGCCGGGGGGCACTCCGAGTGGGGGCAACTCTGCGGTGGGGGGAGCTCCAGCATGGGGGTGGCTCCCTAGGCGGGTGTGGGGGTGGGGGCAGCTCTGGGGGAGTCAGGGCTCGGCTCCCCCTCAGGGTGGTGCCCAGTACGGCCCCACCCGCCTCCTAGATCAACCGTGGACCCCCAACCGCAGGCGGCGGGGTTCCAGTGCTCACAGGCCTGGGGGTGGGCTGGGAGCGCGGTGGAGGTGGGGGTGGGGGTGGGGGTGGGAGAGGGGGTGGGAGGGGAGGAGGGAGGGGGGAGGAGGGAAGGGAAGGGAGTGGAGGTAGGAGGGGTAGGGACAAGGCAGGGGGCAGGGGACAGGGGGCCGCTCCGCACCTGCAGGAAGGAGCTCCTCCGCAGCTCGGCGCAGGTGATCCTGCCGGACCAGGACCGGTTCACGGCGTAGAAGATCCGCTGGATGACCTGCGGGGGCGCTGTCAGTGCGGTGGGTGCGCAGAGACCCCCAGGAGCCTCGCCCCGCACGGAGACCGGGAGCCGGGAGAGGGGCGCGCCCTTGGTCTCAGCCGCACGGGGCCGCCAGGGCACAGGCGGGGGCAGAGGGAAGGGCCCTGCGGGAGGCGCCGCCCCAGGCCGCGGAAAGCGGGGAGGGTCTGGCCGGGGACGCCCCGGAGCTACACGGGCCCAGGACAGGTGGGAAGGGGGTGCGGCCACCCCGGAAAACCAGAGTCCCCCCAACACCGGGCTCCCGGGCGGGTGGAGACTCTCCCAGAGCGCGGCCGCCTCCTCCGGAAGCTCAGGAACCCCGGGCCCCGCCCGCCCCGTCCGCAGAAGCCCCGCGGCGGCCGCTGCAGAAACACCCGCGCCCCGCGCTGGAACCGACGGCCCCTCCGCTGGGGACCCACCGTGGTGATGTAGCGCGAGTGGAACTCGGACGCCTCCTTCAGGAACGACAGCCCCGGGTGCGTGTTCACCACGTCCTGCGGGTGGGAAGACACGAGGCGCGTGGTGTAGACGCCGGCCCTCCCGTGAGGTGTGCGGTGTGGACGCTGCAGACGCGGACCCTCCCGTGAGCGATGAGGTGTGCGGTGTAGACGCCGGCCCTCCCGTGAGGGATGAGGCGTATGGTGTAGACGCCGGCCCTCCCGTGAGGGATGAGGCATGTGGTGTAGACGCGGGCCCTCCCGTGAGGTGTGCAGTGTAGACGCGGACCCTCCCGTGAGCGATGAGGTGTGCGGTGTAGACGCGGACCCTCCCATGAGGGATGAGGCATGTGGTGTAGACGCGGGCCCTCCCATGAGGTGTGCGGTGTAGACGCGGACCCTCCCGTGAGGGATGAGGCGTGTGGTGTAGACGCCGGCCCTCCCATGAGGCATGCGGTGTAGACGCGGGCCCTCCCGTGAAGGATAAGGCCTGTGGTGTAGACGCAGGCTCTCACCTGCAAGAAGGGGACAAAGTCCTCCTGCACCAGGTAGTTGCAGCCGGGGCTCATGAGCAGATGGACGAACTTGGCCGCGTCGTCGTGGCAGTTCTGGAGGATTCTGGAAGGACAGGATGACTGGGCACCACCCTCACAGGGGGGTGGCTTTCGACCCCGCAGACGCAGGGTGGAACACGTGTGTGGTGTTCCACGTGGTGCGTGGCAGGTGGCCACACACGACGGCCAGGCCTGTGCCCGTACAAGGGTTTCTCCTCTCACTGCGGCAGCCTCAGGGGGCACCCGTCCTGGCACCACGGGGACCCGGGGACGCCTCCGCCCTCCCGACACAGCCCCCTGCCCAGCCCAGGACTCACTTTCTCCACATGGCGACGAACTTGTGGACGGACACGGAGCCCGTGCGCTCCCCGCCGGCGCCATAGAAGAGCGGCCCCTTCCAGTAGAGGGGGCAGCCGCAGGCCTGGGGCAGAGAGGGCAGGAGTGGGCAGTCAGCAGGGCCTGGACGCCGGCGCTCCTGCTGCGTACCTCGCGCCTGACCGACGCCGCCCAGAGACCCTCTGCTGCAGAAAGACACAGCACGCTCAGCGCGGCCTGTCTGGGCATCTGCAAACTCAACGTGGCTTTCGCTCCAGCCTTCAATCAGTCATGAGAGCTGAGCGTGGGAGTGCCGGGCACGCAGTATCCCCTGACCACAGACCACGCGTGGGCACTGTAACCAGAGGCGGCTGCATCCCCAGCGTCTGGAAATCAAGCGGCACGTACTAAGAACCAGTAAGTACGGGAATAAATGGCCCCGTCAGCCAGGCAACGCGGTGAATCGGACGGCGACAGAAACATCTCATGGAATGTGTGGGACGCACCTACAGCAGCGACCCATGGCAGGTTCACAGCCTTAAATACACGCGTGAGGAAGGAAAGTTTAAAATCGATCGTCTACACTTCTACCCCAAAGGAACAAATACATGGCAGAGATGGAACGCAAAGTAAATAGTAACAGAAAATCAACAAAATCAAAACTCGATGATTTGAAAGATTTCTTAAAAATTAATTAACCCTGGCTGGCTGGGCGTGGTGGCTCATGCCTGTAATCCCAGCACTTTAGGAGGCCGAGGGGGGTGGATCACCTGAGGTCAGGAGTTCGAGACCAGCCTGGCCAACATGGTGAAACCTCGTCTCTACTAAAAACACAAAAATTAGCCTGGCATGGTGGCGGGCGCCTGTAATCCCAGCTACTCGGGAGGCTGAGGCAGGAGAATCACTTGATCCTGGGAGGTGGAGGTTGCAGTAAGCCACGATCACACCACTGCACTCCAGCCTGGGTGACAGAGAGAGACTCTGTCTCAAAAAAAGAGCAAATACAGATTAGCCATGTCAGCTGTAACTACAGATCCTACAAACATCAGATAGTGGATGCTCATGAATCACTTTATGCCTGTAAGTCAGATGACTGCTGAAACAGACTCCCCGATGAACAAGTCAAAAAATAAACTACAATAGAAAATCTGAAAGAGCTGTTTCTGCAAGAAATTGTGTCCATAATTTAAAACTGTCCCACCAAGAAAATTCCAGCCCCCAAAGGCTGCTCCCATGAGTCGACCAAACATTGAAGGAAGAAATCACACATGCGTTCCCCTGGAGAAGAAAAACGAGGGGCGTTTCCCAGTGCCTGTTCCGAGGCTGGCACAGCCTGGACGCGGTCAGGGACACAGGAAGTCACAGGCCAGTTATCACTGGAGAGCAGAGGCAGAAATCCCACACAGAACACACAGTAGCAAGTCCAACTCGGCAATAATAGAACAGGAATATCTAATAATAATAATAGACCAGGAAACCAGAATCAGGAGGGACACTCTTATTCTCATAAAGGGTGCTATGGCCTGAATGCCTGGGTCCCCAAGATCCACGTGCTGAAATCCTCTCCCCCGAGGCGATGGTGTTGGGAGGTGGGGCCTCATGAATGCGATGAGTCCCCTTCTGAGGGACCCCAGAGAGCTCCCTCACCCCTTCCACCCCGTGAGGACGCAGCGGGAAGGCGCCGTCGATGAACCAGGCACCACTCTGCCACACCGAGATCTTCCAGCCTGCAGACCTGTGAACAGTAAATGTCTTGCTGGTGACAAGCTGCCCGGGCTATGGTGTTTCTTGACAGCAGCCTGAATGCTCAGACAAAGGGCCTCTACGAAACACCCCAGCTGCTCAGACAGCGATGACACATGAACACTTCTTCCCTGTGCTGGGAACAAGAGGACAGTGTCACCACCAAGGCCGCCTGGACGGCCGAGCCAGGGCAGCAGGCAAGGGAAAGACCGAAAGATACGACGACGGGTAAGAAGAGGCAGAACCGTCATGATTCACAAGCAACACACTGTGTAGACAATCCAAATGCTTACCAAATACGGGAATTAATAAGTATCTTCAGCAAAGTTGCTGGATCCAAGGACTATATGCAAAAATAAATTATTTCAATATACTGGCAACAAACAACTAAAAATAAAATCTTCAATAATGCCATCTATCAAGAGCATGAAAAATCAACCTACGAAAAATGGAACAAAAATCACACACAGTGTCTACAAAGCAAACTGCAGGGCACGGCTGGGTGAAATCAAAGACGACCTCAACGTGGTGAGGTGGACCTCACTGCTGAGTTCACAGACTGCAGTTTCCTCCAGACGACTCTGTTGACCCAGAGTCCACGCGATCCCCACCCACAGAGTCCAGCAATCCCCATCCACATGCACCGAGGGCCTGTTGTTTTGGGGTTTGTAGTATACACGGACAGGCTCATGTGAAAACTTACCAGGGAACACAAAAGAACTCACAGGGGGACCAAGTTGGTGGATATGAGTCCCACTGCCCGGTTTCAACCCTTCCTGTAAAGTCAGAGTAATGAAGACTCAGTCAGTCTCTGTCGGGCACCGGTGGCCTAAGAGAGCAAGGGAAGGAAGTGAGTTGGGACAGAGCCCCGTGGAATATCCACAGGCAAAGACACTTCACACAAACTGAATACCAGGGGATCCCAGCCCGAAGGGTGAAAGGCCAAACAGCGGCCCCTCCTGGAAGGAAACGAGGGACGCTGCACGGCTCTGCCGCGGCCAAGGTTTCTTTCACGGGCCACACGTGCGCTCCCTGAAGGAAGGGAGCACCGCTGCACCGCCCCAGCGCAGGACTCAGGGTCAGCTACCGGCACGGTGAACACCATGACAGGACATGACACAGAGGGAGAAATGTCTCTGCAAGGCGAGATTCTGACGAGGGACTCAGAGGCAGAATTTTAAGCATCAGTGAGAAAGAGGCCCGAACACGACCGAGTGGACATGCACTGCCCTCCGGAGAGGGGTGCACGGTGGCCGTAGACAAGGGGAAGCGCCCAGCACTGGCGCCGGCGAGGGCAGGGTTCACAGGGCATGGAGAGGTGGCAACAAGAACATGACACGCGCGGCTGAGACAAAAAGGACTGAAGACGCCAGGTCCCGCGAGGCTGCCAGGCAGCTGGGTGTCCTCCGCGTTGCTGGGGGAACTGGGACGCCACGCAGCTGCCGGGAAAGCGGCCCACGGGGCGGCTGAGCGTAAAGCCCCGTGGCCCGGCCAGGACATCTGTCCTCCCAGAAGCACACCAGTGGGAAGAGGGCCCGTGCCCGTGAGAGCCTGCACAGATGGGGACGTCGGCTGCTTGGTTCACGGTGCCCCAGGCGAGAGGAGCCGGACGCCAGAGCAGGGACTGGAGGAATAAACTGTGGCAGAGTCGTCCTGACAGGTGCAGGGCGGGAGTGACCACGGGGGGGCGTGGGGGACTGCAGAGGGGGCTGCGCGCCACAGCGGGGATTGCAGTGCTGCTATGGGAAAGGACGCGCTCCGGCTGGCGCACCTGTGGATGACTTGAAGGCAGCCGTGTGCGGCTGGAGGGGCCGGGCCCCGCAGGACGCACAGGCACGTGCCGGCTCCCGTGATGAGGATCCTGACGGAGCTCAGCCCTGGCCACCTGGAAGGGCGTCCCGGTGCGGTGGGAGGGAACGAGCCGGGTGCAGCACCGGGTCCTTGGGCTAGTGCTAGTCCCACGCTTTTGACCTCATGAGACCATTCTGGCTCACAGGCCGTGCAGGTTTCAAACCCCAAGCGCTCAACACCCAGGGATGGGGGGATGTGTGAGCCTTCACATCTGTGCTCCTCACCGCGTGCAAGACACACCGTCATGACCCGGTGGCAGGGATGGAGCATCAGATCTATCCAGCCGTGCAGGATATAGCGTCTCATGTGTCCAGACCTGCAGGCTGGAGTGCAGTGTGTGATCACAGCGTGATCCATTTTTATTCTACTTGTTTTTCGAGACACGGTCTTGCTGTTGCCCAGGCTGGAGTGCAGTGTGTGATCACAGCGTGATCCATTTTTATTCTACTTGTTTTTCGAGACACGGTCTTGCTGTTGCCCAGGCTGGAGTGCAGTGTGTGATCACAGCGTGATCCATTTTTATTCTACTTGTTTTTCGAGACACGGTCTTGCTGTTGCCCAGGCTGGAGTGCAGTGTGTGATCACAGCTCAGTGCAGTCTCAACTTCACGGGCTCAAGCAATCCTCCCACCTTAGCCTCCCAAGTAGCTGGGACCACAGGTGCGCGCTATCATGCCTGGGTAATTTTTTTAATTTCTACAGTGAAGTCTCACTATGTTGCCGAGGCTGGTCTGGAACCCTTGGCCGCAAGCCATCCTCCCGCCTTGGCCTCTCAAAGTGCTGGGACTACAGGGATGACACTGCAACCAGAGACAGCTGCACCCCCGGCGTCTGGGGGATGAGAACTGAGCGGGAGAGTGCTGGGCACACAGTCCCCCCACCACACCAAACCCGAAAATTACCTCCAAATGAATTAGCTCATAATTTAAAATAATCCTAAAGTAAATGGAGATAATCAACTCTAAAATGCAAAAGATACAAAGGAAAGCAGTTTTACCTGAATGTCACAAAATCCTTATGGGAAAGGGAATAAAACATC
Organism: Homo sapiens; assembly: GCF_000001405.40. Taxonomy (NCBI): domain Eukaryota; kingdom Metazoa; phylum Chordata; class Mammalia; order Primates; family Hominidae; genus Homo; species Homo sapiens. The sequence continues at coordinate 352,220 of NC_000024.10, forward strand.
AGATACCCTGATCTGACTTTTAAAAGTCTTTTCGTGATCGACACACAGAAAGACCGACTCCTTGTGGGGCCCGGCAACGCGGCGGCACGCCCACCCGCACGGCCAGGACAGGGAACGAGGCCGCCAGCCCTGACAGTCCCTTCGGCCCCTCCGCAGTCCGCTACGGCGACGGCCCCCAGGCCTCCTCCCCGTGGCTCCAGTTCACCTTTTCCAGGACACGGCAACGGGACCCGGCCATCTGCGGACTTTTAGACCTGGCTTCCCTCGCTCAGCACATGCGTGTGGGACTCACACACCTTGCTCTGTGTGGATCGTCTGCCCACCTTGCTCTGTGTGGATCGTCTGCCTGTGTACTGCTGAACCCTATTCCATTATGGCTCTGCTGACCTCAGAGTAGCTCCCTGAGCAGGAAACACCGCCGGCCCCAAGGCCCACGTGATGGTGCTGCTGAGGGGGACTCGCGAGGCAGACAAAGTCCCGAGCGTCTACAGTCGCACAGGGCACGCCGACACCAACCGACAGGTGTGAGAGGAGAAAGGAGGACGCCACAACCACGGCCGGCAAGTTCAGCACGCGTTCCTCGGCGGGTGACGGGACAAGAGGACGATCTGCAGACACGTAAAGATGTGAAAACGCTGCCAAGCTATGTGAGCGAGTGACATCGCGGAGCCGGAGGAGTCTTCAGGGTCACATGAACCAGTGGTGGGCTGTGGCTCGGAGCCCCCACCCAAGTCTCACGGGGAACTGTGATCCTGAGTGTTGGAGCAGGGCTCTGCTGGGGGGTGACTGGGTGATGAGGGTGGACAGCCCCCTTGCTGGTCTCGTAATCCTGAGTTCTTGTGAGATCCGATGGTCTAAAAGTGGGTGGCAGTGGCCGGGTGCGGTGGCTCAGGCCTGTCATCCCAGCACTTTGAGACGCCAAGGCGGGTGGATCACCCGAGGTCAAGAGTTCGAGACCAGCATGGCCAACATGGTGAAACCCCATCTCTCCTAAAAATACACAAATTAGCCGGGTGTGGTGGCGCATGCCTGTAATCCCAGCTACCCAGGAGGCTGAGGCAGGAGAATGGCTTGAACCCAGGAGGCGGAGGTTGCAGTGAGGTGAGATGGTGCCATTGCACTCCAGCTTGGGTGACAGAGCAAGACTCTGTCTCCAAAAAAAAAAGAGAAAAGATGATACAGACAGCCTGTGTTTATTGAAACAATTCATGCTGTCATTAAAAACCTTCCCACAGAGAAAACTATCCCAAATGGCTTCACTGATGAGTTCTACCAAACATTCAAATAAAAATAACACCCATTCTAAACAAATGGCTCCAGAAAAGTGAATTCTAAAGGACATTTTCCAAGCAACTCTCCGAGGCCAGCATCCCCCCGATGCTAAACCAGACCAAGCTATCACAAGAAAAGGAGACCGCAGGCCAGTCCTTCACGAGCGCAGACGCAACCCCTGCGAGGCCTGGCAATGTGGACCCAACACATAGGAGAAGTGTGACACTGTGTGGTGGACCAGGGACCGGGGGCTGGGGGCTCACCCAAAGACCGGGGGCTCACCCAAAGACCGGGGCTCACCCAAAGACTGGGGCTCACCCAAGGAGCAGGGGCTCGCCCAAAGACCGGGGCTCGCCCAGGGACCGGGGGCTCACCCAAAGACCAGGGCTCACCCAAAGACCGGGGGCTCACCCAAAGACTGGGGCTCGCCCAGGGACCGGGGGCTCACCCAGGGAGCAGGGGCTCACCCAAAGACCAGGGCTCACCCAAAGACCAGGGCTCATCCAAAGACCGGGGCTCACCCAGGGAGCAGGGGCTCGCCCAGGGACCAGGGGCTCACCCAAAGACCGGGGCTCGCCCAAAGACCGGGGCTCACCCAGGGACCAGGGGCTCGCCCAAACACAGGGGGCTCACCCAAAGACTGGGGGCTCACCCAAACACCGGGGGCTCACCCAGGGACTAGGGGCTCACCCAAACACCGGGGGCTCACCCAGGGACCGGGGGCTCACCCAGGGACCGGGGGCTCACCCAAACACTGGGGGCTCACCCAAACACCAGGGGCTCACCCAAACACCGGGGCTGCCTTCACACTCAGACGTCAGTCAGGTCAAGACCAGTCCTTCATGACCACAGACGCTACCCCTGCGTGGCCGGGCAATGCACGCTGCGGTGGAACAGGGACCGGGGGCTCACCCAAGGACCGGGGCTGCCTTCACACTCAGACGTCAGTCAGGTCCATTCACCTTTTACAGGACCAAAGGAAAACCTCACTGCCCTCTCAATACACGCAGAAATACACATTTAGCATCCCGGACAAACTTCAAGGCACTTTTATAATTTTAAAAAGTAAACTGAGGCCAGGCGTGATGGCTCATGCCTGTCATCATCCCAGCACCATGAGAGGCTGAGGCAAGAGGATCCTTCCAGCCCAGGAGTTCCAGACCAGCCTGGGCAACATAGCAGAACCCTGTCTCTACCAAAAAAGAAAAAATCAGCCAGGTGTGGTGGCGGGTGCCAGTAGTCACGGCTACTCGGGAGGGCTGAGGTGGGTGGATCACTGGAGCCCAGGAGGTCGAGGCTGCAGTGAGCTGAGATCATGCCACTGCACTCCAGCCCGGGGGCAGAATGAGAACCTGTCTCAAAAAAAACACAAGAGCTCCCAGCAAACAAGAAACCAAAAGGGAAGGGGCCTCCTGAGTCTGATGAAGGACGCCAGGCAGGGCCGCTGCGTCACGGACGACTTGAGCCCGAGGCGGGAAGGGGCGTGCTCTCCACGGCTCTCCAGCACTGCACTGGCAGGCCGAGCCTGTGTACAGAAAGTCAGGGAGGAGACACCGATGCAGACGAGAAGAGAAAGGCTGAACTGTGCTCACCTGAAGATGACCTGACCGTGCGTTAGAGACTCTGCCGGACTTAAAGGTTGAGCTGGTAGAGCCGATGACTGAGTTAAACTTGGTCAGAAAATGCAAAGTCCACATATAAAACCTAACAGTGCTTCTCAACATTCACAATTGACAATCATATTAAAGTAAAAAAATACCACGTACAGTGTCATCAGAAACAGGAAATGCTTGGGTATCAATGTGATGAACCGTGAACAAGACCAAACTACAAGGCGTACTGAAAGAAGTGAAAGATGCCTGAAATAAGGGAGAGCTGGACCGCGTTCATGAGACGGAAGCCTCAATATGGTCAAGATTCTTCCAAGTTCATCTGGAGTCAACAGGATGCCCATGTAATCCCAGCAGGCTGTCGTAGCAACGGAGGGACCGGCTCTAAAATTCACACGGTGGGAACGAACAACGGTGCAGCCACTCGGGAAGACAGCGTGCAGGTTCCCCAGAAAGCCGGAAGTGGAACTGCACGCGCACACGGAACACCACGCGATCCGGCCCTCCACACACGCACATGGAACACCGTGCTGTATATGCCACAAACGTCTCCGAGTTCTGTGCTCCAAATGGTTACGGTGGTGAATTCTGTTGTGTGAATTTTCCCATAATAAAAAAAAGTGCCTGCTGTCTGATTCTGTTTACATAAAATTCCAGAAAATTCCGGCTAATCTATATTGACAGAAAGGAGGCCTGAGGTAGCGTGGGATGAGGGCAGGTGCGCGTCAGAAAGCAGCAGAGAAAAGTCCAGCGCACGTGCCCGCTCAAGCGCAAGGATGCAGGGACGCCTATTGTCTTGGTGCTGTGGATAGTTTCATGGGTGGGTACAGACGTCAAAGCTCATTGAATTGTACCTTCCACACGCACCATGCATCCCACATCAGTTATATCTCAACACAGCTGCCCCAAAATGAAAAAAAGGCAAACTGATGAGAAAGAAACACGTAAGGTGGTCAACACGTACATCAGGGAAATGAGGAGTGCAGCCAGGACGGGACGCCTGCACACGCACAGAACGGCTAAAGGCAAAGCGTGTGGCCACGTGCCCGCAGGGGTCAACGCTGCTGCCTGGAAATGCGTCACTCAGGGCCACCCCGGAAGCAGGGTTTTTTGTTTTTTGTTTTTTTGCGTAGAGACACAGTCTTGCTCAGTCGCCCAGGCTGGAGTGCAGTGGTGCGATCTTGGCTCACTGCAACCTCCACCTCCCAGGTTCAAGCGATTTTCCTGTCTCAGCCTCCCGAGTAGCTGGAATGACAGGTGCCCGCCACCATACCTGGCTAATTTTTGTATTTTTAGTAGAGATGTGGTTTCATCATGTTGGCCAGGCTGGCCTCGAACTCCTGACCTCAGGTGATCTGCCTACCTCAGCCTCCCGAAGTGCTGGGATTAGTGGAGTGAGCCACCACTCCTGGGCCCTGGAAGCAGTTTTATAGCTTCTTACAAAACTAAACATGTGGCCACCAGATGAGGCAGAGCTCACCTCTGCGGTATTAATCACCTCAGGAAAATGCAAGCATGTCTGCGTAAATCAGTGCACAGACACACAGCAGCTTTACTCACAAGAAGCAAAAACCAAAGCAACCAGACGTCTATCAACCCTGGAACAGGGGAGAGATGGAGCACACACACAGCAGAAGCTACTCAGTGATAGAAAAGAAACTGCCCATACGGCCAGGGACACATAGTGAGCCCCACAGTATCCACACCCTGGCCAGCCACACGGGAGCCCCACGGTAACCACGCCTTGGCCAGCCACACAGCGAGCCCCACAGTATCCACACCCCGCCAGCCACACAGCGAGCCCCACGGTAACCACGCCTTCGCCAGCCACACAGCGAGCCCCACAGTATCCACACCACAGGACTTAATCAGTCCTCAACACACACACATAGCGAAACATCTTGCTGTACCCTGTATACACAAATATTACTTGTCCATTCAAAATAAAATTTAAAATAAAGATGCTGCCAGGAAGAAGTTAGAAACCACAGACAAAATGCTCCAAGAGTCCTCATGTGAAATTCTAAGAGAGGCAAAGCTACAGCGACCGGAAGCACATCTGCAGCTGGCCCGGGCCAGGGAGAAAAGAGGGGAATGATGAGGTGCAAAAGGAGGCACGTGGGACACCCGCGGCAGGTGACAAACGGCCGGTCCTGCCTATGAGGATGGATACCCAGGTGTGTGCTTTACCAAAATGGATCAAATTGTACACTTAAAATTGGTGAATCTTAGGGTGTGTAATTATATGACAATACAGCTGGCCAAACAAAAAACTATTCAATAAACTAAAAAAAATGACAGAAGGAAGTGTATGTAAAAAAGATGACCATAGATATTCATGAGAGAAAGAACTGAAATAATCTGTAACACTGACAGCTGCTTTACTGAAAGAGATATACGTTAGTGTGTAGCATGACGGATCAAGAAAGGAACCGGAAATAAATGATTCTGTCAAGAAAGTGTCTATGTATGATGCAGATACGATCAAGATTTTGTAAATCGTACAAGACAAGGAAAAGCTTTAGAGCAAGAAATTTCTAAGTTACGCAAAAAATTTTTAGAAAAAATGTAAATCATCAAAATAGTCTCCATAAATGAAAACCCTGAATTAGCCAACAACGTTTGAAGGAAATTAACAAAGAGAAAAGTGTGTTTTCCTGTGGGGGCAGCTGAGGGGGTGGAGTTTGGTGGAGGTGAAGGAGCTGATGACTCTGTCTCAAACGGCTTCAGAGAAAACACAGAGGAGTGACAATGATGAAAGGGAGGAAATGATGTATGAGATCAGCCCTGACTCACACAGACAGGAAGAACCGGGCCAGGAGAAGGCACACACGGACCTCGCTGCACGGCCACGGCTAAGATCCACGGGGGGACCCCCCTCATCAAACTCAAAGTCCCCTCAGACGTGAGTTCTCAAGCAGCCGCCGGCCAAAGTCCACCCGCCTGACAACACGCGTGTGGAGCTGTGACTCCAGGCCCTCATTCAGTCACTCACGCGACGGGGAGAACTCGAAACGGCAGTGACACCCCTACTCGTTCGTCCCCTGGGCCGGGGGCCCGGCTCACAGAAAACCGTCCCAAAGGCACACGATGGAGACGTGGACGGACATCTGCAGGTGGCGGCGAGCTGGGCGCCACCGAGACAGGCTCAGCAGCCTTGGCGGGGAAGCTGAAGTTTGCCTGCGGCCCCCACACACGCGGGACGCTCACAGGGTTCTGCCGCCACAGCGCAGGTGGATTAAGTCGCGACAGCGCACACCCTGCTGGCCTCTGCCCACAGTCACGGTGGGTGCTCGAGCACCATGCTCTCCGCCTGCAGGGCCGGGTCGGTGCGTGCAGGCACAGTGGGGCCTGTGGAGGTGTCTCTCGGACTCCCAGCGGTGCAGACGCTGCAAGCGACACAACTTCAGTCTCAGAGCTCTCCCCTGCCCCGCTGGGTCACACCCAGGTCACCCTGCTTCTCTGGGGCGTCGAAGACAACGACAAAACTTGCTTTTTACCACCAAACGTGACATCCAGCCAACGGACCAGGTTCTTTCAAGTCTTAAAGCCTCACTACCTTAGACGGCCACCAAGGCCAGTGCCGCTGTGCGTGGAAGCGAGGTGACACCGAGAACTGAGTCCTGGAAGGAAAATGACATGAAACGCGCACATGAGAACCAGGCGCCGAGGCGGGGAAGCACCGCGGAGGGGGGGTGGCCGCTGTGGGGGGCGGCACCACGGTGGGGGGAGGCGCCGTTGGGGAGAAGCACCGTGGGGATGAAGCACCGCGTGGGGAGGGGCGCTGTGGCGGGGAAGCACCGTGGGGACGGGCGCCCTGGCGGGGAAGCACCGCGGCGGGGGTAGGGGAGGGCGGGGCGGCGCCCTGGCGGGGAAGCACCGCGGCCGGGGAGGGGCATCGTGGCGGGGAAGCACTGAGGGGAATACATGGGTCCCATGCAGGAACCTCACTGGGCTGCGCGAGCGGCTTTGTAGGACCCGAAGCGGACGCAGCGCGTGAGCTGCAAAAGAGGTGTCTGACCCAGCCCGAGGCGCGCAGAGACCCTGTGGGTGGGGCCGGGCGCACTCCGCGAGGGTGAGTTCTCCACACAACGGAGGCTGTACTGAAAAGGATGAAGGTGTCCCAGCAGACGGAATGCCAGCAAAGAGACCTCCCAGTGAAGGAACTCTCAGAGATACCCCACAACTTCAAGAGCACCAAGGATAAAACGCGGAAGCTGAGCAAGGCGTGTTAAGTCGAGTGAGTCTGCCAGGGCACGGAGCAGGTGCTCACTCCACACGGGACAAGGAGATGGCACTGCTGTAACTACTTTTGGCAAGTTTTTACTGAGAGATGAAACAATTCTTAATGCTTCTGGTGTTTTAAGTTACAGCATACTAGGTAAATATTAGTTCTTTTCATTCACTACATGTTTGCAACCGACTGTAAGAAAGTTTCTAATATTTCAACAAAAATGATTATAGAATGATCCTAATTTTTACTGGAAGATGGTTTTGCATGGTTGTGACTTATCTGGTCCTTTCATGGCCCCACACTGCCGTACAAGACAGGGACACCTCTACAAATACGGAGTGACTTAGCAAAAACAAATATGCAAGTGTACAACAGCATGCTAATTTTTCTCTAAGAAATGCAAGAAGTATGTATGTTCATACTCATACACATATTTGTACATAATTGCTCATATTAAAAGCTAAAATAACAATAAGAGGATAAACCAAAGCTATGGAAACTATTACCTCTGGGGTAGAAACAGCACAGACAGGGACAGAACCTGGACTTACCTGAATGTGTCTAGTTTGTTAGTGCTCACTTTGTAACCATGGAGGTTTTTACATATTTATAAAACAAAACTTTTTAAAATACTTTAAAAACACAATCCCTAATAGAAAAAGGGCGGGGACACTTAATGTGTTCTTTCAGACCCGTATTGCCCTAAAACCAAAACCAGACAAAGGACTCACAAGAAAACTACCAAGCACTGTCTTCTCTGTGAATCCAGTTGCAAAATTATTGGAATCCAGCAACATATAAAAAAGATGAGACACAGCGACCATGCGGAATTTATCCCAGGAATGCAAGGTTGGTTTAACATCCCAAAACCAACTCATTTAATAGACTGTATTAATAAGTTAAAAAAACAAAACCCGGCCAGGTGCAGTGGCTCATGCCTGTAATCCCAGCACTTTGGGAGGCCGAGGCAGGCGGATCACTTGAAGTCAGGAGTTCAAGACCAGCCTGGCCAATATGGTGAAACCCCATGTCTACTAAAAATATAAAAATTAGCCAGGCATGGTGGTGCATGCCTATAGTCCCAGCTACTTGGGAGGCTGAGGCAGGAGAATCACTTGAACCCAGAAGGTGGAGGTTGCAGTGAGCCGAGATTACACCACTGCACTCCAGCCTGGGTGACAGAGCAAGACTTTGTCTCAAACAAGCAAACCCAAAAAACAAAAACCTGCTCACTCCCGAGGACCCCCTTCACAGCTGCAGAGCTGGAGAGGGCTGGGGGGCAGGGGTCTCACCGTGAGGGGCTCACATGTACCGTGCACCGAGGCTCTGGGGCTCTGACTTGGAGGGGTGGGAGCATCCACTGGCCAGCGACTCCACCTGGAGGGTAGGAGGCTGGAGATGCGGGCACAGGTCCCTGGAAACACAACCACCCACCAGGGGTCCAGACACGCATCTCTGGTGTAGGCCTTGCCTTGGTAACGGACAGACACTAAACTGAGTGTGCTCCATCTGTGGGCGTCCAGGCGGTCAGCCTGGAGAGCATGCAGCTGAGAAGGAAAGCAGGCGGCGAATGATGCACGCCGCGCCGCAGCACTCAGGGTGAGTCTAGAAATGGGCCCATGGGGCTGCTGCCAGGAGACGGGTCCACAGCTGCCCAGCCTGGGATGGCCGCTCCTCGGGCAGAAAGGGGCAAGGCCAGGAGGGTGCAGAACGGCCTCCGAGAGCCACGAGAGCTGGCGCCACTGGCCCCGGAGGGGAGAGAAGGGGAGGGTGGCACAGGGCGGGCCTGCGCTCTTCACAGCATCAGGATGAGAATGCAGACGGAATTCCCACTCGCATTTCAGATGCTTAAGAATTCACACAGCAGCAACCAGACAGCAAACCTCAGACCACAACTATAACCTCAGAGAAAACCTGGGCCGCTCCCGCACACGTGTGAAACGCACCCTCCTCGGCCGTGCCGCCTCACTCACGCTCGTGTGACACGCACCCACCACGGCCGCTCCGCCTCACCCTCACATGCCCGCAGTACCACCTCGGCTGCTCCACGTCCCACGCGTGACACGTACCTTGGCCACCAGGCCCATGTCATCCATGGTGGCCCTCTCGTGGGGGAACCGGGCGAAGGTGCTCTCGATCTTGCTGATGACGGCATCCACGTTGACGGAGTCCTGCGGGCGTCCTCTGGGGAAGTAGAAGGTCGGAATGCTTTGGCTCGTGGCCGGGGGCAGAGGCTCTTCTTTCCGTGTCTGAACCTGAAGAGTCGACAGACAGCGCTCAGTTAGAACCTGGGAGCATCGAACGCCTTCTTCACCCGGACAACACACGGGGCCTCTCTAGGGCCGACAGTGCTGAGGCCACCTGATCCCAGCCGGGAGAGGACACACTGCAATCCCTGCGGGGGACCACACACGTACTCCACTGCAGGGCCCACCTTCACCCAGGAGGCCACACCATGCTGCCATGGACCCCACTCTGGGTGGCGGCTCTGCGCCACTGAGCCCCCATCACACCGAGCAGGGCCCTGGGGACAAGGGCAGCTACGTGCCCCAGGCACCTGAGAGCCCAGCCAGGACCCACTCCCGATTCCCATGAGCCACACCACTGACCCCACCACACCTGGCAGGGACCTGGGGAAAAGGGCAGCCACGCACCCCAGACGCCTGAGAGCTCAGACGTGGAGAGGCACAGGTGCCGTCCACAGGCAACCCTGTCCCTGGAGCCCGGAAGACTCACATTCTGAGAGGCAGAGGCAGGGCAGGCAACCACACAGCCAGGAGAAGGGGTCGACCACCAGGTACTGCTGCGGACACGCCTCAGCCCCTCACCCGGTGCACAGCCCACGCCCACGGGCTCTTGGCCCCACTCAGCACCAGCACTCTCCTCACCCAGTATATCTGCAGGCCCCAGAACACTCACTCAAGAGTCTCCTGCTTGCATCTCTACACAACCTGCGAGGTGGACATTTGATCTCATCCCGTGATGTTAAAACACCATCTGAAACAGTTAACAGCATCAGCAACCGTACTGCGTCCTCCTCCATCAACTGCCCAAGGGACGGTGCTGCGTCCTCCCCCACCATCAACTACTGAAGGGACGGGGCTGCGTCCTCCTCCTCCTCCAACTACCCAGGGAACGGGGCTGTGTCCTTCCCCATCAACTACTCGGGACGAGGCTTCGTCCTCCCCCATCAACTACTCAGGGGACAGGGCTGTGTCCTCCTTGACCAACTACCTAGGGAATGGGGCTGCGTCCTCCTCCTCCTCCATCAACTACTCAGGGGACGGGGCTGTGTCCTCCTCAACCAACTGCCATGGAGGAGGGGTCCAGGGAGGAAGTCCGCATACCAGTGGACCACAGCTCAGGGCCTTTGCACCCACAATCCTGACTGCCTGGATCAATCCAGGACTGGGTCCAAGCTCCAGTGTCCACACAGAGAAAACAGCCCGCCCTGCTACTCCCACAGGACCCTCACCCCAGGTCACAAGGGTCCCACAGACAGCACCCCAACTGTCCCCACCCTGCTACTGCCACAGTATCCTCACCGCAGGTCACAAGGGTCCCACAGCGCCCCAACTGTCCCCACCCTGCTACTCCCACAGGACCCTCACCCCAGGTCACAAGGGTCCCACTGACAGCGCCTCAACTGTGCCCACCCTGCTGTCGCTGCAGGACCCTCACCCACGGTGAGACTCAGTTGTTTTTCTCTGATCCCCATGTAGGAGGAACAGAGGCCGCCTCCGTGACCTGGGGCAGAGCAGGCTTCCCGCAGTAGCTGCCGACTGAGTGCTCCTTCAGCACAGCTTTACCTAAGGGCACACCCCTTCCCTGTGATTCAGAACGTGACCTCTGTGTCCTGGGGCAGGAGGTCCCTGCATCTCCCCGAGCCCGCGATCCCACAGTGCATCTCCCCGAGCCCATGATCCCGCAGTGCATCTCCCCGAGCCCACGATCCCGCAGTGCATCTCCCCGAGCCCACCATCCCACAGTGCATCTCCCCGAGCCCACCATCCCGCAGTGCATCTCTCCGAGCCCACCATCCCACAGTGCATCTCCCCGAGCCCGCAATCCCACAGTGCATCTCCCCGAGCCCGCGATCCCACAATGCATCTCCCCGAGCCCACCATCCCACAATGCATCTCCCCGAGCCCAGCATCCCACAATGCATCTCCCCGAGCCCGCGATCCCGCAGTGCATCTCCCCGAGCCCGCGATCCCGCAGTGCATCTCCATGAGTCCACGATCCCACAATGCATCTCCCCGTGCCCGCAATCCCACAATGCATCTCCCCGAGCCCACCATCCCACAGTCATCTCCCTGTGCCCACCATCCCACAATGCATCTCCCCAAGCCCGCGATCCCACAGTGCATCTTCCCGAGCCCACAACGCATTCCCGCAGCGGCGCCTTCCCGTCTCTCGCTGTGGGGGTCCCACTGTGGAGCCTGCGGCTCTTCCTCCTTCATCACGCTGGGTTCACACAGCTCTGCTATTTGGGGTACGGAACTGACCCCGCGAATATTCTGCAGTGAGCTCTCGGGCTCCTGTGTTTGGCAATATAGCAATGACCTGGGTACACAAACCAACCTTCCTGATGAAAACTGCCAAGAACCCTGGACAGAATAGTTGACAAACGTCTTCTAGACGGCGCCCACAGGCTGGCAGGAAAGGAGGACACCTCAGGCCACAGCTGCCTGGAAGGAAGAACCCGGGGAAGCCCGTGGAGCCTGAACAGGCTCTGCCTTCAGAAGCGTGGGCCGAGCGGGCTCACCCGAAATCTCTCACAGCCTTGCAGAGCTCTGGGGAAGAGGAGGCAAAACGCAGGGTCCTCCGGGGAAGCTCCCAGAACGCGTCACCTTCAGTGGGAAGAATGAGCTCCAAGTAAATCCCCAGCGCGCCTCCGGCCCCAGGAATGAAAGTAGCAGCCTTCACCTGGAGCTGCTGGTACGAGCTGGGCAGGGGGGAGTTCTCCCCCGAGAACTGACGGCTACAGCCGACTCTCCTGCAGGTTTGCAAACCAAACTCACGGTCACCAGGATGCTGCGAAAACCCTCAAACCGGCCGGGCTCGTGCCTGCAATCCTGGCGCTTTGAAAGGAGGCTGAGGGGGACAGACTGTCTGAGCTGAGGAGTTCAAGACCAGCCTGGGCAACATGGCAAAACTTCATCTCTACTAAAAAAAAAAAAAACAAAAAAAAAAAAACAGAAAACAAAAAACAAAAAGAGTATAAAAAAAATTAGCCGGGTGTGGTGGAGGGTGCCTGTACTCCCAGCTACTCGGGAGGCTGAGGCAGGAGAATCGCTTCAACACAGGAGGCGGAGGTTGCAGTGAGCTGAGATCGCACCACTGCACTCCAGCCTGGGCGACAGAGTGAGACTCTGTCTCAAAACAAAACAAACGATTAACCAGGTGTGGTGGCGCATGCCTGTACTCCCAGCTACTCGGGAGGCTGAGGCAGGAGAATCGCTTCAACACAGGAGGCGGAGGTTGCAGTGAGCTGAGATCGCACCACTGCACTCCAGCCTGGGCGACAGAGTGAGACTCTGTCTCAAAACAAAACAAACGATTAACCAGGTGTGGTGGCGCATGCCTGTAATCCCAGCTACTGGAGAGGCTGAGGCAGGAGAATCGCTTCAACACAGGAGGCGGAGGTTGCAGTGAGCTGAGATCGCACCACTGCACTCCAGCCTGGGCGACAGAGTGAGACTCTGTCTCAAAACAAAACAAACGATTAACCAGGTGTGGTGGCGCATGCCTGTAATCCCAGCTACTTGAGAGGCTGAGGCAGGAGAATCGCTTCAACACAGGAGGCGGAGGTTGCAGTGAGCTGAGATCGCACTACTGCACTCCAGCCTGGGCGACAGAGTGAGACTCTGTCTCAAAACAAAACAAACGATTAACCAGGTGTGGTGGCGCATGCCTGTACTCCCAGCTACTCGAGAGGCTGAGGCAGGAGAATCGCTTCAACACAGGAGGCGGAGGGTGCAGTGAGCTGAGATCGCACCACTGCACTCCAGCCTGGGCGACAGAGTGAGACTCTGTCTCAAAACAAAACAAACGATTAACCAGGTGTGGTGGCGCATGCCTGTACTCCCAGCTACTCGAGAGGCTGAGGCAGGAGAATCGCTTCAACACAGGAGGCGGAGGTTGCAGTGAGCTGAGATCGCACTACTGCACTCCAGCCTGGGCGACAGAGTGAGACTCTGTCTCAAAACAAAACAAACGATTAACCAGGTGTGGTGGCGCATGCCTGTAATCCCAGCTACTCGGGAGGCTGAGGCAGGAGAATCGCTTCAACACAGGAGGCGGAGGTTGCAGTGAGCTGAGATCGCACTACTGCACTCCAGCCTGGGCGACAGAGTGAGACTCTGTCTCAAAACAAAACAAACGATTAACCAGGTGTGGTGGCGCATGCCTGTAATCCCAGCTACTGGAGAGGCTGAGGCAGGAGAATCGCTTCAACACAGGAGGCGGAGGTTGCAGTGAGCTGAGATCGCACCACTGCACTCCAGCCTGGGCGACAGAGTGAGACTCTGTCTCAAAACAAAACAAACGATTAACCAGGTGTGGTGGCGCATGCCTGTAATCCCAGCTACTCGGGAGGCTGAGGCAGGAGAATCGCTTCAACACAGGAGGCGGAGGTTGCAGTGAGCTGAGATCGCACCACTGCACTCCAGCCTGGGCGACAGAGTGAGACTCTGTCTCAAAACAAAACAAACGATTAACCAGGTGTGGTGGCACATGCCTGTAATCCCAGCTACTTGAGAGGCTGAGGCAGGAGAATCGCTTCAACACAGGAGGCAGAGGTTGCAGTGAGCTGAGATCGCACTACTGCACTCCAGCCTGGGCGACAGAGTGAGACTCTGTCTCAAAACAAAACAAACGATTAACCAGGTGTGGTGGCGCATGCCTGTACTCCCAGCTACTCGAGAGGCTGAGGCAGGAGAATCGCTTCAACACAGGAGGCGGAGGGTGCAGTGAGCTGAGATCGCACTACTGCACTCCAGCCTGGGCGACAGAGTGAGACTCTGTCTCAAAACAAAACAAACGATTAACCAGGTGTGGTGGAGGGTGCCTGTACTCCCAGCTACTCGAGAGGCTGAGGCAGGAGAATCGCTTCAACACAGGAGGCGGAGGGTGCAGTGAGCTGAGATCGCACTACTGCACTCCAGCCTGGGCGACAGAGTGAGACTCTGTCTCAAAACAAAACAAACGATTAACCAGGTGTGGTGGAGGGTGCCTGTACTCCCAGCTACTCGGGAGGCTGAGGCAGGAGAATCGCTTCAACACAGGAGGCAGAGGTTGCAGTGAGCTGAGATCGCACCACTGCACTCCAGCCTGGGCGACAGAGTGAGACTCTGTCTCAAAACAAAACAAACGATTAACCAGGTGTGGTGGCGCATGCCTGTAATCCCAGCTACTTGAGAGGCTGAGGCAGGAGAATCGCTTCAACACAGGAGGCAGAGGTTGCAGTGAGCTGAGATCGCACTACTGCACTCCAGCCTGGGCGACAGAGTGAGACTCTGTCTCAAAACAAAACAAACGATTAACCAGGTGTGGTGGCGCATGCCTGTAATCCCAGCTACTTGAGAGGCTGAGGCAGGAGAATCGCTTAAACCCGGGAGGCGGAGGGTGCGGTGAGCTGAGGTCGCACCACTGTCCTCCAGCCTGGGTGACAGAGTGAGACTCTGTCTCAAAAAAAAAAAAGTGAGATGAATACTTGGACATTTTTAGCCCCAAATTTACAGAGCATGCACCCCATTAACAGACACTCTACGGGGCAAAAGCTGAGGAAATGCAGCAGGGAGAAGCCAAGAGCTCCCAAAGGGAAGGTTGGAATTGAAAGAAGGGATGAAGAGCAGGTCAGCGGTAATGAGTGGGAAAACCTCGGCAGCTGACCACATAAATCAGTGATAACAATGTATGTTCAATTTAAAAAACATAAATCAGTGAAAACAACGTATGTTCAATTAAAAAAAAAAAGTCAATACAACAGCCTGTCAGTGACATGCTGACTGGATGAGTGTGAGACGGTTTGTGAGTTGGAGGAAAAGATACTGATTAATATTGGGCTTTGAAAAATTTAGTCGACGTTCCTTTTTTTTTTCTTTATAGAGACGGGGTCTCGCTATGTTGTGCTGGCTGGTCTTGAACTCCTGGCCTCCAGCGATTCTCCTGCCTCAGCCTCCCAAGGCGCTGGGATCACAGGTGTGAGGCCCCGTGCCCGGCCAGCCATTGACATTTGTAGGATAAACAGTGAGCTAGTAGGAAGCGTGTACTCCAAACGAGAGAAAAGGCGACCAAGCTGAAAAAGAGCAGGAGACAGAGGTGCAGGATGAGACGGTCACAGTCCATCACACGGATGAGCAGGCAACATCGACCTCAATGCACCGAGTGCTCTAGTTACAAGACAAAGGTCTGACTGCAGAAAGAAAACAGCATTCACGTACATGGGAGACACAGAGGACAGAAAGACAGGAGATATATGTGACTTAAGGACCCAGAGGCTACACATTTTTTTTTGAGATGGAAAAAGAGCAGGCAGACAGTAGAGAAAGCTGGTGTCGCTGTATTAACATCCATGAAGTGACACAAGGTGATGGACAGACCTGGAGACAGACAGGCCACCAAGGAACGCTGAAGAGGTCAGTCAGGGGAAGACAGGCTGATGCTAACTTTATCCATGCCTGACAACGCAGCCTCGGCACTGATCAAGTAAACACCACTGGACACAAACTGAGCCCGCTAGGCAAGGCGGAGCCCACCCACCCCGGGCACAGACACAGGGAAGGCCGGGACCACCCACCCTGGGCACAGACACGGGGAAGGCCGGGACCACCCACCTTGGGCACTGACGGGGGGAAGGCCGGGATCACCCACCCCGGGCACTGACGGGGGGAAGGCCGGGACCACCCACCCCGGGCACAGACACGGGGAAGGCCGGGACCACCCACCTTGGGCACCGACGGGGGGAAGGCCGGGACCACCCACCTTGGGCACCGACACGGGGAAGGCCGGGACCACCCACCCCGGGCACCGACGGGGGGAAGGCCGGGACCACCCACCTTGGGCACCGACACGGGGAAGGCCGGGACCACCCACCCCGGGCACTGACGGGGGGGAAGGCCGGGACCACCCACCCCGGGCACCGACGGGGGGAAGGCCGGGACCACCCACCTTGGGCACCGACGGGGGGAAGGACGGGACCACCCACCCCGGGCACCGACGGGGGGAAGGCCGGGACCACCCACCCCGGGCACCGACCGGGGGAAGGCCGGGACCACCCACCCTGGGCACCGACGGGGGGAAGGCCGGGACCACCCACCCTGGGCACCGACCGGGGGAAGGCCGGGACCACCCACCCTGGGCACCGACGGGGGGAAGGCCGGGACCACCCACCTTGGGCACCGACGGGGGGAAGGCCGGGACCACCCACCTTGGGCACCGACACGGGGAAGGCCGGGACCACCCACCCCGGGCACTGACGGGGGGAAGGCCGGGACCACCCACCTTGGGCACCGACCGGGGGAAGGCCAGGACCACCCACCCTGGGCACCGACGGGGGGAAAGCCGGGACCACCCACCATGGGCACTAATAGACGAGAGATGGAACAAACAACACAACCACCCCATGCGGGCACAGAAGATTTACAAGCTTAATCTCATGGACAGAAATAGACTCGGCCCCAGCACAGCTGCAGAGCACACATTCTTTTCAACACACACAGCTCACTTGGGAACTGGCCACCTCTCGGGCTGAGCTGCAGGTCTCAGGGGGTTCTGAAGGAATCACAGGGACTGCTGCCCTGCCCCAAACGTAGCCGGTGAGGCCAGGCATCTACGGTAAACACAGAAGGAGCAAAAACAGCTGCATGTATGTGGAAGAAGAATTCTAAAGCCAGCCGCCTGTTCATTAAAAAGTTCAGACAAACCAGAGGGGCCTGTGGCGGCCAGGTCATCCACTTTAAATCCTCCTCAGTACGTGTACTTTAAAAAGAACTTCGTAAAGAGCCCGTCACCCAAAGCGCACTGATAAAGGCGACACCCTGACTCCCAACAAGCTATTTCTGTTGAGGGCACTGAGAAGGCAGCTCCCTGACTCATCACAATTCCAGAAGTCACAGATACATGTGTCGCCCTTCCAGAGTACACCCACAGTTTTGCAAAACACGTCCATATACGACCAAAAACAAAGGCTGAGCCTAACACTGAGGCTGCCTGTTTTTGCGTAGAAGTGCGTGCGCTTGATGGGTGCAGGTGAGTGTACCCCGAGAACACAGGCCACGTGCACCGTGACACATCCTCTCGCGACACCAGCCTCGGGCAGACCCCCGCATGTGCAGAGGGTGCGCACAGCAGGCAGGGCGCGGTGACCAGCAGAAATGACCCTCGCCCCCACGGCAGCAGGACCGGACACCACGATCAAAGCCACAGAGGAGGTGCCGGAGCAGCAGGGGGCCGGCGGAAGGGACGCTCAGTACGGGCTGCAACGCACAGCCGTGCCCCCAGGAGCCCCCGCTCTGCAGCGGCCCCCACTCTGCAGCGGGAGGCGGAAGCACGGGAGGCTGTGGTATGGAATCAGGGACGGGGGGTTTGGCCGGGACGCACACTCATGGATTCCAGCTGAGCCCCTCGCCCACCCAGATGACGGCCACCCCCTGGAAGGCAGGGCCTGCTGCAAGCTCTGAGCATTCTTCTCGGCCCAGCACTTGACTCCCAGGGACCCTCTGAGAGGGCTGGTAGAGGGCTGCCAGCTACACCTGCAAACCGCACGCTGGACGGCTAAACACAGGAGTCAAAAAGGTCGGTGTTTACACAGAGGAGCCGAACACGGAGATGAGAGGCCCCACGTGTGGGTTTAAAAATCCCCTCTCTAGCAAAGAGGGAGAACTGGTGTGGAGGGGTCAACACAGAAACGCAGCAGGTGCAGGTGTCTGAGTAGGCCAGAGCTCACGTGGGCTAACATTCACTCAGACACATGACTGCAGCCGAGCAACCGGGCCTCAACGGACGCTGAGAGACGTCGGCTGGGGCCTGCACCCACACCTGCAGCCCAGGCACTGGCGCCTGCAGCCACGGCTGCAGCGAGGCGTGAGTCTCCACAGAGCTCGGAAGGCTGGGCTGGGGGACGTGGGGATCATTCTGTCCACCAGCCAAGGGGTGACGGTGGATGCCGCGCAACACAGCGAGGGGAGGATCCGGCACCCTCCCTGCGTCCACAAGCCCCTGGCGGATGCTCCTGAGCTTGGTCTTCTGTGTGGACGTTCCCACCCGGGCTTCTGTTTCCCGTTAACCCCCCTTGCTGCAGCTCCCTGCCAGGTGGGGAACCCAAGCCCTGCCTTCTCCCTGCCACTGCCCAGGGAGTGGCATCCTGGGCAGCGTCCTGGCCAAACCAAAGGCTGCAAGGGTTTTGGTGACCACTGGCCTTGGGAGGGGAACGGCACGTGCCCTGGCGGTGAGAGCAGGAGGTGCGTCAGGGACGCCCAGAGCCCAGGCTGTCACCACGCTGAAGTCAGTTCCAAGTACAGCGGGGCTGCCGCGTAGGGGACGGCGCTTTCAGCCATGCGTGGTGCCGTGTAGGGTCTGTGCGTCCACCCGAAGGACCCCGTGGGGACGCCGGACAGTGTCTGTGTGACCAGGACAGGTGAAGAGGGGCGTCTGTGTGCTGAGTCAGTGTGTGGGGAGCGGGAGAGTCACTCCCCAGGCGGGGAGGGCCAGGCTAGGCAGCACAGCTGTCCTGGGCTGGGAACAAGGTCTGAGCTGTCCTGCTGTTGCCCGGGGACAGAAGGCCCGAGAATCCCTGGGCAGGAGGCGCAGGCAGTGGCTCCGGCAAGAAGAGCTCAGCCAAGCAGCTGCACGGCCCCACTCCAGGTACATGCTGGGTCCTACAGTGAGAGCATGAGCCGTGTAACACGCCATCGTCACACGGGAGCCTCCCCGGACCCACGGTGAGAGTACGTGTAACACGCCATCGTCACACGGGAGCCTCCCCGGACCCACGGCGTGAACGCATGCTGTTCCGTTCCCAAGGCCGGCGGTCGCTGAACGCCCCCACCCCCCGAGTTTGGTTTGTCAAGGATGCCGGTGACAGGGAAGTGGGCAGTGGCAGGGAGGAGGAGGAGCTTGGGTTCACCATCGGGGCAGGCAGCACCCGCCAGGGGGTTAGTGGGAACAGAAGCCCAGGTGGGACGTCGCACAGTCAGAAGATCAAGCTCAGGAGCACCCGCCAGGGGCTCGTGGGTGCGGCCAACGTTGGCCGTGGAAGGCTGTGCCCGTCAGAGGACCCCTGAAAACAGTACCGTGCTGCCCGGCCGGGAGCGTCCGAAGGCGGAGGTGCGGCACCCCAACACGTCCAGTGGCTCCAACACGGGTGCTCCCTGACAACCCTGAGGGTGTGTCCAAGTGGGGTGGACCCAACAGACAGAGCCCACACTCATGCGCGGAGTGAAAGCAGCCAGGAAACGTCCCCTTCTCCCCCAACACCACCCCCACAAATACCCCCAAATATGCCTGTAATTCCTCCACCACCCCTCAGACAACATGCATTTCACACGTCTGTCCTCACTCCCTAAAAACGTGGAAACCTATTTTCTGTAAAATGAAGCAAACTTCTGTAAACGGAATTCATGATTTCCCAGAAACTGACTTTTTAAAAATAAACAGTCCTCACAGGTGCATCGTCACCACAGCCCCCCACAGAAGAGCCAGGGCCCCACTGCAGGGCTGAAGGGCTTCCTCATCCAGCCACGTGCGAGCTAATCACCTCATTGACTCTGCGACCAGCGAGCCCGCACCGCCCAGCACCTCCCACCATCTAGAGCAAATCCCGCACGAGGCTGATCTCGCTCTTCGCAGGTTAAGAGGATTTTAAAGACACCAGCCTCGCCCTTACCCACTTACAGGCAAAATGTCAAAACCTGGAAGACAGAGGTCAAAAACTCCGAAGGAGTGCAAAAGTTGATGTGAGATCTTACAGAAAAAATTTCAATTAAAATATCAACAGAAAGAAGTGGGTCTTCCTCCCCCTTCAAGCAGGATGCCTTGGTTCACCTTGATGTTAGGCCACTAGTTCCAGACTCCTGGAACTGAGTTTGAAAAGCGCGTCTGATGTGCCACGTGGGTGTGAGGCGCCCGCCACGCACACCCTGTCTGGATGAAATTCGGATCAGATTCGGCCGCAGCCAAACCCTAAATTCTCAAATTATACTGGGATTGTCACAGGAAGACTCTTACACGTTTAAATCACATGGTACTCGTAAAACTAACTCATACAATATACACGGGGTACAGACACAAATTTTACTTCCCTGAGCACTTATGAGAACTGAGATTAAATTTCAAAGCCAGCTGGGGTGGAGGCTCACGCCCCTACTCCCAGCACTTTGGAAGGCCCAGGTGGGCGATCACCTGAGGTCAGGAGTTCAAGACCAGCCTGGCCAACATGGTGAAACCCCGTCCCTACTAAAAATGCAAAAATTAGCCCTACTCGGGAGGCTGAAGCAGGAAAATCACTTGAACCCAGGAGGTGGAGGTTGCAGTGAGCCGAGATAGCGCCGCTGCACTCCAGCCTGGGAAACAGAGAGGCTTCGTCTCAAATAAATAAATATAAATAAATAAATTTCAAAGCCACTGAGTTACTGAATAAAACCACGCTGCATAAATAGTCCGGTATGTGAGTGATATCTCAACCGACTCTTAAGTTAGCCAGTGGGAAGGAATGCTGGGTATTGCAATAACGCCGGGAAAGTTTCACCCACCCGACGCCTTTACGAAGGGTGAAGGAGTTTCCCGATGTTTATTACCAGCAATGCAAGGTATATTTAAATTAAAAATCTGTCTGCAGCGAACACTCCCAGGCGCTGACGGCTCTCACCCGCCTTGGTTGATCACAGCAAGGCGCGCACTCACAGCCAAAACTCCCGGGAAAGGAGCGAGTGCTCTTTTCAAAGCCCGGTTTTCCTAACAAGCTTGGCACCGCTTCCCACAGAGCAGCACCCGGTTTTCGGCGGCGTGCGGCCCGAGCGGGTCCCCTGCGCCCACAACTGGCCCTGTAAATCTGGCGTTTGGGCCCCGCCACGCAACAACGGGTGCACGGCCAGCAGCGGCGAGCGGGGGCCCACGCGGGGCCGGGAGGGCAGGGCTCGCCGGGCCGGGAGGCCTCGCCCGGTGTCGGGCAGCCGCGGGGCGCGCGGGGCTGACCTGCTGGAAGGCCTTCAGCCGCTTCTTGAACCGAGAGGGCAGCACGAAGTCGCAGCCGCGGGCCAGTGAGGCCAGCTCCTGGCGCAGGTCGGGGTCCTGGCGCAGCGAGCGCTCGCGGAGTCGCATGCCGCCGGCGCGCAGGGCTCTCCGCGGGCCGGGCCGGGCGCCGCGCTCTCGGGGCAGGGCCGGGCCGGGGCCGGCGGGGCGCTGCAGGCGTGGCCCGGGCTCAGCGCGCTCCATGCGTCGCCCGCCAGGCGCTCTGGGGCCGGGGCCCGCGCCGCGCGCATTCCTCAGGCTGAGGAGGGCGCATGGCGCCGGGGGTGGGGGCGGCCGCCTCTCCCGACCCGCGACTGTGCAGACCCGGCTGCTCCCGGCGCTGCTCTCCTCTCCTCCTTCTCCGCTCCCTGCACTGCCCTCCGCTCCCTCCGGTCCTCTTCTCTCCTCTCCCCGTTCGCTCCGGGCTGGGCCGTCCGGCCGGGCAAGGGGGCGCTTTCTGCACCGCGGCAGCCGTCACGTGGCTCGCCCTGGAGCGCGCATCAACAGGTCCCCGAGAGGAGAGCCTGGGCGGAACGCGCATCAACAGGTCCCCGAGAGGAGAGCCTGGGCGGAACGCGCATCAACAGGTCCCCGAGAAGAGAGCCTGGGGACGGCCTCGGGGACCCAGGCGAAGGCGCTCCCCGCGAGAAGTGAGGTCCCCCCCCTCCACGACAACACCAGAGCTGGCTGCAGGCTCGGTGCCGACTCCGGCTTGCCCCTCCAGAGCACAGGGCACGCCAGGTGCAGCTGCGCCTCCACAAACACGCACGGCAGCCCAGACATCCCGGCAGCCCGGCATCAAAGCGCGCCGGCATCTCCGCCCCTCCCCAAACTTCAGGAGTTTCTAGAATACAGCTAAGCTGCAGTGGGCATCCAGGATCTCGTCTTCTCTGCCACTGCTCACTGTGATAACTGCGCTTGTTTGCAATCGTATTTAGAACAAGAAAAGAGGGGCGGTGGAAAAGGGGGACGGGCAACTTTAAATGAGGGTGAGCTGACATTCCGGGGGCCTGCACCTCGATCCCACCGGGAAGGAGACAGGATACCTTCGGGCTGAGGGTCAGAAACTGGCCACATCCCTGCCAGGCTGAACGCTGTCAGCAGAAAGCCTCCCGGGTCCCCGATCAGGAAGGTCCTGCGTGACCGCCTGCATCTGTTACAGTCAATAAACCTCCTTGGACGGGTCACTATCACCCCGAGTCAACAGCGTGCACTGGGCTCTCCCGCTGCCGCACGCTCTGTTGAGTCTGGAAAAACGCAGGATGACACGGATCTACCACTGTGGGGTCACGCAGAGGAGTTTCCCTGCCCTGAAAAACGTCTGTGTGGCACTGACGCACCCAACCCCCGCAAGCCCCGATCTGTTTCCTGTCTCCATCGTTTTCCTTTTTCCGAGTGTCCTAGACTTGGAACCAGAAGTCTGCAGCCATCTCAGACTGGCCTTTTCTTCTCCTGCAACCTTCCACACCACCTCTGACGCCCACCACAGCCCCCCACCCGCAAGGCCCCTTCCAACTCTTCTTAGGGGTACGCCCCTCTCCACTTCCTTCTCTTCCACCTCCTTCCCTTCTCCAGCCATCCTCGGATCCCTCCATCCTTCTCACTTCCTTACTGTCCTTGAGGATTCAGAAGTCGGCCTCTGACCCCCGGTAAGTCTCCAAAGGGAAGCTTTAAGACAGCACCAGAGGGAATGTGCTCAAACCACCAGGAGACGATTTAAACAAGTGCACCCAGTAACCCACGATGCGGGGCGCAAACTCACAGGGCAGAGGTGCCGCCCAGTCACCCACGATGCGGGGCGCAAACTCACAGGGCAGAGGTGCTGCCCAGTCACCCACGATGCAGGATGCAAACTCACAGGGCAGAGGTGCCGCCCAGTCACCCACGATGCAGGATGCAAACTCACAGGGCAGAGGTGCGGCCCAGTAACCCATGATGTGGGGCACAAACTCACAGGGCAGAGGTGCCGTCCCGTCACCCACGATGCGGGGCGCAAACTCACAGGACAGAGGTGCCGCCCAGTCACCCACGATGTGGGGCGCAAACTCACAGGGCAGAGGTGCCGCCCCTTCAGTTCATATCAGCACTACACACGGACGGCCTCCCAAACGCAGCTAGGGGAACCAGATTGGGAGCCAACCTCCTGTGATCTCCCTCCGAAAGTCAAAGATCAAACCCAAAATGCGGGGGAAGCGAGCCAACGGGCGCGATCCTCACACTCAGGCAACATGCCCTGTCCTGCCACGCCAGGTGACACACGCCCTGTCCTGCCACGGCGGGTGACACACACCCCTGTGGACTTTACTGCCAGGTTTCCTCTTTCCGTACAAGACTTTTGGAACACAGCCAGGCACAGTGGCTCATGCCTGTAATCCCAGCACTTTGGGAGGTCAAGGCAGGCAGATCATGAGGTCAGGAGTTCGAGACCAGCCAGGCCAACATGGTGAAACCCTGTCTCTACTAAAAATACAAAATTAGCTGGGCATGGTGGCGGGTGCCTGTCATCCCAGCTACTTGGGAGGCTGAGGGAGAAGAATCGCTTGAACTCAGAAGGCAGAGGTTGCAGTGAGCCGAGATTGCGCCACTGCACTGCAGCCTGGGGGACAAGAGCGAGACTTCGTCTCAAAAAGGAAAAAAAAAAAAAAAAGACTTTTGGAAAACAGCCTCAAAATCCTGAAGTGCACACATAGGCAGAGATTTAGACTCTGACCTGGAGCCCTCGAACCACCTCTGGATGCAGTCCCACTGCCCCCCTGGAGCCCTTGCGTCCTGTCCCGATGCAGAACCCGCACCACCCGCCCCCAGTGCAGCCACAGGGCTGTCTACACCGGATGGGGGAGGGACAGGGCTGTCCACACTCGACAGAGCCCCCATGGGGCCATCCACTACCGTGTACAGGGACGGGCCGTCCACAGTGGGGCCGCCATGGGGCTGTCTATACACTACTGTATGCAGGGACGGGCCGTCCACACCCAGTGGGGCCGCCATGGGGCTGTCTATACACTACTGTATGCAGGGACGGGCCGTCCACACCCAGTGGGGCCGCCATGGGGCTGTCTATACACTACTGTATGCAGGGACGGGCCATCCACACCCAGTGGGGCCACCATGGGGCTGTCTATACACTACTGTGTACAGGGACGGGCCGTCCACACCCAGTGGGGCCACCATGGGGCTGTCTATACACTACTGTGTACAGGGACGGGCCGTCCACAGTGGGGCCGCCATGGGGCTGTCTATACACTACTGTATACAGGGACGGGCCGTCCACAGTGGGGCCGCCATGGGGCTGTCTATACACTACTGTATGCAGGGACGGGCCGTCCACACCCAGTGGGGCCGCCATGGGGCTGTCTATACACTACTGTATGCAGGGACGGGCCGTCCACACCCAGTGGGGCCGCCATGGGGCTGTCTATACACTACTGTATGCAGGGACGGGCCGTCCACACCCAGTGGGGCCGCCATGGGGCTGTCTATACACTACTGTGTACAGGGACGGGCCGTCCACACCCAGTGGGGCCACCATGGGGCTGTCTATACACTACTGTATGCAGGGACGGGCCGTCCACAGTGGGGCCGCCATGGGGCTGTCTATACACTACTGTGTACAGGGACGGGCCGTCCACACCCAGTGGGGCCACCATGGGGCTGTCTATACACTACTGTATGCAGGGACGGGCCGTCCACAGTGGGGCCGCCATGGGGCTGTCTATACACTACTGTGTACAGGGACGGGCCGTCCACACCCAGTGGGGCCGCCATGGGGCTGTCTATACACTACTGTATGCAGGGACGGGCCGTCCACAGTGGGGCCGCCATGGGGCTGTCTATACACTACTGTGTACAGGGACGGGCCGTCCACACCCAGTGGGGCCACCATGGGGCTGTCTATACACTACTGTGTACAGGGACGGGCCGTCCACAGTGGGGCCGCCATGGGGCTGTCTATACACTACTGTGTACAGGGACGGGCCGTCCACACCCAGTGGGGCCACCATGGGGCTGTCTATACACTACTGTGTACAGGGACGGGCCGTCTACAGTGGGGCCGCCATGGGGCTGTCTATACACTACTGTATGCAGGGACGGGCCGTCCACACCCAGTGGGGCCGCCATGGGGCTGTCTATACACTACTGTGTACAGGGACGGGCCGTCCACACCCAGTGGGGCCACCATGGGGCTGTCTATACACTACTGTGTACAGGGACGGGCCGTCCACACCCAGTGGGGCCACCATGGGGCTGTCTATACACTACTGTATGCAGGGACGGGCCGTCCACACCCAGTGGGTCCGCCGTGGGGCTGTCTATACACTACTGTGTACAGGGACGGGCCATCCACACCCAGTGGGGCCACCATGGGGCTGTCTATACACTACTGTATGCAGGGACGGGCCGTCTACAGTGGGGCCGCCATGGGGCTGTCTATACACTACTGTGTACAGGGACGGGCCGTCCACACTTGACAGGACCACCACAGGGCTGTCTATACACTACTGTGTACAGGGACGGGGCCGTCATAGCATTGTTTTTGCACCACAGGCCAGCACGGAATCTGCGAGGCCTGTTTTCAGCCTGTTCCCCCCAAATTCCTACTCTGAAGAGACAACATTGCCATCTGGGCCGATGAAGCCCCTCACGGCACCCGAATCTCCACCGTCCCTCTGCTGTCGGGACACAATCTTACCATCAACCTCTAAAGGCTCCTAAAATGCCCAGAAGACCTTTATGCAAAATTTTCATAAAAATCTCTTCACTTTTCATTCTCACTAAACATACATTTGTTCAGACGGCTTGTTTTAGGATAAAAATGTGTCTTCCATGAGCAAACATAATGGCTTTTCTGAAATCCCAGATTTGAAAGGCTTACGAAGGCGACCTGCCCTTTGTGAGAAAAAGTTTTTCTGAACATCCAAAGCTAAAAGCATAGCTAGTAACAGGCAAGCCTATGAGACAGGAAGATGGCCCAGAATCCTGTCCTCACCCTGCAGGTGCCGTCTGCAGAGCACGGCTTCCTCCCTGTTTCAAAGGCCCTGAGAGGACAGGCTCCAGCGGATTCAAAACCCGTCCACCTCATCTCAGGAAACGGCATGGTTCTCTCTGTCAACAGAAGGGGAGGGAGGGATGAAGCTCTTTACACAGTTTCCATGGTTGCAGATTCTCGGAGGTTGCAAGAAGGGTTTTCGACACCTTCCTTCCTCCTCACAACGAGACTCTCATCGGTGCCCACTATGAAAACGTGAATAGGTCGTTGTTACGAAGGCAGTGAGAACTGAACGCAGACAGGCACGCACCTGTACAAAAGCTACAGTCCCTGGGCAAGCTCAAGGCTCCCGCACGAAACCTTCAGAAACCCTGAGCTCCTGCCCTGAGGGTTCTAGGTGCTTTTGTCTTACAACATGTTTGTTAAGAACTTCTAATGAAACGTTAAGATAACCACACCTGTATGTACATGCACCTGTGTGTGTGTATGCACCTGTGTGTTTGTGTGTATGCACCTGTGTGTGTGTATGCACCTACGTGTGTGTGTATGCACCTGTGTGTGCACCTGTGTGTATGCACCTATGTGTGTGTATGCACCTATGTGTGCATGTACCTGTGTGTATGGACCTATGTATGTGTGTATGCGTGTGTATGCACCTGTGTATGCACCTGTGTGTATGCACCTATGTGTGTGTGTGTGTATGGACCTATGTATGTGTATGCACCTGTGTGTATGTATCTGTGTGTATGGACCTATGTATGTGTGTATGCGTGTGTATGCACCTGTTATGCACCTGTGTGTATGCACCTATGTGTGTATGTACCTGTGTATGCACCTATGTGTGTATGCACCTATGTGTGTATGCACCTGTGTTTGTGCATATGCACCTGTGTGTGTGTATGCACCTGTGTGTTTGTGTGTATGCACCTGTGTGTGTGATGCACACGCACGCCCGTGTTTATCTCCAAATACCCTGTTCTAATGTTCTAGAATGCTGGCACCCGGTCTGATAAAAATCACAGGTTAGGTGGACACCAAAACTGAGTAGCTTCCAGAAATTAGAGAAGAACTAAATAAACAGATAGAAACTTAATCAAGGAGGTGCAAGAGGTGTACCCGGGGAAGTACACAACGTTGCTGAACAAAACCTAAATGAATGGAAAGTCCTTTGTTTGTGGATTGGAAAATACTGTTAAGGTATCAATTATCCTAAATTGATCCACAGATTCAAAGCAATCCCAATCAAAATTCCAACAGGCTTTTCTTGCTGGAAAGCAATTTTTAAAGAACAGGCTTGGACTCACAGTATCTGCTTTCAAAATTTGCTAGAAAGTTACACTAATCTGGAAAGTGCCATGAAGGTGAGGGGATGCACATACAGCAATGGGATGGAAATAATAATAAAACAGACGTACGTACTCAACTGACTTTCAACAACACAATTCCACGGGGGGAGAAAAGACTGTTCAATATACGGTGCTGGGGTCATCCAGATACCTCACCTCATACCACGCAGAAAAACTGACCTGAACTGGATCACAGGCCGAAACGCAAACCTAAAACCACACTGCTTTCTCAAGATAAATAGGAGAAAATATTTGACACCTTGTGGTATGCAAACATTTTGTAATAAGACACAAAAAATAAGAGTCATAAAAGAAAAAAGTTGAAAAACTAAACACTTTTGCTCTTTGAGACACTGAAGAAAACAAAAAGCAAGCCAGACTCAAGAGACATATGCACACACCACATTGTCTTACCAAGGACTTGCCAACAGTTGTATGTAAAGAGCTCTCGCAACTCAGTGATAACATAACCCAATTTAAAAAGCAAACACACGACCTGAACAGACGCTCGACAGTGGGAACCACATGAATGGCAAATAAGCACCTGAAAATTCCTCGGCGTCACCAGGCCGCAGGGAAATGCAATCAAAATCGTGCAGTACTGGCCGGGTGTGGTTGCCCTCGTCTGTCATCCCAGCACTCTGGGAGGCTGGGGCGGGTGGATCACCTGAGGTCAGGAGTTCAAGACCAGCCTGACCAACATAGTGAAACCCCATCTCTACTAAAAATACAAAACTAGCCGGGCGTGGTGGCGGGTGCCTGTAATCCCAGCTACTCGGGAGGCTGAGGCAGGAGACTCACTTGAACTGCAGGAGGTGGAGGTTGTAGTGAGCCGAAATTGCGTCATTGCACTGCAGCCTGGGCAACAAGAGTGAAACTCCATCTCAAAAAAAAAAAAAAAAAAAAAAAAAGCAGCTCATCCACATGAGGTTCTTAATTCCCCTTGTAAGAACTTACTTTAAAGATGCATTTAGGGTCCCCCCTAGCAGAAGCACCCTGGCTTGCAGCATCAGCCCATCGATACTGGCGTTTTCTTTCTTTTTTTTTTTTTTAGAGACAGAGTCTCACTTTGTTGCCCCGGCGGGAGTGCACTGGCACAAACATAGCTCACTGCAGCCTCGAACTCCTGGGATCTTCCTGCCTCAGCCTCACAAGCAGCTGAGACTTCAGGCATGAACCACCATGCCTGGCTGATTTTACTATTTTACAGAGATGGGGGAGTCTCGCTATGTTGCCCAGGCTGGGCTCAAACTCCTGGCCTCAAGGGATCCTCCCTCCTTGGCCTCCCAAAGTGCTGGGATTGAGCCACTGCACCCGGCCAATGCTCACATTTTCTAATTTGTACCAGTTTCTCTTCCCCAAAGACGGGAAGGAGCCACTGCAAGCACCCCTTTCAAACACAGAATGCAATCTCTCTGCTCAGTAACGATGAAGGCGTAGGTAACGTAAAACAATGCCGTTCCTTTCACCCTTGGCTGGGGAGTTCAATGGACCTAGCGTGAACCCTCCTGACAGCTCATACTCCATTCTGTACATGTGTGGGTGAGAAAAAGCTGCTTTATTTATGAAAATCTCTTCCTCTGACCCCAGCATCGCCCCTCCCCAGCCAGAGTTTGTAGCATGGAACTGCATCCTTCACTGTTAACGTGGCCTCGCGTATTCTGTATATGGGATGGACAGGAACAAGCTCATCTTTTTTTTTTTTTTTTTTTTTTTGAGACAGAGTCTTGCTCTGTCACCCAGGCTGGAGTGCAGTGGCGCGATCTCAGCTCACTGCAAGCTCTGCCACCCAGGTTCATGCCATTCTCCTGCCTCAGCCTCCGGAGTAGCTGGGACTACAGGCACCCGCCACCACGCCCGGCTAATTTTCTGTATCTTTAGTAGAGACAGGGTTTCACTGTGTTAGCCAAGATGGTCTCTATCTCCTGACCTTGTGATCCGCCCGCCTCGGCCTCCCAAAGTGCTGGGATCACAGGCATGAGCCACCGTGCCCAGCCCAAGCTCATCTTTTTTGTCCCAATGAACAGACACATCTTTCTAAGTTATTCACTTCTTGAGATTCAGCTGAAGTAAGCCATAGGTTCCAAACACGTAGACATGTTTAAGGTAAACTTTTAGTCCCAAACAAGGTCAGTCACTGCTTTTTGAAAATTCTTGCCATCTCCTAAGTGCAGAATCCTGCACCCTGCACACCCTGGCCGCCATGCCCACGGTCCACACGCATCCTTCCTTCTGCTTCTCCGGTCAGACCACTCCAGTCCCTCAACGTGACCTGAACATCTCATCTTTTTTTTTCTTTTTTTTTTTTTTTTGAGACAGAGTGTCTCACTCTTGTCACCCAGGCTGGAGTGCAGTGGCACAATTTCAGCTCACTGCAATCTCCGCCTCCCAGGTTCAAGTGATTCTCCTGCCTCAGCCTCCAGAGTAGCTGGGATTACAGGTGCCCACCACCACACCCAGCTAATTTTTGTATTTTTAGTAGAGACAGGGTTTCACCATGTTGGCCAGGTTGATCTCGAACTCCTGACCTCAGGTGATCCGTCCACCTCAGCCTCCCAAAGTGCTAGGAATTCAGGTGTGAGCGACTGAGCCTGGTCTCATTTTCACCGCCTCCCTTGGTCCTGCCCCCTATACCCAATAAACTCAGTGCATTTCTCAAGTTCCACTACTCACTTCCTCCTCAAAACTTTCTCCAGGAGAGAAATGATGTCTCCCTGCTTTGAACACCTTTGGAACTTAATTTCCACTTGTTAGAGGCTTCTTGCCTGATTTACAGAATATATCATCCTCTCACATGCACCCAAATGGCCTCGTTTGCACAGACCTGACCTTCCGTCAATATTCCCAGCCCTAGGAGAATTCATGCAAAGTCACAATAGTCCCAGCCCTAGGAGAATTCTTGCAAAGTCACACAATTCAAGCATTTACCTTAGCGTCTGGCTGTCATTCAACACGTTTAAGGACAAAATGGCAGCTCATTAGCGATCCCACTGAGAAAGCAAGTCATGGAGGGGAACCATCATTACTAGCACATGCTTCTTGAGTCCTGGCCCTCCTCTCAACCTCCTCAGTAAATGAGGGATTTGGGCAAGAGTTCCTAAGGTGCTTCAGGTTTTGCAGCTCACTGGGAAAGTGCACTGGGCCGGAGCTCAAGAGATGCGTCCTGGGGCCCTGAGTCCCCTCCTGGATCGGGATCTGGAGGGCCTGAGCCAGACGGTCTCCAAGCTGCCTCTAGCTCTAGTTCACATTTTCATCGACACGTACTTTTGGAAAATGTTCTAGATCCATCAGAAGACATCGGACAACCACCGGTAATTTAGAACGCAAGGAGCTCACCTCAGATTGCCACCCACCTCTCACTCAGCAAGTAGAGAGGCTGGTCCATTTTGGCTGGAAAACTGTGGTGCTACGTAAATATCACTTTGTGACATGCTTATTAGTGCTGCTGATGGAAAGCTGGTGTTCAGCTGAAAATTTTCAAATGGTATAAACAAGTTCCGACGGAACATTCTGAATATTTCAGGCTTCCGTAGTATTCTCGGGACACCAGACGCACCAGCCATACGTGTTTCTATAACATCTGGAAGCAATGTTTTATCGCTTTAAACTGCATAGTATAAAACGACAGAAAGCATTTTTAAAAATACACGGCTGTCGGCGGGCACGGTGGCTCACACCTGTAATCCCAAAACTTTGGGAGGCCGAGGCGGGCGGATCACGAGGTCAGGAGATCAAGACCATCCCGGCTAACACGGTGAAACCCCGTCTCTACTAAAAATACAAAAAAATTAGCCGGGCGTGGTGGCGGGCGCCTGTAGTCCCAGCTACTTGGGAGGCTGAGGCAGGAGAATGGCGTGAACCCGGGAGGCGGAGCTTGCAGTGAGCCGAGATCGCGCCACTGCACTCCAGCCTGGGGGACAGAGCGAGACTCCGTCTCAAAAAAAAAAAAAAAAAAAAAAAAAAAAAACCAAAAAAACAAAAAAACAACTAAGTTCCCAGTCATGACTGGATGGGAGTTTGGACACACCTTATTATACCCCTCCTGCTTTGGCAGTTTAAACACAACCAACCAGCAAAAAGGTTAAAATCAACATCGTAAGACTGACAGAACAGACTCTGTGGCAAACAAGACCAAGGGCCACCTGAGGTGAGGGTTAAGTCACACACCGCCTACACTTAAAGAATAAACTACAGTTCCAACTGCCAAAGCATTTCTTTTTCTCCAGCAGCTAAATGTCCTTTTAGGTTATTCACTAGAGACCTCTGCAGAAACTCGTTTTTGAGATTCAAGAAGTAAATAAAGGATGTTTTTCTTTTTCTCTATTGCTTATCTTGGCCTCAAGCTCGCGCACGCAAGAAGACTCTCTCTCTCTCTCTCTCTCTATATATATATATATACTTTTTTTTTTTTTTTGAGACAGGGCCTTCCTCTGTTGCTCAGGCTGGTGAGCAGTGGTGCAATCTCAGCTCACAGTAATCTCCGACTCCCAGCTTCAAGCATTTCTCCTGCCTCAGCCTCCTGAGTAGCTGAGACTTCAGGTGCGCCACCACGCCTGGCTAATTTGTGTATTTTTAGCAGAGATGGGGTTTCGCCATGTTGCCCAGGCTGGTCTCGAACTCCTGAACTCAAGTGATCTGCCTGCCTCCAACTCCCAAATGCTGGAATCACAGGCGTGAGTCACCATGCCTGACCAATATAAACAATATTAAAACACCTGCAGCTTCCTGTCAGATCCTGATGAACAGACCCCTCTGTTCCACCAGCCGTAACTACAGCTTTGACTGGGAAAAGACTGATTCCAGGCCAGGTGTGGTGGCTCACGCCTGTCATCCCAGCACTTTGAGAGGCTGAGGCGGGTGGATCACCTGAGGTCAGGAGTTTGAGACCAGTCTAGCCAACAAGGTGAAAGCCTGCCTCTACTAAAAATACAAAAATTAGCCGGGGGTGGTGGTGTGCGCCTGTAATCACAGCTACTCGGGAGGCTGAGGGAGGAGAATCGCTTGAACCCGGGAGGCGGAGGTTGCAGTGAGCTGAGATTGCACCATTGCATCTCAGCCTGGGTGAGAGTGAGAATCTGTCTCAAAAAAAAAAAAAAAAAAAAAAAACTGATTGCAATCACTTTATCCTGGTAACTACTCACCACGGACTGGTTCTGGCCGGTTGACAGAGGCTGCAGAGTTGCTTCACCTTTTGACCTAGGGGGCCTAACCATAATGCATTTAAATGTTAAGTCTCCGCTCCAAGGTGAACTCGGGAGTAGGTAACATGCATGTTTGTTCAATACCCATGCGTCAGGACACCCTTGGTGAATATCCATAGCTCTTCCTATAACTTCTTGAATATATACACTTGGCCAACCCACTCAGCATAAATTCCCGTCTCATCTTTTCTTCCCTCCAAGTGCTTGTTTTTAGTTTTCTTTTTTTTTTTTTTTTTTTTTTTTTTGAGATGGAGTCTTGCTCTGGTGCCCAGGCTGGAGTGCAGCCTCTGCCTCCTGGGTTCCAGTGATTCTCCTGCCTCAGCCTCCCGGGTAGCTGAGATTACAGGTACATTAGCCAGAGGCTGCGCTTCTCACCTGCGGTGTATAATCACCTTCTATGAAATAAATGGCGTTTCTTCTAAGAAATACAGTGGGATTTTGGGAGGCCGAAGCGGGAGGATTGCTTGGACCCAGGAATTCCAGAGCACTCTAGGTAACATAGCAAGACCTCGTCTCTGCAAAAATAAATAAATAAATAAATAAACAAAAATTAGCCTGGCGTGATGGTGCACGCCTGTAATCCCAGCTACTGGGGAGGCTGAGGCAGGAAGTCCAACTGTGTTTGCGCCACTGCACTCCAGCCTAGGAGACAGAGCAAGACCCTGTCTCCAAAGAATTGTAAAATAAATAAAAAACGGACCAGGCGCAGTGACTCACGTCTGAAATCCCAGCACTTTGGGAGGCCAAGGCGGGAGGATCACTTGAGGTCAGGAGTTCGAGACCAGCCTGGCCCACATGGGGGAAACCCAGTCTCTACTAAAAATACAACATCAGCCAGGCGTGGTGGCACGTGCCTGTAAGTCCCAGCTCCTCGGGAGCCTGAGGCAGGAGAATCGCTTGAACCTGGGAGGCAGAGGTTGCAGTGAGCCAAGATCGCGCCATCGTACTCCAGCCTGGGCAACAGAGCAAAACTCTGTCTCAAAATTAAAACAAATTAAAATAATAAAATAAAATAAAATAGGAAGCCTTTCTACCTTTATAAATTGTGTGATTTTTAGGTTAACAACTGTCAATGACGGAATGTTCAGTACGTGGGACTTTCTTGTCTGTATGTGTGTGGTGGGGGGGGTCGGGGCGGGGAACAGACTCAATATGAAACCGTTTTGGGGTCTGACGCTCGCCCACCAGCCTCCATCGCGCAGCCACACGCCCACTATGCGACCAGAGCCACCTGCGCAGTTGTTAGCAGAAGGAAGAGTAACTTACTACTCTCGTCCCTGCGGATCTACGGGTGCCTCGAACGTGGGGCGCGTTCCTGGGGCTGGAGGCGGCGCCCAGGGGCAGCGCAGGGCCCGGCCCGGGGGTTCCCGGGGGTTCGAGCCCGCTGGGCCGGGGGGCGGCGAGCGGGGCTGTGGGCCAGGCCCCGGGCTGCTCCCCGTCCCCCGGGGTCGGCTGGTCCCGCCCGGGCGCCTTGATCCGGCGCAGGCAGTCCTGCAGCATCCGCTGCGTGCTGGCCTCGCTGAGCCAGTACAGGAACAGCTCGTCCACCTTCATCTTCAGGACCGGCTGCAGCACTTTGCCGGGCGGCATGGCGGGGGCTGGGCCCGCGGCGCCCCCGGACGCCCGCGCCCCGCCCCGCCCCGGGGGCTTCGGTCCGCCCCGGACCGACCTCGGTGATGCGAGCACGGCCCGCTGAGGGGGCGCGGCGCAGGGAACAGGGCCCGCGCCTCGGGAACTGCGCGGACTCGCGGGGCGCGGGGACCGAGGAGGGGGCGCGGTCCGGCCCGCGCTGCTCAGGGCAGCTTCAAAACGGGCGCGCCGGCCGCGCTCCCAAACAAGGGCGCCCGCGTTCACGTCACTGCGTCGCGTCATCGCGACGATGTCATCACGAGGCGACGCCGCCGCTAGCCACGCGCGCCCCGCGGCCCTCGGAGCTTTTGCAGGAGGCTTTGGTGGGGCCGAGCGGCTGCGGTGAGGACGAGGGAGGGGCTGTGGCGGCCGTACCGCCCGAGCTCTTTCTGCGTTTAGGATTTTTAGAGGCGCGGCCCATGGCGGCGTGGCAGTCCTAGAGCTGCGGAAATGCGAGCATGCGCAATGCGTGCCTGCCAGAGCGAGGAGAGGGTGGAACCTCCGCATGGAGCATGCGCCGTGCATAGCGGTGGAGGAGCGGAGTTCGGGAGGCCGGTCGGGTGAGCGTGCGCAATGGCTGCCCGCGGGGCGCAAGCCAGAGGCTGGGAGGTGTGTGAGCGGGTGGGGCTGGAGGACGGGAGTGCGCCTGCGCAGTGGGAGGCACCGGGAACGAGCGAGCATGCGGGGTGCGCGCCCGCCGAGCTCGGGAGCGAGCGTGCGTCCTACGGGAGCGCGCGAGGAAAAGATCAAACTTTTCAATAACAGCGGGCTACCTGGGACCCAAAGGGCCCCGTTTACTTTAGCTTTGCTTATCAAACAGTAGAGACAGGTTGGAGGAGTTGGACCCCTTTAAACGTTGGTGTTCAGGGATGAGCGTGAAGTGCGTTGAAAATTGCAAAAATCATCCACGTCCAGGGAGGTGACATTAGTTAAATAACTTTACCCAATGGTCGTTTTTGTTTCTGCTTTTAACAGTATCCATAAAAACACTGCATTATCATCTGTCTGGCACACATGCACCTGTTTCCTTTACATCTTGCCCCGCTTTTTATTCATTTTTTATCAAAATAGGGTTTCACCTGGTGTTGCACCCTGTTAGAGAGTAATTTCAAGGTCTTTTATGAGCCAGGTTCTCCTACTTCTGAGCTGCATAAATCGAGCCAGACTCAATAAGTAACCCTTGGCCGGGCGCGGTGGCTCAAGTCTGTAATCCCGGCACTTTGGGAGGCTGAAGCGGGCAGATCACGAAGTCAGGAGTTCGAGACCAGCCTGGCCAGCATAGTGAAACCGCCCCCACCATCTCTACTAAAAATAGAAAAATTAGCCGGGCATAGTAGCGTGTGCCTGTAGTCCCAGCTACTCGGGAGGCTGTGGCGGGAGAATTGCTTGAACCCAGGAGGTGGAGGTTGCAGTGAGCTGAGATCACACCATTGCACTCCAGCCTGGGCGACAGAGCCAGACTTTGTCTCAAAAAAAAAAAAAATAACTCTTTTTTTAGTTTTATTTTTTTTTTGAGTTGGAGTCTCGCTCTGTCGCCCAGGCTGGAGTGCGATGGCAAGATCTCAGCTCACTGTAACCTCCGCCTCCCGGGTTCAAGGGATCCTCCTGCCTCAGCCTCCCGAGTAGCTGGGATTACAGGCGCCCGCCACCACGCCTGGCTAATTTTTGTATTTTTGGTAGAGACAGGGTTTCACCGTATTAGCCAGGATGGTCTCGAACTCCTGACCTCAAGTGATCCACCCGCCTCGGCCTCCCAAAGTGCTGGGATTACAGGCGTGAGCTACCACGCCCGGCCTAAATAACTCTTTTTGTTCGTATGAGACAGGGTTTTGCTCCGTCACCCAGGCTGCGATCTTAGCTGAGTGCAGCCTTGATCTCCTGGCTCAAGCGATCCTCCCACCTCAGCCTTCCAAGCAGCTGGGACAACAGGCATGCGCCACCATGCCTGGCTCATTTTTAATTTTATTGTTTATAGAGACGAGGTGTTGCTGGTCTCACACTCCTGGCCTCAAGCAATCTTCCTGCCTTTGCCTCTGTCTCTGCCTCCCAAAGCGTTGGGATTACAGGCGTGAGCCACCGCACCCGATTTAAATCACTCATAAACGATAGTTTTGTGTTGTGTACATAATGATTTGAATTTCAGTTTGTGTTTCGTGATTGGATATAAAAATCCGAGTGTACTTGGTCAGAAGAGCGCCATCACGCAGGAATTCTGTGAAGTTATTTTTCCTAATTGGGAAGCAACCGTTTGTGTGTGTGTGCGATGCTGTGATTTCTGGAGGGAAGTGAATATATTAATACAGTTCTCTGTTTGAGTATGTATCGGACACAGACGTCTTTTCAAGGAACAAACGTGCTTTTCATTCTGGGTGTTTCGATGAGCTGCGAGTCACTGTTGGAAGCATCACTGCAGTTTTGAGGGGAAAGGGTTTCCTTTGAATGCCTGCACAAGAGGCCTTTCTCTGCCAGGTTACTGGGGCACAGTGTAGTGAGGCCCAGGGCCAACAGGACAGAAATCAACTCAGGGCAGAAACAGAATGCGCCTTCAGTCTGCGCTGGGGCCCGGGGGCCCACTCCGTGCAGGCTTTGCTCTGGGAGAACAAAGAGGTGCTGTCGGGCCCCCAAGGCTGGCAGGGCCTGAGGTGTTGCAGAGTTTGCTGGGATGTGGCCAGCTGCAATTATCCAAGCTGCTCCACAGCCGGATGGACGCCCTGCCCATTCGGGTCTGTCCGTCTTGCAGGGGTGGTGGGTGGCCACCAGAATTGTCCTGGGGAGAGAAAGGTGAGGGCAGGCCGGGAGATTGCAGTGGCTCATGCCTGTCATCCCAGCACTTTGGGAGGCCGAGACGGTGGATCACCTGAGGTCAGGGGTTCAAGACCAGCCTGGCCAACATGGTGAAACCCCCGTCTCTACAAAAATACAAAAATTAGCCAGGCACGGTGGCTCACACCTGTCATCCCAGCACTTTGGGAGGCCGAGGTGGTGGATCACCTGAGGTCAGGAGTTCGAGACCAGCCTGGCCAACATGGTGAAACCCCGTCTCTACAAAAATACAAAAATTAGCCAGGCATGGTGGCTCACACCTGTCATCCCAGCACTTTGGGAGGCCGAGGCAGGAGGATTGTTTAAGCCCAGGAGGTCAAGACCAGCCTTGGCAACATGGCGAGCCCCATCTCTAGAGAATATTTAAAAATTAGCTGAGCATCCTGGCGTGTGCCTGTGGTCCCAGCTACTCGGGAGGCTGAGGTAGGAGGATCGTTTGAGCCTGGGAGGTTGAGGCTTCAGTGAGCCGAGATCTCACCACCGCTCTCCAGCCGAGGCAGGAATGAAAGACTCTGTCCCTAAAAGCATTAAATTTTAAAAAGCAGCCAGATATCGTGGCTCACACCTGTTATCCCAGCACTTTGGGAAGCTGAGGTGGGAGGATCACCTGAGGTCAGGAGTTCGAGACCAGCCTGACCAACATGCTGAAACCCCGTCTCTACAAAAATACAAAAATTAGCCAGACGTGGTGGCTCACACCTGTCATCCCAGCACTTTGGGAAGCTGAGGCAGGCAGATCACCTGAGGTCAGGAGTTCGAGACCAGCCTGGCCAACATGGTGAAACCCCGTCTTTACAAAAATAGAAAAATTAGCTGGGCATGATGGCGGGTGCCTGTAATCCCAGCTACTTGGGAGACTGAGGCAGAAGAATCACTTGAACCCAGGAGACAGACGTTGCAGTGAGCCGAGATCACAGCATTGCACTCCAGCCTGGACAGCAGAGCGAGACTCCCTCTCGAAAAAATAAAAATAAAAATAAAATAAAAAGCGAGAATGGGGAGGGAAGAGTAGCGAGGAAGATTCCGGAAGACTCTGCTCCTCTGTGGGATGTAGGTCCAGGAACAAAGAGCTGGGTCAGCGCTTCCCAGGGAGGTGAGGAAGGAGGGAGCCACAACGGTTGTAGAGGGAGAGAAGCTCCTTCCTTCATCCACCTGAGCCCGGGTCTCCTGTGTGGCCACAGCCTCTGCAGCCTCTGCCCCACCTGCAGCTGCTCAGAAATGCAAACTCACCCACTGTATGACATGCTCTGGATCTCAGTCGGCCTTCGCCCCGCAGACCTGGGTGGTTGATCGAACACTAAAGCTCCAGACCTGGAGATGCCTCAGAGGAAGCACCTGGCAAGTAGGATCTCCCTGGTCCTGCGCCGACCCAAAGCTCCCAGCTAGGTGCGTGCAGTGAGAGGTCAAAGAGGGATCAAGTTTATATCTGCCGCTTGCATTCCGCACGATGACTTAAAACAAACAAACAAAACAAACAAACAAAAAAAAACAAAAAACCCAGCCGAGCACAGTGTCATCCCAGCACTTTGGGAGGCCGACAGGGGTGGATCACGAGGTCAAGAGATCGAAACCAGCCTGGCCAACGTGGTGAAACCCCGTCTCTACTAAAAATACAAATATTAGCTGGGCGTGGTGGCGGGCACCTGTAACCCTAGCAACTCGGGAGGCTGAGGCAGGAGAATCACTTGAACCCGGGAGGCGGAGCTTGCAGTGAACAGAGATCATGCCCCTGTACTCCAGCCTGGCGACAGAGCGAGACTCTGTCTCAAAATGAATAAATAAATAGGAAAGTAGTGTGGGTCTGCATTCTGCAGGTTTTGGAAACACATTTCCGAGTGCATATTTCAGGTGAGGAGAGGTGGGGACTCCAGGCAGCGTGCACAGTTTAGACTCTAACCGTGGGCCGGGAGTGGTGGCTCACTCCTATAATCCCAGCACTTTGGGAGGCCGAGGTGGGCGGATCACAAGGTCAGGAGTTCGAGACCAGCCTGGCCAATATGGTGAAGCCCCATCTGTACTAAAAATCCAAAAATTAGCCAGATGTGGTGGCGTGCACCTGTCATCCCAGCTACTGGGGAGGCTGAGGCAGGAGAATCGCTTGAACCCGGTGGAGGCGGAGGTTGCAGTGAGCCGAGATCGCGCTGCTGTACTCCAGCCTGGGTGACAGAGCGAGACTCCCTCCCAAAAAAAGAAACCACCGTAACTGTGGCAGTAAGAGGCCAGGAACTCTCACAGATACCTCGTCCAAAACCGGCAAAGGAGAGGATGGAACATTTGCTGTAGAGGTTTTCCTGCCTCTTCATAACTCCTTGAGGCTGTGTCCTCATCCATCTTCCAGAAACCAAAAACCCTTCACACATCGCCCCTTTTGTCCCGAGCGGCGCCCGCTGCCACCTGCTTGGCAAAATAAAACGTAAGTGGAAAAATGCTCCCTTTTCCATTTTCCTCTCTAATTGAATTCTCTCCTGACCTCTCGGTTCCCCACGGCTGTGTTTCAGGTTTTGATGATAAGGAAAAGAACTCTGTATTTGGATAATACGATTTTCAGCAACCTTCAACTCAATTTCCTCTCCCCGGAGACAGTGTATCTTATAGGATAGAATGAAATCCCTTATTCATAGGGAAAAAGTTCCAATTTAATCTGAATATTCAGCGTGCCGCCGTGGCCGGGGTGATGGATGGCGTATGGAAATATCACAGTTCAAGCAATCAGATGTCAGAATGCACTCTGCTACTGGAAGAAATAATGACGCCTATCCAATTTTCTATAAGGCGCAGAAATGCACGTTGCATCGTGAGGACCCCGGCTTTCTCCTATTACCTTACTAATCACATCTCCATTTAAACACAGAACAGAAAAGGAAGCGTGGTCACAAATTAA
Source organism: Homo sapiens (assembly GCF_000001405.40). NCBI lineage: Eukaryota > Metazoa > Chordata > Mammalia > Primates > Hominidae > Homo > Homo sapiens. Next base: position 392,435 of record NC_000024.10, read on the forward strand.
GAATTAATGGAAGTGAGACTCCGCAATGGATTCGGGGCCGAGGGCCAAAGGCGGCCGCCACGTGCCGCTATTTACATGAAGTCACAGAGATGACGGGGATGAGCGGGGTCCCCTTGTCAGAAGCTGCTGGGCCAGATGAACCTGACAAGTATCTCCTAAGAAGGATTTAGAAAAGGGGAAGATGAAATCTTTGGAGGTAATGGAGAATTAGAAGCATGTCATTACCTATAAATCCTGCGGCCCTGCACACGCTGTTGACAGCCCGGAAGATGAGACTGGCTGAGAGGAAAAAGATTCTGAGCCTGGAACAAGCGGACCCAGATTCTAGGTGGCCAGGCTGTGTGGTTGCTTTTATCATTCCGGGAGACTTTCGGGAGGAAATGTTTGCAAAGAGCACGCAGATGGGGAAATGTTTGCAAAGAGCACGCAGATGGCATTTTCTTTTCTCTCTATTTTTTTTTTTTTGAGACGTAGTTTTTGCTCTTGTCGCCCAGGTTGGAGCCGCCTCCCGGGTTCAAGCGATTCTCCTGCCTCAGCCTCCCAAGTAGCTGGGATTACAGGCACCTGCCACCACGCCCGGCTACCTTTTATATTTTTAGTAGAGACTGGGTTTTGCCGCGTTGGCCAGGCTGGTCTCGAACTCCCGACCTCAGGAGATCTGCCCGTCTCGGCCTCCGAAAAGTGCTGGGATTACAGATGTGAGTCACCGCGCCTGGCCAGCATTTTGTATCACCCCTAACTGCATCTATTTTGGTGTTGTTCATGATAATAATAAATGTCATGCATATCTCTGATTGAACTTGGCCCGTGCTTGAGCTCATTAGAAACAGGTTTTCCTATGTGTCATCTCTTATTTTTCTTGGTAATACTTGGAGCTGAGATTTCTTTTTCTCTCTCTTTCTTCCTCTCTCTTTCTCTCTTTCTTCCTCTCTCTTTCTCTCTTCCTTCCTCTCTCTTTCTCTCTTCCTTCCGAGACAGGGTCTCACTCCGTTACCCAGGCTGGAGTGCGGTTGTACGATCACAGCTGCTGTCTTGACCTCCTAGGCTCAAGTGATCCTCCACCCTCAGCCTCCCGAGTAGCTGAGACTGCAGGCATGCACCGCCATGCCCGCCTAATTTTTTTATTTTTTTCTAGAGATGGGGTCTGACTATGTTGCCCAGGCTGGTCTCAAACTCTTGGCCTCAAGCAATCCTCCTGCCTCGACCTCCCAAAGTGCTGGGATTACAGGCGTGAGCTACCGCACGCAGCCTTGAATCCTTTTAATAAGTACTTTCCTCTTATCCACGACCCAGAACATCACACTGTAGACAGTTGTTTAGGGTTTTGAAAGATTTATATTTTTAATTTTTTTTTTTTTTTTGAGACAGTCTTGCTCTTTTGCCCAGGCCGGACTGCAGTGGCACAATCTCGGCTCACTGCAAGCTCCACCTCCCGGGTTCACGCCATTCTCCTGCCTCAGCCTCCCGAGTAGCTGGGACCACAGGTGCCCACCACCACGCCCGGCTAATTTTTTGTATTTTTAGTAGAGGTGGGATTTCACCGTGTTAGTCAGGATGGTCTCGATCTCCTAGCCTTGTGATCCGCCCGCCTCAGCCTCACGAAGTGCTGGGATGACAGGCGTGAGCCACCGCGCCCGGCCAATTTTTTTTTTGAGCTAGGATCTCACTCTGTCACCAGGTTGGAGTGCAGTGGTGCGATCTCAGCTCACTGCAACCTCCGCCTCCCAGGCTCAAGCGATCCTCCCACCTCAGCCTCCCAATTAGCTGGGACCACAGGCACCTGCCACCACACCTGGCTAATTTTTTTTGTAGAGACGGGGTTTTGACATGTTGTCCAGGCTGGTCTCAAACTCCTGAGCTCAAGCAATCTACTGGTCTCGGCCTCCCAAAGTGCGGAGATGACCACCATGAGTGACCGTGCCAGGCCTCTGTTTTTAATTTTGTAATTGAGATACATTCCACATAACATAAAAGGAACCGTTTTAAAGTGAACAGGGGCATTTAAAACATCCACAATGGCGTACCACCACCTCTGTCTAGTTCCGGAACACTTGCGCTGGGCATGGTGGTTCACGCCTGTCATCCCAGCACTTTGGGAGGCCGAGGCGGGCGGATCACCTGAGGTCAGGAGTTCAAAACCAGCCTGGCCAACATGACGAAACCCCATCTCTACTAAAAATACAGAAGTTAGCTGGGTTTGGTGGCTGGTGCCTGTAATCCCAGATACTTGGGAGGCTGAGGCAGGAGAATCACTTGAGCCTGGGAGGCGGAGGTTGCAGTGAGCCGAGATCACGCCACTGCGCTCCAGGCTGGGCCACAGAGCGAGACCCGGTCTCAAAAATAAACAAACAAACCAACAACAACAAAAGGTCTGGAGCATTTTCTTCACCCCAAAAGTAAACCCTGTCCCCATTAACAGTCATTCGTCCCCCTCCCCATCCCCTGGCAACCACCCATCCACTTTCTGCCTCCATGGATTTGCCTGTTCTGGACCTTTCCTAGAAATGGAATCTTACTCTATGTGGCCTTTTGTGTCTGGCTTCTCTCACGGAGTGTGACATCCTCAAGGCTCATCCACATTGCAGCCTGTGTCACAGCCTCGTTCCTTTTCATGGCTGCATACTATTCCACCATGTGGATGGACCACATTGTGCTAATCCACCCATCCACTGGTGGACACTTGAGTGGTTTCTGCTTTTGGGCCGTTACGAAATCCAGCTACTGTGAAACAGTTCACTTTTATTTTATTTTATTTATTTATTTTTTTGAGATGGAGTCTCGCTATCTCGCCTGTGCTATAGTGGCAGAATCTCGGCTCACTGCAAGCTCCGCCTCCCAGGTTCAAGTGACTCTCCTGCCTCAGCCTCCCGAGTAGCTGGGATTACAGTCACCCACCAGCATGCCCAGCTAATTTTTGTAGTTTTAGTAGAGACAGGGTTTCACCATGTTGGCCGGGCTGGTCTCGAACTCCTGACCTCAGGTGATCCACCCGTCTCAGTCTCCCAAAGTGCTGGGATGTTGCAGGCGTGAGCCACCGCGCTGGCCTCTAGGTGATTCTTTAACTAGAACGATAGATATCGGACTTTTGCTATGGGGTGGATTTTCCTCCTAATCTGAAATGAGGCAAAAAGTCTTAGCATGTCAGATGTGACGCCTTCTTTTATTTCGCTCAGCATAAATTTTAAGCAAATTGAGAATGGAGCCTGGGTACCCATTTCGGTAAAAGCTTTGTTTTTTTTTTTCTGCGTAAGACCTACATTTGACTCAGAGTGTAGTTGGTGAAATGCACATTTTTCTTAATGACAGAAGGACGTATTTCTTTCTTTCTTTCTTTCTTTTTTTTTTTGAGACAGACTGTCACTCTGTCGCCCAGGCTGGAATGCAGTGTCGTGATCTCAGCTCACTGCAAGCTCCGCCTCCCGGGTTCACGCCATTCTCCTGCCTCAGCCTCCCTAGTAGCTGGGACTACAGGCACCCGCCACCACGCCCGGCTAATTTTTTGTATTTTTAATAGAGACAGGGTTTCACCATGTTAGCCAGGATGGTCTCGATCTCCTGACCTCGTGATCCGCCTGCCTCAGTCTCCCACAGTGCTGGGATTACAGGCGTGAGTTACCGTGCCCGGCCGAAATGCACATTTTTCTGAATGACAGAAGGATGTATTTCTTTTTTTTTTTCTTTTTTTGAGACAGAGTCTCGCTCTGTCACCCAGGCTGGAGTGCAGTGGCGCGATCTCGGCTCACTGCAAGCTCCACCTCCCGGGTTCATGCCATTCTCCTGCCTCAGCCGCCTGAGTAGCTGGGACTACAGGCGCCCGCCACCACGCCCGGCTAATTTTTTTGTATTTTTAGTAGAGACGGGGTTTCACCGTGTTAGCCAGGATGGTCTCGATCTCCTGACCTCGTGAGCCGCCCACCTCGGCCTCCTAAAGTGCTGGGATTTACAGGCGTGAGCCACTGCGCCCGGCCAGAAGGACGTATTTCTGATAGCCAGGGGTAGTGATTTACAGCACTGTAGTACAGAAAACTGTTTTTTTCCTCTTTGTAAAAGGAGTAGTTGCTGATTGGAGAAAACTTGGGAAGTACAGAGAGTATTCAAAAATCAGGGCTGGGCTTTGGGAGGCTGAGGCAGGCGGATCACAAGGTCAGGAGTTCGTGACCAGCCTGACCAACATGGTGAAACCCCGTCTCTACTAAAAATACAAAATTAGCTGGGTGGGGTGGTGGGCACCTGTAATCCCAGCTACTCAGGAGGCTGAGGCAGGAGAACCACTTGAACCCAGGAGGCGGAGGTTGCAATGAGCCGAGATTGCACCACTGCACTCCAGCCTGGGCAACAGAGCGAGATGCCATCTGAAAAAAAAAAAAAAAAAAAAAAAGCCGGGCCGGATGGCTCCTGCCTGTAATCCCAGTACTTTGGGAGGCTGAGGTGAGAGGATCACTGGAGCCTAGGAATTTGAGATGAGCTTGGGCAACATAGCAAGACCCCATCTCTACCAAAAAGCAAAATTAGCTGGGCATGGTGGCCCATGCTGTAGTCCCAGCTACTCGGGAGGCTGAGGCAGGCGGATTACTTGATCCCAGGAGTTTGAAACTAGTCTGGGCAACGTAGTGAGATGCCATCTCTACCCCCCCCCCAAAAAAAATTAGCCCAGCATGGTGGTGTGCACCTGTAGTCCTAGCTACTCGGGAGGCTGAGGTGGGAGGATCACTTGAGCCCAGGAGGTCAAGGCTGCAGTGAGCCGAGATCACACCATTGCATTCCAGCCTGGGCAACAGAGCAAGACCCTGTCTCACATAAAATAAAATAAATAGGCCGGGCGCAGTGGCTCATGCCTGTCATCCCACACTTTGTGAGGCCGAGGCGGGCGGATCACGAGGTCAGGAGTTTGAGACCATCCTGGCCAACATGGTGAAACCCCGTCTCTACTAAAAATACAAAAAAAAAAAAATAGCCGGGCATGGTGGCGGGCGCCTGTAGTCCCAGCTACTCGGGAGGACGAGGCAGGAGAATGGCGTGAACCCGGGAGACGGAGCGTGCAGTGAGCCGAGATCGTGCCACTGCACTCCAGCCTGGGCGACAGAGCGAGACTCCGTCTCAAAAAAAAAAAAAAAGTCCAGACATGGTTGTTCAACAGCACAGAGGGACGTCTTGCTGAGAAGTGGCCGGACGAGGCTGCCCCAGACACCGCAGCCCTCTCCTCCTGCCCCCCACACCCTCCAGGACTGAAGAGGCCGTAGGCTCGGCCGGCAGCATCTGCTCCCTTTGTCCTCCAAAGGAACCCGTGTGTGGAAGGAATGCCTCCGGGGAGAACAGCTGACGTCCGGTGCCGTTTTGGCAGCACGGAACCCCAGTTATTTTCAGATGTCTTGTTCGTGCCCCAGAGGTCAGGGACCAGCAGCTTTCAGGAAGCCTCGGCCAGGCACTGCGTTAACTCCGCGATGACTTTCTGGCTGCAGAATCCCAACTATGCAATTCACTCTTAATCCCCAGCTTCAAGGCACTGTCAGGCGTTTCCGTGACAAAAACTCTCTCTTTTTTTTTTCTTTTCTTCTTTTGTTTTTTTTTTTTTTTTTTTTGAAATGGAGTCTTGCTCTGTCACCCAGGCTGGAGTGCAGTGGTGTTATCTCTGCTCACAGCAACCTCCGCCTCCCGGGTTCAAGCGATTCTCCTGCCTCAGCCTCCCGAGTAGCTGGGACTACAGGCACCCGCCACCACGCCCGGCTAATATTTTGTATTCCTTGTAGAGATGGGGTTTCAGCATCTCTACGCTATTTCCAAATAAGGTCCCAGGCTGGGGGCGGTGGCTCACACCTATAATGTTGGCCAGGCTGGTCTCGACCTCCTGACCTCAAGCGATCCACCCGCCTCGGCCTCCCAAAATGCCGGGATGACAGGCGTAAGCCAACGCGCCCGGCCAGAAACCTGCTATATTCTGCACCGTTTTTCCGGGTCCAGGCAGACGTGGGTCCCTGTGGTTTCAGAGCACAAGTGGTGTTTTATGGAATCATCTTCGCTGTGGCAAGCACACTATGGTAGATGGGATAGGGTGGGTGTTGGTGGTGAGGAAGAGGTCGTGCCCGTCCGTGGATGACGTGGGAAGCTCTCGAAGAGTTGCTGGCATTTGTACCTGTTTGCACGCAGCAGCGCTCTGAGTGGCAGAGACAGGATGTCCCCCAGATCCCACGTCCCCGCAGTTGTTAGTGAGACGGATGCCTCGGGATGTGCCTTGGTCTCTGGTTTGAGAACGTTTCTGTTGACTTGCCATTTTCTAACCACGGGGCGCACAGCAGAGTCAGAACTGGGTTACAGAACGTGGGCTATGGACTCCAGTTGCCTTTCTGACCTACTTTATTTTGTTTTGTTATTTTATTTTATTTATTTATTTATTTTTTGAGACGGAGTCTCGCTCTGTCGCCCAGGCTGGAGTGCAGTGGTGCGATCTCGGCTCACTGCAAGCTCCGCCTCCCGGGTTCACACCATTCTCCTGCCTCAGCCTCCCGAGTAGCTGGGACTACAGGCGCCCGCCACCACACCCGGCTAATTTTTTGTATTTTTAGTAGAGACGGGGTTTCACCGTGTTGGCCAGGCTGGTCTCAAACTCCTGACCTCAAGTGATCGGCCCACCTTGGCCTCCCAAAGTGCTGGGATTACAGGCGTGAGCCATCACGTCCGGCCTTCAAGTACACTTTCTGTTGAATGCATACTGCTTTCTCTCCAGCATAAAGTTAAAAAATCCTGAATTGCACCATTGGAAGCTGGGGACTGTCTGTATGCAATATTATGTATAGTTTGATTTCTTTTTTTGCATTTTTTTTTTAAATTTTTTTGAGACAGAGTTACACTCTTGTTGCCCAGGCTGGAGTGCAGTGGCACGATCTCAGCTCACTGCAACCTCCACCTCCCGGGTTCAAGCAATTCTCCTGCCTCAGTCTCCCAAGTAGCTGGGATGACAGGCGTGAGCCACCACGCCCGGCTAATTTTGTATTTTTAGTGGAGATGGGGTTTCTCCATGTTGGCCAGGCTGGTCTCGAACTCCTGACCTCGTGATCCGCTCGCCTCAGCCACCCAAAGTGCTGAGATAACAGGCGTGAGCCACCGTGCCTGGCTAATTTTGTATTTTTAGTGGAGATGGGGTTTCTCCATGTTGGCCAGGCTGGTCTCGAACTCCTGACCTCGTGATCCGCTCGCCTCAGCCACCCAAAGTGCTGAGATAACAGGCGTGAGCCACCGTGCCGGGCTAACTTTGTATTTTTAGTGGAGATGGGGTTTCTCCATGTTGTCCAGGCTGGTCTCGAACTCCTGACCTCATGACCCGCTCGCCTCGGCCACCCAAAGTGCTGAGATGACAGGCGTGAGCCACCGTGCCCGGCTAATTTTGTATTTTTAGTGGAGATGGGGTTTCTCCATGTTGTCCAGGCTGGTCTCGAACTCCTGACCTCATGACCCGCTCGCCTCGGCCACCCAAAGTGCTGAGATGACAGGCGTGAGCCACCGCGCCCGGCTAATTTTGTATTTTTAGTGGAGACGGGGTTTCTCCATGTTGGCCAGGCTGGTCTCGAACTCCTGACCTCATGACCCGCTCGCCTCGGCCACCCAAAGTGCTGGGATGACAGGCGTGAGCCACCGCGCCCGGCCACAGTTACACACGGACACAGAGCCAAGGGGCCACCTGAACTCCCTCTCAGCCCTGGAATGAAAGACCATAGGACCAGGCGCGGCGGCTCATGCCCACAATCCCAGCACAGTGGGAGGCCGAGGCAGGAGGATCGCTTGAGGCCTGGAGTTCGAGACCAACCTGGGCCACCTAGCAAGACCCTGCCCCTACCAAAAAATGTAAACAATAAAAATAAATGAAAAGCAACAATAAAAGAAGGTAGACCACGTGTTGCGGGACCTTCCTCTCCTGGGGCGCCTTGTGGGTGTGGGCAGGGGAGGCTATTCCCGGCCTTTCACGTTCTAAAAACATCCCGTGGAAAGTGTACAGACGGCATCTGTGGGGCTCACCTCTGTGCCCGTCACTCGATCGTGGGCCTGCTGAGTGGCGCTATTTTTGGAGGGCAGCTGGGGGAGGGAGGAATTGGTACGATTTTGCTATTATAGGAAGGAAGACTAAGGGATTCCTAGGCTTGCTTACATGCTTTTTTTTTTTTTGAGACGGAGTCTCGCTGTGTCGCCCAGGCTGGAGAGCAGTGGCCCCATCTCATCTGACTGCAAGCTCTGCCTCCCGGGTTCACGCCATTCTCCAGCCTCAGCCTCCTAGAGAGTAGCTGGGGCTACAGGCGCCCGCCACCAACACCCGGCTAATTTTTTGTATGTTTAGTAGAGACAGGGGGTCTCACCGTGTTAGCCCGGATGGTCTCAAGATCTCCTGAACTTGTGATCCGCCCGCCTCGGCCTCCCAAAGTGCTGGGATTAGAGGCGTGAGCCACCGCGCCCGGCCGCCTACATGATTGTTATAAGCCATGACCCTTTCGGCATATGAGAGAGTGTGTGAATCCTGTCAGTTCAGGGTTAGAAGCCCAGGATGCATGATTGAGGTGGCTGTCTGCAATAGCAACTTGCTTTCTCATGGCAGAAAATTAGATTTTTTTTTTTTCTTTTTGAGACAGACTCTTTCTCTGTCACTCAGACTGGAGTGCAATGGCACGATCACAGCTCACTGCAGCCTCAAACTCCTGGGCTCCAGCAATCCTCCCACCTCAGCCTCCTGAGCACCAGGGACCACAGGCGTGCACCACCATACCCAGCTAATTTTTAAATTTCTTTAGAAATGAGATCTCGCTATGTTGCCCAGGCTGGTCTCAAACTCCTGGGCTTAAGCCATCCTCCTGCTTCAGCCTCCCAAAGTGCTGGGATTACAGGCGTGAGCCACTGCACCTGGCCCATGTATGCATTTTAATATATATTAAAGAGACGGAGTTTCGCTCTTGTCACCCAGGCTGGAGGGCAGTGGTGCGATCTTGGCTCACTGCAACCTCCGCCTCCCAGGTTCAAGCCATTCTCCTGCCTCAGTCTCCCAAGTAGCTGGGATTACAGGTGCTCACCACCATGTCTTCTATCCTTAAAGAACGGGGAAATTTGGGTGCAGATGTGTGTGTGTGTGTGTGTGTGTGTGTATGTGTGTGTGTGTATATATCTGTGTGTGTGTATATATGTGTGTGTCTGTATATATATGTGTGTATGTGTGTATATATATAAAATACAATATAAATTTTTTAAAAAATATAGTTTATAAAATTATGTTTTATAAAAAATTTTAAAATATAGAAACAAAATTATAGTTTGTAAAAACATTTTTACACATATGACAATATGTAAAATTGTATTTTATAAAAAGTTTTAAAATATGAAAATATATAAAATTACATTTTATAAAAACATAAGCCCTTCACCCTTCTTCTGTATTAAATTAGCAACCTGCAAAGCTGACCTCCGGGAGTCTCAGAGAGGCTGGCTTGTTTAATGGAACCGTGTATTCTTTTTTGTTTGTTTGTTTTTTGAGGCGGAGTCCCGCTCTGTCGCCTGGGCTGGAGTGCAGTGGTGCAATCTGGGCTCACTGCAAGCTCCGCCTCCCGGGTTCACGCCATCCTCCTGCCTCAGCCTCCCGAGTAGCTGGGATGACAGGTGCCCGCCACCACGCCCGGCTCATTTTTTGTAGTTTTGGTAGAGACGGGGTTTCACTGTGTTACCCAGGATGGTCTCGATCTCCTGAACTCGTGATCCACCCGCCTCGGCCTCCCATAGTGCTGGGATGACAGGCGTGAGCCACCGTGCCCGGCCAGAAGAAAGCCTTTATGGAGAAGAATGTTGACACTATGACAGCGAATTGTGTGCCTGCTGGCTGTCTGGGTTTAACCCACCCCTCACAGCCCCACCCAGCCCCCACCAATCAGAACGTGAGCCGCCGAGGACAGGAAGGTTTCTCCTTGGTCTGTTTCTCTCACTACAGGGACCCCGGGAAATAGAATGGCACCTGTCACACGGTAGCTTTCAGACAGACACATTCAGAGTCCAGAATGTTCACCATTACACCATGGAACTGTCTTCACGGTAGCTTCCTAATACATGTTTGTTCCCTCGATAAATGAAACAAGGGCGTCGGGGCTCCAGCCTGTCATCCCAGCACTTTGGGAAGTAGAGGTGGGTAGGTTCCTTGAGTTCAGGAGTCTGAGACCAGCCTGGACAACACAGCAAGATCCAGTCTCTGCAAAAAAAAAAAAAATACACTAAATTAGCCGGGCATGGTGGCACCTGCCTGTAGGCCCAGCTACAAGGAGATAGGAGGATCACTTTAAATGTTTTGAGTCACCAACTTGGAAACATTCTTTTTGTAGAATCTCCAAAGTGACGTTTCTGAGTCCATCGAGGCTTGTAAGGAAACATAGAATATCCAATGATAAAAGCTAGAAACAAGCTATCTATGAAAATGCTTTGATGTGTGACTGAGTATGTGTGTGTGAGGGTATGTGTGAGTGCGTGAGTGTGAACGTATGAGTATGTGTGTGTGTGTGAGGGTGTGTGTGTGAGGGTATGTGTGTGTGATTCAGCATTTGGCTCTGTGAGGGTACGTGTGAGTGTGAGCACGTGGCTATTTGTGTGTGTGTGAGGGTATGTGTGAGTGCGTGTGTGATTGAGCACGTGACTGTATGTGTGTGCATGTGTGTGAGGGTACGTGTGAGTGCGTGAGCCTGTGACTGAGCACGTGGTTCTGTGTGTGCGTGTGTGTCCTTGCAGCTGGCAGGGGGTGTTGCCCAGGGAAGAACTGGGGGAAGCAGCTTTCTCCCCACTCAGGAGAGGGCCCGCACAGGGGAGCGGCCACGCAGGCCGCGCAGGAGCTTGTCCTCCTGACTTGGAGTCCCTGGCAGGAACCTGATGCTGGAGTGAAGAATATGCCTCGTTTAGGGGGCACCGTGGTTCCCACTTCCCAGCTGAGGAAGCCCCTTGGAGACAGTGGGGCTGAGATTCAGAGCCCGCCCTGGGACCCACAGTCGGATCGCTGCTCTCCCTAGGAGACCTCCTGGGCTCCCATTTTCCCTTCTCTGCCACAGTTGCCACCTGCGTGCTGGGGCGGCAAAGCGTAAAGGCTGGCAGGTCCTTCCTCAACCCCGGAAGGTGGGAACCACAGCACGGTCATTGCCGGCGTAAAACCCCAGGGCCGTCAGGTGCTGTGTGCAGATTGAACAGCTTCATGCTTCTACGCTCACCTGCAACGGAATAGGTCGGCCCCTGGGACCACATTGTGAAATGCAATCTGAGCATTCTCTGGGCAATGACGGTGCAACCTGGACAGGCTCGGGGGGTCCCCAGCGCAGACATTGAACCTCCTCTTTGTCATTTTCCTAAAGGTTGGAAGTAGAAATCGTCCTAAATCATAGCCACGCGATTTCTCTCCGGAAAGGACGACATTTGGGTCATGTAGGGTTCACGTCTGCAAACTCTGAACTTCTTTTTTTTTCTTTTCTTTTCTTTTTCTTTTTTTTTTTTTTTTTTTTTTTTTTGAGATGGAGTCTTGCGCTGTTGCCCAGGCTGGAGTGCAGTGGTACGATCTCAGGTCACCACAACCTCCGCCTCTCTGGTTCAAGCGATTCTCCTGCCTCAGCCTCCCGAGTAGCTGGGATTACAGGCACCTGCCATCATGCCCAGCTAATTATTATTATTATTATTTTTTGAGACGGCGTCTCTCTCCGTCTCCCAGGCTGGAATGCAGTGGCACGATCTCGGCTCACCGCAACCTCCACCTCCCAGTTCAAGCGATTCTCCTGCCTCAGCCTCCCGAGTAGCTGGGATTACAGGTGTGCACCATCATGCCTGGCTAATTTTTGTATTTTTAGTAGAGACGGGGGTTTCACCTTGTTGGCCAGGCTGGTCTCGAACTCCTGACCTCAGGGGATGCACCCACCTCAGCCTCCCAAAGTGCTGGGATTATAGGCATAAGCCACCGCACCCGGCCACCCCTGCACTTCTTTGTGTCCTTTCTTTCAAGGAAAGGACACAATGCTGGAATTATTAAATAAGTCCTCTTTGAGATAAACGGGAATGGTTCGTGTCTTGACAGTGAGCATTTGCAGTAGAAATCACGCACACTCAGCAGAGGGCTGCACAAGGCCAGCCGTGCTCCACCTGCCCCCCTCAAAAATCGGCCTCCGCACCTGCTGCGGCCATTTCATTACATCTCAAAACAACGTCAACTTATTTAATAAATAGGAGAATTTTTAAATCAAGTCCCGAGGCAGGATGTATAAACTTTAGTATTGATTATGCGTCCCTAAAAGCGCTCTCAGTAAAGGGACTTTGCTTCCTTTTCCTCAGGTTCCTATGAAGTCGTTTAATCCGTCTAACTCTTATTTTATGTTGTTTTCCCCGTTTTTATTACTTTATATGACAGTACATCTTTGTAGCCACAAACTCAATAGCATAATTGTGTGTTTTTTTTTCCCTGAGACAACAATGTGCTTTTTGTTCGAGGAGGTAATAATTCTTGACAAAATCTGTTTTAATGTCGTACCGAAAAAAAAAACAAACCCCACAAAACCCTTAACGGACATTTGTAGTCCCCATTGGATCTAAAACACTGTGATATTGTTTGTGTAATCTGCTTTTAAAGTCACCAAAAGTGCTTTGTTGTAAATACTCTGTGATAACATTTGCTTTGTTAACGTATTTTAAATGAAATATAGTTATAATTTCCCTCATGACATTTTCATTTAAATTTAAATGTCATGAGGGAAATTATAATTTAATTTAAAAAACGATTTAAATTTATTTAATAAATTTAATTAATAAATAATAATATATAATAAATATATAATAATAAATAAATAATCAAATTTGTTTAAATTTAAATTTATTTAAATTTATTCATTTATTTATTTATGTATTCATTTAGATAGTTATTTAAATTTATTTAAATTTATTATTATTTATTTTTATTTTATTTCATTTTATTTATTTTATTTTATTTTATTTTAGAGACAGGGTCTCCTTCTGTTGCCCAGCTTGGAGCGCACCTGTGTGATCTCGGCTCACTGCAGACTCCGCCTCCTGGGTTCAAGAGATCCTCCTGCCTCAGCGTGCATGCACCACCAAGCCTGGCTCATATTTTTTAGACATTTTAATTTTATTCAGGGTCACAAAGTTACCTTTTTTTTTTTTTTTTTTTTTTGAGACAGAGTCTTGCTCTGTCGCCCAGGCTGGAGTGCAGAGGTGCAATCTCGGCTCGCCGCAACCTCCGCCTCCCGGGTTCAAGCGATTCTCCTGCCTCAGCCTCCCGAGTAGCTGGGATGACAGGCACCCGCCACCACGCCCGGCTACTTTTTGTATTTTTAGTGGAGACGCGGTTTCACCATGTTGGCCAGGCTGGTCTCGAACTCCCGACCTCGAGTGATCCTCCCGCCTCGGCCTCCCAAAGTGCTGGGATGACAGGCATGAGCCACCTCGCCCGGCCACACAGTCACCTTTTTATGTGACGCGCATCGTGTAGATGGAAGAGAAATCAAACGGCACCGTCTGCCGGGGCGGGATTGCAGCCCGTTCCAATGTCTCATTTATTCCCCGGGTGCTGGGAGAGTCTCTGGGATGACAAGACTGATGGTTCCTAACCCAGGCCGGGGCAACGCATGACTTTTGACGCCTCGGAGAAGCCCTTCCTTCCTGGACTGTATTCTGACAGGGAGTGCGTCTCACGCTTTACCCGACGGCGCCCAGAGCGACCTTCATCGCGGCCCACCGGCCAGGGCCGTCTTCTGGATCTTCAGCGGCTTGAGGAACTTTCTGTCCCCTTCTGGGTTGACTGAATTTTTATCGCGAAAAGGCACTGCCTTTGCTCAAATGCTTTTCCTGCATTTCTGCAAATGGTCATGTGAGTTTGGCCCCTTAGCCATGAATACGGTGCGTCACATTCACTGGTTTTCCAGAAAAGAGCTGTATAGAGAGAGAATTTACACAGCTGACAATGTGTCCGTTTAAACTCTTCCAACCCGTGGCTTTCTGTATGCAGAGACTTGTGCCACCATCACCACAGTCTATTTTATTGCTTTACTTATATTTGTTTTTTTTTTTTTTTTTGAGACAGGGTCTCGCTCCTGTAGCCTTGGACTCTCAGGCTCAAGGGATCCTCCCTCCTCAGCTCCCCAAGTAGCCGGGCAACGTGGCTTCTCCCGAGTAGCTGGGTGACGCTGTTTCTCCAGAGTAGCTGGGTGACGCGGTTCCTCCCGAGTATCTGGGTGACGCGGCTTCTCCAGAGTTTCTGGGTGACGCGGCTTCTCCAGAGTAGCTGGAGGATGCTGTTTCTCCCGAGTAGCTGGGTGACGCTGTTTCTCCAGAGTAGCTGGGTGACGCGGTTTCTCCCGAGTATCTGGGTGAGGCGGCTTCTCCAGAGTTTCTGGGTGACGTGGCTTCTCCAGAGTAGCTGGAGGATGCTGTTTCTCCCGAGTAGCTGGGTGACGCCGTTTCTCCCGAGTAGCTGGGTGACGCTGTTTCTCCCGAGTAGCTGGGTGACGCTGTTTCTCCCGAGTAGCTGGGTGATGTTGTTTCTCCGGAGTAGCTGGTGACGCCGTTTCTCCCGAGTAGCTGGGTGACGCCGTTTCTCCCGAGTAGCTGGGTGACGCTGTTTCTCCCGAGTAGCTGGGTGATGTTGTTTCTCCGGAGTAGCTGGTGACGCTGTTTCTCCGGAGTAGCTGGTGATGCCGTTTCTCCAGAGTAGCTGGTGATGCCGTTTCTCCCGAGTAGCTGGGTGATGCTGTTTCTCCAGAGTAGCTGGTGACGCTGTTTCTCCAGAGTAGCTGGTGACGCTGTTTCTCCCGAGTAGCTGGGTGAAGCCGTTTCTCCAGAGTAGCTGGTGACGCCGTTTCTCCCGAGTAGCTGGTGACGCCGTTTCTCCCGAGTAGCTGGTGACGCCGTTTCTCCCGAGTAGCTGGTGACGCCGTTTCTCCCGAGTAGCTGGTGACGCCGTTTCTCCAGAGTAGCTGAGTGACGCCGTTTCTCCCGAGTAGCTGGTGACGCCGTTTCTCCCGAGTAGCTGGTGACGCTGTTTCTCCCGAGTAGCTGAGTGACGCCGTTTCTCCCGAGTAGCTGGTGACGCCGTTTCTCCCGAGTAGCTGGTGATGCTGTTTCTCCCGAGTAGCTGGTGATGCTGTTTCTCCCGAGTAGCTGGGTGACGCCGTTTCTCCCGAGTAGCTGAGTGACGCCGTTTCTCCCGAGTAGCTGAGTGACGCCGTTTCTCCCGAGTAGCTGGTGACGCCATTTCTCCTGAGTAGCTGAGTGACGCCGTTTCTCCCGAGTAGCTGGTGACGCCGTTTCTCCCGAGTAGCTGGTGACGCCGTTTCTCCCGAGTAGCTGGGTGACGCCGTTTCTCCCGAGTAGCTGGTGACGCCGTTTCTCCCGAGTAGCTGGTGACGCTGTTTCTCCAGAGTAGCTGGTGACGCTGTTTCTCCCGAGTAGCTGAGTGACGCCGTTTCTCCCGAGTAGCTGGTGACGCCGTTTCTCCCGAGTAGCTGGTGACGCCGTTTCTCCCGAGTAGCTGGTGACGCTGTTTCTCCAGAGTAGCTGGTGACGCCGTTTCTCCCGAGTAGCTGGGTGAAGCCGTTTCTCCAGAGTAGCTGGTGACGCCGTTTCTCCCGAGTAGCTGGTGACGCCGTTTCTCCCGAGTAGCTGGTGACGCCGTTTCTCCCGAGTAGCTGGTGACGCCGTTTCTCCCGAGTAGCTGGTGACGCCGTTTCTCCCGAGTAGCTGGTGACGCCGTTTCTCCCGAGTAGCTGGTGACGCCGTTTCTCCAGAGTAGCTGAGTGACGCCGTTTCTCCAGAGTAGCTGGTGACGCCGTTTCTCCCGAGTAGCTGGTGACGCCGTTTCTCCCGAGTAGCTGGTGACGCCGTTTCTCCCGAGTAGCTGGTGACGCCGTTTCTCCCGAGTAGCTGGTGACGCCGTTTCTCCAGAGTAGCTGGTGACGCTGTTTCTCCAGAGTAGCTGGTGACGCCGTTTCTCCCGAGTAGCTGGGTGATGTTGTTTCTCCGGAGTAGCTGGTGACGCCGTTTCTCCCGAGTAGCTGGTGACGCCGTTTCTCCCGAGTAGCTGAGTGACGCCGTTTCTCCAGAGTAGCTGAGTGACGCCGTTTCTCCCGAGTAGCTGAATGACGCCGTTTCTCCCGAGTAGCTGGTGACGCCGTTTCTCCCGAGTAGCTGGTGACGCCGTTTCTCCCGAGTAGCTGGTGACGCCGTTTCTCCCGAGTAGCTGGTGACGCCGTTTCTCCAGAGTAGCTGGTGACGCCGTTTCTCCCGAGTAGCTGGGTGACGCCGTTTCTCCCGAGTAGCTGGTGACGCCGTTTCTCCGGAGTAGCTGGTGACGCCGTTTCTCCCGAGTAGCTGGGTGACGCGGCTTCTCCCGAGTAGCTGGGTGACGCGGCTTCTCCCGAGTAGCTGGGTGACGCGGTTTCTCCAGAGTAGCTGGGTGATGCGGTTTCTCCCGAGTAGCTGGGTGACGCGGTTTTTCCTGAGTAGCTGGGTGACATGGTTTGGCTATGTCCCCTCCCAAGGTTTACCTTGAACGGTTATCATCCCCACGTGTCAAGGGCAGGGCCAGGTGGAGAGAATTGAATCATAGGGTCAGTTTCCCCCAGACTGTTCTCGTGGTAGTGAATAGGTCTCATGAGATCTGATTTTTTTTTTTTTTTTTTTTTTTGAGACAGAGTCTCGCTCTTGTCACCCAGGCTGGAGTGCAATATCATGATCTCGGCTCACTGCAACCTCTGCCTCCCAAGTAGCTGGGATTACAAGCACCCGCCACCACACCTGGCTAATTTTTTGTATTTTTAATAGAAACGAGGTTTCACCATGTTGGCCACGTTGATCTCAAACTCCTCACCTCAGGTGATCTACCCTCCTCAGCCTCCCAAAGTGCTGGGATGACAGGCGTGAGCCACCGTGCCCGGCCAAGATCTGATGGTTTTATAAATGGGAGCACCCCTCTATACGCCCTTTTTTTGCCTGCCGCCATGTAAGATGTGACTTTGCTCCTTCTTCGTCTTCCGCCATGATTGTGAGGCCTCCCCAGCCATGCGGAAATGTGAGTCCATTAAACCTCTTTCCTTTATAAATTACCCCATCTTCGTTATGCCTTTATTAGCAGCCTGAGAACAGACTAGTACACTTGGACTGTAGGTGCACAACACCATCCCCAGTTAAGTTTTTTTGGTTTGTTTTTTTGTAGAGAGAGGTTCTCCCTATATGCCCAGGCTGGTTTTGAACTCCTGGCCTCAAGTGATCCTCCTGTCCCAGCCTCCAAAACTGCTGGGATTATGGGTATGAACCATGGTGTCCAGACATCAGAATACATTTTATTTTATTTTTGTTTTACTTTATTTTATTTTTTTTTGAGGCAGAGTCTCGCTCTGTCGCCCAGGCTGGAGTGCAGTGGCACGATCTCGGCTCACTGCAACCTCCGGCTTCCAGGTTCAAGCGATTCTCCTGCCTCAGCCTCCTGAGTAGCTGGGATGACAGTCACCTGCCACCATGCCCGGGCTAATTTTTGTATTTTTAGTAGAGATGGGGTTTCACCATGTTGGCCAGTCTGGTCTCAAACTCCTGACCTCAAGTGATCCACCCGCCTTCGCCTCCCATAGTGCTGGGATGACAGGCGTGAGCCACCGCAGCAGGCTGGGGTGCAGCTAACTTGAAAGCAGGACACTCAGTGGGAGCCTTCAGGCTTTTTTTTTTTTTTGAGATGGAGTCTTGCTCTGTCACCCAGGCTGGAGTGCAGTGGTGTGATCTCGGCTCACTGAAACCTCCGCCTCCCGGGTTCAAACGATTCTCCTGCCTCAGCCTCCTGAGTAGCCGGGATTACAGGTGCCCGCCACCACACCTGGGTAATTTTGTATTTTTAGTAGAAATGGGGTTTCTCCATGTTGGCCAGGCTGGTCTTGAACTCTTGACCTCAGGTGATCCACACGCCTCGGCCTCCCAAAGTGCTGGGATGACAGGCGGGAGCCACCGCGCCTGGCTGCCTTCGGACCTCTCGGTGGGAGGAACGTGTGGGTCCTATCCAAGCATCAGCTCTGTCTCCTACCTGCTCTCACCTCCGTGGGCACGCCTGGTTCTCGGCACCCGTGGCAGCCGGGCTGTTGAGCCTCGGCTGGGGTTTGCAGAGGTTTTCTGGGAAGAGCTACTCCAATTCAGGCGGACTGGCAGATCTGGAGAATTCCATGACCCCGGGGACCCAGGGCAGCTGTCGTGACTGTGGGGTGCAAGGACCTGGTGGCCAGGTGGATCCCAGGCATTGCGATGGGCTCCACGGTGAGCTGTGGAAAAGAGCCTGGGTCCTGGATTTTATGTCTGGGAATCTGCTGACCACACTTGCCCAACTGCTTTACTCATAGTGGTAAAAGCAGCTACTTTTAGGCTGGGCACGGTGGCTCACGCCTGTAATCCCAGCACTTTGGGAGGCTGAGGCGGGTGCATCCCCTGAGGTCAGGAGTTCGAGACCAGCCTGGCCAACATGGCGAAACCCTGTCTCTACTAAAAATACAAAAATCACCTAGGCATGGTGGCATGCGCCTGTAATCCCAGCACTTTGGGAGGCTGAGGCGGGCGGATCACCCGAGGTCAGGAGTTCGAGACCAGCCTGGCTAACGTGTCGAAACCCTGTCTCTACTAAAAATACAAAAATCACCTGGGCATGGTGGCATGTGCCTGTAATCCCAGCTACTCAGGAGTCTGAGGCAGGAGAATTGCTTGAACCCAAGAGGCCGAGGTGGCAATGAGCTGAGATCGCGACATTTCACTCCAGCCTGGGTGACAAAGACTGAAACTCCGACTCAAAAAAAAAAAAAAAGAATGTTGTTGATGTCTGCCCCAAAGCAGCTTGCTTTAGTTATAGTGTTAAAAGTGGCTACTTTTAGGCCGGGCATGTTGGCTCACACCTGTCATCCCAGCGCTTTGAGAGGCCGAGGTGGGCGGATCACCTGAGGTCAGGAGTTTGAGACCAGCCTGGCCAACATGGTGAAACCCCATCTCTACTAAAAATACAAAAATCACCTGGTCACGGTGGTGGGCACCTGTAATTGCAGCTACTCGGAAGGCTGAGGCAGGAGAATTGCTTGAACCCGGGAGGCGGAGGTTGCAGTGAGCCGAGATCACACCATTGCACTCCAGCCTCGGTGGCAGAGTGAGACTGTGTCTAAATAAATAAATAAATAAATAAATAAATAAATAAATAAATAATTTGGGGCCGGGCGCGGTGGCTCACACCTGTAATCCCAGCACTTTGGGAGGCCGAGGCGGGTGGATCACGAGGTCAGGAGATCAAGACCATCCTGGCTAACACGGTGAAACCCCGTCTCTACTAAAAATACAAAAAAAATTAGCCGGGCGTGGTGGCGGCGCCTGTAGTCCCAGCTACTCGGGAGGCTGAGGCAGGAGAATGGCGTGAACCCGGGAAGCGGAGCTTGCAGTGAACCGAGATCGCGCCACTGCACTCCAGCCTGGGCGACAGAGCGAGACTCCATCTCAAAACAAAGAAACAAGCAAACAAACAAAAAAAAACTTAAAAATTAGCCAGCTGTGGTGGTGCACACCTATAGTCCCAGCTACTCAGGAGGCTGAGGCAGGAGAATGGGGTGAACCCGGGAGGCCGAGCTTGCAGTGAGCTGAGATGGCACCACTGCACTCCAGGCTGGGCGACAGAGCGAGACTCCGTCTCAAAAAAAAAAAACAAACTTAAAAATTAGCCAGCTGTGGCGGTGCACACCTATAGTCCCAGCTACTCAGGAGGCTGAGGCAGGAGGATTGCCTGAGCCTAGGAGGTCGAGGCTGCAGTTAGCTGTGATCGCACCACTGCACTCCAGCCTGGGCAACAGACCAAAACCTCGTCTCCAAAAAAAAAGTAAATAAATAAAGTTGCAATGACTCCCATTGCCGATTCAAAGAGCTTTTATGAATGTCTCAATATACTTGCCTAGCCTGTTTTTGGATTCAAACGCAAAGTTTTGTTCACCGTAGGTGGGAGATCAAGTTGGCAACAATAGTGTTCCAAGGTAATACACCCTGTATCTCAGAGAAATTGAAATATAACCATCTCAGAGGTTTTTTGTTTCTTTGGTTTTTTGAGACTGTCTCAAAGAAAAAAATTGAAACCCTGCTCCAGGGCTAGGAACCCACAAATTTGAGCACAGCTGTCACTGTCGGTATCAAACTTGTCTTTATTTTTTCAGCTGAGGTCTTGCTCTGTTGCCCAGGCTGGAGTGCAGTGTTGGGATCTCAGCTCCTTGCAGCCTCAACCCTCTGGGCTCCACCAATCCTCCTGCATCAGCCTCCCGAGTAGCTGGGACTACAGGTGTGCGCCACCATGCCTGGCCAATTTTAAATTTGTTTTTTGAGAGATGGGGGTCTTGCAATATTGTCCAGGCTGGTTTCAAACTCCTGGCCTCAAGCGATGCTCTCATATCGGCCTCCTGAGTGGTTGGGACTACGAGCGTGAGCCACCATGCTCGGCTGATTTTATTTTTAAATTGTTTGTAGAGGCCAGGTGCAGTGGGTCTTGCCTGTAATCCCAGCACTTTGGGAGGCCGAGGCCGGTGGATTGCTTGAGCCCAGGAGTTCAAGACCAGCCTTGCCAGTATGGCAAAACCTCATCTCTACTAAAAAAAAAAATACAAAAAAAAAAATTAGCCAGGTGTGATGGTGTGTGCCTGTTATCCCAGCTACTCGGGAGAGTAAGGCAGGAGAATTGCTTGAACCTGGGAGGCGGACGTTGCAGTGAGCTGAGATCGTGGGTGACAGCGAAAGTCTGTCTCAAAAAGAAAAAAAAAAATCAATGGTTTGTGAAAATACAGCCGGTGACCATGGACCCCCCTAGGCACAGCCTCAAGCCACCCAGAAGAAGATGGAAAAGGATTTTCTTTTAAATCAGCGAGATTTAAATAAGCATGGCGAGCACAGCTGGGAGGCCCCGCCAGGAATTCCGAAGGTTGAAAGGGGCCCTGTCCGCTCCCCCATCCTGGAAATAGTGTCCATGGAGCTGCGGAGTCCGGGTGGGCGCCGGGGACGAGCTTTCAACAGCTCACCCGGCCCCAACATTCCGTCCACACATTCCACGGCCAAGACAGTCACCCCCTGCCAGGGATTAACCGAGGGCCACGCTTAGTGGCAGGAATGCACGCGCCCGATTTAGACATCCCGCTTGGCATCGGCGGTCAGGGTGGCTTGCAAAGGCCCGGGGTGGGTGGATGCCGGAGACGCTGGAGCTCTGAGGTCTACAGGAGGAATTGCTTTTCCGATGGGCTGGTCAGGGAGGAAGGAAGCTGGGGAGAAGCCGGGAGTCCCAGCCTCCACAATGCCTGCCCTTCCAAGACGAGCCAGGCCCCCCGGACAGGATGGCAGCCCCCCTCCAGGCCAGCATGACTTCAGGCCTGGGGAATGTGCCACCTTCCGAATTAGAAGGGCACTGGTTCCCACCCGCGGGGAACCGTAACACAGCGTCTCCCTCCTTCCTCCAGGACCCACGGCTGAGCTCGGAGCTGCCCGAGAGCTCGGGATGTGGGGTGCAGAGCAGAGGAGAAACCTCCCCCGACCCCGGGTCCTTGGGGCATAGGGTCTTTTTCAGGGCCATCTGCGGAAAGAGGACCTGCGTCTTTACCACCCGGGGGCCCTTGTCTTTGCTGCTCAGCTGTGTTTAGGTCCCCGTTGCTGGGTGATACTGGGGAGACGTAAACAGACCTCGGTCAGCCGGGGCTGGGGCAGGAGCAGGTGCAGCTGGACTCCAGGGCAGGGGCCGACTGCTGTACACAGTCATGCTGAAAAGCATGTCAAAAATAAAAGGAGCAGGGGAAATGGCACCTTTTATTTTTTATTTTATTATTATTATTATCATTTTTGAGATGGAGTTTTGCTCTTGTTACCCAGGCTGGAGTGCAATGGTGTGATCTCGGCTCACTGCAACCTCCGCCTCCCGGGTTCAACGGATTCTCCTGCCTCAGCCTCCCGAGTAGCTGGGATGACAGGTGCCCACACCACGCCCAGCTAATTTTTGTATTTTTAGTGGAGATGGGGTCTCGCCGTGTCGGCCAGGCTGTTCTTGAACTCCTGACCTCAGGTGATCCGCCAGCCTCGGCCTCCCAAAGTGCTGGGACTACAGGCGTGAGCCACCGCGCCCGGCCTATTTTTTATTTATTTTATTATTAATATTTTTGAGGCGGAGTTTCACTCTTGTTGCCCAGGCTGGAGTGCGGTGGCGGGATCTCGGCTCACTGCAACCTCCGCCTCCCGGGTTCAAGTGATTCTCCTGCCTCAGTCTCCCAAAGTGCTGAGATTACAGGCGTGCACCACCACGCTCGGCTAATTTTGTGTTTTTAGTAGAGACGGGGTTTCACCATGTTGGTCAGGCTGGTCTCGAACTCCTGACCTCAGGTGATCCACCCTCCTCTGCCTCCCAGAGTGCTGGGATGACAGGTGTGAGCCACCTCACCTGGCCCTATTTTATTTTTATTTTTTGCAAGGAAGGAATGAAGGGATTTATTGAAAATGGAAGTACCCTCCACAGCGCGGGAGGAGACCGAGAAGAGGAGCTCAAAGACTAAAGGGACGGGCTTTTAAAGACATTTAATTAAAAGGAATTAAGTTTCCCTTATGACATTTAGAAAAAAGTCAAGTCCAAATGGTACAAAACGGTCAGCTTGCTTTGTGCCTTGGCGGCCGCGTATGAAACATCATTAGAATAGAACCGGAAGCGTCTAGATTTTCACTTTTCACCCTGAAAGATGAAACAGAGATGAAAGCAGTCACCAATTTTCTCTAATTATTTTGCAATTAAGCGTCCGAGCACCCCAGGTAGCGTGGACTCCCACAGCTCTTAAACCAAATACCTGACTGTCTGAAATTAATTATAAAAATGGATCAAGGGGTGGTTTTCACGTGGTGGCTGATGAATGCTTTCTGAGTCTTGTTTTCCTGTTTGTTTACCGTGGCACGTAAGACGTACAGAACATAAAATTCACCGTGTGAGCCATTTTTCGTTTGTTTGTTTTTGAGACGGAGTCTCGCTCTGTCACCCAGGCTGGAGTGCAGTGGTGTGATCTCGGATCACTGCAACCTCCGCCTCCTGGTTCAAGCGATTCTCCTGCCTCAGCCTCTTGAGGAGCTGGGACTGCAGACATACACCATCACACCTGGCCAATATTTAATTTTTTTTGTAGAGACAGGGTCTTGCTCTGTGGCCCAGGCTGGAGTGCACTGGTGCAATCTCCGCTCACTGCAGCCTCCACCTCCTGGGCTCAGGTGATCCTCCCACCTCAGCCTCCTGAGGAGCTGGGACTACAGACATACACCATCACACCTGGCCAATATTTAATTTTGTTGTAGGGACAGGCTCTTGCTCTGTGGCCCAGGCTGGAGTGCAGTGGTGCAATCTCAGCTCACTGCAGCGTCCACCTCCTGGGCTCAGGTGATCCTCCTGCCTCAGCTTCCTGAGGAGCTGGGACTACAGACAGGTGCCACCACTCCCAGCTAATTTTTAAATTTTTTTGTAGGGACAGACTCTTGCTCTGTTGCCCATGGTGATCTTGAACACCTGGGCTTGATGTATCTGCCCGCCCAAATCCCGCCTTTCATTTACACTGCCCCCACCCCTGCCCACCCCAGGGAAGGTCTTTATTCTTAAATCTGCCTTTCTGACCTCTCTTCCCAAATGTGTGTATTTCTAACAGATCTCCGAGTCCAGATCACGCACACCGTTTTCCATAATCCAGGGATTTGGAGCCGCCGGAGGGGTGAGGAGGGGAGGCGGCCGTGACTGCTAGGTGGAGGTGGGCTCTCGTAAACGTCGTTTTACGGGCAGGTGGAAACCTTTATAAGCCCACAAATACTTCAAGCCTGTTCCTGCCCCTGGGGCCCTGGAGACTTCTCAGAGGACCTAACGGGACCTGGCGAAAGGCCTTCATCACCAGCCCACTAGGAACTGTTCACCGTGTGCCCGGGGCTGCGTCTGGCACGGAGGTGAACGCTGAAGCCATCCCCCCACCCCCAGATCCCCAAGACGAGAGAGCGTTCCGTGAGGTCCAAATAAACGTCCCTCCTGGCACCTTCAAGGATGTGGTTTTTCTTTTCTTTTTTTTCGAGGCAGGGTCTTGGTCTGTTGCCCAGGCTGGGGTGCAGTGGCATGATCTTGGCTCACTGCAGCCTCCAATCCTTGGGCTCAAGCGATCCTCCTGCCTCAGCCTCCCGAGTAGCTGGGACCACAGGCATGCACCACTGTGCCAGCCTCATTTTGTATTTTCTGTAGAGATAGGGTCTCCCTATGTAGCCCAGGCTGGGGTGCAGTGGCATGATCTTGGCTCACTGCAGCCTCCAATCCTTGGGCTCAAGCGATCCTCCTGCCTCAGCCTCCCGAGTAGCTGGGACCACAGGCATGCACCACTGTGCCAGCCTCATTTCGTATTTTCTGTAGAGATAGGGTCTCCCTATGTAGCCCAGGCTGGGGTGCAGTGGCATGATCTTGGCTCACTGCAGCCTCCAATCCTTGGGCTCAAGCGATCCTCCTGCCTCAGCCTCCCGAGTAGCTGGGACCACAGGCATGCACCACCGTGCCAGCCTCATTTTGTATTTTCTGTAGAGATAGGGCCTCCCTATGTTGCCCACGCTGCTCTGAAACTCTGGGCTCCAGCGATCCTCCCATCTCGGCCTCCCAAAGTGCTGGGATTACAGGTGTGCAGTACGGCTCCCAGCCCTGATGTTGGGTTTGGAGAACAAGAGGGTGATACGTCGCCAAATTCAAACTCACGTCCTCCTGCTTCTGAGCATGTAGGGAGCTGGTGGGCGGGGAGGTGGGTGTGGGGCTGCGGCTCTGGGCTCCCCGGGTGCCCACGCTGAGCTGTCCAGGAGGCTGACAGGGAGGACGTCCCTTCGGTATCCCCCTTTTGCCACAGAAGAGCCCGTGTGGACCCCTGAGTCCCGGACCACCGGGCAGCCAACGCCATCTTGGGGTCTCCGGATTGAGACCCCAAGAGAGGGTACCTGGATCTCGTGCAAGAAAGAATTCACGGCAAGTTTGCAGTGCAAAATAAAAGCAAGTTTATTTAGAAAGTAAAATGGGGCCGGGCGCGGTGTTTCACGCCTGTCATCCCAGCAGTTTGGGAGGCCAGGGCGGGTGGATCACGAGGTCAGGAGATCGAGACCAGCCTGGCCAGCACGATGAAACTCCATCTCTACTAAAAATACAAAAAATTAGCCGGACGTGGTGGTGGGCACCTGTAGTCCCAGCTACTCGGGAGACCGAGGCAGGAGGATGGCGTGAACCCGGGAGGCGGAGGTTGCAGTGAGCTGAGATCGCGCCACTGCACTCCAGCCTGGGCGACAGAGCGAGACTCTGTCTCAAAAAAAAAAAAAAAAGAAAGAAAGAATTGTCTATACGGGTACACGTGCTCTGCTACAAAGGTTCGTGATAAAGGATTAATTTTCTTAATTACTATATTTTGCAAGAATCAGTATTATAGTTATTATTTTTTGAGATGGAGTCTCGCTCTGTCGCCCAGGCTGGAGTGCGGTGGCGCGATCTCGGCTCACTGCAACCTCCACCTCCCGGGTTCAAGCCATTCTCCTGCCTCAGCCTCCTGAGTAGCTGGGACTACAGGCACCCGCCACACCCGGCTAATCGTTGTACTTTTAATAGACACGGGTTTTACCATATTGGCCAGGCTGGTCTCGAACCCCTGACTACCTGATCCGCCCGCCTCGGCCTCCCAAAGTGCTGGGATGACAGGCGTGAAACACCGCGCCCGGCCGAGAATTGGTATTATGTTTAGAGCAAACTTAGGAAAATGCCTTTGTTCTCCAGATATTAAGATACCTGGACACTCCCAAGTCTGGGGCTGTTTAGTAAATACTTTTTTTTTTTTTTTGAGATGGAGTTTCGCTCTTGTTGCCCAGGCTGGAGTGCAGTGGTGCGATCTCAGCTCACCTCAACCTCCGCCTCCCGGGTTCAAGGAATTCTCCTGCCTCAGCCTCCCGAGTAGCTGGGATGACAGGCGCCCGCCACCACGCCCGGCTAATTTTGTATTTTTTTTAGTAGAGACGGGGTTTCTCCATGTTGGTCAGGCTGGCCTCGAACTGCCAACCTCATGTGATCCACCCACCTCAGCCTTCCAACGTGCTGGGATTACAGGCGTGAGCCACCGTGCCAGTAAACATTATCAATTTCTTCCTTTTTTTTTTTTTTTCTGAGATGGAGTCTCACTCTGTCCCCAGGCTGGAGTGCAGTGGTGCCATCTCTGCTCACCGCAACCTCCACCTCCCGGGTTCAAGTGATTCTCCCGCCTCAGCCTCCTGAGCAGCTGCGATTACAGGCACCCGCCACCACGCCCGGCTAATTTTTGTGTTTTTAGTAGAGACGGGGTTTCACCGTGTTGGCCAGGCTGGTCTCGAACTCCTGACCTCGTGATCCGCCCGCCTCGGCCTCCCAGAGCGCTGGGATTCCAGGCGTGAGCCGCATTCGTTCCCTTGACCGTAAACGTCTGCAGGCGAGGAATCAGCCGTCAGTCAAGAGGGAGTCACTGCGGTTCATTCGCCTCTGACAACGGGTCCTCCCGGACGCCGCGTGGCTTGTTCTGAAGCCGGGCCGGAGACACCGTCTGGACCCCACGCTGCTCCCCAGGGCCGCCTCCAAGAGGATGCCCCACCGCAGGGAGCCGTGCAAACACCATAAATCCTGCTAATTGCCACCTTCCCGGCAGCCAGCATCCGTGGTCTCTCTATAGTGGCCTCACGGTCTCCAGCCAGGAGCTCGATCTTTGCTTCTGCACAAACATTACCGAGAAACGTCTGCAAACCCCGGGCGCCCGGCTCCCACATCACAGGCGCTGCGCCTCAGAACACAACTTGTTTCTGCCGATCCACCCCCCACCGCCGCCTCCCCGGGCACCTCGCCACGCAGGACGCTCCGGGCTTCCCGTAAGAACACCCGTGTCTGTGACCTGCGGGTGGGGTCACCTCCCCGGCCTGCATGCCAGGTGAGGCGGGGGGGGCTCACCTGGGGCTCTCACCTGCCCGAGGGGGTCCTGCCCACGGCTCTGCGACAGAATAGAATGATCAGGGCGATGCGTGGCAGTGCCCTCTCCCTGCCCCAGCCCGAGGGCACCTGTTCCCCTCCTATCTCAGCCACTCTGCCCACGTCTGTCCCCACAAAACGCGGTCGGTGCAGCCCTGGGGCCCGGTCACCGTACCGCATCCTCCTGACAAAGACAGAAAGAAACCGGCTCTTTGATTCTAACATTAAAAAAAAAAGGGCTGCCTTCTGCTTGCAAAAGAAATGCACGCAGGCTGCTGGCAGAAAGTTCTGGAAGATGATAAAGGAAAAAAATAAATTAATTCGAGAAAACTTTGAGACGCCTAACAGCACAAATACCCTCAGTCTTTAGAGAACAGCTGGGGATACACATATTCTGGCTCATTTCCCCATGGAACTTTTATTTTTATTTTTTGAGATGAGTCTCTCTGTGTCGCCGAGGCTGGAGTGCAATGGTGCGATCTCAGCTCACTGCAACCTCCGCCTCCCGGGTTCAAGCGATCCTCCTGCCTCAGCCTCCCAATAGCTGAGACGACAGGCGCCTGCCACCACGCCCGGCTAATTTTTGTATATTTACTAGAGACGGGGTTTCACCGTGTTGGCCAGGCTGGTCTCAAGCTCCTGACCCCAGGTGATCCGCCCGCCTCGGCCTCCCAGAGTGCTGGGATTATGGGTGGGAGCCACCGCGCCCGGCCCCTCTTCCTTCCTTCCCTTCCTTCCTTCCCTTCCTTCCTTCCCTTCCTTCCTTCCCTTCCTTCCTTCCCTTCCTTCCTTCCCTTCCTTCCTTCCTTCCCTCCCTTCCCTCCCTCCCTTACCTCCCTTCCCTCCCTCCTTTCCTTTCCTTCCCTTCCTTTCCTTCCTTCCTTCTTTCTTTTTCCTTTTCTTTTTGAGATGTAGTCTCACTCTGTGGCCCAGGCTGGAGTGCAGTGGTGTGATCTCGGCTCACTGCAACCTCCGCCTCCCAGGTTCAAGCGATTCTCCTGCCTCAGCCTCCTGAGTAGCTGGGACGACAGACGCCCGCCACCATGCCCGGCTAATTTTTGTGTTTTTTTAGGTAGACATGAGGTTTCACCACATCGGCCAGGCCGGTCTCAAGCTCCTGACCTCCAGTGATCCGCCCGCCTCCGCCTCCCAAAGTGCTGGGATGACAGGCGTGAGCCACCGCGCTTGTCCTGCTCTGTAAATTTTGTTTTGGGCCAGGCGTGGTGGCTCACACCTGCAGTCCCAGCACTACGGGAGGCCGAGGCACGAGGGTCGCTGGAGGCCACGAGTTTGAGTCCCCCAGCCTGGGTAACGTAACGAGACCGTGTCTTTAAAAATCATAAAAGACAGATCAGCTGGGCGTAGTGACACGGGTGCCTGTCGCCCCGGCTCCTGAAGAGGCTGAGGTGGGAGGATCGCTTTAGCCCAGGAGTTGGAGGCTGTAGCGAGCTGTGATCTCACCACCGCACTCCAGCCTGGGCGACAGAGCAAGATCTTGTCTCGAAAACAAAACAAAACAAAACACAAAAATTTAAAAAACAGATTGAGAACCCTTGGCCCCCACCTCTTACCAGCTCGGTCACAATTGCAAACCAGAGGCCGGGCACGGTGGCTCACGCCTGTCATCCCAGCGCTTCGGGAGGCCGAGGCGGGTGGATCATGAGGTCAGGAGCTCGAGAACATCCTGGCCAACATGGAGAAACCCCATCTCTACTGAAAATACAAACTTAGCCGGGCGTGGTGGCTCACGCCTGTCATCCGAGCACTTTGGGAGGCCGAGGCGGGCGGATCACGAGGTCAGGAGCTCAAAAGCAGCCTGACCAACATGGAGAAAGCCTGTCTCTACTAAAAATACCAACTTAGCCGGGCATGGTGGTGCACGCCTGTCATCCCAGCGCTTCGGGAGGCCGAGGCGGGCGGATCATGAGGTAGGGAGCTCGAGACCAGCCTGACCAACATGGAGAAACCCTGTCTCTACTAAAAATACAAAATTAGCCGGGCGTGGTGGTGGCAGGTGCCTGCAATCCCAGTTACTCAGGAGAGGCTGAGGCAGGAGAATCGCTTGAACCCGGGAGGCGGAGGTTGCAGTGAGCCGAGATCGCACCCCTGCACTCCAGGCTGGGCAACAGAGCAAAAACTCTGTCTCAAAAATAATATAATAATAATAATAATAATAATAATAATAATAAAAACAACTGTTTTCATGCTGCAGACAGCACACAGGCCAGGACGTCAGGGTCTCGTGAGGGGCCGTCGGAGAACGTCTAAGGGACGTCCCTGCATTCCTGGCTGGAGGTCCTGCGCCAGCGCCCTCCTTGTGAGAACACTTTCGCTCTGCAAACTCTCAGAGCCCCCACCTGCTCCCGCCTCCCGTCTGTCCTGGTTCTTGGGACCCCGGAGCCTTCTCTGTCCAGACCTCCCAGGTCCTGACGGGAATCCGGATAAACTCCTTGGGGCGAAGGTGTTAACGGCAGGGCCCCTGTCTAATGTATTTCGCCACCCAGATAAAATGAGTGTTTTCACAGCTGCCGTTAATTTCTTACCCTGAGGAAGAAAGGAAGGACTTTGAGGCACCTGCGGCCGGGTTGGGGTGGGGCAGGGGGATTTCTGGACGCGGACGGCGTGTGGGGAGTTCCTGGGGTCCCCAGAGCCACACCACGTAGGTGGCAGCCGGCTCCGTCCTGCAAAGCCCCGGCTTCGGTGAAAGATTTATCACCTGCTCGGCCTCGGAGACGGGGAAGAAAAACACAGCCTGGAAGTGGTCCTGGCTGATGGACGGGCCCCTGGGGAGCTGTCCCCAAATGCGCGTCTTCTTTCTCCTTTCTGTCACAGCCTCCCGGCCCTGCCCTGGCTGAGTGGGGCTTTCAGTGAACGCTTGTTGAGTGTCCACGGAGCTGTGAGTGCTGTTCCGGGTGCTGGGTACGTGGTGGGGTGTGTGAGGTTCCCTCCTCTCTAGTGCAGAGATCAGGAGTGAGTAGACAAAGAAAATAGCATCTAACTGCTGCTTGTGATGAGTTTTTTTTTTTTTTTTTTTTGAGACAGAGTCTTGCTCTTGTTACCCAGGCTGGAGAGCAATGGCGTGATCTTGGCTCACGGCAACCTCTGCTTCCGGGTTCAAGGCATCCTCCTGCCTCAGTCTCCCGAGTAGCTGGGAGTACAGGCACCTGCCACCACGCCTGGGTAATTTTGTATTTTTAGTAGAGACGGGGTTTCACCATGTTGGTCAGCCTGGTCTGGAACTCCTGACCTCAGGTGATCCATCCATCTCGGCCTCTTAAAGTGCTGGGATTACAGGCGTGAGCCGCCATGTCTGGCCTTTTTCTTTTTTTTTTTTTTTTTTTTGAGATGGTCTTGCTCTCATTGCCCAGGCTGGAGTGCAATGGTGCAATCTTGGCTCACTGCAACTTCTGCTTCCGGGTTCAAGGCATCCTCCTGCCTCAGCCTCCCGAGTAGCTGGGATTACACGTGTGCACCACCATGCCCGGCTAATTTTGTATTTTTAGTAGAGACTGGGTTTCACTATCTTAGTTAGGCTGGTCTCGAACTCCCAACCTCATGATCTGCCCGCCTCAGCCTCCCAAAGTGCTGGGATGACAGGCATGAGCCACCGCACCTGGCCTATTTTTTTTTTTTTTTTTGAGACAGAGTCTTGCTCTTACTGTGTAGGCTGGAGTACAGTGGGCGAACTCGGCTCACTGCAACCTCTGCTCCGGGGTTCAAGGCATCCTCCTGCCTCAGCCTCCCGAGTAGCTGGGATTACAGGCGCCCACCACCACTCCTGGGTAATTTTGTATTGTTAGTAGAGACTGGGTTTCACTATGTTAGTCAGGCTGGTCTCGAACTCCTGACCTCAGGTGATCCACCCACCTCGGCCTCCCAAAGTGCTGCGATGACAGGCGTGAGCCACCGTGCGTGGCCTTTTTTTTTTTTTTTTTGAGATGGAGTCTTGCTCTCATTGCCCAGGCTAGAGTGCAATGGGCGAACTCGGCTCACTGCAACCTCCACTCCCGGGTTCAAGGGATCCTCCTGCCTCAGCCTCCTGAGTAGCTGGAATGGCAGGTGCATGTCACCATGTTTGGCTAATTTTTTTTTTTTTTTTTCATAAAGACAGAGTCTTGCTAGGTTTCCCAGGCTGGTCTCAAACTCCTGGCCTCAAGTCATCCTCCCACCTCAGCCTCCCGAAGTGCTGGGATTCCAGGCGTGAGCCACCGTACCTGGCCCCTTCAGCATTTTTAAAATATCATTACCCCTTCAAAGACACCTCCAGGAGCAGCCAAAGTTGGTACCCTTGTTATTCCCCATCTCAACACCCCGTGAATTCATTTCTCCAAAAGAACTCATCACAAGCAGGCCACGTGCGGTGGCTCACACCAGTCATCCCAGCACTTTGGGAGGACAAGGCGGGTGGATCATCTGAGGTCAAGAGTTCGAGACCAGCCTGGCTAACACGGTGAAACCCCATCTCTACTAAAAATACAAAAAATTAGCCGGGCATGGTGGCGGGCACCTGTAGTCCCAGCTACTCGGGAGGCTGAGGCAGGAGAATCACTTGAACCCGGGAGGCAGAGGTTGCAGTGAGCCAAGATCGTGCCACTGCCCTCCAGCCTGGGCAACAGAGCGAGACTCCGTCTCCAAAAAAAAAAAAAAGTGCTGAAAAGAAGCAAGAAGGAGGAGCTGGCTGTGCGCAGGGAAAAGCAATGCAGGAAGAAGGATCAGCGTGTGCAAAGACTCTGAGCTGGGAAAAACCTCTGTGTATTCCGAGAACCGAGACAGGGAGGCAGGCTTAGGGTGGAGAGGAGGATGGCAAGGTGGAGGGTTGAAGGGTTTCCCAGCAGCCTGCAGGGCTGATTGGGAGCTCAGATACTCCATGACAAGGACAAAGGGAAGGGGTCTGTATGCAGCTGTGTCTCCGCTCTCTTTCTTGCTCAGAGCATGGAGACCTCGAGTCCAGCTTCCTTTGCGTGCGTAGGGGCCTCTCTGGGTGATGGAGCCCTCCCGAGTGGTAGGTTGGGAGAACCACAGAATTAACCGCACCCTCCAGAGTCTCTCCCAACCAAGGGCTGTCGACGGTGGGTGCATAAATACCTGGGAGGGGCCGGGTGCGGTGGTTCACGCCTGTCATCCCAGCACTTTGGGAGGACAAGGCGGGCGGATCACCTGAGGTCAAGAGTTCGAGACCAGCCTGGTCAACATGGTGCAACCCCCCCGCCTCTGCTAAAAATACAAAAAATTAGCTGGGTGTGGTGGCGGGCGCCTGTAATCCCAGCTAGTCGAGAGGCTGAGGCAGGAGAATCGCTTGAACCCGGGAGGCAGAGGTTGCAGTGAGCTGAGATGGCACCACTGCACTCCAGCCTGGGTGAGAGAAAGAAACTGTCTAAAATAAACAGGGAAAACACCTCTGGGGCTTATGTCTTTCCCGCCTGCATCCGATGAACCTTAGGTGACCGCTGGGGACGGTACTGAGGGTTCCAGGCAGAGGAAAGCCACATCTGCATGCAGAGAAAACTCCAGTGGGGACAGAGGGGGTGCATCGTGTTTAGAAGCCACGTGGGGGGTGGGGGGGCAGGTGTGTCTCATCGCACACGTGTGAACGGAGTGCCGGGGGCCCCTCTTCTCCTGAGCCCCCAAAGGCACGAGCCGGTGGGTCTCGGGAGTTGTGGGGCGATTCCTGGAGGTGGCTCTGTGCAAAGTGTTGTCATATCAGCCAGGAAAACACCCCCTTGCCACAGCCTCAAGTCAACCCAATCTCGTCTGAAAGGTTTGGATGGAGGTGGGGGGGTCCCTGGCTTCCGTCGCTGGAGCGGTGGCCGCAGGGCTGGTCTTCACTGTCATCGTGATGTCACCATCGTCCTCACGTTGGGTGTCTCCCTGGATTCTCGGCTCTCCAGGGAGGCGGCGACGGCCCATCCCACCAGCTGCCCACGGAGGCGGGGTCCCCGGGATGCAGGCTTGACCTCAGAGGAAAACCCACCTGAGCCATTCTAGGGGGAGGGGACACCAGGACCCCCCAAAGGCCTGGTCGGCTGAGGTCATGGTTCATCCCGGGGTTGGGGGAGGGGACACCAGGACCCCCCAAAGGCCTGGTCGGCTGAGGTCATGGTTCATCCCGGGGTTGGGGGAGGGGACACCAGGACCCCCCAAAGGCCTGGTCGGCTGAGGTCATGGTTTATCCCGGGGTTGGGGGAGGGGACACCAGGACCCCCCAAAGGCCCGGTCAGCTGAGGTCATGGTTCATCCCGGGGTTGGAGCAGAACGGGCCGTGGAGGATGGGCTCAGGGAGTGTTTGTTCATGGCGTGAATTCACACGGAATCTTCCTGCCTCCCTCCTTCCTTCCTTCTTTCCTCCCTCCCTCCGTCCTTTCGTTCCCTCCTTCCTTCCAATTTCCTCCCTCTCTCCCTCCCTGCCTTTCTTTGTGGACAGCCTGGCATCTGCACCGTGTCCTGGCTGAGCCTCCTGCCAGCTCTGCGGCCTCGTTGAGGGGGGCGGGGTGCGTGTCTCACCATCTTTGCACCTCAGCTTCCCCATCTGTGACGCAGGGACGGCAACAGGCACCCCTCGAGGTCACCCCTCCAGCATTTGTTTACAGCTGTCTCACATGAACTTAGATCCATGGAAGAGCGTCACCCTGACTCGTCAACCTGCAAAAACGGCCCAGGACAGAGAGGGGGGCCCTTGGGATGGTGGCGGCCGGGACCCGAGGCTGTTGTCCGGTCGTAGAGCCTTAGAGGCTGTTGGCGGTGTAGACGCGGGTCCCAGGCTGCAAGCTGCCTCTCTCCTCTGCCTCAGGCTCTTCTTTTCTATTTATTTATTTTTAAGACAGGGTCTCGCTCTGTCACCCAGGCTGGAGTGCAGTGGTGCCATCTCGGCTCACAGCAGCCTCCAACTCCTGGGCTCAAGCCGTCCTCCCGCCTCAGCCTCCCGAGCAGCGGAGACCACAGGCATGTGCCGGGCTAATTTTCTAATGTTTTGTAGAGATGACGTCTTTGCTACGTTGCCCAGGCTGGTGTTGAACTCCTGGGCTCAAGGCCTCCTCTCGCTCTGGTCTCCCAAAGTGCTGGGATTAGAGGTGTGAGCCACCGCGTCTGGCCAAGACGTCTTTTGGGGGGGACATAATTCTCAACCAAATTGCCTCTGTCTCTCCTTCTCACTCTCTCTCTCTCCACACACACACACACACACACACACACACACACAGCTTGTATGTATATACGCATTTATACAGGTGTGGAGGTGTTTGTGCATATATAGATATATATGATATATACGTATATTTAAGCCATTAGAACATGATTTCCATTGCTAATATTTCAGTGAATATCTCTTTTCTAGCTCTAACTCCACACACACACACAGACACACAGACACATCCCTTGTATGTATATATGCATTTATACAGGTGTGGAGGTATTTGTGCATATAGAGATATATATGATCTAGATGTATATTTAACCCATTAGAAAATGATTTTCATGCTGATAGTACTTCAGTGAATATCTCTTAAAAATATTGATCGCACACGTCCCTCATGAAAAGCAATGGTTCCCTAAACACAGACTGTCTGGTCCATCTCGGAGTTTCCACAGTCGTGACTCACATGCAAGCAATGTACAACTATGGCAGGGCTGGGCTCCTTCCCTCCCAGACAGGCTCAAGGTTATGCTCCCTGTGCCGGGATCAGAATCTGGAATCAGGACGGCCACTCCAGTGACATGAAAGGCACACGGGTGACAGGACGGACACCCCAGAGACAGGACGGACGCCCCAGAGACAGGACGGACGCCCCAGAGACAGCACGGAGACCCCAGAGACAGCACGGACACCCCCAGAGACAGGACGGACACCCCAGAGACAGGACTGATGCCCCAGAGACAGGACGGACGCCCCCAGAGACAGCACGGAGACCCCAGAGACAGGACG
This sequence comes from Homo sapiens, assembly GCF_000001405.40. Classification (NCBI taxonomy): domain Eukaryota; kingdom Metazoa; phylum Chordata; class Mammalia; order Primates; family Hominidae; genus Homo; species Homo sapiens. Next base: position 427,378 of record NC_000024.10, read on the forward strand.
GACGCCCCAGAGACAGGACTGATGCCCCAGAGACAGGACGGACGCCCCCAGAGACAGCACAGAGACCCCAGAGACAGGACGGACGCCCCAGAGACAGGACGGAGACCCCAGAGACAGCACGGATGCCCCAGAGACAGGACGGAGGCCCCAGAGACAGCACGGACGCCCCAGAGACAGGACGGACGCCCCAGAGACAGGACGGACACCCCAGAGACAGCACGGACGCCCCAGAGACAGGACGGACGCCCCAGAGACAGGATGGAGGCCCCAGAGACAGCACGGACGCCCCAGAGACAGGACGGACGCCCCAGAGACAGCACGGACGCCCCAGAGACAGGACGGACGCCCCAGAGACAGGACGGGCGCCCCAGAGACAGGACGGACGCCCCAGAGACAGGACGGACACCCCAGAGACAGCACGGACGCCCCAGAGACAGGACGGCCGCCCCGGCCCCGCGTTTTCCATGACATATTTTCTCTTCGGCCACAGGATGGCAGTGCCAGCTACGGAAACGGTGGACCGTTGTCGGACCCTTTGCTGAGTTTTGAAACACGTCACTGCCTTCAGCCTTGTGGGTCCCCGGGCTGCGAACCCCGGGACCGCCTTCCCGCCTCGTGGGCCGGGGCTCAGGTCTTTACATTCATCCCAAACCGGGTTCAAGCCCCATCCCTCCCCCGGCTGCCAACCCCGTGCCGTTCAGGCCCCGTAACCGGCTACTTCGGAACTGACGTCGTGAAACCTTTGCTCGACTGTGTTTCTGACGCTCCCGTCACAGAACAGAAGCTGTCGGGAGTGAGCAATGGTCTAGCCCAGGAGAGGAAAATCAGCCGCGTTTCACTTTGCACCGTCATCTCCTCAGCCGCCCCGTTCCCTCCCACACTTGCAAGATTCCGAGGGAGGAAGCCGCTTCTCGGACCCGGGTCCCAAGCTGTGCAGAAAAGGCCAAGGACACATTTCCGTGTCTGTAGACGCAGCAGGCGGCCGCCAGGGCCTCTTGGGCAAAAGACTCCCATTCCCGGCTTTGCCTGCAGACACCCCTCCTCACACGGGCTCTGGAGGTCTGTTGGGGTTTTCCTCAAAAAGTTTATTTTTTTTGTGGTTTGCTTTTCTAGACAGGGTCTCATTCTGTCATCCGGGGGCTGGAGCACGGCGGGAATGATCTCGGCTCAGAGCAGCCTCCGGCTACTGTGGCCTCAAGTGATCCTCCCGCCTCAGCCTCCCGAGTAGCCGGGACCAGAGGCACCTGCCACCACGCCCAACTCATTTTTTTGTATTTTTTTGTATTTTTTGTAGAGACGGGGTTTCTCCATGTTGCCTGGGCTGGTCTTGAACTCCTGGGATCAAGCCGTCCAGCACCTCAGCCTCCCAACGTGCCGGGATGACGGGTGTGAGCCACCGCACCGGGCCTATTTTATTTTATTATTTCTTTTGTAGAAATTGTTTAAGTGGCTACAAAAGTCCACAAACATCCTCCCTGAGATTCTCCCTTAGAATAATCGTCTTCGTGGGCACACAGCATGTGCTGCTGCTGACCTGAGTGGCCTCGGCTCGACGTCTAGACGGCTCAGCGTTTGGACAGTTTCCAATCAGGGTCTGTCACCCAGGCTGGAGTCTGGGTGTGATCTCGGCTCACTGCAGCCTGTTTCCTCCCTCCCTTCCTTTCCTCCCTCCTTCCTTTCCTCCGTCCCTCCTTTCCTCCCTCCTTCCTTTCCTCCCTCCCTGCCTCTCTTCCTTCCTTTCTTCCTGGACAGCCTGGCATCTGCACCGTGTCCTGGCTGAGCCTCCTGCCAGCTCTGTGGCCTCGTTGAGGGGGGCGTGTCTCACCATCTTTGCACCCCAGTTTCCCCATCTGTGAGGCAGGGACGGAAACAGGCACCCCTCGAGGTCACCCCTCCAGCATTTGTTTACAGCTGTCTCACATGAACTTAGATCCATGGAAAAGCGTCACCCTGACTCGTCGAGCTGCAAAAACGGCCCAGGACAGAGAGGGGGGCCCTTGGGATGGTGGCGGCCGGGACCCGAGGCTGTTGTCCAGTCATAGAACCTCAGAGCCTGTTCAAATCAGGGTCTCGCTCTGTCACCCAGGCTGGAGTCTGGGTGTGATGTCGGCTCACCGCAGCCTCCACCTCCTGGGCTCGAGCGATTCTCCTGCCTCAGCCTCCGGAGGAGCTGGGACCACAGGTGCCCGCCACCACGCTGGGCCGATTTTTACAGTTTTTGTAGAGATGGGGCCTCACTGTGTTGTCCAGGCTGGTCTTGAACTGTTAACCTCAAGCGATCCTCCTGCCTCGGCCATCCAGGGTCCTGCAATGATGGGCGTGAGCCACTGTGCCTGGCCTATTTTTTATTGCTGAGGGTTTTGCAGAAATCATGTAAGAAGTGGCCGGACGCAGTGACTCACGCCTGTCATCCCAGCACTCTGGGAGGCCGAGGCGGGTGGATCACCAGAAGTCAGGAGTTCGAGACCAGCCTGGGCAACATGGCGAAACCCCGTCTCTACTAAAATACGAAAGAAATTGGCTGGGAGTGGTGGCAGGTGCCTGTAGTTCCAGCTACTCAGGAGGTTGAGGCAGGAGAATTGCTTGAACCTGGGAGGTGGAGGTTGCAGTGAGCTGAGATCGCACCATTGCACTCCAGCCTGGGCAACGAGAGTGAAACTCCATCTCAAAAAAAGAAAAAAAGGCTGGACACAGTGGCTCACGCCTGTCATCCCAGCACTTTGGGAGGCTGAGGCGGACAGATTGCCTGAGCTCAGGAGTTCGAGACCAGCCTGGCCAACATGTTGAAACCCCGTCTCTACTAAAATACAAAAGAAATTAGCTGGGAGTGGTGGCAGGTGCCTGTAATCCCAGCTACTCAGGAGGCTGAGGCAGGAGAATTGCTTGAACCTGGGACACGGAGGTTGCAGTGAGACGAGATTGCCCCATCGCACTCCAGCCTGCAACAGAGCGAGACTCCTTAACAAGGGAGGCTATTCTGACACCTGCTACCATGTGGAAGAAGCTTGACAATATTGACCAATCAGCCAGACACAGAAAGACAAGTCCTGTGTGATTCCACTTCGAGGAGGTCCCTCGAGTCACCAGAGTCACAGAGACAGAAAGTATAACGGTGGGTGCCGGGGGCTGAGGAGGGCGAATGGAGCTGTCGTTGAAGGGGGGGGTCGCAGTTTCGGGTTTAGAAGTGGAATTTTGGAGACAAATCACGGGGATGGTTGCAGAAAAGTGTGAGCGTGCTTGTTACCCCGGAACTGTGCACATAAAGATGTCTCACCTGTTGGCCGGGCGCGGTGGCTCACGCCTGTCATCCCAGCACTTGGGGAGGCCGAGGTGGGTGGATCACTTGAGGTCAGGAGATCAAGACCAGCCTGGCTAACATGGTGAAACCCCGTCTCTACTAAAAATACAAGAAAAAAATTAGCCGGGTGTGGTGGCGGGCACCTGTAGTCCCAGCTGCTCGGGAGGCTGAGGCAGGAGAATGGCATGAACCCGGGAGGCGGAGGTTGCAGTGAGCTGAGATCGCACCACTGCACTCCAGCCTGGGCGACAGAGCGAGACTCCATCTCAAACAAACAAAAAAGGGCTCGTGTGTATGAGGCTGGGGACGCAGGAGAGGGTCTCTCCCCCTGAAACTCGGGGGGTCCTGGGAAAGAATCCAGCCTCCAGCCTGGCCCTGGGAACCCTGGACCAGGCAGGGGGTCACTGCCCCCTTCCTGGGGAGTCTCAGCTGAAAATAGCTCATCTCACAGGGGACCCGCACGGCTGACGTCCAGGACGAGCCCGAGACTCCTCAAGAAAAGCCTCGTGTTAAACACACGTGTGTCTCCTCGCCTGCCGGTTTAATGCCCAGTCGTGGGGTCCTGGGTTGTGGCCACGAAGTCCTATTCCTCTGTCGCCAGGGTGAGAAGGTGGCTGTCGGCAGGGATTTTGGGATCAGGCAGGTGACTTCTCACGAAGGCTGGTTTCTCAGCCTCACATCTGCCGACATCGGGGGCTGGAGGATTCTCCGTCGTGGGGCGTCCTGTGCCCTGTGGGGTGTCGGGGACATGTTCTCACTCGGAGGACACATTGATTCAAACCATAGGATACACAGTTGATTCATACATGTATGATTGATAGGTGATTGGTTGACAGATAGTTGATGGATAGATATTGATATAGATGCATGATTAATAGGTGATTGACAGATGATAGACATTAATATAAATGTATGATTGATTGGTTGACAGATGATAGATAATTGATATAGATGCATGATTAATAGGTGATTGACAGATAATTGATAGGCATTAATATAAATGTATGATTGATAGATGATTGGTTGACAGATAATTGATATAGACACATGATTAATAGGTGATTGACAGATAATTGATAGACATTAATAGAAATGTATGATTGATGATTGGTTGACAGATGATTGATAATTGATATAGATGCATGATTAATAGATGGTTGATAATTGACAGATAATTGGTATAGATGCATGATTGATAGATGATTTATTGACAGACAATTGATACATAAGCGATACAGATGCATGATTGATAGGGAATTGATTGACAGATGATTGATAATTTATATAGATGTATGACTGATCAGTGATTGGTTGATAGGTAATTGATATAGATGCATGATTGACAGATGATTGGTTGTCAGATAATTGACCGATAGTAATGGATAGCTGATTAATAGATAGATAATTGATTAATCAATAATTGATAGATGATAGATAAAGAATCTCTCATGCCCAGGCAGCTTTCTCAGCTCTGGCACTGCTGATGTTTGGGACTGGAGGACTCTCTGTCTTGGGGCCACCCTGGGTGCTGCAGGGTGCTAACTCTCTTGATGAGGCCGTCCTGGGTACTGTAGGGTACTGAGTCTCTGTGATGAAGCCGTCCTGGGCTCTGTAGGGTGTTGAGTCTGAGTCTCTGTGATGAGGCCGTCCTGGGCCCTGTAGGATGCTGAGTCTCTGTGATGAGGCCGTCCTGGACACTGTAGGGTGCTGAGTCTGAGTCTCTGTGATGAGGCCGTCCTGGGCCCTGTAGGGTGTTAAGTCTCTGTGATGAGGCCGTCCTGGACACTGTAGGGTGCTGAGTCTCTGTGATGAGGCCGTCCTGGGCACTGTAGGGTGTTGAGTCTGAGTCTCTGTGATGAGGCCGTCCTGGGCCCTGTAGGGTGTTGAGTGTCTGTGATGAGGCCGTCCTGGGAGCTGTAGGGTGTTGACTCTGTGGTGGGGCCGTCCTGGGCGCTGTAGGGTGCTGAGTCTCTGTGATGAGACCGTCCTGGGAGCTGTAGGGTGTTGACTCTGTGGTGGGGCCATCCTGGGCGCTGTAGGGTGCTGAGTCTCTGTGATGAGACCGTCCTGGGAGCTGTAGGGTGTTGACTCTGTGGTGGGGCCGTCCTGGGCGCTGTAGGGTGCTGAGTCTCTGTGATGAGGCCGTCCTGGGAGCTGTAGGGTGTTGACTCTGTGGTGGGGCCGTCCTGGGCGCTGTAGGGTGTTGAGTCTCTGTGATGAGGCCGTCCTGGGAGCTGTAGGGTGTTGACTCTGTGGTGGGGCCGTCCTGGGCGCTGTAGGGTGCTGAGGAGCGTCCCTGGGCTCCACCCAGCAGATGCCAGTTCACCCCCATGTTGTGACATGCAGACATGTCCCCTGATATTGCTGAGTGTGTCCGGGGAGGGGGCAGGATGTCCCCTGGCTGAGAACCACACTGCACTAAGGAATTAAGAGGACGGCCGCACTTAGAGACACAGTTGCCCATGAGCTCATACCGGCTTCTCCAAGCAGGTCACTCTGAAATCTTGTTTTTTTTTTGTTTTTTTTTTTTTTTTTTTTTTTTTTTGAGACAAAGTCGTGCTCTTGTCGCCCAGGCTGGAGTGCGGTGGTGCCATCTCGGCTCACTGCAAGCTCCGCCTCCCGAGTTCACACCATTCTCCTGCCTCAGCCTCCCGAGTAGCTGGGACTACAGGTGCCCGCCACCACGCCCGGATACTTTTTTGTATTTTTAGTAGAGACCGGGTTTCACCGTGTTAGCCAGGATGGTCTCGATCTCCTGACCTCGTGATCCGCCTGCCTCGGCCTCCCAAAGTGCTGGGATGACAGGCGTCAGCCACTGCGCCCGGCCCAACAGCTCTTTAAGTGGCTTGATTATGACCCTTGCACGCTGGCACCTGTCTTTGGGATCTTGGCATGGGCATGGACCCATGGATTAGTCAAACACCAACAGGGGCTCAGAAGGAAGGAGAGAATCTATATGGGAGGCTGGCACCTGGCAAGGGATGATCCCTTCATTGCTGCAAAGGCAATGAAGAAGGAAGAAGGAGGCAATGAACAAAGGAAGAAAGGAAGGGAGGAGTGATGGAACGAAGGAAGGAAGGGGAAGGAGGGAGGGAAGGACGAAAGGAAGGAAGGAGGGAGGGAAGGAAGGAAGGAAGGAAGCTTCCATTCTTCCATTGTAGCAGCAGCGTACACTGCCCAGCCCGGGCTTCGTTTCCACTTTCTGTGACCTGGTGTGGCGGTGAGTCTTACTCAGCGTGCTTGAGCCGAAATGTCACCAGCTGCCCGCCGACCTGGGATGACACCTTGGGCCGTTCTGTTTTCTCCCGTTCACCGGTCAAGACGCTGAAACTCGGGAGCTTTTGGCGGCCGAGCTGCGTGAAGGGACTTCAAGAGACGAGGAGACGGACCCCGTGGAAACCTCTCCCACCTGGCGATTGGTGAGGAGGACAGAGGCGACGGCAGAGGCGGTTTCATTTTGTGCTTTGAGACGGCCGTTTTGAGGTTGGGAGGCAGCCGCGATGGGAGTTGGGTTTGTCAATGGCATTTTTTTTTTTTTACTTTTTTATTATTATACTTTAAGTTCGAGGGTACATGTGCACAAAGCGCAGGTTAGTTACATACGTATACATGTGCCATGCTGGTGTGCTGCACCCATTAACTCGTCATTTACATTGGGTATGTCTCCTAATGCTGTCCCTCCCCTCTCCCCCAGGAAACAACAGGTGCTGGAGAGGATGTGGAGAAGTAGGAACACTTTTACACTGTTGGTGGGACTGTCAACTAGTTCAACCATTGTGGAAGTCAGTGTGGCGATTCCTCAGGGATCTAGAACTAGAAATACCATTTGACCCAGCCATCCCATTGCTGGGTATATACCCAAAGGACTATAAATCATGCTGCTATAAAGACACATGCACACGTATGTTTATTGCGGCACTGTCCACAATAGCAAAGACTTGGAACCAACCCAAATGTCCAACAACGATAGACTGGATGAAGAAAATGTGGCACATATACACCATGGAATACTATGCAGCCATGAAAAAGGATGAGTTCATGTCCTTTGTAGGGACGTGGATGGAATTGGAAATCATCATTCTCAGTAAACTATCGCAAGGACTAAAAACCAAACATATTCTCACTCATAGGTGGGAATTGAACCATGAGAACACTTGGACACAGGAAGGGGAACATCACACACCGGGGACTGTTGTGGGGTGGGGGGAAGGGGGAGGAATAGCGTTAGGAGATATACCTAATGCTACACCAACATGGCACATGTATACGTATGTAACAAACCTGCACATTGTCCACATGTACCCTAAAACTTAAAGTATAATAATAATAATAATAATAATAATAATAATAGTAATAATAAGCTGACCAGGATTTCCCCTCAGAAGGGCCCTTTCCCTGAGGGTCTTCGCTCCCCGAGGCGGACCCTACAGTGATCCGTGTGGGGGTTCCTGGGGCGGCGGTCGTCCCCTCCCGGGGGGTCTCCTGGCACCGATCTCACCTGCGGGAGCCTCTCCGGCCTGGCTCTTTGATGTGCAGAGATGGCGAAGAAGAAAATAACTTTAAAAATGGTGAGAAGCCGTCATTGAAGTTAACATAAAAGAGGATGACGCGGGGTGTTAATTGGTCTGTCTCTGGCATAATTTGGGCCCGGGAGACGGGGTCCCTGGGCCCCTCGCCCGAGAGCGGAGACTCACATCTTTAATTCAGCAATCTTTGTATTAATTACCTCCGCATAGGTACGCTTTGATTGGGAGCGCTTTCTTATAAAATCACAGCGATCGTCTGCCTTAAGATAAATAGATGAGAGTTGAGCTGGGGGAAGAAAAAAAAAAAAAAACAGTTCATTCGACTCTGAATATCAAATTCAGGATAAAACACCACTGATTCTCGGTCATTCTCAGTAGGGGAAGGAGCTTCTATTCTTGACCCAGCCCACGACACGTGCCGGGGCTGTCAGCGCCGTGAGAGGCACCTGTGTCTCCCCGAGCTGAGGACGGATGACATTTGTACCTACAGGTTTGTATACGGTCCTGGGAGGTGCCTCCTTGCCAGTGAAGGACCAGAACTCACGGCCGGCCATGGGTGCCCGGCGCCGGGATGGGCAGGAGCGGTGGCCCCAGGTCCCGGGTGTGGGTGAGGCCCCAGGAAAGAGGAGAATTCACTGGGAAAATGCAGAGCTGAGGGAAAAGACAGGGGTGTCCCGGGGACCCGTCCAGACCGCAGGATGGTGTGAGGCCGGGAGGTGGACGCGGCGGTGAGCTGTGATTGCGCCACTGCACTCCAGCCTGGGTGACAGGGCAACACCCTGTCTCTCTCTCTCTCTCTCTCTCTCTTTTTTGTTTTTGGAGATAGAGTCTCGCTCTGTCACCCAGGCTGGAGTGCAGGGGCGTGATCTCGGCTCTCTGCAACCTCCGCCTCCCGGGTTCAAGCCATTCTCCTGCTTCAGCCTCCCGAGTAGCTGGGATGACAGGCACCTGCCAGCACGCCCGGCTGATTTTGTATTTTTAGTAGAGATGGGGTTTCACCATGTTGGTCAGGCTGGTCTCGAACTCATGAGCTCAGGGGATCCGCCTGCCTCAGCCTCCCAGAGTGCTGGGATGACAGGTGTGAGCCACTGCGCCCGGCCAGGAATCAGTTTTTATTACGCTCAAAATCCCCTAAAAACTAGGCACCAGGGGAGGATGAACTGGCTCAGAGAGAAAGAGAGAGAGACACAGAGACAGAGACAAAGAGAGAGGCAGAGAGACAGAGACAAAGAGAAAGAGAGATAGAGAGAGAGAAAGAGAGACAGACGCAGAGAGACAAAGAGAGATGGAGAGACAGAGAAAGAGACACAGAGAGAGGCAGAGACAGAGAAAGAAAGAGAGGCAGAGACAGACGGAGAGATACAAAGATGGAGAGACAGAGAGAGACAGAGAGGGACAGAGAGATACAGATACAGAGAGAGACGTAGAGACACAGAGAGAGACAAAGACGGAGAGACAGAGAGAGACAGAGAGATACACACAGAGAGACAGAGACAGAGACAGCAGACGGAGAGAGAGAGAGATGGAGATGGAGAGAGACAGAGACACAGAGAGAGACAGACACAGAGAGAGACAGAGAGACAAAGATGGAGAGACAGAGACAGAGAGACAGAGACACACAGAGAGACAGAGACAGAGAGACACAGAGAGAGACAGACAGAGAGATGGAGAGACAGAGAGACACAGAGAGAGGCAGAGACAGAGACAGAAAGACAGAGAGGCAGAGACAGAGGGAGAGATACAAAGATGGAGAGACAGAGAGAGACAGAGAGGGACAGAGAGATACAGATACAGAGAGACGTAGAGACACAGAGAGAGACAAAGACAGAGAGACAGAGAGAGACAGAGAGATACACACAGAGAGACAGAGACACAGAGACAGCAGACGGAGAGAGACAGATGGAGATGGAGAGAGACAGAGACACAGAGAGAGACAGAGACACAGAGAGAGACAGAGAGACAAAGATGGAGAGACAGAGACAGAGAGACAGATACACACAGAGAGACAGAGACAGACACAGAGAGAGACAGACAGAGAGATGGAGAGACAGAGAGACACAGAGAGAGGCAGAGACAGAGAAACAGAGAGACAGAGAGACAGAGACACAGACAGAGACAGAGACAGGGAAGGAAGGAAGGGAGGGAGGGAAGGAGGAAATGAAACCAAAGAAAGGAAAGAAAAACCCCCAAGAGTCACAATCAATATACGTCCTGCACAAATTCCTGCAGTTTCCAGGAGGTTCCCGCAGCTCCCCGGGGCCCGCCACCCCCCGCCACCCCCCACCCACTCCCAGAGCCGCCTCCTTCAACACCCCGACGTGCTTCATCTACCACGAGGCCCACGGCGGCTTCCGGAATATGCGGCAACTTTTTATTTTTTTTTTATTTTTATTTTTTTTAAGGGGTAAAAAAAGATAAAGCAAACACGGAACAGCACACTCCTCCCGGCCTTCCTTCTTCTGACACCGTTTTCCTTTAGAAGATCTGAAACTACAAGTCAGGACATGACACGTGGAGCGTCCCAGGCACGCGCAGCCTCTGCTGTTTGATTTCCGACGTGAGTCTATAGGTGAGGCTGACAGGTTTCAGATGGAAGAGGCAGGGCAGACGCCTTTCAAGAGAGGCGCGTTGTCTGGGTAAATCCATCAAGGGTGCGTCCTGGGAGACGACGGGCCGCCTTTGTAGACAACGCCACGGCACGGGGGCCCCCCACGCTGGGCGCCCACCCCGGCTGGCTGACAGGCGGCCCCCGTTTCACCGTGATCACGAGTAAAAGCCAGTTCCCTGCAGGTTACGGGGCTGCTGTGTTTTGACATTGACCTTAATGCATAATTTAACCACAAAGCATATGAGGTACGTGCAACCAGATGAGGAAAGGCCACAGGACTGGCAGGTAACGTGATGCTGAATCAGAAAGGATGTTTGTTCCCGATCGTGCGGACGTGGGGGCCTCTGCCGAAGAGGCGGAGAGGGGAGGAGGGGGAGGAGGAGGCCGCGGTCGTGTCTGTCCCAGGGCTGTCGAGGAGAAGTCGGTCTGGGGTCCTGGATGAGGAGCAGAGCTCGGGGAGCTGTTAACATTTCCTGGGACAGCGATGGGCTTGGAGAGCCTCACTGTGCACACATGTGGCCTGTTTTTTTTATTTTTATTTTTAGTTTTTGAGATGGAGTCTCGCTCTGTTGCCCAGGCTGGAGTGCAGGGGTGTGATCTCGGCTCACTGCAACCTCCACCTCCCGGGTTCAAGCCATTCTCCTGCCTCAGCCTCCCGAGTAGCTGGGACTACAGGCGCCCGCCGCCACGCCCAGCTAATTTTTTGTATTTTTAGTAGAGACGGGGTTTCACCATGTTGGCCAGGCTGGTCTCGAACTCCTGACCTCCGGATCAGCCCGCCTCGGCCTCCCAAAGTGCTGGGATGACAGGCGTGAGCCACCGCGCCCGGCTATGTGGCCTGTTTGCTGGGACGGAGCCGCTGGCATCCTGGCGGCAGCTTCAAAACACAGTCACAGTCTCAGGGGAGCAAAAGCACCCGGTCCCCATCACTGTCCCCAAGAAAGGGAGCAGCAGGGGGTTCCCGCGGCTGGCCAGGAAGCTGGGGACAAACGGTGGCGTACCTGAGCACCTGCATTCCCGCAGTGAAGGACAGGTCGACACGGGCAGCTTTGCTTCTCTCCTGGCCAGCTCGGTCAAGCTTCCTGCCTCTGGTGCCTGGAATGCAGAGTCCTGGGTGCGCAACAGGCATTGCCTGGGTGGGCTGGCGTTTTTGATTTGTTTTGTTTTTTTGAGACAGAGTCTCACTCTGTTGCCCAGGCTGGAGTGCAGTGGCGTGATCTCAGCTCACTGCAACCTCCGCCTCCTGGATCCAAGTCATTCTCCTGCCTCAGCCTCCCGAATAGCTGGGATTACAAGCACCTGCCACCGCACCGGGCTAATTTTGTATTTGTAGTAGAGACGGGGTTTCACCGTGTTGGCCAGGCTGGTCTCGAACTCCTGACCTCAGGTGATCCACCCACCTCGGCCTCCCAAAGTGCTGGGAGGGTTGGTGTTTTTATGACCTTCACACAGACCCCAGAGCTGGTGTTGGAGGAGGGTGCAGAGACCCCAGGAGGTACCCTGGAAAGGAGCCCAATAGGAAGACCCAGGACTCTAGGGCAGCAGGTTCAAGCCTGCTCAGCTGGGAAGACCGTTTCCTTCAGGAGTGTGGCGGGTTCCACACGGCGGGTTGGAGACATGCACCTGCCCAGGCTGGGCCACTCAGGGTTCACGCCGGGGCACTGAGTATTTTGGGGGTGCAATGAACTCTGCACAACGCACCAGGGTGGGGGCAGAGATGAATCAAAGAAGACAGCTGTTTGTGTGTGAGCTTCCCTGGCCTGTGCACACAGAGACAGACATACACACCCACACACACACAGGCACACAGATGCCTGTACACATACATTCACACCCAGACACACATATGCATTCGTACGCACCTACACACACATCTGTACACACACATTCACACCAACACACAGACATACATTCATACACACCTGCACACACACACACGTACACACACTCCTATACACATACATTCACACCCACACACAGACATACGCACCCACACACACATTCATACACACCTGCACCACACACAGGCGCACACACTCCTGTACACACACATTCACAACCCCACACGTACACACCAGGACACACACATTCATATACACCTGAACACAGGTGCACACACACGCCTGTACACATCCATTCACACCCACACACAGACATACACACCTGTACACACACATTCATACACGCACACACACACGGGTACACACGCCTGTACACGTTCACACCCACAGACATATACACAGACACACCTGCACACACACACACAGAGGCACATGCACACACACACCTGTACACATACATTCACATGCACACACAGACACAGCCCCCCACACACACAGGTGCACACACACGCCTGTACACATACATTCACACCTACACACAGACACACACCTGTACACACACATTCATACACACATGCACACACACACGGGTACACACGCCTGTACACGTTCACACCCACAGACATATACAGACACACCTGCACACACACACACAGAGGCACATGCACACACACACCTGTACACATACATTCACATGCACACACAGACACACCCCCCACACACAGGTGCACACACATGCCTGTACACATACATTCACACCTACACACAGACATACACACCTGTACACACACACACACAGACACACCCCCCCCACACAGGTGCACATACACGCCTGTACACATACATTCACACCTACACACAGACATACACATCTGTACACACACACATTCATACACACACAGATACACACCCACGCACACACAGGTGCACACACACGCTTGTACACATACATTCACACCCACACACAGACATATACACACAGACATTCATACACACCTGCACAGACACACACATACACAGGCCCATGCACGCACACCTGTACACACACACACCCACACACAGACATACACATCTGCGTGGCAAACATTGACCCCTTCCTCAGGCTGCTGCTGCTGCTGCAAATGTTACTCAGCGATCGTCCAGCCCAGGCTGCAGGCCGACCCTGAGGGCCCTGGAGGCCTCATAAACCACACGTCCGGCCTCGGCTGATTCCACAAGGCTCCGTGGAGCTACCTGTGCAGGGGGGAGAGGCGTGAGGCTCAAAGGGGCCCTGGACGCAGGGACAGACGTTTCTTTACAGACACCCACGTGAGGCAGACAAACCACACATATGTCTCCAACCACACATGGTAATTCGTGAGGATGAAGAGATGAAGGCCCCAGGCCATATTCCCTTTGTGCTGTCCTGGTCTAGCGTGAAATGTTAATTTTTGCCTTTTTTCGTGTACAAAGGGGCCCTTAGGTTGTTAGATGTTCCTGCTTTCATAGTAGACGCATGTGGACTTTTCGTGGTATTTTGTTGTGTTTCTACTGCTTGTTGGAGGCAGAAAAAGCGACTCGTCAATGTTTTATAATGAAAATGAAAAGTATGAAAGGTGAGTGTGAAGTTGTAACAGACATACTTTTGTGAATTTTGGTGATTTTTTTTGTTTGTTGGTTTCAGTCTTTGGAAAAAATCTGTGGTTGGCCGGGCGCGGTGGCTCACGCCTGGCATCCCAGCACTTTGGGAGGCCGAGGTGAGTGGATCATGAGGTCAGGAGATCGAGACCATCTTGGCCAACGTGGTAAAACTCCATCTCTACTAAGAATACAAAAAATTAGCGGGGTATGGTGGCGGGCACCTGTAGTCCCACCTACTTGGGAGGCTGAGGCAGGAGAATCGCTTGAACCTGGGAGGTGGAGCCTCCCCAGATGCACGGCTGTGTCCCAGTCCAGGTTCCAAAGGGGCTTTGTGGATCTTTTTCTGCAGACCGAATGAATGCTTTGTCCTGCCAAGTCCTACGTTGAAACCCTGAACCCCAAGGTCAGAGTGTTACTAGTGGGGGGTCTTTGGGAGGTGAGGAGGTCGTGATGGTAGAGTCTCACGAATGGGATTAGTATCCCCATAAAAGGGACACCAGAGCTTCCTCTCTCTCTGTCTCTCTCTCTGTCTCTTTCTCTCCACCCCGCACCATGGAATGACACAGCAAGAAGGTTGCCGTCTGCAAGCCAGGAAGGGAGTCCTCACCAGGAGCTGAGATGTTGCTACTTTGATCTTGGACCTCCAGTCTTCATGTGTGTGAGAAATCAATGTCTGTTGTTTAAGCCCTGTGGTTTGTGGTACTTTGCTGTAGATTTTCTTTCTTTCTTTCTTTCTTTTTGAGACTGAGTCTCACTCTGTCGCCCAGGCTGGAGTGCAGTGGTGTGATCTTGGCTCACTGCAACCTCTGCCTTCTGGGTTCAAGTGATTCTCCTGCCTCAGCCTCCTGAGTAGCTGGGACTACAGGCACCTGCCACCACACCTGGCTGATTTTTATATTTTTAGTAGAGACGGGGTTTCACCATGTTGGCCAGGATGGTCTCAATCTCCTGACCTCGTGATCCACCCGCGTCAACCTGCCCAAGTGCTGGGATTATAGGCATGAGCCACCGTGCCCGGCAATTCTATCTATCTGTCTGTCTGTCTGTCTGTCTGTCTGTTTGTCTGTCTATCTATCTATCTGTCTATCCATCCATCCATCTAATCCATCCATCCATCTATCATCTATCTATCCATCTATCTTTTGGGTTTTTTTTGAGACAGAGGAGCTGAAACATAGTGAGAGGTTTCTATACCCAGAGAGCTCAACCTCTAGGGTGGAGAAGTTTAAACATTCACTAAACTGGCTTTCATTTAGTAATTGGTGCAGAGCAAAGAGAGACATTTGTGTATGTGTGTGTGTGTGTTTTCACATCACAATATATCATTCTCTTCTCTTCATTTTGTCTCATTTTTCAGAAGCAACAAAAAGGAGAAGATAAGTTTATTTCCATGCAGAGAAGGGAGAGTTTGCTTTCCATTTTATTTTATTTTATTTTTCAGATAGAGTTTCACCCTTGTCGCTCAGGCTGGCGTGCAATGGCGCAATCTCGGCTCACTGCAACCTCCACCTCTGGGGTTCAAGCGATTCTCCTGCCTCAGTCTCCCAAGTAGCTGGGATTACAGACACCCGCCACCACACCACACTGCAACCTCTGCCTTCTGGGTTCAAGTGATTCTCCTGCCTCAGCCTCCTGAATAGCTGGGACTACAGGTGTCTGCCACCACACCCGGCTGATTTTTGTATTTTTAGTAGAGACGGGTTTTTACCATGTTGGCCAGGCTGGTCTTGAACCCCTGACCTCAGGTGATCCTCCCGCCTTGGCCTCCCAAAATGCTGAGATGACAGGCATGAGCCACCATGCTCGGCTGAGTTTGCTTTCTTTGGAGAGCAAACAGATAGCCCCACCAGAAATGTACTTATTTACTTAGTTGCTTGCATGTTTGGAGTGGATGTTGGAGTTTTTCTCAGCCAGGGAGGTGAGAAAGTCTCCATCAAGTACTCATTCATTCATTCATTCATTCGTTCATTCAATTCAACTTTGAATTTAAAAGTGGAGAGTTCCCCTCCGTCTGACCACAAAGTGATGTGCAGAAGTAGCTTCATTTTAAACCTGCAGATAAGATGGATCGGTCTCTGATTTGTAATTAGAAGTGCAGCAGATAACGAGACAATCTGAATGTCCTACCAAGTCTTTGACCTGTTCTTTGGGAGGTGGCATAACCTTATCTTCAATCATCAAGGCTGCACGTGGAGGAGTTATTCAGGCAGCTGAAAATATCACCCCAGATCTTGCAGAGGAAGCAACCTAGGAGTCGGAGTGTCCCTGCAGATGCTCCACACACGGGTGGGATATAGAAGGAGTGGAGGTGGACGAGGTCTAAGGAGAACAAGGAAAAGGACATGAGAGGATCAGAGAAGACCTCAATAGCTTAGCCAGGGAAGGAATTCATGGGAAAAACATTAGGGGAATTTATAGTCTTGGCAGGGAACCCAAAGATGGAGACTCAGACAACAGGGCAGAACCCAAGGGAGGAAGGTGGTCGGGGAGGACTCTCCAAGCTGCCTCTGGGCTCTGGAGATGTTGCTGTGGTCATGAGGAATTTCTGTCCTGCAGCTGATTTCCTTTATTCTCTCAAGGTTCCAAGTGCTGGGCAGAAAGTCCAGCTCCCTGGATGCCAGGATGGGGGGGATAGAGAATGTATGAGGCTCCAGGATGCCAAAGAGGGAGGTGACGCTGGTTCCCACTGAGACGTGTGAGGCAGGAATGACCCCAAAATGACAAGGCTCCGAGTCCCAGCACGATGATTCAGCTTCCCCATCTCACGTGTTCATGGAAGGAGCATGAGGAACTCAGGCATCAGGAAGAAAGTGCCCTCGGTTTGGGGTGGGGCGAGCTTTGGGAACCTCAGGAAACATTTCACGATGACCAACAGGATCAGCCAGTGGGAGAGGAAGAGGAGATTTGTTGCAACCTTGAGGTGGGTTCACTGTGGACACAAATCAGAGGCAGGACAGCCACAGAGAGGACCAACTATTGGCCACGTGTGGGTAAGAGGAAAGAATTGTGACTGGGTTCACAGTGCAGGGGGCATGGATTGAAAAGCAGGACACATCTTCCTCTCTTCTGGTTTCATTGAGCCTTTGCTAAATAGAAGCTAGAATCTCATAGACCTGGTGGCAGCTGTCTTACTCCCTTGGTGTTGATATGGCAGAATGCCATAGACTGCATGGCTTAGAAACAATAAGAATTTACTGCTCACAGCTCTAGAGGCTGGGAAGTCTCAGATCAACGCGTGGTAGATTTGGTGTTTGGTGGGGAAAGTCCCAGATCAAGGCGTGGTAGATTTTGTGTTTGATGGGGACCTGTTTGCTCATTCATAGACGGTGCCATCAGGCTGTGTCCTCATATGGTGAAAGGGGTGAGGGAGCTCTCTGAGGTCCCCCCTTTTTTTGAGATGGAGTTATGCTCTTGTACCCCAGGCTGGAGTGCGATGGCACGATCTTGGCTCGCTGCAACCTCTGCCTCCTGGGTTCAACTGACTCTCCCGCCTCAGCCTCCCAAGTAGCTGGGATTATAGGTGTCCACCACCAAGCCTGGCTAATTCTTGTATTTTTAGTACATATGGGGTTTCACCATGTTGGCCAAGCTGGTCTCGAACTCCTGACCTCAGGTGATCCTCCTGCCTTGGCCTCCCAAAATGCTGGGATTACAGGCATGAGCCACCGTGCCTGGCCTGGGGTCCCCCACTCCTTTTTTTTTTTTTTTTCCTTTTTTAGATGGAATTTTGCTCTGTTGCCAGGCTGGAGTGCAGTGGTGCGATCTCAGCTCACTGCAACCTCTGCCACCCGCATTCAAGGGATTCTCCTGCCTCAGCCTCCCAAGTAGCTGGGATTACAGGTGTCCACCACCACGCCTGGCTAATTTTTGTATTTTTAGGAGAGACAGGGTTTCACCATTGTTGGCCAGGCTGGTCTCGATCTCTTGACTTTGTGATCTGCCAGCCTCGGCCTCCCAAAGTGCTGGGATTACAGGCCTGGGGTCTGTAATTTTTATAAAGGCACTAATCCCATTCATGAGGCTTCATCCTCACAATCTCATCACCTTCCAAAACTCTACTTCCTAACACCATCACCTTAGCGGTTAGGGATTCAACATAGCAATTTGTCGGGGGAACACGACATTCAGTGTATACTGACCGTTGTTCTTCAAACACCTGCTAAATTATAATTAATATCATTATGGGAGAACACCCTTACCATAGAATATTCCCACCACCAGGATCTCCGTGATATACCTTCCAACTCTGCAAAATAACAAAACAGCAAAACAACACAACGCAAACGGAATAAAACCCTTTTCTTTTGACTGAGTGCAGGGCAAGTTAGAAAACTCCCCAAAGATGAGTTTCTCCTCCTTTTTTTTTTTTTTTTTTTGAGTTATGAGCAGAAAAAGTTTGGACACTTTCGCAGAACTCAGAAACATATTAATTTTTCACGGCCTCGTAAGTCAAAAATGGCTTGTCCAATTTGCTTCAAACTTCGCAGCCTGATAGAAAGCCCCAGAACTTTCCAGCCAGAGAAGATATTTTGTCAGAGTTGGAAGGAGGTCAGAAGAGGGCATTAATGTGGAGGATGTGAAGACCTGGGCCCCGACCCTTGATGGGCCTATCTGTAATTAGCTGGAGCCCTCCCCCGGATTTGGGGTTGACAGACGCTCAGGACAGCACGATGATCTCAAGGGCGTCAAAGGGCAAAGCTTCCCCATCAATGGCTCTGTTTGGAGAGGGAGTAGCTGGGGGAGTCAGGGACTCAGCGTGGGGCTCACACCCTCTTTTACCGAGCACTTCTGATTTATATTATAAAAATCTCATTTTCAGAAAAGAAGGGAGTTTTACATGGGATAGGGTGGTGTGAAATCAGCAAATCAGCAAAAAGAAAACAAAACAAAAACGCTTTTCAGGAAAACGATGATGGATTTGGGTGGGGAGAGGGCAGAGCTCCTGGGACCTGATTACTGTTAATTTGTAATCCAGGGAGGTCCTGAGCCTGGTGAAATATTAATGCTTGAGAAAGGCCACTGTCTTCTGATTCTTTCTGTGCTTTTGGGACAATCCCAATGGATGCAACACACCCCCGCGTTGATTTATTTATGTTCACAGCATGGCCGAGGCAGCAGGAGACCCCAAGTTGTATTCAAAATATCCAAAAGGGGCTTTTCTTTTTCCCTTTGTTTATTCAAAATATTCAAAAAGGGCTTTTCTTTTTCCCTTTGTTTCCGCGATTTCTGCGCTGTTGGCTGAAAGTGCTCTGAGTTCACGCGCTACGGGGGGTGACTTCCATTTCTGCAGACAGCAGCCTTGGGGATGGCCTGGCGAGGGCTAGGAATACCACACCCTGATCCCATTCTTCCTGGCTCAGTCCTGACTGTGAGAGTCACGGTGGACTCTGGGTTTTTCGGTTTTTTTGTTTGTTTGTTTTTTTGTTTTTTGTTTTTTTTTTTTGACAGGGAGTCTCGCTCTGTCGTCCAGGCTGGAGTGCAGTGGTGCACCCTAGGCTCACTGCAACCTCCGACTCCTGGGTTCGATTCTACTGCCTCAGCCTCCCGAGTAGCTGAGACTACAGGCACCGGCCACCACGCCTGGCTAATTTTTTTTATTTTTTAAATAGAGATGTGGTTTTGCCGTGTTGGCCAGGCTGGTCTCGATCTCCTGATCTCAGGTGATCCACCTGCCTCGGCCTCCTAAAGTGCTGGGATTATAGGCGTGAGACACCATGCCTGGCCTCTGAACTCTGTTTTAAGTTTTTTTTTTTTTTTAATTGAGGTGAGTTTCACGAAACATGCAATCAACCATTTTATTTTTATTACTTATGTATTTATTTTGAGACAGGGTCTCGCTCTGCTGCCCAGGCTAGGGTGCACTGGTGCAATCACAGCTCACTGCAGCCTCAATGTCCTGGGCTCAGGTGATCCTCCTGCCTCAGCCTCCTGAGTAGGTGAGACCGTGGGCATGCCCCACCATGCCTGGCTAATTTTTGTATTATTACTATTTTCTTGGTAGAGACAGGGTCTCACTGTGTTGCCCAGGCCCATCTTGTACTCCTGGTCTCAAGCGATCCTCCTGCCTCGGCCTCCCAAAGTGCTGCAATTACACAGGTGAGGCAACGCAGCCAGCAACCCTTTCAAGCAGAAGGATTTGTTGGTATTTACTGAATTCACCTTGTTGTGGTAGCATATCATCTACATAATACCAGAATATTGTCATCCCTCAAAAACAGAGCCAGGAGAAGAACTGCCCATTTTCCCTCCCCATTCCCAGGCAACTCAAAATCTTCCTTCTGTCTCTATGGGTTTGCCTGTTCTACACATTTCGTATATGATGGGAATAGGCTTTTTTTTTTTTTTTTTTTTTTTTAGAAAGAGTCTCGCTCTGTCAGCCAGCCTGGAGTGCAACGGTGTAATCTCGGCTCAGTGCAACCTCCACCTCCTGGGTTCAAGCGATTCTCCTGCCTCAGCCTCCTGAGTAGCTGGGATTACGGGCACCCCCCACCACACTCAGCTAATTTTCTTTTCTTTTTTCTTTCTTTCTTTCTTTTTTTTGAGATGGAGTCTCGCTCTGTTGCCCAGGCTGGAGTGCAGTGGCACGATCTCAGCTCACTGCAATCTCCGCCTCCTGAGGTCAAGTGATTCTCCTGCCTCAGCCTCCCAAGTAGCTGAGATTACAGGTGCCCACCATGCCAGGCTAATTTTCTTTTTTTGAGATGGAGTCTTGCTCTGTCGCCCAGGCTGGAGTGCAATGGTGAGATCTCGGCTCACTGCAACCTCCACCTCCTGGGTTTAAGTGATTCTCCTGCCTCAGCCTCCTGAGTAGCTGAGATTACAGGTGCCCACCATGCCAGACTAATTTTCTTTTTTCTTTTTTCTTTTTTTTTTTTTTTGAGATGGAGTCTTGCTCTGTCGCCCAGGCTGGAGTGCAGTGGTGTGATCTCAGCTCACTGCAACCTCTGCCTCCTGGGTTTAAGTGATTCTCCTGCCTCTGCCTCCTGAGTAGCTGGGATTACAGGTGCCCGCCACCATGCCCAGCTAATTTTCTTTCTGGTTTTTTTTTTTTTTTTTTTTTTGAGACAGAATCTTACTCTGTTGCACAGGCTGGAGTGCAATGGCATAATCTTGGCTCAGTGCAACCTCTGCCTCCTGGGTTCAAGCGATTCTGCTGCCTTAGCCTCCTGAATAGCTGGGATGACAGGCACCCATCACCACGCTCAGCTAATTTTTGTGTTTTTAGTAGAGATGGGGTTTCTCCATGTTGGCCAGGCTGGTCTCGAACTCCTGACCTCAGGTGATCCACCCGCCTCAGCCTCCCAAAGTGCTGGGATTACAGGTGTGAGCCACTGCTCCTGGCCAAAAAATTATTTTTTATAGACCTGGGGTTTTGCTATGTTGCTCCGGGTGCTCTCCAATTGCTGGGCTCAAGCAATCCTTCCACCTCAGCCTCCCAAAGTGCTGGGATTACAGGCACGAACCGTAGCACCCGACCGGCCTCTTTATACTATTTTGCAGGAACATTACCTTGCTTTCAGTGAGTGCAGTTCCCACGAAAAAGCCGCGAGTATGGAGAAGTTTGCCTAGAAAACTTAGGCAGTTACTCCTTTTAGATAATTTAACTTCAAAGTCGAA
Source organism: Homo sapiens (assembly GCF_000001405.40). Lineage (NCBI taxonomy): Eukaryota > Metazoa > Chordata > Mammalia > Primates > Hominidae > Homo > Homo sapiens. The sequence continues at coordinate 448,888 of NC_000024.10, forward strand.
ACAGGGCATCGCAGAAAGGATCTGAATTTAGAGGTATGTTTTATTGAATCACTCAAGGCCTAGAAATAGAAATGATCAAAGGGTGTTTGCGAGCGTGCTTTCCAGCTTCTGAGGAGCTGAGCCCAGCTCACTAATGATGGCAATTGTGGTCATAGGTGACTCGCCCCCGAGCTGGGGGTGCCTCTGAGCGCCTCTGCCTTCCACCCTACTGGGGAGCAAGGCTGTGGGGCCACCTCTAATGATTGGTTGTTATTGTCTGAGGATATCTAGAAATTCAAGAGAGATCTACTTTATACTCTGGAAATGAAGAGCCTTTTGTATTCAGCAAAGGGATCGGTGTTGAGAGGGGGCTTCACGGGTGTACACCGTGGGGAGTATCCCTCCTGGGTTCCAAGCTCAGACAGGTGGCCCAAGACAAGATGTCTGGCTTTTTAAATTTTAATTTAATTTAATTTAATTTTAATTTAATTTTAATTTAATTTTAATTTAATTTAATTTTAATTTAATTTAATTTTAATTTTAATTTTAATTTTAATTAATTAATTAATTTATTTTCGAGACAGAGTCTCTCTCTGTCGCCCAGGCTGGAGTGCAGTGGCGCAATCTCGGCTCACTGCAAGCTCCGCCTCCCGGGTTCACGCCATTCTCCTGCCTCGGCCTCCAGAGTAGCTGGGACTACAGGCGCCCGCCACCACGCCCGGCTAATTTTTTGTATTTTTAGTAGTAGAGACGGGGTTTCACCGTGTTGGCCAGGATGGTCTCGATCTCCTGACCTTGTGATCCACCCACCTCGGCCTCCCAAAGTGCTGGGATGACAGGTGTGAGCCGCCACGCCCGGCCCGTTATTTTTATTTTTAGTACAGATGAGGCTTTTCTCTGTTGCCCAGGCTGAAGTGCAGTGACGTGATCAGGGTCCTTGCATTTTTTGTTTTGAGACAGGGTCTTGCTCTGTCGCTCAGGATGGACTGCAGGGATGTGATCCCAGCTCACTGCAGCCTCAGCCTCCTGGGCTCAAGCCATACTCCTGCCTCAGCCTCCTGAGTAGCTGGACTACAGGTGTGTGCCAGTATGCCTGGCTGTTTTTTTCTAAATGATTTTTTTTGGTAGAGATGGGGTCTCACTATGTCTCCCAGGCTGAAGCTCTGTGGTGTGATCATAGCTCACTGCAGCCTCGAACTCCTGAGCTCAACTGATCCTCCCACCTCAGCCTCCTGAAGTGCTGGGATTAGGGGGGTGAGCCACTGCACTCAGCCAACAGATAGAGATGGGGTCTCGCTATGTCTCCCAGGCTGAAGCTCTGTGGTGTCATCATAGCTCACTGTAGCCTCGAACTCCTGGGCTCAACTGATCCTCCCACCTCAGCCTCCTGAAGTGCTGGGGTTAGGGGGGTGAGCCACTGCACTCAGCCAACAGATAGAGATGGGGTCTCGCTATGTCTCCCAGGCTGAAGCTCTGTGGTGTCATCATAGCTCACTGTAGCCTCGAACTCCTGGGCTCAACTGATCCTCCCGCCTCAGCCTCCTGAAGTGCTGGGATTAGGGGGGTGAGCCACTGCACTCAGCCAACAGATAGAGATGGGGTCTCGCTATGTCTCCCAGGCTGAAGCTCTGTGGTGTCATCATAGCTCACTGCAGCCTCGAACTCCTGAGCTCAACTGATCCTCCCACCTCAGCCTCCTGAAGTGCTGGGATTAGGGGGGTGAGCCACTGCACTCAGCCAACAGATAGAGATGGGGTCTCGCTATGTCTCCCAGGCTGAAGCTCTGTGGTGTCATCATAGCTCACTGCAGCCTCGAACTCCTGGGCTCAACTGATCCTCCCGCCTCAGACTCCTGAAGTGCTGGGATTAGGGGGGTGAGCCACTGCACTCAGCCAACACATCTGTAAATATGCCTAAGGCATCTATACCGTAGTAGGTTTGCTACAAGGATCAAGCAAGATAGTGTTCTGGAAATACAAGCCTCACCCTTACGAAGCTGTTTCAGCAGGTGTAACAAATGGCCGTTCACAGAGTGGCTCAAAAAAACACACATTTGGCCAGGCGTGGTGGCTCATGCCTGTAATCCTACCACTTTGGGAGGCTGAGGTCGGAGGATTGCTTGAGACCAGAAGTTTGAGACTATAGCCTGAGCAACAGAGTGACGTAGTGATACTTTGTTTCTAGAAAAATAAAAAAAAAAATAATTAGCCGGGTGTAGATGGGGGGGGGGGGTGGTCTGTAGTCCCAGCTACTCGGGAGGCTGAGGCAGGAGGATCCTTTGAGCCCGGGAGTCCGAGGCCGTACTGAGCTAGGATTGCACCACTGCACTCCAGCCTGGGCGACAGGGCGAGACTCTGTCTCAAAACAGAAAACAACAAGAACAAGAAGCCCCCCGAAAAAACAAGAAGTCCTGCCCACTCTTTTTTTTTGAGACAGTTTTCCTCTTGTTGCCCAGGGTGGAGTGCAATGGCGTGATCTCGGCTCACTGCATTTTCTGCCTCCCGGGTTCAAGAGATTCTCCTGCCTCAGCCTCCTGAGTAGCTGGGAGTACAGGCACCTGCCACCACGCCTGGCTAATTTTGCATTTTTAGTAGAGATGGGGTTTCACCATGTTGGCCAGGCTGGTCTCGAACTCCTGACCTCATGTGATCCACCTGCCTCGGCCTCCCAAAGTGCTGGGATGACAGGCGTGAGCCACCCTGTCTGTCCCCTTTCCTTTATCTTTTACAACTCCAGGACTTTAGCATAAGCCTACAAGTCCTCCCCCTTCTTTTAAGATTTTTTTCCTCTTCGATTTCACTCAGCTGAGAGAAAGGGGAGACCTCCCCCCCTCCCTTTTCACCAAACACCTACTCATTTTCCCAAGCTGTACCCACCATACTCACAGCAAATTTCATTTAGGATAGACATTTTATTTTATTTATTTTTTTTTTCATTTTTTTGAGACAGAGTCTCGCTGTGTCGCCCAGGCTGGAGTACAGTGGCACGATCTCGGCTCACTACAACCTCCGCCTCCCGAGTTCAAGTGATTCTCCTGCCTCAGCCTCCGGAGTAGCTGGGATGACAGGTGCACGTCAACCTCAGCCCACAAGGTGGCCCAAGGCACACGGAGTTCACATTGTACCCACCATGGGTCGAAGGTGGGCGTCTGATTCCTCCTGAAGGGTGGGGAGCTGTGATGTGAACAGGCCACTTCAATGGGACAGGCGTGATCTCCATTTGGGACTAAATACAAGCCCATGGAGGGTCCACAGAGCACCAAGGGAAGCTGGCATTTCAAAACATCTGCCTCGTTTGTCTAAACCACACCACACCACACACCACTCTGGGGTCTGTTTGGCCACAGAGAATCCTCTAGCCCCAAATGTCAGCAGAGCTGAGGCTGAGAGACACTGACTGAGGGACTCTATCTATCATCTGTCAATCAATCAATCAATCATCTATCTGTCTATCCATTATCTATCTATTTATCCACCTATCATCTATCTATCTATCATCTATCTCTCTCTCATCCGTCCATCCATCGTCTATTCTATCTGTCATCTATGTATCTATCCATCTAGTCATCCATCTATCTATCCTGTGTGTATTTATCCATTCTATGTATCTATCTATGTATCTATCTATGTATCTATCTATGTATCTATCTATCTATCTATCTATCTATCTATCTATCTATCTGTCATCTATGTATCTATCCATCTATTCATCCATCTATCCTGTATGTATTTGTCCATCCATCCATCCATCTATTCTATCATCTATCTTCATCTATGTATCTATCCATCTATTCATCCATCTATCCTGCATGTATTTATCTATCCATCATCCATCTATTCTATCATCTATCATCTATGTATCTATCCATCTATTCATCCATCTATCCTGCATGTATTTATCTATCCATCCATCCATCTATTCTATCATCTATCTATCATCTATGTATCTATCCACCTATTCATCCATCTATCTTGTATGTATTCATCCATCCATCCATCTATTCTATTATCTATCTATCATCTATTCATCCATCTATCTATCCTGCATGTATTTATCTATCCATCCATCCATCCATCTATTCTATCATCTATCTGTCTTCTATGTATCTATCCATCTATTCATCCATCTTGTATGTATTTATCCATCCATGCATCTACTCAACCATCCCTCCTCTATTTATCATCTCTATCATCTGTAAGTCAATCAGTTTATCCATCATCTATCAATCACCCACATCTATCTTTATTATCTATCACCTGTCTATTTATCTATCTATCCTGTATGTATTTATCCATCCATCCATCCCTCCATCCATCCATTCCCTGTCTATCTCTATCATATAGAGAAAAATGGCAGCCGCGTCCACACTGGCCTCAGAACTCTCTGGTGAGGTTGCACCAATGAAGCAACAGATTGTGAGGATGTCACTTTTCTGGTTTTTTTTTTTTCAAGATGGAATCTCACTCTGTCACCCAGGCTGGAGTGCAGTGGCACGATCTCAGCTCACTGCAACCTCCACCTCCTGGGTTCAAGTGATTCTCCTGCCTCCGCCTCTTGAGGAGCTGGGACTACAGGTGCTCACCACCACGCCTGGCTAATTTTTGTATTTTTAGTAGAGATGGGGTCTCACCGTGTTGGCCAGGCTGGTCTTGAACTAGTGACCACAGGTGATCTGTCTGCCTCGGCCTCCCAAAGTGCTGGGATTACAGGCATGAGCCACCGTGCCCAGTGACGTCACTTTTCTTTGAATAGTTTAGATCAAACCGCACCAACTGTATGTGACTTTGTTATATCTTTTATTATATGTATAACAGAAATACATAGTTATATGTGTTGTATTTGGAAGTGTATCACTGAATGTGGTTCTGAGGACCTTGGGGAATTATTTAATTTAATTTAATTAATTTATTGTAGAGATGGGGTGTCATGAGGTTGCTCAGACTGATCTCAAACTTCTGGGCTCAAGGGATCCTCCCTCCCTTCTCGGCCTCCTAAAGTGCTGGGATTACAAGTGGGAGCCACTGTGCCTGGCAGGGGGATTATTTTAAATGCTTCCTAAGCAAAATAAATAATGCATGAGACACTTACTGCATCTGCTCCTCAAATTCCTTCCAAAAGTGCTTTGGGGCCGGGTGCAGTGGCTCACGCCTGCAATCCCAGCACTTTGGGAGGCTGAGGTGGGAGGATCGCTGGAGCCAGGAGTTTGAGACCAGTCTGGGCAACATAGCAAGACCCCAGCTCTATAAAAAAAATATCTTGGGAGGCCGAGGCGGGCAGATCATGAGGTCAGGAGATCGAGACCATCCTGGCTGACACGGTGAAACCCCGTCTCTACTAAAAATACAAAAAATTAGCTGGGCGCGGTGGCGGGCGCCTGTAGTCCCAGCTACTCGGGAGGCTGAGGCAGGAGAGTGGCGTGAACCCGGGAGGCAGAGCTTGCAGTGAGCCGAGATCACGCCACTGCACTCCAGCCTGGGCGACAGAGTGAGACTCTGTCTCAAAAAAAAAAAAAAAAAAATCAGGTAGATGTGGTGGTTTCCACCTGTAGTCCCAGCTCCTGGGGAGACTAAGGTGGGAGCATTCCTTGAGCCCAGGACGTCGAGGCTGCAGTGAGCCAAGATCGTACCACAGCTCTCCAGTCTGGGCAATAGAGTTAGCTTCTCATCTCTGCAAAAATAAAGATTAAAAAAAATACTCTCATTGTTCAACTCCCACTTAGGAGTAAGAACTTGCGGTGTTTGGTTTTCTGTTCCTGTGTGAGTTTGCTGAGAATGATGGTTTCCAGCTTCGTCCATGTCCCTGCAAATGACAGGAGCTCACCCTTTTTCATGGCTGCATAGTATTCCATGGTGTCTGTGTGCCACATTTTCTTTATCCAGTCTATCATTGATGGGCATTTGGGTTGGTCCCAAGTCTTTTGCTATTCCCAGCAGGTTTTCAAAGCCCGTCGTCTTTGCTTAGCGTGCACCATGATGTCGGCTCTCTGAATTCACCGTCTTTCTAGATGAGTCCCAGAGTTTTTCTTCATCACTCAGTATTTGGCAACAGGGAAGTTTTTCTAAGCAAGTCAACCCATCAATGATAGACTGGATAAAGAAAATGTGGCACATAGACACCATGGAATACTATGCAGCCATCAAAAAGGATGAGTTCATGTCGTTCGCAGGGACATGGATGAATCTGGAATCCATCATTCTCAGCAAACTCACACAGGAACAGAAAACCAAACACTGCATGTTCTCACTCCTAAGTGGGAGTTGAACAATGAGAACACATGGACACAGGAAGGGGAACATCACACACCCGGGCCTGTCGAGGGCTGTGGGGCTGTGGAAGGGATTGCATTAGGAGAAATTCTCACCATCTATGAACCCCTCATTTCCTCATCGGGAAAAATGTACCTGAAAATAGCGCCTGCCTCTGAGTGTTGTGGTAAGGAAGCAATGCCATTATTTATGTCTCATGCTGTGGCTTGAGACTGTGTCTGTTTATGCTGCTCTGGTTTGTGGTGGAGGCTGCCGTCTGTCAGCCTCTGCACCTGCCGTCTGTCAGCCTCTGCACCTGCTCTGAAGTTTTCCTCTCGGTGGTACCCACCCATCATCCTGCTGCCCTTGAGTTCCCAGGAGCCCACAGGAGCTGCACTTTCTCCAGGCCTTTTGCCGGTGGAGCTGCCTCTTGGATTGTGCGTCTCCATCCGATGCACTCTGTTTTCATGTGAAAATCCATGGGAATAAAAAGGCTCTTTTCGTGCTGAAAAATTGAGCCCAGGGGTTCAGCCAGCAGAGGACTCTGTGGGTATAAATATGAATGGAGAGGATTCTAAATATATAGCAGAGCAGAAGTCAGATGTTTGTGGAGAGGTGAAACGGCCTGGCCAGGTTCTTGGAACTTTAGAAATGAGGATGGCTTCCGGGGGAACTGGGGAGCGACCGTTCTCAACTGGGGATGAACATGCACCCCGACGGACACTCGGCACTGTCTGGGGCGGTTCTGGGTGTGGTAACTGGGAGGGGGGTGCTCCTGGCACCTGGTTTGTGGAGCCCGGGGATGCTGCTCACCACCTTACAGTGACCACAGAGAATCCTCCAGCCCCAAATGTCAGCAGAGGTGAGGCTGAGAGACACTATCTGAGGGACTCTATCATCTGTCAATCAATCAATCAATCTCTCAATCTATTATGCATCTATCTATCTATCTATCTATCTATCTACCCACCTATCATCTATCATTTATCTATGTATCTATGTATCTATGTATCTATCTACCTATCATCTATCTATCATCTATCTATGTATCTATCTATGTATCTATTATCTATCTATCCACCTATCATCTATCTATAATCTCTCTCTCTCCCAACCATCCATCTATCCATCCATCCATCCATCTATCCATCTATCCATTATCTATCATACATCTATCTATTCATCCATCCATCATCTATCATCTCTATCATCTATAAATCAATTTATCCATCATCTGTCATTCATCCATCCATCACCCATCTTTATTATCTATCATCTATCTATCCATCTATCATTCATCTATCATCTACCCATCCATTACCTATCTATCTCTATCATATATAAATCAATCAATCTATCATCTATCATCCACCAATCTACCTATTTATCTAGATCTGCCTATCTACCTTTATCTATTATCTATCATCAATCTTTATTATCTATCTATCATCTATCTACAGATCTATTTATTGACCCATTATCTATCTATCATCTATCTACCTATCTATCTAATCTGTGCTTTTCAGCTGCTGCCGATTGTCTCCTCTGAGGACACTTTGTCAGTCTCTGGGGACACTTTTGGTTGTCTGGATTGTGGAGTGAGGGTGCTTCTGGTCGCTGGTGGGTGAAGCCCAGGGACACTGCTCAACACCCTACAGTGCACAGATCAGCCCCACCAGAGAGAATCGTCCAGTCCCATGTGTCGGAAGTACCAGGGCTGAAAGACACTGCCTGAGGCTGAGACAATCTCTGTTTGTCTATCTATCACCTATCAGTGATCTATCAGTCAATTATCTACCTATTAACTGTCTATATCAATTATCTGTCATACCTATCAATCAGCTATCATTAATCATCTGTCTATATCAATTATCCATCATACCTATCAATCAACTATCTATCATCAATCATCTATCTATACTAATTATCCATCATACATATCAATCAACTAACAATCATCAATCATCAAGCATCTATATCAATTATCCATCAAACCTATCAATCATATATCATCAATCATCTATCTGTGTGAATTATCCATCATACCTATCAATCAGCTATCAATCGTCAATCATATATCAATTATCCATCATACCTATCAATCAACCATCTATCAATCATCAATCTATATCAATTATCTGTCATACCTATCAATCATCAATCATCTATCTATATCAATTATCCATCATACTTATCAATCAACCATCTATCTATATGAATTATCCATCATATCTATCAATCAACTACCTATCATCAATCTATATCAATTATCCGTCACACCTTTCGATCAGCTATCTATCAATCATCAATCATCTATATCAATTATCCATCAAACCTATCAATCAACTATTTGTCAATTATCAATCATCTATATCAATTATGCATCATACCTATCAACTATCATCAATCATCTATCTATATGAATTATCCATCATACCTATCAATCAACTACCTATCAATCTATATCAATTATCCATCACACCTATCAATCAACTATTTATCAATTATCATCTATATCAATTATGCATCATACCTATCAACTATCATCAATCATCTATCTATATCAATTATCCATCATACCTATCAATCAGCTATCAATCATCAATCCTTGATCTATATCATTTATGCATCAATCATCAATCATCTGTATCAATTATCAATCATCTATTTACCTATCAAATCAACTATGTATCATCTTTCATCATATCTATCAATTGTCCATCAGTCAGTTATCTACCTGTCTATTCAATGGTTTGCAAACAGGATGATTTTCTTTTTCTGAGAAGAGGTCTCAAAACTTTGTTTTGGGCTGGGCACGGTGGCTCACACCTGTAATCCCAGCACTGTGGGAGGCCAAGGCGGACCGATCACCTGAGGTCTGGAGTTCGAGGCCAGCCTGGCCAACATGGTGAAACCCCGTCTCTACTAAAAATACAAAAACTAGCTGGGCGTGGTGGCGGGTGCCTGTAATCCCAGCTACTCGGGAGGCTGAGGCAGGATAGTTGCTTGAACCTGGGAGGCGGAGGTTGCAGTGAGCCGAGATTTTGCACTCCAGCCTGGGCAACAAGTGTGAAAATTCGTCTCAAAAATTAAAAATAAAAAATAAAATCTTCATTTTGTCCTGAGTTGAAACTGAAGGGCCGGCATCGTGCTTCCCAAAGATGTCCTGTTTTATGCTGGAGGTGGCAGTTTCTTGTATTTGCAGATATGTGTGAAAAACCAGACCTTGGCAATGACTTTGACAATAGGCGGTAAATAACTGCCAGATGCTTAGCGTTCCAATAATGGAATGCTAGGCATCGATAGGTTTAAGCCCCCTATGATTTTAGCACTGATATGGAAGTACGGGATTCCTTCATGGAGAAAATAAGACACTGGTTTTGCTTTCTGTTTTCTTTTCTTTCTTTTTTTTTTTTGAGAAGGAGTCTTGCTCTTGTACCCCCAGGCTGGAGTGCAATGGTACTATCTCGGCTCACTGCAACCTCCGCCTCCCAGGTTCAAGTGATTCTCATGCCTCAACCTCCAAAGTAGCTGGGGTTACAGGTGCACGCCATATCTGTGCACCATGCTGGCCAGGCTGGTCTCGAACTCCTGACCGCAGGTTACCTGCCCGAGCCACCACGCCTGGCCGCAAACACCGCATTTCAAATATACTGAGTCCTTCAGCTCGGAGGTCAGAAATGGCCAAGGGCGGCCGGGCCGGTGGCTCACGCCTGCAATCCTGCAATCCTAGCATTTTGAGAGGCCAAGGTGGGAGGATTGCTTGACGCCAAGGAGTTTAAGACCAGCCTGGGCAACATAGCAAGACCCCGATTTCTACACAAAATAAAAAAAAAATTAGTCAGGCGTGGTGGCTCACGTCTGTAGTCCCAGACACTGGGAAGTCCGAGGAGGGAGGATCGCCTGAGTCCAGGCGTCCGAGGCTGCAGTGAGCCATGATTGAGCTACTGCACTCCAGCCTGGGCAACAGAGCCAGACCCTGTCTTAAAAATAAAATAATAATTCAAAAAATAGGCCAGGCGCGTTGGCTCATGCCTGTAATCCCAGGACTTTGGGAGGCAGAGGTGGGCAGATCACCTGAGGTCGGGAGTTCAAGACCAGCCTGGCTAACACGGTGAACCCCCGTCTCTACTAAAAATACTAAAATCAGCTGGGCGTGGTGGCAGGTGCCTGTAATCCCAGCTACTCGGGAGGCTGAGGCAGGAGAATGGCTTGAACCCGGGAGGCGGAGGTTTCAGTGAGCCGAGACTGCGCCATTGCACCCCAGCCTGGGCAGCAAGAGCGAAACTCCGTCTCAAGAAAAGAAAAGAAAAAAAATGCTCAGGTACATTTTTGCTTTATTTCAGGATTTCTTTACGTTGCTGTGAAAACCTGGATGTTGGGGGCTCTGTCTGTGTATCGTAGACGGAGTTTTGAATTGCTCCAGTGAAACACAAGTATTTTACCTTACGCTGTCAACCTGCTGGGGGAAGCGTGAAGACAGTTTAACCTTCTGGCTCCGGTAATCATCTTGTCTCAGAGACCTCGGAGAGCTCCCAGAGCCTGGCTGCCACGGTGGTTCTATATACCCTCCAGCCCTGGCCTGCCTTGGGACACCCCTCTCCGCCTGCCGGCCCCAGAATTTCCCCACACACGCGGTCATCACAGCCCGAGATGTTTAATGACGGCTTCATGCACCAGGCTATTGCCCTAAACACGGGTGACAGGCCAAACACACACTAATTACCTAACTCAATTCAAGCCCGCCTGGCCCCGTGGAAAGGCTGAGCTGGGGATGCACGCAGGTGCCCCGTCGTTACCTCCGGATGTCAAATTGAAGTGAGGTTTTCCCGCATGAGCGGGGAGAGCTGTTTCTACGCACCAAGATTTCCACGGTTTGCAGGAGAAAGAGTTTTGTGTCTGCCCTCTGGACAGCCCTGTCAGTTTTATCAAGCGTGTCTGATTAAGGAATATTTAAAGGTATGTGTTCAGAAGCGTTTCTCCCCTTCTTTTGTGTGTGTGTGTGGCCATGTTTAAAAAAAACAAATGTAAAACCAGTTACAGGCAAAGTAGGCTAGTTTGGTGCTGAAATAACGCCGTCGTTCATGAGCCGGCTTAAATAATGCAGTTGTTAGAAACCAGCTCTCAAAGCTGTGGGTTGGCTGAGGAGGGTTAGTACGAGGTCCTGACCCCAAACCTGTGTGTATCTGGAGCCGGCGGGAGACATTTGGCCTGGAGTATGAGGCTGGCTGGACCTGGAAGGTCCTCAGCGTTAGAGGGACTGTTTCGGGAAGGTTTTCTGGCAGCTGAGTCCCAATTCCAGGAGGAAGTAGGCATTGAGTAGATAATTTCAGCTCCCCCATTGAAGCCGTCCAGCCTGCAGAGAAAGATAGCAGTGGCCCCCTGCCCTATCCCGGCAAAGCTGACCCCGAGAATGCCCGGGTCACAAGCCCAGGTGGACAGTGTCTCCTTGTGCCTCGGAAGAGAATTCTGCATTAGGAAGGAATCCAGGGGGAATGGGGAGAAAAGGCCCGAGATACGTGAGCAGAGGTGAGAGCCGTGCCAGGGCTGAGCCACGCTTCAGGAGAGACCAGCTATGTCTCTCTCTGTGTTGGGAGCCGTTGGGTAAAGCGGGGACTTCTGGGTGAGCCAACATTACAGACTTATATGGGAATTTAAGGCTCGGTTAAATATGCCCCTCAAAAAAGTTTCCTGACTTTTTTTTGATACGCCAGTTTCATTATCAGGGGGCTCATCAGCCGGGGACGCGGTGCAGGACGGATGGAAGCCGTGGGCCGTGTCAACTCTACAGGGCTGTATTTCTTTTTTTTTTTCGTGCTCATTACGATTCTTGGATGTGTGTAATTTACATCTAAATGCACTGACTAATTTTGATCCAATCATGTCAAAAATGATAGGTACTGTGTGGGAGGAGATGACAGCCGTACCAGCGCGCGTTGCCAGAGTGAGAGTCCCTCGGGGCAATGATTTAATGCCCCCAGTCAGCCGGGCCTGTCAGCTTCGGAGGCCAAATTATGACACATCATGTCGACGACCGGTCCACACGGAGGCTGCGGTGGGGGGAGCCCTGGTTCACCCAGCACCGTCCTGGCCGACCCCCGGCCCCGGCTGCCGCCCCGTGCCCCGTCACACACGCAAGATGCAGAGTGGGGAGAAATGATGCGCTAACCCCCCTGTAAAAGAGTCATTTGCATCTGTATTTTTTACTCCAGCAAGGGCATGTCAGGTGTTTGCGGGAAGGGCAGGCTGGACGGCCTCCATGCAGCGTGAGCGTGTCCGCGTGTGTGTGTGCACGTGTGTCCACATGTGTGTGTGGTGTCTGCGTGCCTCTGTGTGTGTCCGTGTGTGCGCACGCGCCCGTGTGTGTGCATCTGTGTGTGGCGTCAGCATGTGTCTATGTGTGTCCATGTGTGTATGTATGTGTGCATGCATGCACCTGTATGTGTGTCTGTGTGCATGCATGTGAGTGTATGTGTGTGTGTCTGAGTGTGAGCGTGCCTATGCACGTGTGTGTGTGCATGTTTCTGTGTGTGCATACGCCCATGTGTGTCTGTGTGCATGCGTGTGTGTGTATGTTAGTGTGAGGGTGGACGTGTGCCTATGCACCTATGTGTGTATGTGTTTCTGCATGTCTGTGCATGCATGCACCTGTATGCGTGTCTGAGTGCATGCGTGGGAGTGTATGTGCGTGTCTCAGTGTGGGCATGCCTATGCACATATGTGTGCACATGTTTCTGTGTGCATATGCTTGCATGTGTGTGTGCATGCATGTGAGTGGATGTGTGTGTGAGTGTGGGCATGCCTATGCACGTGTGTGTGTGCATGTTTCTGTGTGTCTGTATACGCCTGTGTCTTGAGTGTGTGAATGTGCCTATGGACATGTGTATACATGTTTCTGCATGTCTGTGCATGCATATGCCTGTGTGTCTCTGTGTGCATGCGTGTGAGTGTGTGTGTATGTTAGTGTGAGGGTGGACGTGTGCCTATGCACCTATGTGTGTATGTGTTTCTGCATGTCTGTGCATGCATGCACCTGTATGCGTGTCTGAGTGCATGCGTGGGAGTGTATGTGCGTGTCTCAGTGTGGACATGCCTATGCACATATGTGTGCACATGTTTCTGTGTGCATATGCTTGCATGTGTGTGTGCGTGCATGTGAGTGGATGTGTGTGTGAGTGTGGGCATGCCTATGCACGTGTGTGTGTGCATGTTTCTGTGTGTCTGCGTATACGCCTGTGTCTTGAGTGTGTGAATGTGCCTATGGACATGTGTGTACATGTTTCTGCATGTCTGTGCATGCATATGCCTGTGTGTCTCTGTGTGTATGCGTGTGAGTGGCATTCATGTGTGTGTATTTGCGTGAGGTGGGCATGCCTATGCACGTATATGTGTACATGTTTCTGTATGTCTGTGCATGCATATGCCTGTATATGTGTCTGTGTGCACATGTGTTCATATATGTGTGTCTGTGTGAGTGTACATATGCCTATGTACGTACGTGTGTACGTTTCTGTGTATCTGTGTGTCTGTGCGTGCATCTGCCTGTATATGTGTGTGTGTGTGCAAATGTGTCTGTATGTGTGTGTCTGTGTGAATGTGGGTGTGCCTTGTACGTATGTGTGTACATGTTTCTGTGTATCTGTGTACCTGTGTGTGCATTCGCCTGCATGTCTGTGTGTGTGCATGCATGTCAGTGAACGTTGGCGGCCTCTCCTCAGAGCCCCTCTTGCCTGAAGGAAGTGCCACCTCCAGCCCCCCTTTGCTTTGTTTTGCGTCTCGGGAGTGACGTCACTGTCGGCTCCGCAGGATCCTCCCATCCTTGTTCGTCCTGGGCTTGCGGGATGAGTCTGTCAGGAGCAGACACGCCGTGGTGGGCCGTGCACACGTTTGCACCTGCTCTCAGAAGTCCTTTCCCCGAGGAGGAGGCTCTGTTGGAGAGAGAGACCCTTGGGCACCTGTGGGCCCTCACTGCTCTCTTCTGAGACTGTGGTACCGGCCATCTCCAGCCCTGGCCCTGGCCCGGTGACTTCCCCAGGGCACCCCAGGGATGTGCCAAAGGAGGACTCCCCGGGGAGGGTGGGTGAGGTGCGTGCCCGCCGTGCCGAGACGCTCCTGAAGGCAGAGGCTGCTCAGGAAAGTCGGCTGCTTCCTAATCTCCGTCCGTGCTCACGCAAAGTCCTCGGTCGCCGTCTGCCACACGCTTATTTTATTTGGCAGAAGTTACAGCTCAGGCAATTTCGTTAGGAAACCTGTTGGGGTTTCTTGGTTCTATGCAGGATGGCTGGTGCTTTAGGAGGAGGTGGGGATTAGAAAGAGTCTTGAGGCCGGACGTGGTGGCTCACGCCTGCAATCCCAGCACTTTGGGAGGCTGAGGCGGGTGGATCACGAGGTCAGCAGTTCGAGACCAGCCTGACCAACATGGTGAAACCCCATCTCTACTAAAAATACAAAAAAATCAGCCAGGTATGGTGGTGGGCACCTGTAGTTCCAGCTAGTCGGGAGGCTGAGGCAGGAGAATCACTTAAACCTGGGAGGTGGAGGTTGCAGTGAGCCGAGATCGCACCAATGTACTCCAGCCTGGGTGACAGTGTGAGACTCCATCTCAAAAAAAAAAAAAAAGTTAGCCAGGCGTGGTGGCAGGTGCCTGTAATCCCAGCTGCTTGAGATGCTGAGGCAGGAGAATCACTTAAACCCGGGAGGTGGAGGTTGCAGTGAGCCAAGATCATGCCATTGCACTCCAGCCTGGGTGACAAAAGTGAGACTACGGCTCAAAAAAAGAAAAAAAAATACAAATAGTAGCCAAGCCTGGTGGTGAACACCTGGAACCCTGGCTACTTCGGAGGCTGAGGCGGGAGAATCGTTTGAACCCGGGAGGCGGAGGTTGCAGCGAGCTGAGGTCGCGCCTGGGAGGCAGAGGTTGCAAGATTCTGTCTCGGAAAAAAAAAAAAGAAAATATGATCCATCTGTAACATTGAATGCTACACAGCCATGAAAAAGAATCAAATCATGTCCTTTGCAGAAATACGGATGCAGCTGGAGGCGCTTCTTCTTCTTCTTTTTTTTTTTTTTTTTTAGACGGATTCTCACTCTGTCGCCCAGGCTGGAGTGCAGTGGCGCGGTCTCGGCTCACTGCAAGCTCCGCCTCCTTGGTTCACGCCATTCTCTTGCCTCAGTGGAGGCCCACATAAGAGGGAGCTAAAATTGGGTACAAATAGTCATAGAAATGGGAACAATAGATGCTGGCGTCTGCTAGACGGGGGAGGGAAGGATGGAGGCAAAGGCGGAAAAATCATACGTTGGGTCCCATGCTCAGTACTTGGATGGCACAATCCTTCATGCCCCAAACTTCAGCATCACACATTATACTCAAGCAACAAATGTGCACATGAGCCTCCTGAATCCGAAATAAAAGTTGCCATGATTTAAAAAAGAAATAAAGATGATGATTGAAATATGTGTTTTTATTTTTTGAGACAGAGTCTCGCTGTGTCACCCAGGCTGGAGTGCAGTGGCGTGATCTCAGCTCACTGCAACCTCCACCTCCTGGGTTCAAGCAATTCTCCTGCCTCAGCCTCCCGAGTAGCTGGGAAGACAGGCGCCTGCCACCATGCCTGACTAATTTTTGTATTTTTAGTAGAGACGGGGTTTCTCCATATTGGCCAGGCTGGTCTCGAACTCCCGACCTCAGGTGATCCACCTGCCTTGGCCTCCCAAACTGCTGGGATTACAGGTGGGAGCCACTGCGCGCAGCATTTGTCTGTTGTTTATAAGTTGCCACATCTGACATTTGGTGGTGTTGGATTTTCTCTGAAGGTCTTTTTTTTTGAGATGGAGTCTTGCTCTGTCGCCCAGGCTGGAGTGCAGTGGTGCAATCTCGGCTCACTGCAACCTCCGCCTCCTGAGTTCAAGTGATTCTCCTGCCTCAGCCTCCCGAGTAGCTGGGATTGCAGGCACCCACCACCACGCCTGCCTAATTTTTGTGTTTTTAGTAGAGACAGGGTTTCACCATGTTGGCCAGGATGGTCTCAAACTCCTGACCTGGTGATCCGCCTGCCTTGGCCTCCCAAAGTGCTGGGATTACAGGCATGAGCCTCCACACCTGGCCTTTTTTTTTTTCTGAGACTGAGTCTTACTCTGTCGCCCAGGCTGGAGTGCAATGGCACGATCTCGGCTCACCGCAACCTCCACCTCCTGGATTCAAGCGATTCTCCTGCCTCAGCCTCCCGAGCAGCTGGGATGACAGGCCCCCGCCACCACACCTGCCTAATTTTTTTTTGTATTTTCAGTAGAGGTGGGGTTTCACCATGTGAGTCAGGCTGGTCTCCAACTCCTGACCTCAAGTGATCCTCCCGCCTCGGCCTCCCAAAGTGCTGGGATCGCGGACGTGAGCCACCACACCGGCCAACATTCACGCGATTTTCAGAATTAGCAGCCACCCGTCTGGGTCCCCACAGTGTTTGGGGAAAGGGATTTGGGGGTGTGGTACGCCCTGTGTTCCCCGGCGGGCAGCTGGGGCCGGACTCCCTTGCCGACATCCTGTGTGTTCTCTGCATCTCGAAGTTGTCACGAACTCTCATGGCAACCCCCTTCTCGTGCTATGGGTTCCGTTTAGCCTCCCTCAGAATTAGCTAAAAACCCACCGGCTTGATTTCTGGCATTTGCAACGGCCGCGCTCAGGAAACCTCCTGCCTCCTGAAAATGCTCATGCTGGCGGAACGGGAAGGCAAATAGGAATCCGTGGATGATAAATGGGCGTTTTAAGCAGCAGTTTACTTAATATCCCTATTAAACGAGACTCTTTGCATTAATCACTTCATTCTCCAGCAGTCTATAAGGCCCTTTAATTGCTTCTTAAATGAGGACTGAGTTTCCGTCCAAACTCAATCTTGGATGGGGAGAGAGAGATGCTAGCCAGGGCTCAGCTGCCCGGCTGCCAAGAACTGTCAGAATTGATCACGTATGTGTTCACGTTTCCTACAGTCTCATTGGAGTTCTCTGAGATTGACAGGAGAAAGTATCACATACTTTGTGTGTGTGTGTGTGTGTGTGTGTCTGTGTGTGTCAGAGACAGAGGGACACAGAGGCCGGGAGCAGGGGTGTGTAAGTGTGAGGTTCTGAACGCAAAGACAGGCCGTTCTGCTCACAATCCACAGGCCAGCGACCTTGTGGACCATTGCATTATGTATTAGCAATATTTATTTTCATTTTATGATTTTATTTATTTGAGACAGCTTCTTGGTCTGTCGCCCATGCTGGAGGGCAGTGGTGCAATCATAGCTCACTGCAGCCTTGATCTTCCAGGCTCAAGAAATCTTCCCTCCTCAGCCTCCCAACTAGCTGGGACTACAGGTGCATGCCACCATGCCTGTCTATTTTTTTTTTTTTGGAGGCAGGGTCAGTCACCCAGGCTGGAGAGCAGCGGTGTGATCTTGGCTTACCACAACCTCCGCCTCCCAGGTTCAAGCGATTCTCCTGTGTCAGCCTCCCGAGTAGCTGGGATGACAGGCACCCGCCACCACGTCTGGCTAATTTTTGTATTTTCAGTAGAGACAGGGTTTCACCAAGCTGGCCACGCTGGACTCGAACTCCTGACCTCAGGTGATCCACCTGCCTCGGCCTCCCAAAGTGCTGGGATTATAGGCGTGAGCCACCACGCCGGGCCCATACCTGGCTATATATATATATATATATATATATATATATATATATATATTTTAATGTTTTGTAGAGATGGGGGTCTCACTATATTGCAAACCAGGCTGGTCTCAAACCCTTGGGCTCAAGTGATCCTCCCACATCAGCCTCCCAAAGTGCTGGGATTATATATTTATCTACTTTTGAGATGGAGTCTCGCGCTGTCGCCCAGGCTGGAGTGCAGTGGCATGAGCTCGGCTCACCGCAAACTCCGCCTCCCGGGTTCAAGCGATCCTCCTGCCTCAGCCTCCCGAGG
The DNA here is from genome assembly GCF_000001405.40 of Homo sapiens. Taxonomy (NCBI): domain Eukaryota; kingdom Metazoa; phylum Chordata; class Mammalia; order Primates; family Hominidae; genus Homo; species Homo sapiens. The sequence goes on from NC_000024.10 coordinate 467,062, forward strand.
AGCTGGGATTACAGGCGCCCGCCACCACGCCCGGCTAATTTTGTATTTTTAGTAGAGACGGGGTTTCTCCATGTTGGTCAGGCTGGTCTCGAACTCCTGATCTCATGATCCACCCACCTCAGCCTCCCGAAGTGCTGGGATGAGAGGTGTGAGCCACCGCACCTGGCTACTTTTGTATTTTGAGTAGAGATGGAATTTCACCATGTTGGTCTGGCTGGTCTCGAACTCCTGACCTCTAGTGATCCACCTGCCTTGGCCTCCCAAACTGCTGGGATGACAGGCATGAGCCACCGTGCCCTGCCTGGGATTATTATCACAAATAACACCTATTCATTTTTACAAACCATATTTATGTAGTTATTCAAACCTAGGGCTAAAAATGATGTGGCTGCTGGGGTGACCTTTGGGGTAGGATCGGGAATTGGGGTGTAGCCCTCCTCCAGGCTCCATAGACCTCAGCCCCCCCAAGTTCTGTTTCTGACTTGTTCATGCTCAGAAAGTTGTCAGGGACGGCCTGGGTTTCTTTCCCACCTTCCTTGTTTGGGAGGAAGGTTCTGGAATCCTTTTTTTTTTTTTTTTTAGATGGAATTTTGCTCTTGTTGCCCAGGCTGGAGTGCAATGGTGCCAACTCAGCTCACTCCAACCTCCACCTCCCGGGTTCAAGCCATTCTCCTGCCTCAGCCTCCCGAGTAGCTGGAATTACAGGCATGAGCCACCACACCCGGCTAATGTTTGTATTTTTAGTAGAGACGGGATTTCACCACGTTGGCCAGGCTGGTCTCGAACTCGCGACCTCAGGTGATCTTCCCGCCTCGGTCTCCCAAAGTGTTGGGGTTACAGGCGTGAGCCTCCGCGCCCAGCCGGGTTCTGGAATCTTGAAGCTCCCCAGACACCAAGGCTGGATGGAAAGTTAGGCCATCAGAAAGCAAATGGGGAGAGGCTCGTGGGAATAGCGTGGGCCTCATGTAGTGTTTTGCTTTATGTGAAATGGGGCAGCAAAAAACAGCTGTTCCCTCCACCCCCCAGGCTGGAAAATTTATCTCCAGTATTCATTCTGGTAAATGAATGCCTGTGTGTTAGTAAGAGGGGAAGGAGCTGCTAGTCCTTGAGGTCAGCTGAAACCTCCTTCAGAGCCTCCAGCCTGGCCTTGAGACCGGCTCACCACATGTGAGCAGCCAGGAGCCCCGCCAAGACCTGCTGTTGCCCCTCCTTCCTGCCCTGCCCCAGTGCCGGGGTCCTGTGGATGTAGATTTTTTCTTTTTTTTTTTTTGAGATGGAGTTTCGCTCTTGTCCCTTAGGCTGGACAGCAATGGCGCGATCTCTGCTCACCACAACCTCCGCCTCCCAGGTTCAAGCCATTCTCCTGCCTCAGCCTCCGGAGTAGCTGGGATTACAGGCACCCGCCACCACTTGTAAATTTTGTATTTTTAGTAGAGATGGGGTTTCACCCTGTTGGCCAGGCTGGTCTCGAACTCCTGACCTCAGGTGATCCACCTGCCTTGGCCTCCCAAAGTGCTGGGATTACAGGCGTGAGCCGCTGTGCCGGGCCTGTTGATTCTTATCTGGCTTTCATGGGACCACAGGGGCTCCTGAAAGTGTGAAACAGAGAATTTCCATAGAACCCAGTAATACCCCAGCTAAGTATGTACCTAAAAGAATAGAAAGGAGGGGCCGGGAACAGTGACTCACGCCTGTAATCCCAGCACTTTGGGAGGCCGAGGCAGGTGGATCACCTCAGGTCGGGAGTTGGAGACCAGCCTGACCAACATGGAGAAACCCCGTCTCTACTAAACATACAAAATTAGCCAAGGGCGTGGAGGTGCCTGCCTGTAATTTCAGCTACTGAGGAGGCTGAGGCAAGAGAATCCCTTGAACCCGGGAGGCGGACGTTGTGGTGAGCCGAGATGGCGCCATTTCACTCCATCCTGGGCAACAAGAGTGAAACTCCGTCTCAAAAAAAAGAAAGAGGGACTGGAAGAGATATCTGCTCGCTCACGTTTGTAGGAGCACACACATGGAAACCATCCAGGTGTCCCTCAGTGGATGAATCGATAAACAAACAGTGGTTCACTCACTTTGTGCCCACCCAGTGGAGTACTATACAGCCATGAAAAAGAATGAGGCTGTGACCTAGGCTGCAACGTGGATACACCCTGAAGAAGTCACACTCAGCGATATTTCCTTTGGCTTATTGTACAATCCCCTTACGTCAACTGTCCGGAAGCGGCCAATGCACAGAGAGAGAGCTCAGATGAGTGGTTGCCACAGGCTGTGGGGAGGGAATGAGGAGGAACTGCTTCCTGGGGAGGGGGTCTCCTTTTATGGGGAGAAGGATGTTCTGGAAGTAGACAGAGGGGGTGGTTACACGGCGCAGTGATGTTCTCAATGCCACTGAGATTTTCACGGCGGTTAAAGTGGTGAGTTTTATGTTGTGAAATTTATGGTGAATTTCATATAATACGTTTTATGTCATTGCAGTGAAAAACAACACAATCCCGGCCCTCCTACGGCCCCCGCCTTCCCTCTGTGTCTGCGGTCTGTACCCTACGAACGCCTAGGACGCTAGACGGGATCCCTCCCCACGGAGCTATATAGGAAGGTGAACCCAGTCTGGGGTTCCTGAGCTGCTACGGCTCACTGCTTCCTTTCGGAAATTGGTGTATTGTCTTTGGAAAATGACTTCACACAAACCTGCTCACAGATATACCCGGTCCCAGATATGCCTAAGTGAGCGGAGACTACCGTGTCCTGAAACAGCATCTTCTCTTTTAAAAAATGTTGTGTTTTTTGTTTTGTCTTTTTTCTTTTTTTTGAGATAGGATCTCACTGTGTTGCCCAGGCTGGAGTGCAACAGTGTAATCATAGCTCACTGCAGCCTCAACTTCCCAGGCTCAAGCGATCCTCCTGCCTCAGCCTCCCAAGGAGCTGGGATTACATGTGTGCACCACCATGCCTGGCTAATTTTTTGATCTTTTGTATAGATGAGACCTCACTATGTTGCCCAGGCTGGAGTGCATCAGTGTAATCATAGCTCACTGCAGCCTCAACTTCCCAGGCTCAAGCGATCCTCCTGCCTCAGCCTCCCAAGTAGCTGGGACTACATGTGTGCGCCACCACGCCCGGCTAAGTTTTTGATCTTTTGTGGAGATCAGGCCTCACTATGTTGCCCAGGCTGGAGTGCAGTGGTGTAATCATAGCTCACTGCAGCCTCAACTTCCCAGGCTCAAGCGATCCTCCCACCTCAGCCTTCTAAGTATGTGGGATTACAGACATGCACCATCACGCCCAGCTAAGTTTTTGATTTCTTTTGGTACATACAGGGTCTCACTATGTTGCCCAGGCTGGTCTTGAATTCCTGGGCTCAAGTGATCCTCACTCCTCGGCCTCCCAAAGTGCTGAGATTACAGGCGTGAGCCACCATGCCTGGCCTCTTTTTTTGTTTTTGAGACAAGGTCTGAAATAACAACTATCTGTAAAAAAAAAAATATATATATATATATGGTTTTAATGTTATATATATAAGGTTTTAATGTTATATATAAATGTTTTATATTTATATATGACATATATAACATTTTAATGCTATATACATATAATGTTTTAATGTTATATATACATACAAATATATAAATATATATATTTTTAAACAGGGTCTTGCTCTGTCACCTGGGCTGGAGTACCCTGGTGTGATCACAGCTCACGGTTGCTTCGACCTCCTGGTCTCCAGCGATCCTCCTGTCTCAGCCTCCCCAAAATGCTGGGATTACAGGTGTGAGCCGCCGCTCCTGGCCAGCACCTTCTCTTATGCGGTACCTGGAAAGTCCCACATCATGCGAACGTCTCCACCAGGTACCCGGGAGGTGGCATTCGGGGAATGAGGGGGACCAGGGCTCAGAGCATCCCCAAAGTGGCTTCCTTGCCTCATAGGGTCACCCCCTTAGCCCAGAGCTGGAGGTGAGTGGGGGCGTGAAAGAGGCATCTTCCCTTCCAGAGGGCGGCAGTGGGGTTGAATGGATAACTTTAATCCTGACACACGTATTTCAGAAGACCTACCGCCAACTTTCCAGCTATGGGCAGCAGGTGTGATGAACACACGGGCCCCGGTGAGGGCTGAATGGGCCCAGATGGCAGGGGCAGAGAGGTTTGCATTCATTTTAATGTTCTCAGAAACTAGGATAAGCACTGGCAGCGGATGGAATGAGGAGAGCTGCATATTCGGTGAACTGTGTTGAAAGCACAGGGTTTTCACGGAAAATAAATAATGTCCAATGCAGCTAAAATACCGTGCGCCACCCGTAAGCCGGCGTTTATCCAGAGCTCCGAGTGTCTGTGAGATTTTAAGGAAAAGAAAGGAAGCTGGAAAAAAAAATAATAATCCAAATGAATCACAGACCAACGATCCCTAAAAGGTTTGCTTTAATAATTTTTTTTTTTTTTTTTTTGTGGCTGTGGAAGATGACTCGGATTCAAAATAATGAGGATGTTTATGTCTGCAGTCTGTTCCTCTCTTGAAGATTCAATTCTAAATAATGCAGGTCTCCTAAATGCTAGCAAATAGTGTCATACACTCCTTTTCACAAAATAGCTTTGACTTTGGGGAAGGCAACTATCATTAACTGGGCACCGGCACCTTTAAGCAAAGGTTTCCTGGAATAACAGTCAGCTAAGGAAATATAATGAGAGCTATTTCTTGCCCTTCCTGCTCGAAACCGTTGGCTGGAACTCAGCCTGCCCCTCAGCTGAAGCACGTCTGGTTTAAATTCATACGGCATAGATTTACAATTTTTAAACGACTGGATATGTATTTTTTTTTTTCTACGCTGTTTGCAGACCTGGTGGACACCTGTTGTTTCTGGTTAGGAAAGGAGGAGATAATTGGATACCAGAGAGAGCCTGACTTCTTGAGCCACCATTTAACCGGCTGATTTCAGCAATAAATTGGAGGGGGGCGGGGATGGGGAAAAAATAACACCCAAGAAACATTCAGACAGATTTGCAACCACAAAGTCTGTCTCCTTTATTATTTTAATTTTATTATTATTATTACTTTTGCTTTGTTTAACATAAAAACGATCTAGGCGAGTCCTTCTGGGCTGATGTGTATGTGCTTTTTCCTGCCTGGCTATCCTGTAGCTTTATCTAAGGCAAATCGGAGTACGTGTAAATAAATTAGTTCAACCATTGTGGAAGACAGCGTGGCGATTCCTCAAGGATGTAGAACTAGAAATACCGTTTGACCCAGCCATCCCGTTACTGGGTATATACCCAAAGGATTATAAATCACTCTACCATAAAGACACATGCACACGTATGTTTATTGAGGCACTGTTCACAACAGCAAAGACTTGGAACCAACCCAAATGCCCATCAATGATAGACTGGATACAGAGAATGTGGCACACAGACACCATGGAATACTATGCAGCCACGAAAAAGGATGGGTTCATGTCCTTTGCAGGGACATGGATGAAGCTGGAAACCATCATTCTCAGCAAACTCGCACAGGAACAGAAAACCACACACCGCATGTTCTCACTCCTAAGTGGGAGCTGAACGATGAGAACACAGGGACGCAGGGAGGGGAACATCACACACCGGGGCCTGTCAGTGGGTTGCGGGCCAAGGAGTGGGATTGCATTAGGATGCTATCCTAATGCTAACAAATATCTAATCCATCCAGGGCTTAACACCTAGATAAGGGACCTCCTCTGAATAATTAATATACTCCTGGTGATAGATGATCCGCACGGTCTGGATATTAGGTTATCAATCACGACCCACTTGTTTTAACGTAATCCTATTGAACACGTGTCAGGAGCTGTTTACCCAGAGGTGACAGCTACACAGCACCCCCATTTCCAGCCAGAAAATCGTACCATTTCCTTTCCTTCGACTGCCGCTTCCCGACCCCTTTCCCCGTTTCCGGCCAGAAAATCGTACCATTTCCTTTCCTTAACCTGCCGCTTCCTGACACTTTCCCCCCAGTGTTTTAGTACAGATGGAGTTTCACCATGTTGGCCAGGCTGGTCTTCGATGGGTGACTTCAGGTGATCCGCCTGCTTCAGCCTCCCAAAGTGCTGGGATGACAGGCGTGAGCCACTGTGCCCGGCCTCCAGTGTTTTTCAAATTGTGGTAAAACGCACATAACACAAAGTCTAGAGCATTAACCATGTATTTTGTTTTAAGACAGAGTTTCACTCTTGTCGCCCAGGTTGGAGTGCAATGGCATGATCTCGGCTCACTGCAAACTCTGCCTCTTGGGTTCAAGCGATTCTCCTGCCTCAGTCTCCCGAGTAGCTGAGATTACAGGCGCCCGCCACCACGCCCGGCTAATTTTTTGTATTTTTAGTAGAGACCGGGTTTCCCCATGTTGGTGAGGCTGGTCTTGAACTCCTGACCTCAGGTGATCCACCTGCCTCAGCCTCCCAAAGTGCTGGGATGACAGGCGTGAGCCACCGTGCCCGGCCGGCATTCACCGTGTGTAAATGTACACAGCAGTTTGAACTGCAGTTGGCTTCTGCAGCCATCACCACCATCCGTATCTCCAGAAGTTTCTCATCTTCCCAAACAGAAACCCTGTTCCCCTTACACACTCACTCCCTTTCCCCGGCTGCCATCAACCTCCTCTCCATCTCCATGACTCTGAGGACTCCAGGGACCTCCTGTAAATGGAATCCCACAGTGTGTATCTTTTTTTTTTTTTTTTTTTTTTTTTTTGAGATGGAGTCTTGCTCTGTCGCCCAGGCTGGAGTGCAGTGGCGCGATCTCGGCTCACTGCAAGCTCCGCCTCCCGGGTTCACGCCATTCTCCTGCCTCAGCCTCCCGAGTAGCTGGGACTACAGGCGCCCGCCACCACATCTGGTTAATTTTTTTGTATTTTTAGTAGAGACGGGCTTTCACCGTGTTAGCCGAGATGGTCTCGATCTCCTGACCTCATGATCCGCCTGCCTCGGCCTCCCAAAGTGCTGGGATTACAGGCGTGAGCCACGGCGCCCGGCCCCACAGTGTTTATCTTTCTGTGTCTGGCTTCGTCACTGCTCCAAGACTCACGTTTGTTGTAGCAAGCGCCAAATTTTCTTCCTTTTGGCTGGCTTATGAGGATTTTAGGAGGGACTTCAGTCTCCCAGTTTGTTATTTATTTTCTACGTGCTTTCTACGTCACGCGTTTCCTGTGTTTCTGTCCTCTTGTGTGTTTCATTGATTTATTTTTATTTTTGTAGACACGAAGTCTTGCTCTGTCACCCAGTGAGACTCCAACTCCTGGGCTCAAGCAATCCTCCTGCCTCAGCCTCCCGAGTAGCTGGGAGCACAGGCATGCACCACCACGCCTGGCTAATTTTTTTTTTTTTTTTTTTTTGGTAGGGACAGGCTCCTGGGGAAGAGGGGGAAGGAAAGGAGTGGTCTTGGGCCCTGTATTGTAGGAGTTTCTGGGCTTCTAACAACAGCAACTTGTTTTCTCCCAGTCCCGGTGTCCAGGAGTCTGAGATCAAGGTGTAGGCAGGACCACAGTCCCTCCAGAGGTTCTAGGGGAGGGTCCTTCCTGCCTCTCCCAGCTCCCGGGGGCTCCAGGCTTCCTGGGCTTGTGGCCGCGTCACTCCAGTCTCTGCCTCCGTTCTCCACGTGGCCTTCTTCTCTGTGTCTGTGTCTTCTCTTCTGTCTCTTACAAGGACACCTGCCATTGCATTTAGGGCCCAGCCTACTCCAGGATGACCTCATCTCAAACTTCTTGAGTTAACTGTGTCTGCAAAGACCCTATTTTCAAATAAGTTCTCATTCACAGATACTGGGAGCTTAAAACAACAGAAATTTATCCTCTCCCAGTCCTGCAGACCAGGAGTCTGAGATGAAGCGGTCTCAGGGCTGAGCTCCCTCCAGAGGCCCTAGGGGAGGGTCCTTCCTGCCTCTCCCAGCTCCTGGGGGCTCCAGGCTTCCTGGGCTTGTGGCCGCATCACTCCAGTCTCTGCCTCTGTTCTCCACGTGGCCTTCTCCTCTGTGTCTGTGTCTCCTCTTCTGTCTCTTAGAAGGACACCTGTCAATGGATTTAGGACTCACCTAATCCAGGATCATCTCATTTCGAAATCCTTGACTTAGTTACATCTGTAAAGACCTCATATCCGAATAAGATTCCATTCATGGGTTGAGGGAGTTAGGATGTAGACATAGCTTTTCGGGGAGACTATGGTTCAACCCATTCCGATTGTATCCAGTTCCTTCTGGAGGTTCTAGGGGAGGGTCCTTCCTGCCTCTCCCAGCTCCTGGGGGCTCCAGGCATCCCTGGGCTTGTGGCCGCCTCACTCCAGTCTCTGCCTCCGTCTCCACGTGGACTTCTCCTCTGTGTCTGTGTCTCCTCTTCTGTCTCTTAGAAAGTCACCTGTCATTGCATTTAGGGTCCACCCTCATTCATGATCATCTCATCTCAAGATCCTTCACTTAATCACATTTGCAGAGACCCTATTTCCAAACGATATCTCATTCTAGGTTCTGGGCTTTAGGATGTGGACAGATCTTTCTGGGGGCCACTGTTCAATCCATTACAATTGTATCCACTTCCTTGTAGAGGTTCTAGGGCAGGATCCTTCCTGCCTCTCCCAGCTCCTGGGGGCTCCAGGTGTCCCTGGGCTTGTGGCCGCATCACTCCAGTCTCTGCCTCCGTCTCCACGTGGACTTCTCCTCTGTGTCTGTGTGTCCTCTTCTGTCTCTTACAAGGACACCTGTCATTGCATTTAGAGCTCACCTAATCCAGGATGATCTCACCTCAAGATCCTCAACTTAATTACATCTGCATGTGTGAGTGGCTTCCCGGAGACACCCCTTTTCTCTCCCATTCCTTTTTCTTTTTCCCTACCATGGAGGACGAGGACACGCACGCACGGGAACTCAAGTTTCACCCCGTGAGTATTTTAGGCGTGGGGCACTTTCAGCCCAGGTGTATGAAAATGGTCTCATTAAGGGGACTGCTCGGATGACACATCCAGTGAGGGTGGCATTGCCTGTGTGGCAGTTCAAAGAATCGGAGACAAGCTCTAGAGAGAGCGAGGACACACACAGGTGCACGCATCACACACACACACGTGCACACGCGGGCACGCACACACAGGTGCACACGGCCATCACCCCGGCCGCGTGAGAGTGTTGCTTATATCGAAACCGTCTTCAGCCCAGAAGGTCACTCGTGGCAATAATGGTCTCGTTAGACACGCCATCCATCATTCAAATAATCGCAATTTAGAGCCCGCGTTTCATGCCGGGCTGGTTTAATCACCAGCAGCAGTTTGTGAAGGGCCTCATTCGCCTGGGATTCGGGGATATTGCGTGATTTAGCAGACGTGACCCCTGACCTCTGCGGGGGGCGGAGAGCCTGCCTTGGAGGCAAAAGCGGAACAGCGAGGGTGACTCACTCAGGGACAATTATTATGCTTAACAGCCTCACTGTCATCTTAGAAGGAAAAAGAGCCAAAAAAAAAAAAAAAATCCATAGGATGCTGAGCATTCCTTCCAGATCCTTCAGCATTCCTTCCAGATCCTTCAGCATTCCTTCCAGATCCTTCAGCATTCCTTCCAGATCCTTCAGCATTCCTTCCAGATCCTTCAGCATTCCTTCCAGATCCCAGTTTAGAAGAAGGCAGTGGGGTCGGTTTAAATGCACCCAGCGTGCTCCCGAAGATAATGTTTTTGTTTCTGTAGACGCGGTGGCAGCTTTCTGGCGATTTCTAGGCAATGTACAGGAGGAAAGAAAGAAGGAAGGGGAGGGCACGGAGAAGCTCCGGAAGGCTGGATGCTTGGGGAAGGAGGTCAGGAGGCAGGACCGGCCGGCCGCCCTCCAGACGTCCAGATGTCCAGACGTCCAGCCAGCCGGACACCGGTCTGCACCTGTCACAGGTGAGCAGCATTTGTTAGCGACGTCTGCACAGGCATCAGTTGGGTAAAGGATGTTCCCGTGTTGTACCTGGAGCGAGTTAGAGAAAACGCCACACTTTGAGACGAATTAAGAGTCCGTTTATTTAGCCGGCGGCCAAGAGACGGCTAACGCTCAAAGTTCTCTCGGCCCCGAAGAAGGGGCTAGATTTTTTTTTTATACTTTGGTTTAGAAAGGGGAGGGGGATCTAGCGAAAACCATTTTACAGAAATAAAGTAGGCAAAAAAGTTAAAAGGATAAATGGTTACAGGGAAGTAAACAGGTGCAGGGCCTTTAAGACTATTACAAGGTGATAGACGCAGGGCTTCGGGCGTTAGTAATCAGACGAATTCCTGGGAATTGCGGATATAGCTCGCCACAGTATCTTATCAGTTAATTGCATTCTTGGATGTGCTGGGAGTCAGCTTGCACGAGTTCAGTCCTTGAGGAAGGGGCTGCCAGTGAAAGAGCCATGATGGAGTCTGTCTGGTTCTCTTAGCTAAGGGTGAGTCCATTCAGGTGGAAACAAGGCTAGGTGATTGAAGGAAAAGGGAGAGTCTAAAAACAGGGTTAGTAAAAAGGAGGTTGGGCATTACAGGTGAAACCCCGTCTGCCCGAGCCAGCAAACGCTGCTCACCCGTGACAGGTGCAGACCCGGTCTCCGGCTGGTCCTGCCTCCTGGCCTCCTTCCCGAAGCATCCAGCCTTCCGGAGCACAGGCAGACGGGTACAGGATGGTCCCCAGGCCCTCATTCACTTGGAAGCAACAGGAGAAAATCCTCTATTGCATTTCTGCAGCCGTCCGCATTTCTGCGCACAGAGACGGTTAAATGCTTGTCATTTAACTTGTCATTCTCTCCATAACACAGTGTTCTATTTTTATTTCCATCGGTGCAAAGCTCATCACTCTCCGTCCCCTCCTGCCTGGGATGCTTGCAGCCCCCTTCCTGAGACGGTGGCGATCCCCCAGTACCAGATTTTTGGTGATCCCAGGGGGCCACGGGCTGTGCCTGGCATCTCTCTCATGAAACATCTCTTTTTCTTGTGATCATTTAAAATTCATCCTCGCTCCAAAGAAGGTATCTGTGTAGCAGTGTTGCCTCCGTGAGCCGTCCTGATTTTTTTTTTCCGGTATTTCAAAGGGAGGTTAGGGGATCGGGTTATTTTTGGTGAGAACAGCGGGAAACCAAGCCTTGACTTCTCGAGTCCCTGGGGTGCAGGAGAGGGGTCTCTGAGGACCATGCTGGGAAAATAACTCATCCCTCCTTTGGTCATCTTTGGAGATGAGCTGAAACCAGGCGGGGCTCTAGTCACTTATTTATCTGCTTCTTAAATTTTATTTTATTTATTTATTTTTTTTGAGACAGAGTCTTGCTCTGTCACCCAGGCTGGAGTGCAATGGTGCGATCTTGGCTCACTGCAACCTCCGCCTCTCGGGTTCAAGCGATTCTCCTGCCTCAGCCTCCCGAGTAGCTGGGACTGCAGGCACCCACCACCACGCCCGGCTAATTTTTTGTATTTTTAGTAGAGACGGGGTTTCACCGTGTTAGCCAGGATGGTCTCGATCTCCTGACCTCGTGATCCGCCCGCCTCGGCCTCCTAAAGTGCTGGGATGACAAGCGTGAGCCACCGTGCCCGGCCCAAAGATGCCTTTTAATAAACAAGGTATTTGGGAGGCTGAAGAGGGTGGATGACCTGAGGTCAGGAGTTCGAGACCAGCCTGGGATGACAGGCGTGAGCCACCGCGCCCGGCCTCATGCCTCCTGTTTTTAGGACATACAGGGTAACTTCCTGCGTGGCTATGACATCTGTAAATGGTCCTGGTGCTGGTGGGAGTGTCTTTTAGCAGCAAATGAATTACAGTTAGTGTAAGGTACAATTAGTGCGGTGAGGACAACCTGAGGTCACTTTCGTTGCCATCTTGGTTTTGGCGGGATTTGGCCGGCTTCTTCACTGCGAGCTGTTTTATCAGCAACTCTTTATGACCTCTGTCTTGTGCCAACCTCCTATCTCAACCTGTAGGTTAGAATGCCTTAACCTGGGGAGGCCGAGGCAGGTGGATCACCTGAGGTTGGGAGTTCCAGATCAGCCTGACCAACATAGCGAGACCCCGTCTCTACTAAAAATACAAAATTAGCCAGGCGTGGAGGTGCATGCCTGTAATCCCAGAACTTTCGGAGGCCAAGGCGGGCGGATCACCTGAGGTCGGGAGTTTGAGACCAGCCTGACCAACATGGCGAAACCCCGTCTCTACTAAAAATACAAAATTAGCCGGGCGTGGAGGCTCGCACCTGCAATCCCAGAACTTTGGGAGGCCAAGGTGGGTGGATCACGAGGTCAGGAGTTCAAGACCAGCCTGGCCAGCACGGTGAAACCCCGTCTGTAATAAAAATACAAAAATTAGCCGGGCGTGTGGTGGCGCGTGCCTGTAATCCCAGCTACTCAGGAGGCTGAGGCAGGAGAATCGCTTGAACCCGGGAGGCGGAGCTTGCAGTGGAGCTGAGATTGCACCACTGCACTCTAGCCTGGGTGAGAGAGCGAGACTCTGTCTTAAAAAAAAGAAAAAAAAAAATCTGAACCTTCTGAGAATGCAGCCCAGAAGGTCTCAGCCTCATTTTACCCAGCCCCTGTTGAAAGTGGAGTTGCTTTACTTCCAACACCTCTGACACTGCTGTTTGGGAATCTTCCGAATGATTAGAGAGTTATAGAAAGTTAAGGCGCCTTGATCCGGAGAAGCTGGTGCCGTCTCTCTCATGGCGTCTGTGGGACAATTGTCCGGGAAGAGGGCGGCTCTGGGCACTCCGGGGGGCTGGAGGTGGGAGCTTCGTATCCTGGAGGTGGCTGTGTGTTTTGGAGACTCATTGTACCACATAAAACACCCTTAAATATCCTTGCCTTCCCCTGCTATTTTGTATAATAATAATATAATTATATTTTATAATTAATAAAATATTATTTTATAATAATAAATACTATTTTATAATAATAAAATATTGCTTTATAATAAATAAAATATTTTAATAATTAATAAAATATTATTTTTAATAATTAATAAAATAATTGTATAAATATAACGTATAACAAAATATTCTATAGTAATAAAATAATTATATAATAATATAATTAATAAAATAATTTATAATAAATTTTATAAATTTTATAATAAATAATTTTATAATAAATATAACTTGTAATAAAAATTCCATAATAATTAATAAAATAATTATGTAATAATATAATTAATAAAATAATTTTATAATATAATTTGTAATAAAAATTCTATAATAATAAAATAATTATATATTATGTGATATTACTACAATAATAATTATATTAATATATAATTATGTATATATATGTTTTTTGAGACGGAGTTTCGCTCTTGTTGCCCAGGTTGGAGTGCAGGGGAGCGATCTCAGCTCACCACAACCTCTGCTTCCCGGGTTCAAGCGATTCTCCTGCCTCAGCCTCCGGAGTAGCTGGGATGACAGGCATGCGCCATCACACCCGGCTAATTTTGTATTTTTAGTAGAGACAGAGTTTCTCCATGTTGGTCAGGCTGGTCTCAAACTCCTGACCTCAGGTGATCCGCCTGCCTCAGCCTCCCAAAGTGCTGAGATTACAGGTGTTAGCCACTGCGTTTGGCCAATATATAATAATAATCGCATATTATTAATTAATATATTATAATTAATATATTATATATAATATAATTACATATTTTACTATGTTAATATATAATATAAAACATTATATGATTAATATGTAATTATATTAATATATTAATATATTTATTATATTTTATATAACATTTACATTATATTATATAACATTTATGTATTGTATTTAATATATAATGATATATAATATTTAATACATAATAATATATATTTATGTATTATATTATACATTATAATATGGTATCTATTTTATAATATAGTAGTAATAATATACTCCCTGGGAAGTATAATACTAATGATTATTATTATTAAGAGACAGGGTCTTGCTCTATTGCCCAGGCTGGAGTGCAGTGGCAGGATCATAGCTCACTGCAGCCTCAACCTCTCAGGCTCAAGCAATCCTCCCGTTTTAGCCTCCTGAGTCACTGGGACTACCGGTGTACACCACCATGCCCAGCTAATTTTTTAATTTTTTGCCTAGAAGGGGAGTCTCACTATGTTGCCTGGCCTGGTTGGGAACCCCTAGGCTCAAGCACTCTTCCCAGCTTCCAAAGTGCTGTGGTGACAGCTGTGAGCCACCGTGCCCGGCCAGGTTGGACAAGTGCTAACATACTGTCCATAACATAAGCTGTATGCCGGATGCATACGGCCGGCCTATAGTTTCTGCAAATCCAGAAAAGCTTACTGCAACTGCAGAAAGAAAAAAAAAAGAAAGAGAGAAAGAGAGAGAGAGAAGGAGGGAGGGAGGGAGGAAGGAAGGAGAGGGAGGGAGGGAAGGAAGGAAGGAAAGAAGGAAGGAAGGAGAGGGAGGAAGGAAAGAAGGAAGGAGACGGAGGAAGGAGAGGGAGGAAGGAAGGAGAGGGAGGAAGGAAAGAAGGAAGGAGACAGAGGGAGGAAGGAGAGGGAGGAAGGAAGGAGAGGGAGGGAGGAAGGAAGGAAGGAGACGGAGGAAGGAGAGGGAGGGAGGAAGGAGAGGGAGGGAGGAAGGAAGGAAGGAGACGGAGGAAGGAGAGGGAGGGAGGAAGGAGAGGGAGGGAGGAAGGAAGGAAGGAGACGGAGGAAGGAGAGGGAGGAAGGAAGGAGAGGGAGGAAGGAAGGAGAGGGAGGAAGGAGACAGGGAGGAAGGAGAGGGAGGAAGGAAGGAGAGGGAGGGAGGAAGGAGAGGGAGGGAGGAAGGAGAGGGAGGGAGGAAGGAGACGGAGGAAGGAAGGAGAGGGAGGAAGGAAGGAGAGGGAGGAAGGAAAGAAGGAAGGAGACAGGGAGGAAGGAGAGGGAGGAAGGAAGGAGAGGGAGGGAGGAAGGAAGGAAGGAGACGGAGGAAGGAGAGGGAGGAAGGAGAGGGAGGGAGGAAGGAGAGGAAGGAAGGAGATGGAGGAAGGAAGGAGAGGGAGGAAGGAAGGAGGGAAGGGAGGGAGGAAGGAAGGAGAGGGAGGGAGGAAGGAAGGAGGGAAGGGAGGGAGGAAAGAAAGAAGGAAGGAAGATTCTAATTCAAATCAGTTGCTTAAGAGGGAGAGATCAGGAAGTTCCCAACTAAAGTGCTGGGGTGACAGGTGTGAGCCACCATGCCCGGCCAGGTTCCCCAGCTGTTTGGACAAGTAGTAACAAGTAGCCAACTGCAAATGCACAAAGAAAGAAGGAGGAAAGAAAGAAAGAGAGAGAGAGAAGGAAGAAAGGAAAGAGAAAGAAGAAAAGAAAAAACCAATTCTAATTCAAATCAGTTGCTTAAGAGGGAGAGATCAGGAAGAAAGAAAGAAGGAAAGAGAAAGAAAGGAAAAGAAGAGAGAAAGAGAGAGAGAAAGAAAGAAAGAAAGAAAGAAAGAAAGACAGAAAGAAAAACAAATCCTAATTCAAATCACTTGCTTAAGAGGGAGAAATAAGGCAATTTCCCACCAGGAGGATGCCGTCTAGATCGGACGGTGTTGTTGGTACGGGACCTGACTCTGAAGTCACTAACAAAACTCCCAGGCTTTGTGCAAAGGAGAACCTCTAAGCCCCCGGGAACGGCGTTTTCTCGCTCGCCACCATGAGTCTGGCTGGCTCGCCTCCTTGTAGAACGAGGTGGCCGCAAGTTTGGCGGCCTCTGGAGAAACGGCGGTGCATTTGTTGACGTAAGAAGTAATGTAGAGGGTGGGGGAGTGTCTGTTCCATGATAATTTCTGAATAGTGCGTTTCTCCGGAGCCATACATCATTGTCAACTCAGAAGATTACACGTACCGTTGCCTTTGTGAACCGGGGACTCGGGGTGGGGGCAAATGTCCCCAAATGCAAATCCGCCTGGTAGATAGAGTGAGATAGATATGAATGTAGACACCACGGGTCTCCTTCCCCGACAACCCACCTTTTTTTGTTTGTTTGTTTTAGGTGATTCAGGGACAAAGCTTTCCTGGAACAACAAGGCTGAAATTACATCATCATTGCAGACGTCCGTCGGCAAGCGGCGTTTTATTTCAAGGCTAGGAGCTGAAATGATCGTGTTCAGTCACGCACACCGTCTATGATAAGGTAGGTCTGGGCGGGAAGGGAGGTGCAGAATACATGCAATCATTCATCGAGATGAAAATAAAGTCAATCGAGCGCTCTCCCCCTGGAGGGAACAGGAAGGCAAACGTTTGTCTGGCTGAAAACACAGGCAAAAAAATTTAGACGTTGTCTATAGCTGCAACCAGATTTGGAGACAGAGGCCAAGCACCTGAATCGTTGCCCCAACTTTCTAGTTTTAACCTGATATTCGGTGTGTCATGTTATTTTGTTTTACTGTCATTTTATTTTATTTCATTTTTTTTGAGATGGAGTCTCGCTCTGTCACCAGGCCGGAGTGCAGTGGCGCGATCTCGGCTCACTGCAACCTCCGCCTCCCGGGTTCAAGCGATTCTCCTGCCTCAGCCTCCCAGGTAGCTGGGACTACAGGCGCCCGCCACCACGCCCGGCTAATGTTTGTATTTTTAGTAGAGACGGGATTTCACCCCGTTGGCCAGGCTGGTCTGAAACTCCTGACCTCGTGATCCACCCACTTCGGCCTCCCAAAGTGCTGGGATGACAGGCGTGAGCCACCGCATCCGGCCTCTACACACACGTTTATATACACACATACCTGACCATATATATGCATACATCTATATTTATCACACATACGTACATAGATGTATGGATTTTGTTACAGACAGAAACTTAATTTAACCATCTCTGACACATTGCTTCTTAAATTATAAAGCCACTTTCCCACTTTCCCAATATCCACTGGTGGCACACTGAATCTGAGTTAGTTCTAAATGTTTCAATGCGATTGTGTGTATATATGCCTTCCTAGAATGGGATGTATACAGCTGGCCTGTGGTCTCTCCCTCCCTAGAGTGAGATGTATACGGTTGGCCTGCAGTCTGTCTTTCTAGTGTGGGATGTATACAGCTGGTCTGTTGTCTCCCTCTGTAGAGTGGGATGTATACAGCCGGCCTGCGGTTTCTTTCTTCCTAGAGTGGGATGTATACAGCCGGCCTGTGGTCTGTCTCTCTAGTGTGGGATGTATACAGTTGGCCTGTGGTGTTTCTCCCTAGAGGGGGATGTATATAGTCAGCCCGTGGTTTCTTTCTTCCTAGTGTGGGATGTATACAGCCGGCCTATGGTCTGTCTCTCTAGTGTGGGATGTATACAGCTGGCCTGTGGCCTCCCTCTCTAGAGTGGGATGTATACAGTTGGTCTGTGGTCTCTTCCTCCCTAGAGTGGAATGTATACAGCCGGCCTGTGGTCTCTCTTTCTAGAGAAGGATGTATACAGCCGGCCTGTGGTCTCCCTCCCAGGAGTGGAATGTATACAGTCGGCCTGCGGTCTCCCTCCCAGGGGTGGGATGTATACAGCCGGCCTGTGGTCTCTCTTTCTAGAGAAGGATGTATACAGCAGCCTGCAGTCTCCCTCCCAGGAGTGGAATGTATACAGCCGGCCTGTGCTCTCCCTCCTAGGAGTGATATGTATACAGCCGGCCTGTGGTCTCCCTCCCTAGAGTGATATGTATACAGTTGGCCTGTGGTCTCCCTCCCAGGAGTGGGATGTATACAGCCGGCCTGTGGTCTCTCTTTCTAGAGAAGGATGTATACAGCCGGCCTGTGGTCTCCCTCCCAGGAGTGGGATGTATACAGTCGGCCTGCGGTCTCCCTCCCAGGAGTGGAATGTATACAGCCGGCCTGTGGTCTCTCTTTCTAGAGAAGGATGTATACAGCCGGCCTGTGGTCTCCCTCCCAGGAGTGGGATGTATACAGCAGCCTGTGGTCTCCCTCCCAGGAGTGGAATGTATACAGCCGGCCTGTGGTCTCTCTTTCTAGAGAAGGATGTATACAGCAGCCTGCAGTCTCCCTCCCAGGAGTGGGATGTATACAGTCAGCCTGTGGTCTCCCTCCCAGGAGTGGGATGTATACAGCCGGCCTGTGGTCTCCCTCCCAGGAGTGGAATGTATACAGCCGGCCTGTGGTCTCTCTTTCTAGAGAAGGATGTATACAGCAGCCTGCAGTCTCCCTCCCAGGAGTGGGATGTATACAGTCGGCCTGTGGTCTCCCTCCCAGGAGTGGGATGTATACAGTCGGCCTGTGGTCTCTCTTTCTAGAGAAGGATGTATACAGCAGCCTGCGGTCTCCCTCCCAGGAGTGATATGTATACAGTTGGCCTGTGGTCTCCCTCCCAGGAGTGGGATGTATACAGCCGGCCTGTGGTCTCCCTCCCTAGAGTGATATGTATACAGTCGGCCTGTGGTCTCCCTCCCTAGAGTGATATGTATACAGTTGGCCTGTGGTCTCCCTCCCAGGAGTGGGATGTATACAGTCGGCCTGTGGCCTTCCTGCCTGGTGTGTATACAGCAGGCCTGTAATGCTCACCTCAACAGGCAGTATTCCTTGGACTCCTGGTCTGCAGACATCCTGGTTCCTCATTCCCTGAAATTCTGCGTGGGACGTTTTTCCGCCTGGGCCTGAGTGACACTGGCTTTGACGTAGCTTCTAGGTGAAGATCAATGAAGGCCTCGGTGGGGCCCAATTTCTTGGTGGAAACTCATCCCGTTTCTGATAAAGGATGGCCCGGGAAGACCTAGAATACGGTGACACCGCGTCCCTCTCCCCCGTGGGTCCCCGAACCTGCAGATGACCACATTTTAGGAACCTTGTATCAGGAGCATGTCTTAATGTTATTACGTCTTTCTCAAAAACAAGATTTTGGATTCCTACGTGACACGGATCCTTCTAGGTCCGCCGGCAGCTATTTGACCAGGCTGTTATTTAAGAGAATGTAGATGATTCCCTAAACCTTCTAGCTCATAAAACGTGGATTGTTAAGATTGACTCCTTCAGGTAAAATTATTGGATTTCATATACCAACTGCTAAAAGGCACTATTCATAGTCTCAAACGGCTTGCGGGAAAAGCTGTTCTAATTTACGTTCCTGCCGGCAGAGCAAGAGGTCGCCCGGGACTTACGCTGTGATGAACATTGAGGTTCATTTTAAAAAGAAAATGAGGAATTCTGCAAATTTCATAGTTTCAAAACGGCATCCATTGTTTTGACTTGGCATTTAAAGACGACTTTTTAGTGGGGGACAATTCTTTTTCATGTTTACAAGCCATGTGTGTTTCTCTTTTGTAAATTACTTGAGATGTTTGCTTATTTTTCCAGTGTTTACCAGTTCTTAGGGCCCTGAACTTCAGAGTCACACAGAACTGGGTTTGAATCCAAACACAACACGACAATTTACTAGCTCCGTTTCTCCGGAGAAGTTAATTTATGCCTTTAATTTTCACTTTCTCCGTCTGTAGCAAATTGCCTAGAGTTTTTATGACATTTAAACCAGATAATATATGTACATTGAGTAGCACAGAATTTTAATGCACAGAAAGCATTCAATAAATAGCAATCATTCTTGTTGATTTGTAAGAGCTCTTTATATATTAAGGACACAGGCTCTTTTATCATTGGCATATTTTATCAATATTTTTCAACTTCTTTTATGCTACTTGAAATTGTTTTTTAAACCTAAAGAGTTTTAAAATTGAATGTAGTCAAATTGATCAGTCTTGTTCATATAATTTCTTCCATTGTTTTTATTCTTGGAAAGTACTTCTGAATGTAGAGATGTAATATTCACCTACATTTTTTTTGTTTTTTTTGGGACAGGGTCTTGCTCTGTCACCCAGGCTGGAGTGCAGTGGCGTGATCTTGGCTCACTGCAACCTCTGCCTCCCGGGTTCAAGCCTTGCCTCAGCCTCCCAAGTAGCTGGAATTACAGGCATGCACCATCATGCCCAGCTAATTTTTGTATTTTTAGTAAAGATGGGGTTTCACCATGTTGGTCAGGCTGGTCTCGAACTGCTGACCTCAGGTGATTTGCCTGCCTCGGCCTCCCAAAGTGCTGGGATTACAGGCATGAGCCACCGCGCCCGGCCCTTCATGTACATTTGAAGCTACATTTCATGACTTAATTTTTATTTATTTATTTTGAGATGGAGTCTGGCTCTGTTGTCCAGGCTGAAGTGCAGTGGTACAATCTCGGCTCACTGCAACCTCTGCCTCCCTGGTTCACGCCATTCTCCTGCCTCAGTCTCCTGAGTAGCTGGGACTACAGGCGCCCACCACCACGTCCAGATAATTTTTTGTATTATTTAGTAGAGACGGGGTTTCACCGCATTAGCCAGGATGGTCTCAATCTCCTGACCTCGTGATCCACCTGTCTCAGCTTCCCAAAGCGCTGGGATTACAGGCATGAGCCACTGTGTGCTGGGATTACAGGCATGAGCCACTGTGTCTGGCCATGTACTTTTAAAACACAGTAATTGGCCAGGCATGGTGGCTCATGCCTGTAATCCCAGCACTTTGGGAGGCCAAGGCAGGAGGATTGCCAGAGGCCAGGCATTCAAGACCAGCCTGGGCAACTTAGGGAGACCCTATCTTTACAAAAAATAAAAATAAAAAAAGTAGCCAGGTGTGGTGTCCCTTGTCTGTGGTCTCAGCTACTCAGGGAGGCAGAGGTTGCAGTGAGCTGTGGTCTCAGCTTGTCTGTGGTCTCAGCTACTCAGGGAGGCTGAAGTGGGAGGATTGCTTGAGCCCAGGAGTTGGAGGCTGCAATGAGCCAAGATTGCACCACCGCCCTCCAGCCTGGGCAGCAGACAGAGACCCTGTAAGAAACACAAAGAGAAAGAGAAGAAAGAGACAGGATGGAAGGAAGGAAGGAAGGAAGGAAGGAAGGAAGGAAGGAAGGAAGGAAAAAGAAGAAAGAAAGAAAGAAAGAAGAAAAGGAAGGAAGGAAAAAGAAAGAGACAGAGGGGAAGAAAGGAATGAAAGAAGAAAAAAGAAAGTAAGAGAAAGAAAAGAAAGAAAGAGGAAGAAAGGAAGGAAGGAAAAAAGAAAGAAAGAGACAGGAAGAAAGGAAGGAAAGAAGGAAAAAAGAAAGACAAGAAAAAGAAACGAAGGGAAAGGAAGAAAGGAAGGAAGGAAGAAAGAAAAGAAAGACAAAGACAGAAAGGAAGAAAGGAAGGAAGGAAGGAAAAAGAAATGAAAGAAAAGAAAGAGAAAAGAGAGACAAAAAGGCTGTAAGAAAGGAAAAGCAATGATGCCTCATACTGGATTAAGTTACCCATGAAATCTAAGCTTGGTTCCTTAAGCCTCGCCTCTTTGAAGAGGAATCCAATTCTGAAATGAATGACACTTTTGGGGGGCCTCATGCCGTGGGGAGCTTAGATTGTCTTTGAAACTGGCCTCTGAGTTGAAATTCCAGGTCCTACCCTTTCCTGCTCAGTCCTCAGACAATTTATAAAACTTGCCTAAACTCACATTTTTATCTGGTAATTTGTGACTTGCAGAATGAACGCAAGAAAACAGAGACGACATTGTAAAGTAGCTGGCCATCGTATTTTTCTTGGAAGAGACAGTATCCTTAAATTAATGCTAATATTTTAAACACTGGCCCACTGATCATGAACACCCAATTCCTGGGTTCCTTGAAATATTTTTGGAAGGGGCGGCCAACCCGTGCCTTCATTCTTGCCCAACACCAGTGGGCTGGATGGGATGTTCGCCGCAGTCTCCACTGCTCCCCGATGTCTCTCTCACATCAGGCCTGCCTTACTGACCTGACCTGCCTCCTCCTGCAAGCATTTGAGTCTGGAATTTTTTTGATGTGCAGAAACAATGCCTGTAAAACACCCAGTACAGGGGTGCTGAAGACATGTTCGTTCAACATGAGCTGAAGCATTCTTAGAGGCAGGTGCTGGTACACCCACATGCACTGGAGACTCTGAGATGAGCATTGCAGACTCTGAGATGTGCACTGGAGATTCTGAATGGGCATTGGAGACTCTGAGATGGACACTGGAGGCTCTGAGCTGTGCTTTGGAGATTCTGAGATGCGCATTGGAGACTCTGAGGTGTGCATTGGAGACTCTGAGATGGACACTGGAGGCTCTGAGCTGTGCTTTGGAGATTCTGAGATGTGCATTGGAGACTCTGAGCTGTGCTTTGGAGATTCTGAGATGTGCATTGGAGACTCTGAGATGGGCACTGGAGACTAAGATGTGCATTGGAGACTCTGAGGTGTGCTTTGGAGACTCTGAGATGTGCTTTGGAGACTCTGAGATGTGCTTTGGAGACTCTGAGGTGTCCATTGGAGACTCTCAGATGTGCATTGGAGACTCTGAGATGGGCATTGGAGATTCTGAGCTGTGCTTTGGAGACTCTGAGATGGGCACTGGAGATTCTGAGATGTGCATTGGAGACTCTGAGATGGGCACTGGAGACTAAGATGTGCATTGGAGACTCTGAGGTGTGCTTTGGAGACTCTGAGATGTGCTTTGGAGACTCTGAGGTGTCCATTGGAGACTCTCAGATGTGCATTGGAGACTCTGAGATGGGCATTGGAGATTCTGAGCTGTGCTTTGGAGACTCTGAGATGGGCACTGGAGACTCTGAGATGTGCATTGGAGACTCTGAGATGGGCACTGGAGACTCTGACGTGTGCTTTGGAGACTCTGAGATGGGCATTGGAGACCCTGAGGTGTGCATTGGAGACTCTGACGTGGGCATTGGAGACTGAGATGGGCATTGGAGACTCTGAGATGTGCTTTGGAGATTCCGATATGTGCATTGGAGACCCTGAGGTGTGCACTGCAGACACTGAGGTGTGCATTGGACACTCTGACGTGGGCACTGGAGACTGAGATGGGTACGGGAGACTCTGAGGTGTGCATTGCAGACTCTGAGGTGTGCTTTAGAGACTGTGAGATGGGCACTGCAGAGGCTGAGGTGTGCTTTGGACACTCTGGTGTTCCAGTATGATGTGATTGCTTTTCAGAGCGGCAGACAGGATGTCCAGCTGGAGCCGGCCAGCAGCAGGACGCTGACTGCGTGAGTGATGCAGCCGCGATTGGTGTTGACGGCCGGCGCGGAACACTCCATCTACATGCAGGTGCTAAGTGAGCCCTGGGGAGAAGGTGACCTGAATACTTGCCAACTGTTCTTTAGAAATTTCTTTAAATGGAAAATATGATTTAGGCAATGTTAAAAAAAAAAAACAAAACCAGACAGAGTCCCAGGATATTAGCACATGGCTCAGAAGACCGGACGCAGAAGGAGGAAAAGTCATGCTCTTTGCCAAGCCCAGTGCTAACTAGACCTTAAACCTGGGCGAATGCACCCATAACGTGGGTGTCTCCACGCCTTCCGTGCAAACTGTGTGTATTTGACAGATGAATGGTTTGTCTCTGGGATGATACTTTTCTGACAGTGCAGCCTGCAGATAACATCTAACGAGGGGAGAAGGATTATGTGAGCAGTGGTGGCTGAGGTCTCTCTCTCTCTCTCTCTCTTTTTTTTTTTTTTTTTGAGATGGAGTTTCACTCTTGTTGTCCAAGCTGGAGTTCACTGGCGTGATCTCGGCTCACAGCAACCTCTGCCTCCCGGGTTCAAGCGATTCTCTTGCCTCAGCCTCCCAAGTAGCTGGGATTACAAGCATGTGCCACCATGCCCAACTAATTTTGTATTTTGTATTTTTCTTTCTTTCTTTCTTTTTTTTTTGAGATGGAGTCTCGCTCTGTCGCCCAGGCTGGAGTGCAGTGGCGCGATCTCGGCTAACTGCAACCTCTGCCTCCCGGGTTCACACCATTCTCCTGCCTCAGCCTCCCGAGTCGCTGGGACTACAGGTACCCGCCACTGCACCCGGCTAATTTTTTGTATTTTTAGAAGAGACGGGGTTTCACCGTGTTAGCCAGGATGGTCTCGATCTCCTGACCTCGTGATCCGCCCGCCTCGGCCTCTCAGAGTGCTGGGACTACAGGCGTGAGCCACCGTGCCCGACTTTTTTTTTTTTTTTTTTTTTTTTTTAGTAAAGACAGGGTTTCTCCATATTGGCCAGGCTGGTCTTGAACTCTTGACCTCAGGTGATGCACCTGCCTTGGCCTCCCAAAGTGCTGGGATTACAAGCGTGAGTCACTGCGCCCGGCCCGAGGTGTCTTATGAGTGGGCAGTGGACTGTGGCTCAGCTCTGGCCCACCTGAAGGTGAAGAGAGGTGGCTTTCTGGCCCTGGGATTAGTCCTGCCTTGTACAAATCTCCACCTCCGAAGGAAGGAAGAACAAGGGATTTATAGAGATGCCTTTGGGAGCTTCAGAAGAAAGAGGGTGTAATCTTGCTGGTTGATATAATTTTGGATGAAGGCACTGTCCTCCAAGCTCACAAACACACAGGACCAGAGAGAAGGACGGAGGAGATGGGGTTTCAGCGAGGGAGGTGGGAGAACAGGCCTGGCCTGTTGGGGGTAGAACGTAGAAGAAAAGGGCAATCTGAGAGATGAACAGGGGACGGTATTAAGTGCGTGCCCCCACACACATGCGCACATGTCCGGAAGGCAAGCACACACCCACCGTCATGAGCCCTCACGTGCAGGTGCATGCACGCATTCTTGCAAACCCCACACATGCACACAAGCCCATATGCATATATGTGTACAGAAGGCAAGCACACATTCACAGTCATGAGCCCTCACGTGCAGGTGCATGCACGCATTCTTGCAAGCCCCACACATGCACACAAGTGCATATGCATATACATGTACAGAAGGCAAGCACACACAGCCATGAGCCCTCACGTGCAGGTGCATGCATGCATTCTTGCAAACCCCACACATGCACACAAGCCCATATGCATATATGTGTACAGAAGTCAAGCACACACTGATAGTCATGAGCGCTCACATACAACTGCATGCATGCATTCATTCAAGCTCCCACATGCACAGATGCACACAGGTATCTCTGCACAGAGGTGTACAGAAGGCAAGCACACATTCAGTCATGAGCCCTCACGTGCAGGTGCATGCACGCATTCTTGCAAACCCCACACATGCACACAAGCCCATATGCATATATGTGTACAGAAGGCAAGCACACACCCACAGCCATGAGCCCTCACGTGCAGGTGCATGCATGCATTCATTCAAGCCTCCACATGCACACAAGCCCATATGCATATATGTGTACAGAAGGCAAGCACACATTCACAGTCATGAGCCCTCACGTGCAGGTGCATGCACGCATTCTTGCAAGCCCCACACATGCACACAAGCCCATATGCATATATGTGTACAGAAGGCAAGCACACACTGATAGTCATGAGCGCTCACATACAACTGCATGCATGCATTCATTCAAGCCCCCACATGCACAGATGCACACAGGTATCTCTGCACAGAGGTGTACAGAAGGCAAGCACACATTCACAGTCATGAGCCCTCACGTGCAGGTGCATGCACGCATTCTTGCAAACCCCACACATGCACACAAGCTCATATGCATATACGTGTACAGAAGGCAAGCACACACCCACAGCCATGAGCCCTCACGTGCAGGTGCATGCATGCATTCTTGCAAACCTCACACATGCACCCAAGCCCATATGCATATATGTGTACAGAAGGCAAGCACACATTCACAGTCATGAGCCCTCATGTGCAGGTGCATGCACGCATTCTTGCAAGCCTCACACATGCACACAAGCACATATGCATATACGTGTACAGAAGGCAAGCACACATTCACAGTCATGAGCCCTCACATGCAGGCGCATGCACGCATTCTTGCAAGCCCCACACATGCACACAAGCACATATGCATATACATGTACAGAAGGCAAGCACACACAGCCATGAGCCCTCACGTGCAGGTGCATGCATGCATTCTTGCAAACCCCACACATGCACACAAGCCCATATGCATATATTTGTACAGAAGTCAAGCACACACTGATAGTCATGAGCGCTCACATACAACTGCATGCATGCATTCATTCAAGCTCCCACATGCACAGATGCACACAAGTATCTCTGCACAGAGGTGTACAGAAGGCAAGCACACATTCAGTCATGAGCCCTCACGTGCAGGTGCATGCACGCATTCTTGCAAACCCCACACATGCACACAAGCCCATATGCATATATGTGTACAGAAGGCAAGCACACATTCACAGTCATGAGCCCTCACGTGCAGGTGCATGCACGCATTCTTGCAAGCCTCACACATGCACACAAGCCCATATGCATATACGTGTACAGAAGGCAAGCACACACAGCCATGAGCCCTCACATGCAAATGCACATGCACATACACGCACAATGCAAAGCACACACTCCTAGTTTTGTGCATTCACTGTGTATGTGTGTCTGCATGTGCTCATGCGCCCTGATCCATGTGTGACTGTGTATGTGTGTGTCTGTGTGTTGTGCGCACTGATCTGTGTTACTGTTTATGTGTGTGAGTCTGCAGACACACACATACACAGTCGCACAGGGATCAGTGCGCATGAGTACACAGACACACACATACACAGTCACACACATGTGCACACACCCACAGGTAGAAACGTGCACCCACACACATCTATTTTCATGGCAACAGTCACACACAGATCAGTGCATGTGAGTATAGATACAGACTCACACACATACACAGACACACACGGATCAGTGCGCATGAGCACACACAGACTCACACACATTAACAGTCGCACACAGATCACCTGAGGCCAGGAGTTGGAGACCAGTCTGGCCAACACGGCAAAACCTGCCTCTACAAAAAATACAAAAGTTAGCCAGGTGCGTTGGCGTGCACCTGTCATCCCAGCTACTCAGGAGGCTGAAACAGGAGAAACGCTTGAACCCAGGAGGTGGAGGTTGCAGTGAGCTGAGATCACACCACTGCACTCAAGCCTGGGCGACAAAGCGAGACTCCGTCTCAAAGAAAAAAAAAAAGAAAGAAAAAGAAAAAAGGGACGCGCTGGGCAAGGGGAAGTTGTTAGAAGCCCTGAGTCCCACACATGAGGGTCCTGACAACTTTTCTTCGTGATTCCGTATTTTAAAAGTAAATCTCCTTTCTGGGAACTTTTAATACCATTTTGGTTACGCGTCTAATCCACCTGCTCCTTAACCAGAAATGGTAATCACGTGGAAATCACTGCCAAACTATGATGTCCAATTAAAATTCAGGTTATTTTGTGGGAGGCAAACGCACCCCCCAGCCTCTCTCTTTTTAAACCGTCATCTTACAAATCCTCTGATAGAAAGTTCGGGCTGTTTTGAGGGAGAGCTTGTCATCAAGAGCCATCTGGCTTCCTCAGTCATGACAGATTAAAATAGGATACAGTATGAAAGCTTTGCCACCCCTCCAGGGGCGAAAGAAGTCACTGGGGGAAAGAGGTAATTAAAAGATCCCCTTGCAGAGACGGGCTCTGAGAGGGACCCTGGCACTCACCAACGGCAAAAAACTCATTTTCCAGAAGAGAGCAGGCCCCGGCCGGCCGGACATCGATGGCCTCGGAGCCACTCTGTCTCCTTTGGGGACGAAGGTGGGCTGGCTCTCGTAACCCCTTAGCTTTGTCTGGCCAGCACCCTTGGCTTTGTCTGGCCAGCACCCTTCTCTCCGTCTGGCCAGCACCCTTCTCTCCTCCTGTCCATGGCCATCAAGCGGCCAGGACTTGATAGCCGTGGAAATTGCACCTGATGAAATGGACGTAATGAGTGTCATGAAGAAACAGGATTGTTTCTCCCCAAAACAGGAGGTCGCAAGGATGTCTCGATTTTCAAAGCCTGCAAGGAAAAAAGGTGACATTCCCCGTCGTGGGACATCCCCTCGCAAGGAGCCGACTCATGATTCCCACCTAGATAGTAAATACCACTCACGCCTGTCATCCCAGAGCTTTGGGAGGCGGAGGCGGGCGGATCATGAGGTCAGGAGATCGAGACCATCCTGGCTAATACGGTGAAACCCCGTCTCTACTAAAAATACAAAAATTAGCTGGGTGTGGTGGTGGGTGCCTGTAATCCCAGCTACTCGGGAGGCCGAGGCAGGAGAATCGCTTGAACCTGGGAGGTGGACAATGCAGTGAGCCGAGATCTCACCACTGCACTCCAGCCTGGGTGACAGGGCGAGACTCCATCTCAAACAAACAAACCACTCTGGGGTCTGCGTGTGCTGCCTGCGTAGGAAACACTTCCCCATTGTGAATGGGCACCTGTCACACCGTCCCGGTTACCGCTCCGTAACTGACACGAACGATGCCGGAGAGCTGGGAGCTGGGAGCTGGGTGCCCAGCCTTGGAGGCGTGCTCCAAACCACACCTCCCTTTTGAGCTTGGCTGGTATGTAAACGATTGGAAGGATAGTTAATCAAGCAATTCCTCCATCTCACCTAAGTGAACCCAGAGATATTTATTTTCTCTCTCTATAAAGGTGTTCACTCCCCAACTGTTTTTTTTTCTTAAAATGCAGATGGGATCTTGCTACGTGGCACAGGCTGGTCTCAAACTCCTGGGCTTAAGAGATCATCTCACCTTGGCCTCCCAAGTAGCTGGAACTGCAGGGGCACGCCACCACACCTGGCTAATATGTATATATTTTATATATTACATACATATTATATATGACACATATTATATATACTACAGATATATATGTTATATTACATACATAATATACCATATACATTATATTGCATATATAATATACATTATACTACACATAATATGTAATATATTACATATATAAAATATAAAATATATAATGTACACATACATAACTTACATATCACATATATAACACATATATAATATGCAATATAATATACATGTAATATCTAATATATGTAATATATGCAATATTTATATACATGTAATATATGCAATATATATTTTCATATTATATTTTTATATATAAACCTATATTTATAATATATATAAACCTATATTTATATATAATATATAAACCTATATTTATATTAATATATAAACATATTTATATATATTTTTATATTATATATAAACCTACAAATATATATTTATATATATATATATTTTTTTCAGATGGAGACTCCCTCTGTCACCCAGGCTGGAGTGCAATGGCGTGGTCTTGGTTCACTGCAACCTCCACCTCCCAGGTTAGAGATTTTATATATAAAAAATATATAGCTGGAACTGCAGGTTCGAGTGATTCTCTTGCCTCAGCCTCCCCAGTAGCTGGGATTACAGGCGCCCGCCACCACGCCCAACTCATTTTTGTATTTTTAGTAGAGATGGGGTTTCACCATGTTGGCCAGGCTGGTCTCGAACTCCTGACCTCAGGGGATCCACCCGCCTCAGCCTCCCAAAGTGCTGGGATTACAGGCGTGAGCCACCGTGCCCAGCCCAAAGTGATTTTTTTTTTAACTGTCTCTGCCAGCAGACAACCGTTTTAGAGAAATTCGGTGTTTTTTTGTTTTTTTGTTTTTTTTGATGGAGTTTCGCTCTTGTTGCCCAGGCTGGAGTGCAGTGGTGAGATCTCGGTTCACTGCAACCTCCGCCTCCCGGGTTCAGGCGATTCTCCTGCCTCAGCCTCCCGAGTAGCTGGAATTACAGGCGCCCGCCACCACGCCTGGCTCATTTTTGTATTTTTAGTAGAGACGGGGTTTCACCATGTTGGCCAGGATGGTCTGGAGCTCCTGGCCTCAGGGGATCCACCCGCCTCGGCCTCCCAAAGTGCTGGGATGACAGGCATGAGCCACCATGCGCAGCCCAAAGTGACTTTTTTTAACCGTCTCTGCCAGCAGACAACCGTTTTAGAGAAATTCAGTTTTTTTAAATTTTTTTTGAGCGCGTTACATTCCTGAGCTGCTGTCTGGGGCTGTCAAAGCCACGTTGCTCACCTGACCAGGTAAGTCTTGGCTTGGACTGTTTCCCAGGACAAATAACAGGTGTTTTCTCCCATTCCCTGCCCTGAGACATGGGAGTGTCTTTGCTGGAATTATAGCAACTGTGAGCCTCTTCCTGGCCGTCCTGTCGCCTTGGAGTCTTAAGGGAAGGCGCACACGTTATCACAAAGCATATGCATTTGCCCCTGGGCCCCAGAGGTGCTGGATTATGGGGGTACAGGGAAAAGTCTGTCCACACCCCAGTCTTCTGGGATCCATAGGCCAGGGAGAAATCCTCCTTCTGTCTCCGAGAGTCTGACAGAGACAGCATGTCATTATCTTAACAGCTGTAAATCCCAATTATTTCTGAGGCAGAAAATGCACTCTAAAATATGCATGCTTATTTAAAAAAAGAGAAAGAAAAAAAAAACCCTCAAAGATTGCAGTCGTGTTGCTATAATTTAGAGCCCTAAACCTCAGAACCTCCGGATGAGTCTTCGGCTTGATATTGTGAGACCGGCTCTTTCAATCTTGGAGGGATATCTCAGCAAATGCTCCTCTTCCCGTTCTCTGCAAGTGGGGGGAAACCGCCGCTGACCCACGGGGTGACACGCAGCTGAATCATTCCAAAGGGAACCGGGGGCCGGATTGATCTGCGTTGGTCGCTAACGAAGGCTCGTAGGCAAAGCTCAGCGAAGTGGGCTCGGCGGACACAGGGTGGGCTCGGGGCCCCGGGGCCGGGCCTGCTGGTGGAGGCTGGGGATGTCTTTTTGATTTTGTCGTTAGGAAGCCGTACCGTAGTCTCTCCGAGGCGTTGGGTGAAATTCACAGATTTCATCTTCCGTGAACTGTGGCTCACTTTTTGATATATATATATATATTTTTTCCCCCGATTGCTTGATGTCACCCTGTGCTTTTTCCATAAGACAAATGCAAATGAGCCAGGCATTCTAACGAGGCGAGCCCTCGGAGGTGACCTCTTTCTGGGGAAGCTCCGGTCTGCAAAACCACGATGAGAGAGGAAAACGTTTTTTTTTTTTTTTGCAGAGAAAACTCAGGCCTGCTGTTTAATCAGGGCCTTTGCTGCGGCCGCTGCTCCTGCAGACACAGAGGCGTTAATGAGGCAAGACTAGTCCCCATGTCCCCACGTTGGAGGCCTGGGATGAGGATCCCTTCTCTGTCCCCCATGTCTGCATCCCAGGACGCAGGTGGATCCGAGTCTGCTGCATAGACGGCCATTAGGTCCCAGGATGGAGCTGGATTCGAGCCTGCTGTGTAGACGGCCATTAGGTCCCAGTCCCAGGATGGAGCCGGATTCAAGCCTGCTATGTAGATGGCTATTAGGTCCCAGGATGCAGGTGGATCTGAGTCTGCTGCATAGAAGGCCATTAGGTCCCAGGATGGAGCTGGATTCGAGCCTGCTGTGTAGACAGCCATTAGGTCCCGGGATGCAGCTACATCTGAGCCTGCTGCATAGATGGCCATTAGGTCCTGGGATGGAGCTGCATTGGACCCTGCTGTGTAGACAGCCATTAGGTCCCAGGATGCAGCTACATCTGAGCCTGCTGCATAGATGGCCATTAGGTCCTGGGACGGAGCTGCATTGGACCCTGCTGTGTAGAGAGCCATTAGGTCCTGGGATGTAGCTGCATCCGAGTCTGCTGTGTAGACGGCCATTAGGTCCCAGTCCCAGGATGGAGCTGGAGTTGAGCCTGCTATGTAGATGGCTATTAGGTCCCAGGACGCAGGTGGATCCGAGTCTGCTGCATAGATGGCCATTAGGTCCCAGGATGGAGCTGGATTCGAGCCTGCTGTGTAGACGGCCATTAGGTCCCAGTCCCAGGATGGAGCTGGAGTGGAGCCTGCTATGTAGATGGCTATTAGGTCCCAGGACGCAGGTGGATCCGAGTCTGCTGCATAGATGGCCATTAGGTCCCAGGATGGAGCTGGATTCGAGCCTGCTATGTAGATGGCTATTAGGTCTCGGGATGCAGCTACATCTGAGCCTGCTGCATAGACGGCCATTAGGTCCTGGGACAGAGCTGCATTGGACCCTGCTGTGTAGACAGCCATTAGGTCCCAGGATGTAGCTGCATCCGAGTCTGCTGCATAGATGGCCATTAGGTCCCAGTCCCAGGATGGAGCTGGATTCGAGCCTGCTGTGTAGACGGCCATTAGGTCCCAGTCCCAGGATGGAGCTGGAGTCGAGCCTGCTGTGTAGACGGCCATTAGGTCCCAGTCCCAGGATGGAGCTGGATTCGAGCCTGCTATGTAGATGGCTATTAGGTCCCGGGATGCAGCTACATCTGAGCCTGCTGCATAGACGGCCATTAAGTCCTGGGACGGAGCTGCATTGGACCCTGCTGTGTAGACAGCTATTAGGTCCCGGGATGCAGCTACATCTGAGCCTGCTGCATGGACGGCCATTAGGTCCTGGGATGGAGCTGCATTGGACCCTGCTGTGTAGACAGCCATTAGGTCCCGGGATGCAGCTGCATCTGAGTCTGCTGCATAGATGGCCATTAGATCCTGGGACGGAGCTGCATTGGACCCTGCTGTGTAGACAGCCATTAGGTCCCAGGATGTGGCTGCATCTGAGCCTGCTGTGTAGACGGCCAAAATAAATAACAAAACTGTGTTGGCAGGCGGTGACCGACAGACGAACCACTGGGCTCTCATCCCGGCCGGCCCTTTGAGTTGTTTAAGTTCCTCTTGTACTTGAATTGTTTCCCCAGAACGAGGTGGATCAAAGTGTCATACAGTAACAGCCCAGACAGACGATAGGTATGGCAGAAAAGAAAAAAACTAAAAAAAAAAAAAAAAAAAAAAATCGCATGGGAAGTTTCCCCGCCTCCTCTTTGGCCATTCTGTGCCCGGAGATCAAAGTTCTCATTTCAGCTCTAATTAAGAAAAACTAACACAGAGCCAAGGCCTTCTGGCTCCGAAGAGGGCCTTTGGTGGATCACTGCTGAAATCTTCCCGAGATTTAAATAATTAATATGACACCTTGAGCTCTGCACGGAGAAATTAAAAAAAAAAAAAACAAAAAAGGGAAAGGGAAAGGGGAGGAAGGGGGCCCCGTGTCGGAGCGGGGAACAATGGGATTGAGGATATGGCAGAGCATTTGTACCCCTGGATGCGTGCAGCCCTCCTTTGTCATGCTAAAGGGGAACCTTTATTTTCTGTGGTCACCCCGGGTGCTCAGAGCCTCTAGGAGGATCCTTTCGGAAAGCAAGTCTGCTGTGGGGAGTTGGAGGACGCTCATTTAATGCTTTTTAATCCTGTTAATCCCAGGCAGAATGGCCATCCCCAGCGCAAATCCGGTCCCCAAAGCCCTCCCCGGCTTGCCAGAGCCAGGCTCCCTCCCAGACGCTCCCGGGAAGCATCTCTTCTGCGAGCCGGCCTGTCTCTGTGCTGGGTTCCCGGAGCCATCTGAGCCAGCACAGGCGACGAGAAATTAAAATCAGGCCTGGCATTGTGCTACGTCTCTGTGCTGGGTTCCCGGAGCCATCGTGAGCCAGCAGAGGCGACAAGCAATTAAAATCAGCTGCAAATCCTACGGCCGGAGCGTCCGGGGAGTGCAGGACGGGACCAGCCAGGCCTCGAACCCCCGTCCCTCTGGATGGGGTCGAGTCTGAAGATTCCTCCTCCTGCCCAGGACTGTTCAGATCCTCGGTGGAGTGTGGACACGGATTAGTCGTCCACTGCTGCAGACGAGATCAGAGCCAAGCCTCGGTATTCAGTTCGTTACAACTTCATAAAGCCAGGTCGCTCCCCCTCTGCCTCTGTACGCAGGAAGAAAATCGATCGGTCTAATTTCATAGCTCAGCATAAAACTCGACGGAACCTTTGCAAAGGCAATGATAAAAAAGATCCCGGAAAAAGCCGACAGTCTCCACGGCATGACGGCGCGGCCGCAGCTGAATAAACTCGGGGTGGGCGGCCAACCCTGCTGCATAGACGGCCATCAGGTCCCAGGATGGAGCTGGATTCGAGCCTGCTGTGTAGACACCCATTAGGTCCTGGGACGGAGCTGGATTCGAGTCTGCTGCATAGACGGCCATTAGGTCCCGGGACGGAGCTGGATTCGAGCCTGCTGTGTAGACAGCCATTAGGTCCTGGGATGGAGTTGGATTCGAGCCTGCTGTGTAGACAGCCATTAGGTCCTGGGACAGAGCTGGATTCGAGTCTGCTGCATAGACGGCCATTATGTCCCGGGATGGAGCTGGATTCGAGCCTGCTGTGTAGACAGCCATTAGGTCCCGGGACAGAGCTGGATTCGAGTCTGCTGCATAGATGGCCATTAGGTCCCGGGATGGAGCTGGATTCGAGCCTGCTGTGTAGACAGCCATTAGGTCCTGGGATGGAGTTGGATTCGAGCCTGCTGTGTAGACAGCCATTAGGTCCCGGGACGGAGCTGGATTTGAGTCTGCTGCATAGATGGCCATGAGGTCCCAGGACGGAGCTGGATTCGAGCCTGCTGTGTAGACATCCATTAGGTCCTGAGACGGAGCTGGATTCAAGTCTGCTGCATAGACGGCCATTAGGTCCCGGGACGCAGGTGGATCCAAGTCTGCTGCATAGATGGCCATTAGGTCCCAGGATGGAGCTGGATTTGAGTCTGCTGCGTAGATGACCATTAGGTCCTAGTCCCAGGATAGAGCTGCATAGGAGCCTGCTGTGTAGACAGCCATTAGGTCCCAGTCCCAGGATGGAGCTGGAGTCGAGCCTGCTGTGTAGACAGCCATTAGGTCCCAGTCCCAGGATGGAGCTGGAGTCAAGCCTGCTGTGTAGACGGCCATTAGGTCCCAGGATGCAGGTACATCCTAGTCTGCTGCATAGACGGCCATTAGGTCCCAGTCCCAGGATGGAGCTGCATAGGAGCCTGCTGTGTAGACAGCCATTAGGTCCCAGTCCCAACACACACAAACCACAGTAAACACATACACTATGCACAACACAGATGCCACACCACACACACACAACACATAAAATACACACTACACACAAAACACCTACTGCACACAACACACAGAATACACACTACACACAGCACACACAAACCACACTAAACACATATGCTATGCACAACAAAGATGCCACACAACACACACACATAGAACACACAAAATATACACAACACACACAAACCACACTAAACACATATGCACAACACAGATGCCACAGAACACACACACATAAAACACGCAAATACATACTATACACAACACAGCACAAACCACACACTGCACACACAAATGCACACTACACACAAACCACACAAACCACACTAAACACACACACTCTGCACAGTACAAACACCACACTAAATACACATATACACAAAATACATATGACACACAAAATACATAGAAAAACACAGACTGGCCTCACAAACCACACACACTATGCACAACACAGATGCCACACCACACACACACATATAACACACAAAATACACACTACACACAGCACACACAAACCACACTAAACACATATGCACAACACAGATGCCACACAACACGCACACACCCAACACACAAAATACACACTACACACAACACACACAAACCACAGTAAACACACACTATGCACAATACAGATACCAGACAACAGACACTTACAACACACAAAATACACACTACACACAACACACACAAACCACAGTAAACACATACACTGTGCACAACAGATGCCACACAACACACACACATACAACACACAAAATACACACAAACCACACTAAACACATATTCTGTGCGCAAAACAGATGCCACATAAAACACACACATGCAACACACAAAATACCTACTACATATACACAACACTAAACACAGACGTTATGCACAACACAGATGCCACACAATACACACACAAAACACACAAATACATACTACACACAACACAAACCACACTAAACACACACTGCACCCACAAAATACACATTGCACACAACACATGCAAACCACACTAAACACACACTATGCACAATACAGATACCAGACACCACACACTTACAACACAGAAAATACACACTACACACAACACACACAAACCACACTAAACACATACACTCTGCACAGGACAGACGTCACACTGAATACACACACATAACACATAATCTACAATTACACGCAACAGACGCAGACGTCGCTAAACACACACACTCTGCACAGGACAGACACCACACTAAACACACACACACACAAATGTGGTAGGTCACCCCCACATCATGAGCCCCAAGAGCCAGTTGATTTCTGCCTCAACAACGGTTGATTTGAAGGAACTTACGATGAATTAAGATGTGGACATCTGGCCGGGCGCGGTGGCTCACGCCTGTAATCCCAGCACTTTGGGAGGCCGAGGCGCGTGGTGGTCAGGAGGGTTGGATCCTCATGAATGGGATTCATCCCTTATAAAAGAGACTTCAGGCCGGACGAAGGGGCGCCCACCACGAAGCCCGGCTAATTTTTTGTATTTTTGGTACAGACGGGGTTTCACCGTGTTGGCCAGGATGGTCTCGATCTCTTGACCTCGTGATCCGCCCTCCTTGGCCTCCCAAAGCGCTGGGATTACAGGCGTGAGCTACCACACCCAGCTTCTCAATTTTTTAAAACTGAGATTAAGTTTGCATGGCACGCAAGCAATCCTTTCAAAAGTGAACAGTTCAGGGACGTGTGTGTGCATTTACAATGTTGCTGTACATTTACAATGAGAGGGATTGGGGGTGTGTCTGTTTCATAGGGTTCCTTCTGGGGGAGCAAAATATTCTAGGAATAGAATTTTCCAGAAGGAAACCTATCAAACAGTCACAGCCCCAATCCCTCTCTCTCAGCCCCTGGCAGTCACAAAGCTCCTTTCTGTCTCAACGAATTTGTCTGTTCTGCGTTTATTTTTTAATAGACTTGCTTATACATAGAAAAGAATTTCAAAGTTTGGCCACTGCTGTGCTTGCTGCTGGTGGCTATGGGGTCTTGATACTTCTTAGGATATCCCCCTAGGATAACATCAGGGTTCCTGAGGACATCTGACTTCTGTTCTTTTTTTTTTTTTTTTGAGATGGAGTCTCGCTCTTGTCACCCAGGCTGGAGTGCAGTGGCTCGATCTCAGCTCATTGCAACCTCCGCCTCCTGGGTTCAAGCGATTCTCCTGCCTCAGCCTCCCGAGTAGCTGGGATGACAGGTGCCCTCCGCCACGCCCGGCTAATTTTTGTATTTTTAGTTGAGATAGGGTTTCACCATGTTGGCCAGGATGGTCTCGATCTCCTGACCTCAGGTGATCCACCTGCCTTGGCCTCCCAAAGTGCTGTAATTACAGGCATGAAACACCGTGCCCGGCCGAATTCTGTTCTTTTTGTTGACATGGAGTTGCGCCCTCGTCACCCAGGCTGGAGTGCAGTGCTGTGGTCTCGGCTCACTGCAACCTCCGCCTCCTGGGTTCACACCATTCTCCTGCCTCAGTCTCCCGAGTACCTGGGACTACAGGTGCCCACCACCACGCCCGGCTAATTTTTGTATTTTTACTAGAGATGGGGTTTCTCCATGTTGGCCAGGCTGGTCTCGAACTCCTGACCTCAGGTGATTCACCTGCCTCAGCCTCCCCAAAGTGCTGGGATGACAGGCGTGAGCCACCACTCCCAGACTGATTTATTTTCTTTAAACAAAGCCCAGGGGCCACCGTGAGATTATGTCACCTCTCTGTGGTGTTTTTCCCCTTTTTATCCAATATATTGCATTCTGAGACACATTTCTAATGTACAGAAAGAGATGTTCATGCTTCTTGCACTTTTTTTTCAGAAGTTAACGCTAAATCTATGTGTCTTGGCCTCTTAAAAACAAAACAAAACCAAAAAAAACAAACCTACACTTCCATAGTTGAAAAACTGGACTGGTTTTGGGTGCTACCACACACGTCTCACAACAAACACAGTTGAGAATCAAGCGACTGTTTCAATAGCTCATAAATGGTGGTGAGAAAAGCCTGTTTGTAACCACTTCAGCATTTGAAATTAAACTCATCATTTAAGGATTTCTAAAGGTAATCATTTGGTCAACAACAGCAAAAAGTATTCCCTTTCTTGCCTGCCTCCCTCCTTCCTGTCCTTCCCTCCTTCCCTTCTTCCTTCCTTCCTTCCTGTCCTTCCTTCCTTCCCTCCTTCCTTCCTTCATTTCTTTCTTTTCTTCTTTCTCTCTTTCTTTCTTTTTCTTTCCCACAGGGAAAGGGGCGCCGTGAATGTAGCCCATATAGACCTAGAAGAGAGATGATCAGCTATCATCTCTCTCTCTTTCTCTATCTATTAATCTATCTATATATCTTACCTATCGATGTATCTATTATATCTATGTATCTATATCTATTTATGTATTCTATGTATCTATTTTATCTATTTATCTATATCTATTGTATGTATCTATTATATCTATGTATCTATATCTATTTATGTATTCTATGTATCTATTTTATCTATGTATCTATATCTATTTATTCTATGTATCTATTATATCTGTGTATCTATATCTATTTATGTATTCTATGTATCTATTTATCTATATCTATTCTATGTATCTATTATATCTATGTATCCATATCTATTTATGTATTCTATGTATCTATTTTATCTATTTATCTATATCTATTGTATGTATCTATTATATCTATGTATCTATATCTATTTATGTATTCTATGTATCTATTTTATCTATTTATCTATATCTATTGTATGTATCTATTATATCTATGTATCTATATCTATTTATGTATTCTATGTATCTATTTTATCTATGTATCTATATTTATTCTATGTATCTATTATATCTGTGTATCTATATCTATTTATGTATTCTATGTATCTATTTATCTATATCTATTCTATGTATCTATTATATCTATGTATCCATATCTATTTATGTATTCTATGTATCTATTTTATCTATTTATCTATATCTATTGTATGTATCTATTATATCTATGTATCTATATCTATTTATGTATTCTATGTATCTATTTTATCTATGTATCTATATCTATTGTATGTATCTATTATATCTATGTATCTATATCTATTTATGTATTCTATGTATCTATTTTATGTATGTATCTATATCTATTTATTCTATGTATCTATTATATCTATGTATATCTATTTATGTATTCTATGTATCTATTTATCTATATCTATTCTATGTATCTATTATATCTATGTATCCATATCTATTTATGTATTCTATGTATCTATTTTATCTATTTATCTATATCTATTTATTCTTTGTATCTATTATATCTATGTATCTATATTCTATGTATCTATTATATTTATCTATGTATCTATGTATGTATGTATCATCTATCTTATCATGTATTTATTATATCTATTATCTATCTTATCTATCATCTATCTATTGCATCTATTATCTATCTATTATATCTATTTATATCTATCATCTATGTATCTATTATATCTATCATCTATCTTATCTATCATCTATTATATCTATCATCTCTCATCTATGTATCTATGTATTATATCTATCTATCATCTATCTATCCATCTATCTATGTATGTATGTATCTGTCTATTATCTATCTATCCATCTATCTATCATCCAACTGGATTATCAATATCCGTGCTCCCACACATATTTCACTCTCTCTCTCTCTCAACCTTGCCAAAAGCAGGCAGAACGCAGCAGGAAGTGACTCCCTCCCGATCCTTTGCCCCAAGGGGCAGACACCCACCCGTAGGAAGCTGCATTCCTGGGGTCTGTGGTCATGTCACCGTTAGCAATGTGGTACCTGGGCTGGACAAGAGAGTCAATTTACGGCTCTTTTGTGCTGAATATCAGAAAAGCCGATCATTCAATTATCTCAGCGTTACCTTTCACTGGCATTATTTCATTCCTTGAAATGGCTTTTCATTCCAATTATAGGTTTTCATGGAGAAATTGTTGGATAATGTAATAATATTTGCCTCTTGCCGTCCTCTGAGGGCGATGATGAATGTTTAATAAGACACCAAAGTTGCAAAACCATTATGCACTTCTCAAAAGAGAGATGCCATATAAATGAATAATAAGAATAAATTATGCAACTGTATTGGGTAGAAAAAAAAATCAATTACTCTTCTTCTAGTGGCCAGTGATCTACTTTATATGCTGGATTTTAGAGTTAATTAATTAAGTTACGTCCTGTATTAAAAAAACAAACGTGTCAGCTTTTTTACAGTTTTTTGCTTTTCCTGCCCTAATAGCGTGATGGTTCTATGGGGTGAGGTCCCCTACATCCTGATTGAAATGAACGATTTCCCGGTGAAGCTCCGAGTTTCCACTGGAGGGAAAATGGTGACTGTCTCAAGAATTAGCCTGGGAGACCCTGAAGAGCTTCAGAATATGCCACCAAAAAAAAAAAAATACATATATATATATTGCAGGGGCCAGGTGGGGTGGCTCATGGCTATAATCCCAGCACTTTGGGAGGCCGAGGCAGGTGGATCAGGAGGTCAGGAGTTCAAGACCAGCCTGGCCAAGATGGTGAAACCCTGTCTCTACTAAAAATACCAAAAAATTAACCAGGCGTGGTGGCAGGCATCTGTAATCCCAGCTACTCGGGAGGCTGAGGGAGAGGATTGTTTGAACCTGGGAGGTGGAGGTTGCAGTGAGCCGAGATCACGCCATTGCACTCCAGCCTGGGTGACAGAGCGAGACTCTGTCTCAAAAAAAGAAAAAAAAAAAAGCAACAGCTACGGAGGCTAAAAGGTCCCCTCCTTCTGTGTTTAACTGGGAATGTCGGCAACCTTTACACATGATTTGTTTTCTCTGAGGTTGATTAGGAAATGGAAGCCACCTCATCCATGGAACTTACTCCAAAACTCTAATACTCAACATAGGAAGAGCTTGGAGCCGATGGTCTGTTGGGAACTAGGTCATTACTCCCCTTGTTTTCTCTAACCTTATCCAATTTTCCCGGTTATTCCAAGCTCAGAGAAGGAGGGACCTTCGGAAATGATGCTACAACTGAGTGACTTCCCTCTAGTCATAGAAAACTGTTGTTTTTGTTTTTTGGGTTTTTTTGCAAGACACGGTCTCACTCCGCTGCCCACGCTGGAGCACAGTGGTGCAATCATGGCTCGTTGGAACTTCGAACTCCTGGGCTCAAGTGATCCTCCCACCTCAGCCTCCAGAGTAGCTGGGACCACAGGTGTGCACCACCATGCCTGGCAATTTTTTTGTTTTATTTATTTATTTTTTTTAGAGACAGTCTTGCCTTGTTGCTGAAGCTGGTTTTGAACTCCTGACCTCAAGTGATCTGCCTGCCTCAGCCTCCCAAAGTGTTGGGATGACAGGCATGAGCCACCACTCGGGCTATAAAACCAATTTTGAAAAGAGGTGTTGTGTGAACAACCAGCAGTTGAATTACCTGCCAAAGACAACCTTTTGCTTCTCTTTACCTAGGGGTGGCCCTGGGGTCCAATCTCAGCCAATGGAACGGAAGGTAAATATACAAGAGGAGGTGTGGCTAGCACGGCCCCTCCACCTCTACTCCGCTCCTGTCTCTGAGTGTGGCTGTGATGCCCGGATCAGCAGCAGCCTCCTTGCAACCTTGAGGCCACGTGGTGGTGAACAGAAAGGACCTCGGTTACTTGTGGTGTAACTTGAGGCTGCCGTCTTGTGAGTCAGGTGCCTCGTGTTTTATTTTTTACAAGAGTTGTGTTTCTTTCCAAAGATGATTTTGGATTAGAGAGAAAGAGAGAGAGAGAGAGACAGTAGCGTGTCTGGGTCAGATTTTTACAAAATATCACTACTTAAGATACCAACGTAGAAATGAGCCAGCGTCCAAGTCCTGTTCATATATTTTGGCCAACTTTCTTTTTTTCAGTTTTTGTTTGTGTGTTTGTTTTATTTTACTTTAAGTTCTGGGGTATGTGTGCAGAACGGGCAGGTTTGTTACATACGTATACACATGCCATGGTGGTTTTCTGCACCCATCAACCCATCATCTACATTAGGTATTTTTCCTAATGCTCTCCCTCCCCTATCCCCCCACCCCCTGACAGGCCCTGGTGTGTGATGTTCCCCTCCCTGTGTCCATGTGTTCTCATTGTTCGACTCCCACTTATGAGTGACAACATGCGGTGTTTGGTTTTCTGTTTCTGTGTTAGTTTGCTGAGAATGATGGTTTCCAGCTTCATCCATGTCCCTGCAAAGGACATGAACTCCTCCTTTTTGATGGCTGCATAGTATTCCATGGTGTCTCTGTGCCACGTTTTCTTTCTCCAGTCTATTATTGATGGGCATTTGGGTTGGTTCCAAATCTTTGCTGTTGTGAATAGTGCCGCAATAAACATACGTGTGCATGTGTCTTTATAGCAGGATGATTTATAATCCTTTGGGTATATACCCAGTGATGGGATGGCTGGGTCAAATGGTATTTCTGGTTCTAGATCCCTGAGGAATCGCCACACTGTCTTCCATAATGGTTGAACTAGTTTACAGTCCCACCAACAGTGTAAAAGTGTTCCTATTTCTCCACATCCTCTCCAGCACCTGTTGTTTCCTGACTTTTTAATGATCGCCCTTCTAACTGGTGTGAGGTGGTATCTCATTGTGGTTTTGATTTGCATTTCTCTGATGACCAGTGATGATGAGCTTTTTTTTCACATGTTTGTTTGGCCAACTTTTTGATATGTTTAGATATTAGGACCAAGATATCTTCTTCTTCTTATTATTATTTGAGATGGAGTCTCGCTCTGTTGCCCAGGCTGGAGTTTAATGGCACAATCTCAGCTCACTGCAACCTCCGCCTCCTGGGTTGAAGCAATTCTCCTGCCTCAGCCCACCGAGTAGCTGGGATTACAGGCATGCACCACCACACCCGGCTAATTTTGTATTTTTAGTAGAGATAGTGTTTTACCATGACCCTTTTCTTTCCATCAACAGCATTCTCCCTTCTCAAAGTGTATTCTTTTCTAATTCTATAATTAACGTATTTTATTTATGCAAAAAAAAGAATAAAAAGGAGACACTGGACATAATCAGACAGAATAACCTCAGCCTCCTCTTTCAAAGATAAACAGTGTCCCATGTATGTGCTTGCTCTTTTTTTTTTTTTTTTTTTTTTTTGAGATGGAATCTCGCTCTGTCGCCCAGGCTGGAGTGCAGTGGCGTGACAAGGCTCACTGCAAGCTCCACCTCCCGGGTTCACGCCTTTCTCCTGCCTCAGCCTCCCAAGTAGCTGGGACTACAGGCGCCCGCCACCACGCCCGGCTAATTTTTTTTGTATTTTTAGTAGAGACGGGGTTTCACCGTGTTAGCCAGTATAGTCTCCATCTCTTGACCTCGTGATCCGCCCGCCTCGGCCTCCCAAAGTGCTGGGATGACAGGCGTGAGCCACCGCGCCCGGCAAAGGGGTATAAATCTTTTTCAAGTCTAAATAATCCACTTGCCTGTCTCATAACCCAGGAACGTTTCCCCAAGGACCTGGGAGCCACCTCTTTTCAAATGAGATCATGAAGGAGGAAAACGCCCCTAGCTCCAGTGTCTGCGGACGAGAAGGGTCTAAGTTGTCACCTGACTCGAGATTGCAAAAGCCAGCTAAGGCAATGGGCTGTACACACTTACATCTAGCGAAGGGTGAGATTGCTTCGTGTCATTACAACCTCTTTAGTGAATTGCTTGTGATAGGCTTGGCATTCTGGTTTGATGCTGGTTCCACAATAAAATCATTTTCTTTTCTCTTTTACCTTCGTGGTGAGGTCCCCGGGGTTGGCAGATTTTGCTTTTAATGATATTTCTTCAACGCTGTCTCCACCAAGACCTTCAAATCCTTCCGGAGGCAGAGGGCCCTTGAGGATTCTCGGAGGCTTGAACGGAAATTCTCTACAAAGACCTTGCAAAGCCCTACCCAAGGCGGAGAAGATGAAATATCTGTTAATATGATTGTCATGACAATGTTTTCAGAGATTCCTTCCTTTTGGCAGGATATTTACAGTATCTCAGTGTTCAGATTCCAACGAACGCTGTTTCTATCTGTGTCTTAATAAGCCCAGTTGCGCAGAAGGACGTGGCACCCAGAGAGAGCTTGATAAACGTTGGGTTTTTTGACCGTCCTTGGCATTTGATCTTTGACAGGCAAGCGGGCGTGCAGGTAGGTGGTGTCCACGGGGCGGCCAGCTCAGCAGTGATGCTTGTCCCGTGCTCAGCTGTGGCCTGAATGTCTGTGTTACCCAAATTCCTGTGTTGAAATTGTCTCCCCATCCTTAGTTCAACCATTGT
Organism: Homo sapiens; assembly: GCF_000001405.40. NCBI lineage: Eukaryota > Metazoa > Chordata > Mammalia > Primates > Hominidae > Homo > Homo sapiens. Next base: position 511,074 of record NC_000024.10, read on the forward strand.
GGAAGACAGTGTGGTGATTCCTCAAGGATCTACAACCAGAAATATCATTTGACCCAGCAATTTCATTACTGGGTATATACCCAAAGGATTGTAAATCATTCTCCTATAAAGACACATGTGCACGTATGTTTTTGCGGCACTGTTCACAATAGCAAAGACTTGGAACCAATCCAAATGCGCATCAATGACAGACTGGATGAAGAAAATGTGGCACATACACACCATGGAATACTATGCAGCCATGAAAAAGGATGAGTTCATGTCCTTTGCAGGGACATGGATGAAGCTGGAAACCATCATTCTCAGCAAATTCACACAGGAACAGAAAACCAAACACCGCATGTTCTCACCCATAAGTGGGAGCTGAACAATGAGAACACATGGACACAGGAAGGGGAACATCACACACCAGGGCCTGTCAGGGGGTTGGGGGAAGGTGAGGGAGAGCATTAGGAGAAACACCTAATGTAGACGACGGGTTGATGGGTGCAGAAAACCACCATGGCACGTGTATACCTATGTAACCAACCTGCACGTTCTGCACATGTACCCCAGAACTTAAAGTATAATAAAAAAAAAAAAAAGGAAAGAAATCCTCTCTCCAAAGTTGATGATATTGGGAGGTGGGGTCTTTGGGAGGTGAGGAGGTCATAGGGTTGGAGGCTCATGGCTGGGATGACTGCCCTTATAAAAGGGTCGCCGGGGAGGCCCCTTCCACCACGTGAGGGCACAGAGAGAAGGCGCTGTCTATGAAGCAGGAGGCCTTTCCATACACACAGAACCCACCACACCTGGATCTTTGTCTTCCAGCCTCCAGAGCTCTGAGCGGTAAATGTCTGCGGTTTCTAAGTTAGCCCCTGTGTTCTGTTCTGGGATAGCCGCAGCCCCAGCCGGCTGGGGTAAGAGAGATAAGAGACCACCTGTGGCCCCTCTCCCTGCAACCCCTTTCCCTGTGGGAGCAGGAGCTCCTTCCCTCTCCCTGCAGCCCCTTTCCCTGTGGGAGCAGGAGCTCCTTCCCTCTCCCTGCATCCCCTTTCCCTGTGGGAGTGAGAGCTCCTTCCCTCTCCCTGCATCCCCTTTCCCTGTGGGAGTGAGAGCTCCTTCCCTCTCCCTGCATCCCCTTTCCCTGTGGGAGTGAGAGCTCCTTCCCTCTCCCTGCATCCCCTTTCCCTGTGGGAGCAGGAGCTCCTTCCCTCTCCCTGCATCCCCTTTCCCTGTGGGAGCAGGAGCTCCTTCCCTCTCCCTGCAGCCCCTTTCCCTGTGGGAGCAGGAGCTCCTTCCCTCTCCCTGCATCCCCTTTCCCTGTGGGAGCAGGAGCTCCTTCCCTCTCCCTGCAGCCCCTTTCCCTGTGGGAGTGAGAGCTCCTTCCCTCTCCCTGCAGCCCCTTTCCCTGTGGGAGTGAGAGCTCCTTCCCTCTCCCTGCATCCCCTTTCCCTGTGGGAGCAGGAGCTCCTTCCCTCTCCCTGCATCCCCTTTCCCTGTGGGAGCAGGAGCTCCTTCCCTCTCCCTGCAGCCCCTTTCCCTGTGGGAGCAGGAGCTCCTTCCCTCTCCCTGCATCCCCTTTCCCTGTGGGAGTGAGAGCTCCTTCCCTCTCCCTGCATCCCCTTTCCCTGTGGGAGTGAGAGCTCCTTCCCTCTCCCTGCATCCCCTTTCCCTGTGGGAGTGAGAGCTCCTTCCCTCTCCCTGCATCCCCTTTCCCTGTGGGAGCAGGAGCTCCTTCCCTCTCCCTGCATCCCCTTTCCCTGTGGGAGTGAGAGCTCCTTCCCTCTCCCTGCAGCCCCTTTCCCTGTGGGAGCAGGAGCTCCTTCCCTCTGCCTGCATCCCCTTTCCCTGTGGGAGTGAGAGCTCCTTCCCTCTCCCTGCAGCCCCTTTCCCTGTGGGAGTGAGAGCTCCTTCCCTCTCCCTGCATCCCCTTTCCCTGTGGGAGTGAGAGCTCCTTCCCTCTCCCTGCATCCCCTTTCCCTGTGGGAGCAGGAGCTCCTTCCCTCTCCCTGCATCCCCTTTCCCTGTGGGAGTGAGAGCTCCTTCCCTCTCCCTGCATCCCCTTTCCCTGTGGGAGTGAGAGCTCCTTCCCTCTCCCTGCATCCCCTTTCCCTGTGGGAGCAGGAGCTCCTTCCCTCTCCCTGCATCCCCTTTCCCTGTGGGAGTGAGAGCTCCTTCCCTCTCCCTGCATCCCCTTTCCCTGTGGGAGTGAGAGCTCCTTCCCTCTCCCTGCATCCCCTTTCCCTGTGGGAGTGAGAGCTCCTTCCCTCTCCCTGCATCCCCTTTCCCTGTGGGAGTGAGAGCTCCTTCCCTCTCCCTGCATCCCCTTTCCCTGTGGGAGCAGGAGCTCCTTCCCTCTCCCTGCATCCCCTTTCCCTGTGGGAGCAGGAGCTCCTTCCCTCTCCCTGCATCCCCTTTCCCTGTGGGAGTGAGAGCTCCTTCCCTCTCCCTGCAGCCCCTTTCCCTGTGGGAGCAGGAGCTCCTTCCCTCTCCCTGCATCCCCTTTCCCTGTGGGAGCAGGAGCTCCTTCCCTCTCCCTGCATCCCCTTTCCCTGTGGGAGCAGGAGCTCCTTCCCTCTCCCTGCATCCCCTTTCCCTGTGGGAGTGAGAGCTCCTTCCCTCTCCCTGCATCCCCTTTCCCTGTGGGAGTGAGAGCTCCTTCCCTCTCCCTGCAGCCCCTTTCCCTGTGGGAGCAGGAGCTCCTTCCCTCTCCCTGCATCCCCTTTCCCTGTGGGAGCAGGAGCTCCTTCCCTCTCCCTGCAGCCCCTTTCCCTGTGGGAGTGAGAGCTCCTTCCCTCTCCCTGCATCCCCTTTCCCTGTGGGAGTGAGAGCTCCTTCCCTCTCCCTGCATCCCCTTTCCCTGTGGGAGTGAGAGCTCCTTCCCTCTCCCTGCAGCCCCTTTCCCTGTGGGAGTGAGAGCTCCTTCCCTCTCCCTGCATCCCCTTTCCCTGTGGGAGCAGGAGCTCCTTCCCTCTCCCTGCATCCCCTTTCCCTGTGGGAGTGAGAGCTCCTTCCCTCTCCCTGCATCCCCTTTCCCTGTGGGAGTGAGAGCTCCTTCCCTCTCCCTGCATCCCCTTTCCCTGTGGGAGTGAGAGCTCCTTCCCTCTCCCTGCATCCCCTTTCCCTGTGGGAGTGAGAGCTCCTTCCCTCTCCCTGCATCCCCTTTCCCTGTGGGAGCAGGAGCTCCTTCCCTCTCCCTGCATCCCCTTTCCCTGTGGGAGTGAGAGCTCCTTCCCTCTCCCTGCATCCCCTTTCCCTGTGGGAGTGAGAGCTCCTTCCCTCTCCCTGCATCCCCTTTCCCTGTGGGAGTGAGAGCTCCTTCCCTCTCCCTGCAGCCCCTTTCCCTGTGGGAGCAGGAGCTCCTTCCCTCTCCCTGCATCCCCTTTCCCTGTGGGAGTGAGAGCTCCTTCCCTCTCCCTGCATCCCCTTTCCCTGTGGGAGCAGGAGCTCCTTCCCTCTCCCTGAATCCCCTTTCCCTGTGGGAGTGAGAGCTCCTTCCCTCTCCCTGCATCCCCTTTCCCTGTGGGAGTGAGAGCTCCTTCCCTCTCCCTGCAGCCCCTTTCCCTGTGGGAGTGAGAGCTCCTTCCCTCTCCCTGCAGCCCCTTTCCCTGTGGGAGTGAGAGCTCCTTCCCTCTCCCTGCATCCCCTTTCCCTGTGGGAGTGAGAGCTCCTTCCCTCTCCCTGCATCCCCTTTCCCTGTGGGAGTGAGAGCTCCTTCCCTCTCCCTGCAGCCCCTTTCCCTGTGGGAGCAGGAGCTCCTTCCCTCTCCCTGCAGCCCCTTTCCCTGTGGGAGTGAGAGCTCCTTCCCTCTCCCTGCATCCCCTTTCCCTGTGGGAGTGAGAGCTCCTTCCCTCTCCCTGCAGCCCCTTTCCCTGTGGGAGTGAGAGCTCCTTCCCTCTCCCTGCATCCCCTTTCCCTGTGGGAGTGAGAGCTCCTTCCCTCTCCCTGCAGCCCCTTTCCCTGTGGGAGCAGGAGCTCCTTCCCTCTCCCTGCATCCCCTTTCCCTGTGGGAGTGAGAGCTCCTTCCCTCTCCCTGCATCCCCTTTCCCTGTGGGAGTGAGAGCTCCTTCCCTCTCCCTGCAGCCCCTTTCCCTGTGGGAGCAGGAGCTCCTTCCCTCTCCCTGCATCCCCTTTCCCTGTGGGAGTGAGAGCTCCTTCCCTCTCCCTGCAGCCCCTTTCCCTGTGGGAGTGAGAGCTCCTTCCCTCTCCCTGCATCCCCTTTCCCTGTGGGAGCAGGAGCTCCTTCCCTCTCCCTGCAGCCCCTTTCCCTGTGGGAGCAGGAGCTCCTTCCCTCTCCCTGCATCCCCTTTCCCTGTGGGAGTGAGAGCTCCTTCCCTCTCCCTGCATCCCCTTTCCCTGTGGGAGTGAGAGCTCCTTCCCTCTCCCTGCAGCCCCTTTCCCTGTGGGAGCAGGAGCTCCTTCCCTCTCCCTGCATCCCCTTTCCCTGTGGGAGTGAGAGCTCCTTCCCTCTCCCTGCATCCCCTTTCCCTGTGGGAGTGAGAGCTCCTTCCCTCTCCCTGCAGCCCCTTTCCCTGTGGGAGTGAGAGCTCCTTCCCTCTCCCTGCATCCCCTTTCCCTGTGGGAGTGAGAGCTCCTTCCCTCTCCCTGCAGCCCCTTTCCCTGTGGGAGCAGGAGCTCCTTCCCTCTCCCTGCATCCCCTTTCCCTGTGGGAGTGAGAGCTCCTTCCCTCTCCCTGCATCCCCTTTCCCTGTGGGAGTGAGAGCTCCTTCCCTCTCCCTGCAGCCCCTTTCCCTGTGGGAGCAGGAGCTCCTTCCCTCTCCCTGCATCCCCTTTCCCTGTGGGAGTGAGAGCTCCTTCCCTCTCCCTGCATCCCCTTTCCCTGTGGGAGTGAGAGCTCCTTCCCTCTCCCTGCAGCCCCTTTCCCTGTGGGAGTGAGAGCTCCTTCCCTCTCCCTGCATCCCCTTTCCCTGTGGGAGCAGGAGCTCCTTCCCTCTCCCTGCATCCCCTTTCCCTGTGGGAGCAGGAGCTCCTTCCTCCACTGAAGAGATGAAGGGTCTCCACTCTGGCTTTTAGCAGGGGCAGAGGTTGCAGGTTCTGTGGGGGCTGCAGACTGGACTGTGCCTCTCTCTCTCTCTTTTTCTCTTCTCTGCATTTTCCCTCGCTTCTCTCTCTTTCTTTCTCTTCTCTCTGTTTTTTTCCTCTTTTTTTCTCTCCCCGTCTCTCCTCTTCCTCTCTCTCTCTCTCTCACGTCTCCGTGTTTCTCCCCCTCTTTCTCTCTGTCTCTCTTCTGTCTGTTTCATTCCTTTTTTCTCTCTGTGCCTGTCTCTCTCCTCTTCCTCTCCCTGTCTCTCTCCCCCTCTCTGTCTGTGTTTCTGCCCCTCTCTTTCTCTCTTCTCTCTGTTTTTTTCCTCTTTTTCTCTCCCCTTCTCTCTTCTCTTCCTCTCCGTCTGCCTCTGTCCCTCCCCTCTCTTTCTTCCTCTCCCTCTCTCTTCTCTCTCTCTCCCCTCTCCTCTTTCCTTTCTCTGTTTCATTCCTCTCTTTTCTCTCTCTTCTCTCCCTCTCCCTTCTCCCCCCTCCTCTCACTGCATCCCAATCCTTTCCTGGCCGTCCTCTCGCCCTCCTTCGCCTCCTCCTCTCCTGGAGGGTCCTACATTCTACTCCTGGCTCTTTCCTTCTCACTCTAGGTTCTCCCAGGGACTTCATCCACACCTATAATCTCATCCACCATCTCAATTCCTACGTCTGTGTTTTCACCCGGGAGCAGGGCTCAGCCAATCTTTTATTATTATCATTATTATTTTAAATAAAGGACTAGATGGTAAGAAAAAATACTGTGCATGTGGGTGCTGGATCTTTGCTGTCCTCATGGCCCCTGGTCCGTGAGGTTGCCCCTAAAACATATTTAAGAGAGTATCTCTGAAGTGTCTTCCTACCCTCATTAAATCTCTCATACACGGTCACCTCCCGGGATAAGACGCCTGTGAACCCCAAATATCTGAGACAGATCTCCAGCAAGTCAGGAAGTTTCTTCTGCCAAGGTTAAGAAGACAGCGTCCGTCACACCATCTTAGGAGGCTCTGACGACGTGTCCCAAGGTGGTCAGGGCACAGCTTGCTCTGTGTTGGTTTGGTTTGGAAAAGCAGGACAATATGAGGCGGGAAGAGGGTTTCCAGATCACAGGTAGGCAAGAGACAAACACTTGTGTTCTGTTGAGTTTCTTTCTTTTTGTTTTTTTTTTTTTTTTGAGATGAGTCTCACTCTGTCACCTGAAAATGAGAATTTTTATTTTTATTTTTATTTTTTTTTTGAGATGGAGTCTTGCTCTGTTGCCCAGGCTGGAGTGCAGTGGTGGGATCTCGGCTCACTGCAACCTCCACCTCCCGGGTTCAAGTGATTCTCCTGCCTCAGCCTCCTGAGTAGCTGGGATGACAGGCACCCGCCCCCACACCTGGCTATTCTTTGTATTTTTAGTAGAGATCGGGTTTCACCATCTTGGTCAGGCTGGTCTTGAACTCCTGACCTCATGATCCGCCCGCCTCGGCCTCCCAAAGTGCTGGGATGACAGGCGTGAGTCACTGCGCCCGTCTCGCTCTGTCACCCAGGCTGGAGTGCAGTGGTGGGATCTCGGCTCACTGCAACCTCCACCTCCCAGGTTCAAGTGATTCTCCTGCCTCAGCCTCCCGAGTAGCTGGGACTACAGGTGCCTGCCACCATGCCTGGCTAGTTTTTGTATTTTTAGTAGAGACGGGGTTTCACCATCTTCGTCAGGCTGGTCTTGAACTCCTGACCTCATGATCCGCCCACCTCAGCCTCCCAAAGTGCTGGGATGACAGGCGTGAGCCACCGCGCCCGGTCCTGTTGAGTTTCTAATTAGCCTTTCCAAAGGAGACCATGAGATATGCATTTATCTCAGTGAGTAGAGGGATGCTTTCAGCTCTTGAGTTCTGTCTTGTCCCTTGTCCACGAGGAATTTCTGTGGATAGATTGTGAGGGAAGACTGTGGCTCTTTTCTCCTGGTAGCTATCTTTTTTTTTTAGGAGTCAAATAGGAGACAGGGTTGTCTGAGACAGTTCCCAGCTTGAATTTTTCCCTTTAAGTCGTGTCCTGTATCAGCCAATGCTGGATTTCAGGTAGGCGGCTGGATTGAAAGATGGATAAATGAATAAGTGGGTGAGTGATTGACATCAGGGACCAGTTGGGGTGGGAGGTGAAGGGGCTTAACCCTCCATCCTCCACCTCAGCCTGTATAATATTATTTTATTCTTCTAAGGTAACATGAGTTTCTCTCTTTGGGGTTTATCTCTTTTAAAGTTTTGATGTATGTACGCTTTCTCCATCTTGCTGTCTTTGTTCACCTCTAACAATGTATTTTGTTCGATATAAGGTGCTTTGGTGTTTCGTTGTATTTTTTTAAGTTTGATTCTCCCTTTTCCATTTTTCTGTCTCCATGGCGGAGTCCCGGGACCTCCCCAGGGACGGGCGAGTCACAATATCTGTGGCCGACGGGCCCATCTGTCTTCCTCTCCTGCGTTTTTCAACGATGGTCCATTATGCAAACGATCCTGGCCAGAGACAAGGAATAATATCAGATAAGGGAGAATTACAATGCCATAAATAGAAGAAGGCTTTTTTTTTTTTTTTGGAATATAAACTTGATCATTTTTTTTAAATTTTATTATTATTATATTTTAAGTTTTAGGGTACATGTGCACAACGTGCAGGTTTCTTACATATGTATACATGTGCCATGTGTTTTTTGTAACATGGTAATACTCTCTTAGAGAAAGGACCACACTCCCTTTATTCGTTTTTCCCTGGTATGTTATTAGTTTTTGTTTCTTTTTTTTTTTTTTAATTTTACTTTAAGTTCTGGGATACATATGCAGAACGTGCAGGTTTGTTACATAGGTATATACACGTGCCACGGTGGTTGGCTGCACCCATCCACCCGTCATCTACATTAGTAGCTGAGATTACAGGTGCCCGCCACCATGCCCGGCTAATTGTTGTATTTTCAGTGGAGACAGGGTTTCACTATGTTGGCCAGGCTGCTCTTGAACTCACGCCTGTTATCCCAGCACTTTGGGAGGCTGAGGCGGGTGGATCACGAGGTCAGGAGATCGAGACCATCCTGGCTCACACGGTGAAACCCCGTCTCTACTAAAAATACAAAAATTAGCCGGGCGTGGTGGTGGCGGGCGCCTGTAGTCCCAGGTATTCGGGAGGCTGAGGCAGGAGGATCACTTGAACCCGGGAGGCGGAGCTTGCGGTGAGCCGAGATCGTGCCACTGCACTCCAGCCTGGGTGACAGTGCGAGACTCTGTCTCAAAAAAAAAAAAAAAAAAAAAAAAGATTCTTATTTGCAGGTGACAGAGGGATTCAGAAGGGTCACCTGGCCACTTTTGAACAAGAATCCTGAGAAATCTACCCAGTCTGGATGGCCGGCAGCTCAGGAGGGTGAAACTCCAATGGTGTTGGAAAAGCTGAATAATTTTTTTTTTTTAGGCACAAAGACTGAACTATCTCATGCATTCTTGTAACACCTTGGAAGATGACTTTCCAGCCACGTTCTGTTATTAGAAAATAAATTAGAAAAATTCTTGGTGAGTGTTTCTATGTATTCCAGGCTACACCTCCCTACCCGCCCCCCCTTTTTTTTTTTAAAGCCAGCGTGACTCTGACCTTTGGTAACCTCACATTCTTTGCTCAAAAACATGTGATATGAACACAGATGGCTTTCATGCCAACCTAAGTGGTATCATATGCCTCCCTGAAGCCCCCGGCTCCGGCCAGCCAATTTGCACTTTTTTGCCGCTGAGGAATTGGTACGACGTGCAAACAATTCTGCCTTATCAAAAGCAGGACACCTTTTAAACTCTGTGCAAAGTCCTCAAATTGGCTTGATGAATAGCTTGGACACGCACCCACACACAGGATGTTTTGACTTGTGGGTTTAGCCTTGGGATCTGGAGGTTTTGATTTCACCTCAGCTGACATGAACCAGAGACGGTGGGCTGAGAAAGGAATCGCTCTTCTGAAAATGAGGCATTTCCAGAGCTCAAAGGGAAGGGAAAAGGAAGTCAGTGTCTTCCCTGGTTGACGAAGTATGGGAGGTTTCTTTTTCTTTAGGAGTACCTTTCCTCAGGCCTCCCCCGATATTATGGGACATTTGCGGACCTGGATTTTTCTGGACAGAATTTATCTCAGTGTGGCTGTGATTGACAATGAGAGTCTAAACACAAATAAGTAGAAATATCTTAAACTTAAAGAACTTAAACAAATTGACAAGAAAAAAAACAACCCATCAAAAAGTGGGCAAAGGATATGAACAGACACTTCTCAAAAGAAGACATTTATGCAGCCAACAAACCTATAAAAAAAATGCTCACCATCACTGGCCATCAGAGAAATGCAAATCAAAACCACGATGAGATACCATCTCACGCCAGTTAGAATACGATCAGTAAAAAGTGGGGAAACAACAGGTGCTGGAGAGGATGTGGAGAAATAGGAACGCTTTTACACCGTTGGTGGGACTGTAAACTAGTTCAACCATTGTGGAAGACAGTGTGGCGATTCCTCAGGGATCTAGAACCAGAAATACCATTTGACCCAGCCATCCCATTACTGGGTATATACCCAAAGGAGTATAAATCATGCTGCTATAAAGACACATGCACACGTATGTTTATTGCAGCACTATTCACAATAGCAAAGACTTGGAACCAACCCAAATGTCCATCAGCGATAGACTGGATGAAGAAAATGTGGCACATACACACCATGGAATACTATGCAGCCATCAAAAAGGATGAGTTCATGTCCTTTGCAGGGACATGGATGAAGCTGGAAACCACCATTGTCAGCAAACTGTCGCAAGGACAGAAAACCAAACACTGCATGTTCTCCTTCATAAGTGGGAGTTGAACAATGAGAACACATGGACACAGGGAGGGGAACATCACACACCAGGGCCTGTCGGGGGCTGGGGGAGCTAGGGGAGGGAGAGCATTAGGACAAATACCTAATGTAGATGACGGGTTGATGGGTGCAGCAAACCACCATGGCACGTGTACACCTACGTAACAAACCTGCCCGTTCTCCACATGTACCCAGAACGTAAAGTATAATTTAAAAAATAAATAAAAATAAATTTATCAACTGTCCTTTCTTCTCCAACTGGCAGAGCACCTTCCCTTTCTGTTGCATTTTTTTCCTCATCTTTCTGCAAGAATTCTCTCTTCCAGGAACAAGCCCTCTTTGGCAGTGGAGCTCTGGGGCCATTCTTATCCAGAACAGACATGCCTGGGCAACTAGACATAGAGAAATTATGAGTTTTTTATTTTATTTCATGGACTATTTATTTATTTTTTAGAGACAAAGTCTTGCTCTGTTTCTCAGGCTGGAGTGCAGTGGTACAATCAAAGCTCATGGCAGCCTCAACCCCCTGGGCTCAAGGGAATCCTCCTGCCTCAGCCTCCCAAGTAGCTGGGACCACAGGCACCCACCACCACGCCTGACTAATTTTTTGTATTTTTAGTAGAGACGGGGTTTCACTGTGTTAGCCAGGATGGTCTCGATCTCCTGACCTCATGATCCGCCTGCCTCGGCCTCCTAAAGTGCTGGGATGACAGGCATCAGCCATCACACCCAGCTCAATTTTTTATTTTGAATGAGAGAGCAAAGTAGGATTGTGAGTGAGGTTCTATTTTGCCATAAGAGGAAAAGAAAACATACCTCCAGGGATAATCACCCTCATTCCATAGGAGAAAGTCATTTTAGGTCGAGCTTGATGGCTCATGCCTGTCATCCCAGCACTTTGGGAGGCTGAGATGAGTGTTCAGGGGTTGTAGACCAGTCTGGGCAACATGGTGAAACCCCATCTCTACTAAAATACAAAACATCAGCCAGGTGTGGTGGTGCATGCCTGTAATCCCAGCTACTCAGGAGGCTGAGGCATGTGAATTGCTTGAGCCCAGGAGGTGGAGGTTGCAGTTAGCAGAGATCGCACCACTGCACAGCCTGCTTGGCTGTTTTATTCTCTGCAGCTCCTCTGGTCCTGGTGGGTTCATTTCTTTGCTCCCATCTCAGTGAGATCTGGGGAAGGAGCAGGTTGAACACCTGGATCCAAACAGCCAGGCTTAGCAAAAGTCTGTCTTTCTTTCTTTTCTTTTCCTTCTTTCCTTTCTTTCTTTCTTTCTTTCTTTCTTTCTTTCTTTCTTTCTTTCTTTCTTTCTTTCTCTTTCTTTCTTTTCTTTCTTTCTCTTTCTTTCTTTTCTTTCTTTCTCTTTCTTTCTTTCTTTCTTTCTTTCTTTCCTTTCTTTCTCTTTTTTCTTTCTTTCTTTCTTTCTTGCTTTCTCTTTCTTTCTTTTTCTTTCTTTTCTTTCTCTTTCTTTCTTTTCTTTCTTTCTCTTTCTTTCTTTTCTTTCTTTCTTTCTTTCTCTTTTTTCTTTCTTTCTTGCTTGCTTTCTCTTTCTTTCTCTTTCTTTCTTTCCTTTCTTTCTTTCTTTCTTTCTTTCCTTTCTTTCTCTTTTTTCTTTCTTTCTTTCTTGCTTGCTTTCTCTTTCTTTTCTTTCTTTCTCTTTCTTTCTTTTTCCTTTCTTCCTTCCTTTTTTCCTTCCTTCCTTTCTTCCCTTCTTTCTTTCTTTCTCTTTTTTCTTTCTTTCTTTCTTGCTTGCTTGCTTTCTCTTTCTTTCTTTCTTTTCTTTCTTTTTCCTTTCTTCCTTCCTTTCTTTTTTCCTTCCTTCCTTTCTTCCCTTCTTTCTTCCCTTCTTTCTTTCTTCTTTCTTTCTTTCTTTCTTTCTTTCAGAAAAACTTTCTTTCTTTCTTTCCTTCCTTCCTTCCTTTCTGTTTTCTTTCTCTTCTTTTTGGCACAAACACATTTATTTATTTACTTTTAATAATAAATAAACACATTTATTTATTATTTACTTATTTTTGTAAATAAGTAAATAATTATTTTTGAGATGAATCTCGCTCTGTCCCCAGGCTGGAGTGCAGTGGCACGATCTCAGCTCACTGCAACCTCTGTGTCCCGGGTTCAAGCGATTCTCCTGCCTCAGCCTCCCGAGTAGCTGGGATTACAGGTATGCACCACCACACCTGGCTAACTTTTGTATTTTTAGTAGAGACGGGGTCTCACCATCTTGGTCAGGCTGGTCTCGAACTCCTGATCTCGTGATTCTCCAGCCTTGGCCTCCCAAAGTGCTGGGATTACAGGCGTGAGCCACCGTGCCTGGCCACACATTTATTTATTAACCAAAGGGATGATCCTAATTAATCCAACACTTTGAAATAGCTGCATGGAAAATGGTTGTGATAAAGATAATTGAACACAGTAATGAAAAAAGAAGCACTATGCAGATTTGCTTCATTGGACTGAGCATGTTTATTCTCGTAGTTAATTCCTGTCCAAAGTAATGATGCGATTTTTATTTATTTTATTTTATTTTATTTATTTATTTTTTTGAGATGGAGTCTCACTCTGTTGCCCAGGCTGGAGTGCAATGGCAGGATCTCGGCTCACTGCAACCTCCACCTCTCCTGCCTCAGCCTCCCGAGTAGCTGGGACTACAGGCGCCCGCCACCACACCCGGCTCATTTTTGTATTCTTAGCAGAGACGGGGTTTCACCATGTTGGTCAGGCTGCTCTCAAACTCCTGATCTCATGATTTGCCCACCTCAGCCTCCCAAAGTGCTGGGATGACAGGCCTGAGCCACCGCACCTGACCATGATGCTGGGATTTTGATTCTACTTGTTCATAGATGTGAGTAGAGGTGACTTTGCTCATCACACAGTCCGACACTAATTTCCCATCTTTTGGTTTTCTTGTTAGTCTGAGTTTTTCTGTCCTCACTTGTGGTTTCTTCAAACTTCTCTCCCAGGGTACAGGAACACTGTCTTCTCAAAGTGCCCTCAGTTTTTCTGGTGAGACTTTTGCCATCACAAGTCACGATACAATCTGGTTCGGCCATTGAGTCCGTTTTTCCCAAAGCGATTCAGACTCCTAGTTCCTTCACGTATTCATCAAAGCGTTTGCTGTCCACCAGGTGCCATCTTCCTTCCGGCTGTTGGATGGGGGCCAATTCCTTAGAAGGGCGGGGGTCTCGGAGAGATGGATGAGGCTTCCTGGAGAAAGGTGGGTTGGCCCTGACCTGAAGGGAGGGTGCAGCCTGGGGCAGGGGAAGGGGTCCATGCTGGGTGCATCCATGCAGAGATAATATGGGGTGATCATGATTCTTTCCATGAGGGTCACAATGAAGATCATCTTTGTTTGTTTTTTTTTTCTTTTTTTTTCGAGACAGAGTTTCGCTCTTGTCACCCAGGCTGGAGTGCAATGGCACAATCTCGGCTCACTGCCACCTCCGCCTCTCGGGTTCAAGCGATTCTCCTGCTTCAGCCTCCCGAGTAGCTGGGATTGCAGGTGTGCACCACCACGCCCAGCTAATTTTGTATTTTTTTTTTTAGTAGAGACGAGGTTTCTCCATGTTGGCCAGGCTGGTCTCGAACTCCTGACCTCAGGTGATCCACCCGCCTCGGCCTCCCAAAGTGCTGGGATGACAGGTGTGAGCCACCGTGCCCGGCCGATCATCTTTGTTTTATGCATTTCTGCATTTTCCAGTTTGCGTCCATGATCGTACCTCCATTTAGAATTGGAACGTGTCTGTGGAAACCAATCCACAAACACAGACAAAAATGAGGAAGAACTTACGGGATTTGCTAAAGTTTTAACGTACGGGTGCCGTATCACCAGAATGCCACTCTTACATGTGTACCCAAAAGAATTTTTAAAAGGGACTCAAGGCCGGGCGCGGTGTTTCACGCCTGTGATCCCAGCACTTTGGGAGGCCGAGACGGGTGGATCACGAGGTCAGGAGATCGAGACCATCCTGGCTAACATGGAGAAACCCTGTCTCTACTAAAAATACAAAAAATTAGCCGGGCACGGTGGTGGGCGCCTGTAGTCCCAGCTACTCGGGAGGCTGAGGCAGGAGAATAGCATGAACCCGGGAGGCGGAGGTTGCAGTGAGCTGAGGGTGTGCCACTGCCCTCCAGCCTGGGCGACAGAGCGAGACTCCATCTCAAAAAAAAAAACCAAAGGAGAGTCAAACAAGGACTGTAGGACAGTGTTCACAGCAGCAAGTTTGACGGTAGCCAAAAGATGGAAAAAAACCAAGGGTCTGTTGATGGATAAACGCAATGTGGTCCATCCATGCAGTGGAATATTATACACCCACGAAAAGGAAAGAAGCTAGCTCTGACACAGGCTGCAGTGTGGATGGACCTGGAAGACATCACGCTCAGTGACAGAAGCCAGACACAAAAGGCCACGTTGTGTAGGATTCCGTTATATAAATGCAATGTGGTCCATCCATGCAGTGGAATATTATACACCCATGAAAAGGAAGGAAGCTAACTCTGAGACAGGCTGCAGTGTGGGTGGACCTCAAGGACATCACGCTCAGTGAGAGAAGCCAGACACAAAAGGCCATATCACGCAGGATTCCATTTATATAAAATGCCCAGAACAGGCAAACCCACAGAGACAGAAAGTGGATTTGTGGTTACCAGGGGCCGGGGAGGGGCTGGGGACTCACTGCTGCCTGCATACAGGGTCTCTTTTTGGAGTGATAAAAATGTTCTGGAACTAAATAGAGGCGGTGATTGCAGAGCATTAAAAATCATTCAAATGGGGTTATTATTTTTTTTTTTTTTTGAGACGGAGTTTCACTCTTGTTGCCCAGGCTGGAGTGCAGGGGAGCGATCTGAGCTCACTGCAACCTCCACCTCCCGAGTTGAAGTGATTTTCCTGCCTCAGCCTCCCTAGTAGCTGGGATTAGAGGCGCCCACCACCACACCCAGCTAATTTTTGTGTTTTTAGTAGAGACGGGGTTTCACCATGTTGGCCGGGCTGGTCTCGAACTCCTGACCTCAGATGATCCACCCGCCTCGGCCTCCCAAAGTGCTGGGATTACAGGCGTGAGCCACCACTCCTGGCCTCAGATGGGGAATTTTATGCTATGTCAATTATATCTAAATAAAAAACTTAAAGAAAGAAAAGGAACGAAGGAAGGAAGGAAAGAAGGAAGGAAGGAAAGAGGAAGGAAGGAAGGAAGAGACAAAAATAAACCAAAATAGGGAATGTCCACCTTGGAGGCTGATGTTCACGTCCACAGGTGCTGCCTCCCCAGACACTTACTCAACTCTGAAGCCTTCACCGGTAAGACAGCAGGGGTGGGGGGACGGCGGAGTCTTTGATCAGAAGAGGGCTCAACAGGCAAGGGGACCTGGTCCTTGCAAAAAACTCGGACTGCAGTACGGGCCGTGGGATCGGCCTCGTGTGTGGCCTGCACCCTTTTCCCCGTCAGGGAAGGACTGTTTGTTTGTTTTCTGCATCATCATCCATCACGCGGCATTGTCAGCCCTGACAGCTCAGGAGGGCCTTTTTCAACATCTCTTTATCTGACAGCGTTCATGCATCATAAGACAGCAAACAGAATTAGATCAAAGTCTACGAGGCCGTGTCGGCTCGGTGAGGAAGGCGAGCCAGCTTGTATCTTCATAAGAGAGGTGACAGTTGGTTTGAACTGGCGTTGGGCCGCAGAGGGCTGGGGAGTGCAGAGAGGACTGGGGACGAGGGCTGGGATTCTTGGCTTTCCAGGAGGAACAGCCCTGCTCCCTTCTGTCCACTTGCCACCTTCCTGGGTCTCTTTCCCCAGTAGGTGTGGTTCCTTCTGTCCTGCAGGCCACAGTGCAACCCAGGGCTTCGGAGCACGCGTTGATAGTCCTGATTTTTGTCTGACATCTTTGCAGAAAACGGAGAGCATCCCCTCAGGCAATGGGATACTGTCCCTCTGGCGCCGACCACACTCTGCGACTTGTCATGATGGGTAACAGGTGTGTCTGCAGCTTGACCTTGCAGCTGGGGCAGCCGCAGAGAGGTGCAGGAAGGAGAGCGATGGGAGAGAAAACGAAGGTGTGCTCAGTGGCGGAGAGAAATTCCAAAATTTCACTGGAGCAAGTTTAGCCCAGCTGGCTGCTGGAGAAACGCTTCTCCTGGATACTGTGGAGACTATATGGAGAATGAATTCCTTCCTTCCTCCCTCCCTCTTTCTTTCTTTCTTTCCTTCTTTCTTCCTTTCTTTCTTTCCTTCTTCTTTTTCTTTCTTCTTTCTTTCTTTCTTATCTCTCTCCTTCCTTATTCCTTTTCTTCCTTCCCTTCCCTCCCTTCCCTTTCCTTCTTTCCTTCCTTCCCTTCCTTCCTTCCTCTTTCCTTCCTTTCTCTTTTTCTTTCTTCTCTCTCTCTTTCCTTCCTTATTCCTCATCTTCCTTCCTCTTTCCTTTCTTTCTCTTTTTCTTTCTTCTCTCTCTTTCCTTCCTTATTCCTCATCTTCCTTCCTCTTTCCTTTCTTTCTCTTTTTCTTTCTTCTCTCTCTTTCCTTCCTTATTCCTCATCTTCCTTTCTCTTTCCTTTCTTTCTCTTTTTCTTTCTTCTCTCTCTTTCCTTCCTTATTCCTCATCTTCCTTCCTCTTTCCTTTCTTTCTCTTTTTCTTTCTTCTCTCTCTTTCCTTCCTTATTCCTCATCTTCCTTCCTCTTTCCTTCCTTTCTCTTTTTCTTTCTTCTCTCTCTCTTTCCTTCCTTATTCCTCATCTTCCTTCCTCTTTCCTTCCTTTCTCTTTTTCTTTCTTCTCTCTCTCTTTCCTTCCTTATTCCTCATCTTCCTTCCTCTTTCCTTCCTTTCTCTTTTTCTTTCTTCTCTCTCTCTTTCCTTCCTTATTCCTCATCTTCCTTCCTCTTTCCTTCCTTTCTCTTTTTCTTTCTTCTCTCTCTCTTTCCTTCCTTATTCCTCATCTTCCTTCCTCTTTCCTTCCTTTCTCTTTTTCTTTCTTCTCTCTCTCTTTCCTTCCTTATTCCTCATCTTCCTTCCTCTTTCCTTCCTTTCTCTTTTTCTTTCTTCTCTCTCTCTTTCCTTCCTTATTCCTCATCTTCCTTCCTCTTTCCTTCCTTTCTCTTTTTCTTTCTTCTCTCTCTCTTTCCTTCCTTATTCCTCATCTTCCTTCCTCTTTCCTTCCTTTCTCTTTTTCTTTCTTCTCTCTCTCTTTCCTTCCTTATTCCTCATCTTCCTTCCTCTTTCCTTCCTTTCTCTTTTTCTTTCCTTCCTCTTTCCTTCCTTTCTCTTTTTCTTTCTTCTCTCTCTCTTTCCTTCCTTATTCCTCATCTTCCTTCCTCTTTCCTTTCTTTCTCTTTTTCTTTCTTCTCTCTCTCTTTCCTTCCTTATTCCTCATCTTCCTTCCTCTTTCCTTCCTTTCTCTTTTTCTTTCTTCTCTCTCTCTTTCCTTCCTTATTCCTCATCTTCCTTCCTCTTTCCTTTCTTTCTCTTTTTCTTTCTTCTCTCTCTCTTTCCTTCCTTATTCCTCATCTTCCTTCCTCTTTCCTTCCTTTCTCTTTTTCTTTCTTCTCTCTCTTTCCTTCCTTATTCCTTTTCTTCCTTCCCTCCCTCCCTCCATCCTTCCTTCCTTTTTCTCTTCTTTCCTTCTCTTCTTTCTTCTTTCTTTCTTTCTTTCTTTCTTTCTTTCTTTCTTTCTTTCCTTTCTCTCTTCCTCCCTCCCTCCCTCCCTTCCTTCCCTTCCTTCCTTCCCTCTTCCTTCCCTTCCCTCCCTTCCCTTTCCTTCTTTCCTTCTTTCTCTTCCTTCCCTTCCCTTTCCTTCCCCTTCCTTCCTTCTTTCGTTCCTTCATTTCTTCCTTCCTTCTTTCCCTCCCTCCCTTCCTTCCTTCTTTCCTTCCTTCCCTCTGTCTCTGTCCTTTCTTCTCTCTCTTTCTCTGTTTTTTTTTTTTTTTTTTTTGGAGACAGGGTCTCACTCTGTCACCCAGACTGGAGTGCAGTGGTGCAATCACAGCTCACTGCAGCCTCAACCTCCTGGGCTCTAGCAATCCTCCCACCTCAGCCTCCTGAGTAGCTGGGACTACAGGAGTGCACCACCATGCCCGGCTAATTTTTTTTTTTCTTTGTTTTTGTAGAGACAAGCTTTCACCGTGTGACCCACTCTGGTCTCAAAGTCCTGGGCTCAAGCGATTCTCCTGCCTTGGCCTCCTGAAGTGCTGGGATTTCAGGTGTGAGTCACTGCACCCAACCTGGATGGAGATGTTTTTGTTTGCGCCTGGACGTGTCTTGCAAACTTGCCAAGGCTTCTGTCTTCATCGAGCTGAACCAGGGTTCTCAGCAGCTCACAATGATTATTCTTAATTTTTTTTTTTTTTTTTTGAGACGGAGTCTCGCTCTGTTGCCCAGGCTGGAGTGCAGTTGGTGCCATCTCGGCTCACTGCAAGCTCTGTCTCCCGGGTTCACGCCATTCTCCTGCCTCAGCCTCCCGAGTAGCTGGGACTACAGGCGCCCGCCACCACGCCCGGCTAATTTTTTGGTATTTTTAGTAGAGACGGGGTTTCACCGTGTTAGCCAGGCTGGTCTCGATCTCCTGACCTCGTGATCCACCCACCTCGCCCTCCCAAGGTGCTGAGATTACAGGTGTTCCTAAATATTTGTAAGTGCCAGGTGTTTAATGAAAGCGTAATGGGTAGAGAAGCCATCTCATGTGTATATTGTCACACGTGTCCGTGTGAAGAGACCACGAAACAGACTTCATGTGAGCAATAAAACTTTTTAATCACCTGGGTGCAGGCGGGCTGAGTCCGAAAAGAGAGTCACTGCAGGGAGATACGGGCGGGGCCGTTTTATAGGATTTGGGTACATAGTGGAAAATTACAATCAAAGGGGGTTGTTCTCTGGCTGGCAGGGGGCAGGTGACACAAGGTGCTCATTGAGCCAGGATGAGCCAGGAGAGGGAATTTCACAAGGTAAAGTCATCGCTTAAGGCAGGAACAAGCCATTTTCACTTCTTTCGTGATTTTTCGGTTACTTCAGGCCATCTGGATGTATATGTGCAGGTCACAGGGCATATGATGGCTTCGCTTGGGCTCAGAGGCCTGACATATATGTGTGTGAATGTACATGTATGTGTGCAGGCATGCGCCTATATGTGTCTGTAGGTGTACGTATGTATGTGTATATATGTGTGAATATGCATGTATGTGTATAGGCCTATGCGCGTATATATGTGTGCACATGTATGTATTTGTGTGTGCATGTGTATATGTCTGTATGTATGTGTATATGTGTGCATGTATGTGTATATGTGTGTATGTATGTGTATGCATTTATAACGTGTGTATGTATATGTGTTTCTGCATATATTTGTTATGCATGCATATCTGTGTATGTATATGTGTGCATGTGTGTATAATGTGTGTATATGTGTGTATGTGTGTATATATGTATGTATGTGTTATAACGTATGTATATGCATATGTTATGTGTGCATATCTGTGTGTATGTATATATGTGTGTGCATTGTGTAAATATGTGTGTGTGCATGTGTGTATAGTGTGTGTGTTTGCATGTATACCAAGATAACTTTCAGCAGTCCTTATGCATGTTATGTGTGCATATGTGTGTATGTGTATGTGTGTGCATATCTGTGTGTATGTATATGTGTATGCATGTGTGTATGTGTGTGCATGTGTGTATAGTGTGTGTGCACGTATGTGTATGTGTGTGTGTGCATGTGTGTATAGTGTGTGTGTATACCGAGATAGCTTTCAGCAGTCCTTATGCATATGTCATGTGTGCATATCCGTGTGTATGTATGTGTGTGCACGTATGTGTATATGTGTGTGTGTGCATGTGTGTATAGTGTGTGTGTATACCGAGATAACTTTCAGCAGTCCTTATGCATGTTATGTGTGCATATCTGTGTGTATGTATGTGTGTGTGCATGTGTGTATATATGTGTGTGTACGTGTGTATATGTGTGTGTGCATGTGTGTATGTGTATGTGTGTGCACGTGTGTATATGTGTGTGCATGTGTGTATGTGTATGTGTGTGCACGTGTGTATATGTGTGTGCATGTGTGTATATATGTGTGTGTGTGCGTGTATACTGAGATAACTTTCAGCAGTCCTTATGCATATGTCATGTGTGCATATGTATGTATATGTGTGTGCATATTTGTGTGTATGTATATAAGTGTGTGCATTGTGTGCAATGTGTGTGTGCACGTGTGTATATGTGTGTGTGCATGTGTGTATATATATGTGTGTGTGTTTGCATGTATACCGAGATAATTTTCAGCAGTCCTTATGCATATGTTATGTGTGCATATCTGTGGGTATGTATATGTGTGTGCACGTGTGTGCAATGTGTGTGTGCATGTGTGTTAGTGGGTGTGTGTGCGCATGTATACGGAGATAACTTTCAGCAGTCCTTTGCCTTCTAGTGGCATTCTCACGTTTAATTTTATTCCCTCCTTTTTTAAGCTGTCTGACTCCTCTTACTTTTGCCCGCGCCTTCGGTTTTGCTGGCGTGAGCCTCCCCCGGGTGTGAGTATTGCCTCTCCGTCAGGACCTGGCTGAGGCTCTCCCATGGATCTTGTAGCAGCAAAGTGTCGTCACTGTGAGAGGCAGGACTTTTAAAAGCCCTCCAAGATGACCATCCTCCAGTGGCCACTTTTTGATTTCTTTAAGAGGCATTTTGATTCCACAGTCTCTCGTGATGCTGCATTCCTTTTCCACTGGCATTTACAGCTGGAATCACGGGCAGTTTCCCTCCCGGGGTGAAAAGGCGGCCGTGAGTGTGGCTCTGCAGGGAGCCCTGGAGACTGGGTTTCTGCCCCCAGGCCTCTGCCCAGGTGTGTAACACAGCGAGGGGCACCCAGGCTGTTTGCATAGCAATTGGGGTGTGATTTGCAATTTAATAACAGTCCTGAGGGCTTCAGGACCAACAGCTCAATGGGACCAGCTGCTCTCAGCTCCTCTGAGGGCAAGAAATGAAAATTAAATTAAATTTAGAACAGAGTCATGACATAAATGACAGTGGGGAAGATGGGGGTTGTGTACCAGGCAAGCGTTCTTGGACGAGACACCGGGGTAGGGCTGACGCAGGTGAGACCCCCTCTGGCCCCCCACCCCACTGTCCCCCACTTGTACAAGTGCCTGGTGGACCTGGGACTAGCAGGAATGTGTCCCCAGCATGCTTTTGCTGTCAGTGTTTGCCCTTAACTTGTCTGAGTATCAGAATTAGCTCTGATTCTTTTAACTTTAAATTGGTATTCTTATTATTTGAGACGGAGTTTCCCTCTTGTCACCCAGGCTGGAGTGCAATGGCACAATGTTGGCTCGCTGCAACCTCTGCCTCCCTCATTCAAGCGATTCTCCTGCCTCAGCCTCCAGAAACTTTTAACTTTCAATTGATATTATTATTATTATTATTATTATTATTATTATTTGAGACAGAGTTTCACTCTTGTCACCCAGGCTGGTTGCAATGGCACAATTTTGACTCATTGCAATGGCGTGATCTCGGCTCACTGCAACCTCCACCTCCCAGGTTCAAGAGATTCTCCTGCCTCAGCCTCCAGAAACTTTTAACTTTCAATTGATATTATTATTATTATTATTATTTGAGATGGAGTTTCAATCTTGTTGCCCAGGCTGGAGTGCAATGGCACAATGTTGGCTCGCTGCAACCTCTGCCTCCCGGGATCAAGAGATTCTCCTGCCTCAGCCTCCAGAGCCTTTTAACTTTCAATTGGTATTATTATTATTATTATTATTATTATTATTGTTATTTGAGACGGAGTTTCACTCTTGTCACTCAGGCTGGAGTGCAATGGCACAATGTTAGCTCGCTGCAACCTCTGCCTCCCTCATTCAAGCGATTCTCCTGCCTCAGCCTCCAGAAACTTTTAACTTTCAATTGGTATTATTATTATTATTATTATTATTATTATTATTATTATTATTTGAGATGGAGTTTCACTCTTGTCACCCAGGCTGGAGTGCAATGGCACAATGTTGGCTCACTGCAACCTCTGCCTCCCAGGATCAAGAGATTCTCCTGCCTCAGCCTCCAGAGCCTTTTAACTTTCAATTGGCATTATTATTATTATTATTATTTGAGATGGAGTTTCACTCTTGTCACCCAGGCTGGAGTGCAACGGTGCGATCTCGGCTCACTGCAACCTCCACCTCCCAGGTTCAAGCGATTCTCCTGCCTCAGCTTCCCGAGTAGCTGAGACTACAGACGCCCGCCACCATGCCCGGCTAATTTTTATTATTTAGTATTTTTATTTTTTAGTATTCTTAGTATTTTTATTATTCAGTATTTTTAGTAGAGCCGGGGTTTCACCACATTGGCAAGGCTGGTCTCGAACTCCTGACCTCCGGTGATCCACCCACCTCGGCCTCCCAAAATGCTGGGATTACAGGCGTGAGCCGCCATGCCCGGCCGAAATTGGTATTATTTTTAAAAACCACCCGGCCATATATAAAAGCCAAAAGAATGCTAACAAGAACTCCCATAAACCCACCACTTGGCATCAATAATCAGCATTTTGCCAGTTTATTCTGTTTTTTTATTGTCATTTTAAGACAGGTTTCCACCATGTTGCCCAGGCTGGTCTCGAACCCCTGGGCTCAAGGGATCCTCCTGCCTCAGCCTCCCAACATGCTGGGATTACAGACATGAGCCACTGTGCCTGGCTAGCATTGTGCCTTTTTTTTTTTTTGAGGTGGAGTCTTGCTTTGTTGCCCAGACTGGAGTTCAGTGGCACGATCCCGGCTCACTGCAACCTCCACCTCCAGGGTTCAACTGATTCTCCTGCCTCCACCTCCCAGGTTCAAGTGATTCTCCTGCCTCAGCCTCCCTACTAGCTGGGATTACAGGCACCTGGCACCGTGCCTGGCTAATTTTTGTATTTTTAGTAGAGACGGGGTTTCTCCATGTTGGCCAGGCTGGTCTCGAACTCCTGACCTCAGTTGATCCTACCGCCTCGGCCTCCCAATGTGCTGGGATTACAGATGTGAGCCACTGTCCCTGGCCAGCATTGTGCCATTTATATATATATATATGTTGTGTGTGTATCCACCTATATGCCCATATAAATAAATGAGCTAAATATATAAACAACTAATTTATTTACCCATTGAAATGATATTAAATATACCTATCTATATACATGAATAAGAGACATATATTAAACAAATATTTTTTAAAAAAACATATTTCTTTTCTTTCTCTTTCTTTCTTTTTTCTCTTTCTCTCCTTCTCTCTCTTTCCTTTCTTTCTCTTTCTTTCTTTCTTTCTTTCTTTCTTTCTTTCTTTCTTTCTTTCTTTCTTTCTTTCTTTCTTTCTTTTATGGAGTCTCACTCTGTCACCCAGGCTGGAGTGCAGTGGCGTGATCTCAGCTCACTGCAACCTCCACCTCCCGGGTTCAAGCGATTCTCCTGCCTCAGCCTCCTGAGTAGCTGGGATTACAGGTGCACGCGACCAAGCCCAGCCAATTTTTGTATTTTTAGTAGAGACTGGGTTTCACCGTGTTGGCCAGGCTGGTCTCGAACTCCTGACCTCAGGTGATCCACCCACCTCGGCCTCCCAAAGTGCTGGGATTACAGGCATGAGCCACCGTGCCCGGCCAAAAACAGGTTTTCTAAGTAAGTTGTATATACAACATTTTACCCACCCTACAGTAGCACTCATATTCTGAAAATAAGTCTTCTTTCATAATACAGTATTATTTTCACACATCAGAAGATTTTTTTTCCTCTAAGAGACAGAGTCTTGCTCTGCAGCCTCAACTTCCCGGGTTCAAGCGATCCACCTCAACCTCCCGAGTAGCTGGGACTACACGCATGCACCAGCATGCCCAGGTAATTTTTAAACTTTTTGTAGAGATAGGGTCTTGCTATGCTGTCCAGGTTGGTCTTGAAGAAAGAAAGAAGGAAGGAAAGAAAGAAAGAGAGAGAAAGGAAAGAAAGAGAAAGAGAGAGAGGAAAGAGAAAGAAAGAAAGAAAGAAAAGAGAGAGAGGAAAGAAAGAAACAGAAAGGGGAAAGAGAAAGAAAGAAGAAAGAAAGAAAGGAAGGAAGAAGAAAAAAGAAAGAAAAGAGAGAGGAAAGAAAGAAACAAAAAGAGAGAGGAAAGAGAAAGAAAGAAAGAAAGAGAAAGAAAGAAACAAAAAGAAAGAAAGAAAAGAAAGAAAGAAAGAAAAGAAAGAAAGAAAGAGAAAGGAAGGAAGAAGAAAAAAGAAAGAAAAGAGAGAGAGGAAAGAAAGAAACAAAAAGAGAGAGGAAAGAGAAAGAAAGAAAGAAAGAAAGAGAAAGAAAGAAAGAAAGAAAGAAAGAAAGAAAGAAAGAAAGAAAGAAAGAAAGAAAGAAAGGAAGAAAGAAAGAAAGATCCCAAGCTGGCAAGCGGCAAGACACTCCCAGACTGTGCCAGGATAAGAGAGAAAGAGTCTTTGTGTTTTATTTTTGGAGACAAAGTGGAGTGCAGTGGTGCGATCTCAGCTCACCTCCGCCTCCCGGGTTCACGTCATTCTCCTGCCTCGGCCTCCCGAGTAGCTGGGATAACAGGTGCCCACCACCACGCCTGGCTCTTTTTGTATTTTTAGTAGACAAGGGGTTTCACCATGTTGGCCAGGCTGGTCTCGAACTCCTGACCTGAAGAGATCTGCTTGCTTTGGCCTCCCGAAGTGTTGGGATTACAAGTGTGAGCCACGGCACCTGGCTTTTTTTTTTTTTTTTTTTTTTTCAATAGATACAGGGTCTTGCTCTGTTGCCCAGGCTGGAGTGCCGTAGTCCAGTCATAGGTCACTGCAGCCTCAAACTCTTGGGCTTAAGCTATCCTTTCAGCTCAGCCTCCTGAGTAGCTGGAAATACAGGTGCGTGTGCCACCACGCTTGAATAATTTTCATTTTAATTTTTGTAGACACAGGGTCATGGTATGTTGCCCAGGCTGGTCTTGAACTCCTAGCCTCAAGCAATCCTCCCACGGCGGCCTCCCAGAGTGATGGGATTACAGGTGTGAGCCAACGTGCCTGGTCTTGTCCTAGAATTCGGAGGCATCCTGCAGCCCGTAGCAAGTCTAAATGACTTTTACCATGTTCTCCCTCTTCCCGGCTCCCCTCATCCCAGGTTACAGGCTTATATCAAAGCGTCCAACTGTTGGCAAAACATCAATTTGCATTTTTCAGACATCCAGGGCCAACGTGCTGCACCTGCCTTCTATTCCCAGACAGGAACTCGGAACGTAGGTGGCTGTTTACATATTTGACCGTGCGAGAGGCAGGTACCTGGAAACGTCCGTAGGTGGAGGATAAGGGGAGACATTCTGCTTCCTGAATGTCATGGATGGGAAGACACACATCCCAGCCCCTGTGGGGGAGGCTCAGAGTGTCCCTCAACAAACAGGGTCAATTTGTGAGGAAAGAGGGCCGTTGAAAGCTCTGTGATTGGCCGGGCACGGTGGCTCAGGCCCGTCATCACAGCACTTTGGGAGGCCGAGACGGGTGGATTGCCTGAGGTCAGGAGTTCGAGACCAGCCTGGCCAGCATAGTGAAACCCCGTCTCTACTAAAAATGCAAAAAAAATTAGCTGGGCTTGGTGGCTGGTGCCAGCTACTCAGGAGGCTGAGGCAGGAGAATCGCTTGAACCCGGGAGGCGGAGGTTGCAGTGAGCCGAGATCCATCCATTGCACTCCAGCCTGGGTGACAGGGACGACATTCCAGAAAAAAAAAAAAAAAAAAAAAAAAAAAAAAAAGCTCTGCGATTTTTGCAAAACCGGGAAGGCGGGGAACCCAGGCCTGTTTTAAAATAGTCCACCTAAATTATAAGTATGGCTCGTGGTGTGTTTTCCAAAGAAGAACCCTCCTTTAACGAGACCCCGCCTAGGCCGGCCGCTGTTGTAAATCTCCTGGTGGTGTGGACATAGCCAGGGGCTGGAGGTGGACCCCTCTGGATTTGTAGGTAGGAAGCAAAGAAGGGGCAGGTCCACTGCTCACCGCAGTTCCATATTTATGACGCGAGGACGCTGGGGAAAGCAACGAGTGTGTCACAAATGCGGTGAGGCCACCGTTCACCGTATTTTACGCTCACGACTTGTTTTCTTTTCATTTATGTCCCGGTCGATGAAAACGAAACGTATTCCTTAAAAAGAACACGCCTGATGCCAAAGAAAGGCACACGAGTGTGGGCGTCCCAGGGTGCAGAGGGCTGGCACTAGTTACCCTGGTGACTTTGCCGTGTCCCCTCTCATCCCCAGGATTGGACGTGCAAAGCGTCAGTAGTTAAAAAACACGACCAGACCGAAGAGAAATGGGAACCACCCACCATTCTGGTGGGGCAGGGCCTGCAGAAAATAAAGGAGATGTTCCACCCCGTGAGTCAACGTGGCAGGGTCCACGTTCCCAGGCAGGGTGGTGTCCAGCCTCAGGGCCCAAGCCAGCGGAAGCGCTGCGCTCACTAAAGACGCTCCGTTATGTCCTGTGGGTTTTGCAGCCAGCTTTATGGAGGGCGGTTCTCCTCCTGAACATCCGTGATGCTTTTTTTCGGGAAACCGCGGGGAACATTCCTCAGCAAAATTTGTGGCGTTGCAAACTTTCCAGCCAAAGCCATCAGTGGTTTTCAGCCCCATGCACTGTCCTCCCAGAGACGGGTCTGAAACGCATCTTCTTTTTTGAGACGGAGTCTCGCTCTGTGGCCCAGGCTGCAATGCAGTGGCGTGATCTCGGCTCACTGCAACCTCCGCCTCCCGGGTTCAAGCGATTCTCCTGCCTCAGCCTCCTGAGTAGCTGGGATGACAGACGCCCGCCACCATGCCTGGGTAATTTTTGTATTTTTACTAGAGACCGAGTTTCACCATGTTGGCCAGGCTGGTCTCGAACTCCTGACCTCAGGCGATCCACCTGCCTCGGCCTCCCAAAGTGCTGGGATGACAGGCGTGAGCCACTGCGCCCAGTCAGAAGTGCACAACCTACTGCCCCGTGGGTCTAGGGAAATTGTGGAAGATTCCTCTGGGCCTGTGTCTGTTTGGAAGTGTCTGTAATTCGGGACAAAGCTGGCGGGATATTGGAGGGAAAAATGGAGCCAGGAATGGGCTCAGAAAAATGGAGGCAGCAACGCCTGTAACAGGTTATTTAAAGAATTTTTTAAAAATCCTTGGCTTGGATTAACAAGCAGAGGGTTTCCATTAGAACACAAATCAAGGTGTTAACACCTACAGATGTAGCCTACTTTTGTTCTCATTTAAAACATTTTTTTTTTTGAGACAGGGTCTCACCCTGTCGCTCAGACTGGGGTGCAGTGGTGTGATCTCGGCTCACTACATCTTCCAGCTCCCAGGCTCAAGTGAGCCTCCTACCTCAGCCTCCTGAGTAGCTGGGATTACACAACACGCATGTGCCACCATGCCCAGCTAATTTTTATTTTTGTAAAGACAGGGTCTCACTATGTTGCCCAGGCCGGTCTCGAACTCTTGGCCCCAAGCGATCCTCCTGTCTTGGTCTCCCAAAGTGCTCGAATCACAGGTGTGAGCCACCAAGCCTGGCCTTCTAGATGCTGGATGCCAGGGCCATCGGAAACCGGAAATCTAGAACAAAAGTGCAGTCATGAGTCAAAGGGAAGCAAATGTGTCCGTGGAAAACTGCCCGGGCTGGTCTGGTCGGTGGAGGTTGTGACATCAGATCTTCCAACCTCTTCGTGGGAGAAATCAGTCCTATTGAAACTACAACCAGGCACTTAAACTGTTTGGAAAGACGAGCTGGTTTTATGAAAGACAATGGTCCTTTCTGTCCATAAGGATGAGATTATTGTGCATTTTTGCTTCTGGCTGAGATAAATGTAGCAAGACATATAGGAAAAAAACTGGTTACTGGGGGCCGAGCGTGGTGGCTCACCCCTGTAATTCCAGCACTTTGGGAGGCTGAGGTGGGAGGATCACTTGAGGTCGGCAGTTCGAGACCAGCCTGACCAACATGGAGAAACCCTGTCTTTACTAAAAATACAAAAATTAGCCGGACATGGTGGTGTACACTTGTAATCCCAGCTACTGGGGAGGCTGAGGCAACAGAATCCCTTGAACCCGGGAGGCAGAGGTTGTAGTGAGCTGAGATCACGCCACTGCACTCCAGCCTGGTCAACAAGAGCGAAATTCTGTCTCAAAAAAAGAAAAAAAAAAAATCACACCACAGACTGGGCGCAGTGGCTCACACCTGTAATCCCATCACTTTGGGAAGGCAAGGTGGGTGGATCACCTGAGGTCAGGAGTTCGAGACCAGCCTGGCCAACATGGTGAAACCCCGTCTCTACTAAAAATACAAAAATTACCTGGGTGTGATGGCGGGCGCCTGTAATCCCAGCTACTCGGGAGGCTGAGGCCGGAGAATCTCTTGAACCCGGGAGGCAGAGGTTGCCGTGAGCCGAGACCATGCCGTTGCACTCCAGCCTGGGCAACAGGAGTGTAACTCTGTCTCAAAAAAATAAATGAGTAAATAAATAAATAAGAAAATTCAAAAGAGAAAAGTTTTGGAAAACTGGTTACTGGGGGCGGACACCGAACGTTTTATTTATATTCGTCTGTGTTCTTTTCCTGGATAAAATATAAATTAAAACTAAAACCAAGTAACTGCGGAGAACATTGGCAAAGTTCTGTTATTACAGGAGGGGTATTTCTGAGCAAATAGGATCCCTCCGACCTCATTTTTTTCTGAGATACGACAGTAAGTGTTAAAAATGAGATGATTGCCAACCAAAAGATAATTCTTTTAAATAATTACCCTTCAAGGGAGAGCAAAAAATTAAAGGAGAACAGGAACTCAGGCTAAAGGAGCAATTTAGAATTTCTTTTCGATACTAGAATCATTGGATATCCACGGATTGTTAGTATTTTGAGATGGAGTCTTGCTCTGTTGCCCACGCTGGAGTGCAGTGGCGTGATCTCGGCTCACTACAACCTCTGCCTCCCAGGTTCAAGCGATTCTCTTGCCTCAGCCTCCCAAGTAGCTGGGACTACAGGCACCCGCCACCACGCCCAGCTAATTTTTGTATTTTTAGTAGAGACGGGGTTTCACCGTGTTGGTCAGGCTGGTCTTGAACTCCTGACATCAAGTAGTCCACCTGCCTGGGCCTCCCAAAGTGCTGGGATTACAGGCGTGCACCAGTGCATCTGGCTAATTTTTTTTTTTTTTGTATTTTTAGTAGAGACGGGGTTTCACCATGTTGGCCAGGCTGGTCTCGAACTCCTGACCTCCAGTGATCCGCCTGCCTCGGCCTCCCGAAGTGCTAACATTACAGGCATGAGCCACCACACCTGGCTGGACATCTTTCAAAGACAACATTCAGGTCTTTTAATACATGCAGGTCTTTTTTTTTTTTTTTTTTTTTTTTCTGAGACGGAATCTCACTCTGTCAGCAGGCTGGAGTGCAATGGCGCAATCTCGGCTCCCTGCAACCTCCGCCCCCTGGTTTCAAGCGATTCTCCTGCCTCAGCCTCCTGAGTAGGTGGGACTACAGGAGCATACCACCACGCCTGGCTAATTTTTGTATTTTTAAAATAGAGACAGGGTTTCACCACGTTGGCCAGGCTGGTCTTGATCTCTTGACCTCGTGATCCACCCACCTCAGCCTCCCAAAGTGCTGGGATTACAGGCATCAGCCACTGTGCCTGGCCCATGCAGGTCTTTTAATACGTGCTGAGAACCTGTTTTCTTGTCGTCTGGGGCCTCCTGCATTCGTTGACCTGTGACCATACATCCCATCACCTTCTATCTCCTCTACCTCTCTATGGAAACTCCCTCTGCCTCCCTGGCTCGTGGTCTCTTGTGTTTACCTTTAAGGCCCAGCCAGATAACCCAGCATAATCCCCCATTTCAAGACCCCTTATCTGAATGGGATCAGCAAAGTTCCTTTTGCCAGACAGCCTACTGCATCCACAAGTTCCCGAGATTTGGATGTGTATGTGTATCAGTTCGTACTCACACTGCTATAAAGATCCTACCTGGCCAGCTGCAGTGGCTCACACCTGTAATCCCAGCACTTTGGGAGGCTGAGGCAGGCAGATCACCTGAGGTCAGGAGTTCCAGACCAGCCTGGCAACAGGGTGAAACCCCATCTCTACTAAAAATACAAAATTAGCTGGGCGTGGTGGCACATACCTGTCATCCCAGCTACTTAGGAGGCTGAGGCAGGAGAATCACTTGAACCCGGGAGGCAGAGGTTGTGGTGAGCCGAGATTGCGCCATTGCACTCCAGCCTGGGAAACAAGAGTGAAATTCCGGCTCAAAAAAACAAATCAAAACAAAACAAATTCCTACCTAAGATTTGCAGCCGGGCGTGGTGGCTAATGCTTGCAATCCCAGCACTTTGGGAGGCTGAGGCAGGTGGATCACTTGAGGTCAGGAATTCGAGACCAGCCTGGACAACATGATGAGACCCCGTCTCCACTAAAAATACAAAATTTAGCCAGGTGTGGTGGCACATGCCTGTAATCCAAGCTACTCGGGAGGCTGAGGCAGGAGAATTGCTTGAACCCAGGAGGCAGAGGTTGCAGTGAGTCAAGAACACGCCACTGCACTCCAGCCTGGGCAACAGAGCGAGACTCCATCTAAAAAAAAATTTTTTTTCCAGAAAGCAACGATTTATGTGGTTTTTTAATTGTGTGCTATTCTGATGTGTCTCGCATGGGATATGACTCATCTTTCTGTCTGGTGCCCCCACCATGCTGTAGACACAATCCGTCCATTAGTCACTTAGCAACCGCTTCAGTGATCAGAGCGAGTGTTGTGGTATCTTAATGCTTGTGTTGAAGAACCTTTACTTGACTTAAAAAATGGCCCCGGCGTGCAAGAGGAGTGATGCTTGAGTATTTCTATAATGGTTCTATCTTACTATTAGTTATTGTTGTTTGTCTTTGGCTCTGCCTAACTTACAAACTAAACTTTAGAATAGGTATGTGCGTCTAGGAGGAAGCACAGCATATACAGGTCTTGCTGCTACTGGATGTTTCCGGCATCCCCGTGGGGTCTTGAAATGCATCCTTCATGGATAAAAGGAGACTTTTGTAGATGCTGCACTGGTGATTTTCATTTCTGTCAATGTTAGGGATTGAACATTGTTATATGGTGATTGCTTCGTCAACCTGATGTTTGGTTGTTCATGTTTGGAAACCCAGACTCCAAAAGGAGGGCAAACACCAGAGGGGATATTTGCTGGTTCTCAACCTGCCCTACGTGATTGCGTTTGTTTCAGAAGGGGCTGTAAGGAGCTCTTGCCTGCCCCATCTTTCTCTCCCCAACATGTCCACGCATTCCACACCCAATATGGTGTCCGTAGGACGTTGACATTTGCACACATTGCACACCCAATATGGTGGCCATAGAATGTTGACATTTCCTTGCATTCCACACCTAATATGGTGTCCATAGGATGTTGACATTTCCATGCATTACACACCCAATCGTTGACATTTCCATGCATTCCACACCCAATATGGTGTCCGTAGGATGTTGACATTTCCATGCATTCCACACCCAATATGGTGTCCGTGGGATGTTGACATTTCCATGCATTCCACACCCAATATGGTGGCCGTAGGATGTTGACATTTCCATGCATTACACACCCAATATGGTGGCCGTAGAATGTTGACCATCCCAAGACCATGTCGGCTTTGATATTGCCACGGTGTGAAGATTTCTGTTTTTGTTTTTTGTTTTTTTTTTTTTTGGAAACGGAATCTCTCTCTGTCACCCAGGCTGGAGTGCAGTGGCGCGATCTCGGCTCACTACAACCTCCGCCTCCCGGGTTCAAGTGATTCTCCTGCTTCAGCCTCCCGAGTAGCTGGGACTACAGGCACCTGCCACCATGCCCGGCTAATTTTTTGTATTTTTAGTAGAGACAGGGTTTCACCATGTTAGCCAGGATGGTCTCGATCTCCTGACCTCATGATCCTCCCGCCTCAGCCTCCCAAAGTGCTGGGATTACAGGCGTGAGCCACTGCACCTGGCCATAAGATTTCATTTTTTTTCTGTTGTTTTATTTTTTGAGATGGAGTCTCGCTCTGTCACCCAGGCTCTAGTGCAATGGCACAATCTCAGCTCACTGCAACCTCCACCTCCCGGGTTCAGGCGATTCTCCTGCCTCAGCCTCTCGAGTAGCTGGGATTACAGGTGCCCGCCACCACGCCCGGATAATTTTTTGTATTTTTAGTAGAGATGGGGTTTCACCATGTTAACCAGGCTGGTCTTCATCTCCTGACCTCGTGATCTGCCCGCCTCGGCCTCCGAAAGTGCTGGGATGACAGGCATGAGCCACCGCGCCCAGCCAGAAGATTTCATTTTTTCTTTTTATTTTTTTCTTTTTTGAGACAGAAGCTTGCTCTGTCTCCCAGGCTGGAGGGCAGTGGCGCAATCTCGGCTCACTGCAACCTCAACCTCCCGCGTTCAGGCGATTCTCCTGCCTCAGCCTCCCGAGTAGCTGTGATTACAGGCACCCGCCAACACGCCCGGCTAATTTTTTGTATTTTTAGTAGAGTCGGGGTTTCACCGTGTTAACCAGGCTGGTCTTGATCTCCTGACCTCGTGATCTGTCTGCCTCGGCCTAGGAAAGTGCTGGGATGACAGGCGTGAACCACTGCGCCCGGCCAGATTTTATTTTCTTCTGCAGAAAGTGGCTTTGCTGGTGGGGAGCCATCCCCCAAGGAAGTGTGAAGTTCCTCTTGAAAAGGGTGAGAGTGTTTTCTCTGCTTCCATGACCAGGGCTAAGTGGAAACATTGAATCAATATTAACCCCATCCAGTCTTCAAGGCCTTTTTATGGGTGTGTGTGTATGTGTGTGTGTGTGTGTGTGTGTATTTTCCAGAGACGTCAACCCTCTCTCTGGGATAATGAGAGAAATTTCCTAACAGAGTACTTCTCCCTCGCTCAAAGGGAGTGACATTTTGTAATGCTTTCTGAAATCAAGCCATTCTGACCCAATGACTTTTCGATGAGTTAAGGGCTAAATGAATCAGACGCGTGTGGGTTCAATTTACTTCTCAACACTTTGGCTTAAAAGCCTTCCAGAAAAAAAAAAAAAGAAAAGAAAAGCCCTTTTCTTTCTTCCTTCCTTCCTTCCCTTCCTCCCTTCCTTCATTTCTTTCCTTCCTTCCTCCTTCCTTCCTTCCGTCCTTCCGTCTTTCTTTCTTTCTTTCTTTCTTTCTTTCTTTCTTTCTTTCTTTCTTTCTTTCTTTCTTTCTTTCTGTCTTTCTTTCTTTCTGTCTTTCTTTCTTTCTTCTTTTTCTTTCTTTCGTTCGAAACGGAGTCTCACTCTGTCGCCCAGGCTGGAGTGCAGTGGTGTGATCTCGGCTCACTGCAACCTCCACCTCCTGGGTTCAAGCGACTCTCTTGCCTCAGCCTCCCGAGTAGCTGGGATGACAGGTGCCCGCCACCACATCTGGCTAATTTGTGTATATTTAGTAGAGACGAGGTTTCAGCATGTTGGTCAGGCTGGTCTCGAACTCCTGACCTCAGGGGATCCGCCCACCTCGGCCTCCCAAAGTGCTGGGATTACAGGTGTGAGCCGCCATGCCCGGCCCCTCATACCTCACCCCAATCATTTGAGAAACAGACAGAGATGTTTTGATATGCACCAGAGGCTGGAGCAGGTGACTGGGGCAAGTCCAACAGGTACTTCCCCATTGACCACGGGGGAAGAGAGAACCTTGTTTCTTAAGTGTGATGAGGAGGTTTTTTGTTTTGTTTTGTTTTGTTTTTTTGAGATGGGGTCTCGCTCTGTCACCCAGGCTGGAGTGCAGTGGCGCGATCTCAGCTCACTGCAAATTCCGCCTCCTGGATTCACGCCATTCTCCTGCCTCAGCCTCCTGAGTAGCTGGGACTACAGGCGCCTACCAGCACGCCCGGCTAATTTTTTTGTATTTTTAGTAGAGACGGGGTTTCACCGTGTTAGCCAGGATGGTCTCGATCTCCTGACCTCTTGATCCACCTGCGTCGGCCTTCCAAGTATTGATGAGGTTTTTAATGAGATTTGTGTGAAGGGTTCCTTGGAGACACTCGGTAAAGAAAACGACAAATAGTAACAGGTTGCAAAGGAGGTCTCTGCGTAACCTGGGGAGCTGCTGTCCAGGGGTACCTCGAAAGCATGAGGAGCTGCAGACAGTCCGTAGTTTCCAGCTGACCTGGGCGTGGGCATCTGTGATCTGTGTGTGGCAGGGTGTAAGCAGGCTTTGATGCCTAGACACCTTTTCTTTATTTAGCAGCTGTAACATCCAATGAACTCTGAACTGTTTATGGGCCTCCTGCTCCCCAAAGGGTACACACCCTGCTTCTGCTGGCTTCATGCCTCAGAACTGTGGTGTCGTTGGTCTCAGACACCACTTTGCCATCCACTATCCGGAGGGTGGGGGTCTTTTGGATAGTTTGCGTGGAGTTGCTGCTGTCCAGGGCATCACCAAGACTCTAACAGAGAAGACCAAGCCCCAGTTAGCGTTTGCAGGCATTCGGGGGAGAGGGTGGGGAGAGCGCAGGTCGCTGCCTGTCCCTAGAACCTCACTGTCTGTCTGAGAAGTGATTAGATTGCAGGCACGTGGAGGGTGGCGGGGATCAACTCTCTCAGGGCCTCTAATCACACGTGGCACTTGCTGTCAGCAAGACGGCTTTGGAGCGGGGACGTGGATCATTAGGGATGAACCTGCAGATCATGACAACAAATGGGGTCTTAATCTCCCAAGAAAGGGGATGTCGCCGGCTGGCTTGGGAGGCAGGGGTCCCCGAGCGCGACGGTGCTGGCTGGCCCGCCTGCATCCCATTTGCAGAGCAAGCTTCTGCGTTCAGGGCCTGGCCGGGCCATGGAAATGGCTGGGCTGTGAGCATCGTGAATTCCTGGACCCTGCTGGAAAAGGAAGCGTCTGACGTGGGCAGTGACCGTGACTCACAGAGACATGAAAAGTACAAAATGTGACCACTTGTTTATAGCTGTAACTAATTTTAGCAGAGGTCTTGGCATCTAGAAAACATACTTTTTTTTTTTTTTCCTTCGGTGAATGTGTAGTAAAGATATAAGCTTGCCCCCAAACAGATCTGGATTTTGCCTTTGAGCTCTGGGAGGTCACTCTGAAGGACTTAGGATGTCATGCCTGATAAGAATGTCATTATTTCGGCCAGGTGCAGTGGCTCACACCTGTAATCGCAGCACTTTGGGAGGCTGAGGCGGGTGGATCGCCTGAGGTCAGGAGTTTGAGACCAGCCTGGCCAACATGGTGAAACCCCGTCTCTACTGAAAATACCAAATTAGCCGAGCATGGTGGCCGGTGCCCGTAATCCAAGCGACTCGGGAGGCTGAGGCAGGAGAATCGCATGAACCCGGGAGGCTGAGGTTGCAGAGAGCCAAGATCGTGTCATTGCACTCCAGCCTGGGCAACAAGAGCAAAACTCTGTAAAAACAAACAAACAACAACAAAAAAAAAAAATAGAGAGAGAGAGAGAAGGGGCTGGGCGCAGTGGCTCATGCCTGTAATCCCAGCATATTGGGAGGCCGAGGCAGGCAGATCACCTGAGGTTAGGAGTTCGAGACCAGCCTGGCCAACATGGTGAAACCCCATCTCTACTAAAAATACAAAAATTAGCAGGGCCTGTTGGTGGACGCCTATAATCCCAGCTACTTGGGAGGCTGAGGCAGGAGAATCGCTTGAACCTGGGAGGCGGAGGTTGCAGTGAACTGAGATCACCCCATTGCACTCCAGCCTGGACGACAAGAGCGAGACTTCGTCTCAAAAAACAAAGCAACAAAACAAAACAAAACAAAAAACAAACAAAAAAACAACTGTATTGAGGTTTAATTGACATACCACGAAATGCATTCATTTTGACTATACAGTTCAATGCCTCTTAGTAAATTTGTAGAGTTGCACGACCATCACCAAATCTAATTCTGGAATATTTTTATCACCCCAGAAAAGAAATTGCATAGCTATTGTCACTCACTTGTCTTCCCTTATCCCATTTCTGCCCAGAGCCTCAGGCAACCACTCATCTCTATTCTGCCTCTATGGATTTTCCTTTTCTGCGCAATTTCTTTGCATCGAATTACACAATATGGAGTCTTTTATCCCAGACTTCTACTTAGCGTTATGTTTTTGAGGTGCATCCGTGTTGGACCATATATCGGTATGTCATTGGCTGAATAATATTCCATTGCAGGGAAAGACCACAGTGTCTTTATCTGTTCACCTGCTGAAAAGACATAGGCTGTTTACACGTCTTGGCTGTTACAAATCATGCTGCTAGGAATATTTACCTACAAGTCTTTGAGTAAACATAAGTTTTCATTTCTCTTGGGTAGACGCCCACAGGAGGAATTGCTGGATTGAATGGTGAGTTTGTGTTCAACTTTTTTTTTTTTTTTTGATGGGGTCTCACTCTGTCGCCCAGGCTGGAGTGCAGTGGCTCGATCTCAGCTCAACACAACCTCCGCCTCCAGGGTTCAAGCGATTCTCCTGCCTCATCCTCCCGAGTAGCTGGGATTACAGGCGCCCACCACCACACCCGGCTAATTTTTGTATTTTTAGTAAAGACGGGGTTTCTCCATGTTGGTCAGGCTGGTCTCGAACTCCCGACCTCAGGTGATCCACCTGCCTCGGCCTCCCAAAGTGCTGGGATGACAGGTGTGTGTGTTCCACTTTTTAAGAAACTGTCAATGTGTTTTCCAAAGTGACTATATCAGTTGACATTTCTACACACAGTGGTTCTCACAAATACTTAATAACATCTTTTTTTTTTTGTAGCCATTCCTGTGGATATGTAGTGGTATCTTGTGGTTTTAATGTCTCAAATGAGGAAGGATGTTGAGACTCAATGCTGATTCAAGATCTACATAGTAGGCCAGGAGCAGTGTCTCATGCCTGTAATCCCAGCACTTTGGGAGGCTGGGGTGGGCGGATCGCGAGGTCAGGAGATCGAGACCATCCTGGCCAACATGATGAAACCCCGTCTCTACTAAAAATACAAAAATTCAGCCGGGCATGGTGGCAGGTCCCTGTAGCCCCAGAAACTCAGGAGGCTGAGGCAGGAGAATTGCTTGAACCAGGGAGGCGGAGGTTGCAGTGAGCTGAGATTGTGCCACTGCACTCCAGCCTGGGTGACAGAGTGAGACTCCATCTCAAAAAACAAAAACGAAAACAAACAACAACAGAAAAACAAGATCTACATAGTTATAAGCCTCCATCAGAAACAAACAAACAAAAAAAACAAAGAAAACCCAAAACATCTACGTAGTTATGAGACTTGACTTTTGGAGCTGACTTTTTGGGATTAAATGACTCAGGTAAACTGGTTTATTTGTATGGCTATCTTTTCCCCCAGGGAAAGTGTTTGCTCACCTATCCCTACAACAAAATGTAAGCAGATCCAATGAATGAGGTGAATTCTTGGGGTGGATGGAAACTCATCCCATGTGGCTTTGTCATTTTGATCTCCGTGATGGGATGCGCCGTTTTGTCGAAGAGGGTAGCTGTCCATCTCCCTTCCTGGGGATCCTGGATTCATTAATTTCCTGATCACGTATTTCTTTCGTCCCTGCTCTTAATGTCCGTGCCCCAGTTTAGAGGACAGACCTGCCTGAAGGCTTTCTGTATCTCTGAACTGCACTAATCAGCTGTTCATAACTTCCATAGATGTCTATAAAATGTGCAGCTAGCAGGATTAAATGCTCTACCTTCACCGTACGACAGACAGGAGTGTTCTCACTCACCACCAGAGCCTGCGCAGATCAGTCCATTAATTAGGTGGCTGTTGCTTGTGTCCGAGATTATTTTCTGCTTATATAGAGGTTTCCCTGGCTGCATCAGCTGACTAGTTTTCCGAACAGATTTCAGCCATTCTTATTTATTTCCTCAGGCAAAGAAAATGTAAGCTTTTTAAGAGAAAATACTTACCCTACTTTTAATGATAAATAAGACAAGAAGAGTTTTCTCCTGTTTAAAAATTCCCTATATGACAAAATACACAGTTAAACTTTGTATGGCTTAAAAATAGCTTGCCCTATCGCTCCATAAACCAGGAAATATGGAATTCTTGGATGGCCCTAAAGAAATTTGGTGAGGAATCCAAGCCTTTTAAAAACTAGATAGGCACAATCTAGACACACATATTCAATGACAGGTTTTTTTCTTACGTATCTGCCCATTCATCTGCCCATCTATCTCTTCGTCCATTAATCTTTCCATACATCATTCCACCCACCCATTCATCCATTCACCCATCCATCCACCCACTCACCCATCTGCTCATTTATCTACCCATCTATATATCCATCCATCCATCCATCCACCTACCCACTCATCCATCCATTTATCCATTATCCATCCAACCTTCCAATCATCTATCCATGCATCCTTCCATCCACCCATCCATCCATCCATCTACTCATTCATTCATTTATCCATTATTCATTCATCTGTTCATTAATCTATCTATCCATCCATCCACCCATCCATCCAAACTTTCATCCATCCATCCATCCATCCATCCATCCATCCACCTACTGAGAACATCCATCCATTTATCCATTATGCATTCAACCTTCCATCCACCCATCCATCTACTCATTCATTCATTTATCCATGATTCATTCATCTGTTCATTCATCTATCCATCCACCCACCCATCCATCCAACCTTCCTTCCCTTCATCCATCCATCCACCCACCCATCTACCCATCGATTCATTCATCCACCCAGCCACTCATCTGTTTATTCATCTATCCATCCATTCACCCACCCATCCATCTGTCCATCCATCCATCCATCCAACCATTCACCCATCTTCCCATTTATCTACCCATCTATCCATCCATGCATCCATCCATCCATGCATGCATGCATCCATCCATCCATCCCTCCATCCATCCATCCATCGACCTACCCACTCATCCATCCATTCATCCATTATGCATCCAACCTTCCAATCATCCATCTATCTATGCATCCATCCATCCATCCATCCACTCATTCATTCATCTATCCATTATTCATTCATCTATCTATCCATCCGTCCACTCATCCATCCAGCCTTCCATCCCTTCTTCCATCCATCCACCCACCCATCTACCCATCGATTCATTCATCCACCCAGCCACTCATCTATTTATCTATCAATCCATCCATCCATCCATCCATCCACCCACCCACTCACCCATCTGCCCATTTATCTACCCATCTTCCCATCCATCCATCCTTCCATCCATCCATCCATCCACCCACTCATCCATCCATCCATCCACCTACCCACTCATCCATCCATTTATCCATTATCCATCCAACCTTCCAATCATCCGTCTATCTATGCATCCTTCCATCCATCCATCCATCTACTTATTCATTCATCTATCCATTATTCATTCATCTGTTTGTTCATCCATCCATCCATCCATCCATCCATCCAACATTCCATCCATTCATCCATCCACCCACTCATGTATTTATTTATCTATCCATCCATTAACCCACCCATCCATCTATCTATTCATCCATCCATCCATCCATCCATCCATCCATCCATCCAACGTTCCATCCATTCATCCATCCACCCACTCATGTATTTATTTATCTATCCATCCATTAACCCACCCATCCATCTATCCATCCATCCATCCATCCATCCATCCAATCATCCATCTATCCGTCCATCCATTCACTCATGCATCCATCCAATCATCCATTCATCCATCTACCTACCCAATCATCCATCCATTCATCTGTTATCTATCCAACCTACCAATCATCCATCTATCTATGCATCCATCCATCCATCCACCCTCCCATCTATCCATATATCCATTCATCCATCAATCCAACCACTCATTCTTCCATCTATCCATTTTTCATTCTTCTATTCATTCATCCATCCATCCATCCACTCATCTATTCAGTCATCCATTCACCCACCCATCTATCCATCCATTCATCCATCCATCCATTCATTCATCCACACAGCCACTCATCTATTTACTTATCTATCCATCCATCCACCCACCCATCCATCGATCTATCCATCCACCCATCCGTCTATCCACTCATCCATCCATCCATTGATCCATTCACCTACCCATTCATCTATCCATCCATGCATCCATCCATCCAATCATCCATCTATCCATTCATCCAGCCACCTCAATAAGTTGAAGACTATCTGCCCCTTCCTGCAAAAACCTTATAATTTTTTGAAATAAAAGAGTAAGATCAAGGGTCACCAACATACAATCTTCCCATTTGTTCCCAGGGTACAGCCACACTCTTGCGTTTTTGCATGATCTCTTCTAGGTGAATACTTCTCTCTCTTCCTTCCTCTCTCTCTCTCTTCTTTCTTTCTTCCTTCCTCTCTCTCTCTCTCCTTTCTTTCTTTCTCTCTTTCTCTCTTTCTTTCTTTCTTTCTTCTTTCTTACTCTTTCTTTCTTTCTGTTTCTGTCTTTCTTTTTCTCTCTTCCTTTCCTTCTTTCTTTCTTCTTTCTTACTCTTTCTTTCTTTCTGTTTCTTTTTTTCTTTTTCTCTCTTCCTTTTCTTCCTTCTTTCTTTCTTCTTTCTCTTTCTTTCTTTATTTCTTTCTTCTTTCTCTTTCTCTCTTTCTTTTTCTTTCTCTTTCTCTCTCTCTTTCTCTCTTTCTTTCTTTCTTTTTTTTTCTTTCTTCTCTCGTCCTTTCCTTCTTTCCTTCTTTCCTGTCTCTCTCTCCCTTTCCCTCCTTCCTTCCTTGCACATACACACAATCAGGCATAAAACATGCACAAACACACAGAAACACACACAAACGTGCACAAATACACACATATAAACAAATATACACAAACAGACGTGCAGAAACACACATGCATGCACAATCATGCAAACAGACACACACAGACACACATATGAGCATGCGGAAACAGACATACATGCACAAATACACACAGACAAACATGCACAAACACACACATGCTCAGATACACAAAAAAAACCATGCACAGATACAGACATTCACAAATAAACTCACAAACATGCACAGATACACACAGTCATGCACACAAACATGCACAAATACACATAAACATACAGACACACAGACGAACATGCACACATATGAATGCACAAATACACGTACACACACACACAAAAAGCACAAATACATGCACACAAACACATAAAAACACACAAACACACACGTGCAGAGGAAATATTGTCTATATTACAGGCAGCTACTGCCATGGCCAGCTAATTTTTTGTATTTTTAGCAGAGATGGGGTTTTGCCCTGTTGGCCAGGCTGGTCTCAAACTCCAGACCTCAGGTGATCCGCCTGCCTCAGCCTCGCAAAGTGCTGGGATGACAGGCATGAGCCACCACACCCGGCCTGTGGTGTGATTTTTTTTTTTCTTTTTTTGAGAAGGAATTCCACTCTTGTTGCCCAGGCTGTAGTGCAATGGTGCGACGTCAGCTTACTGCAACCTCTGCCTCCCGGGTTCACACCATTCTCCTGCCTCAGCCTCCCGAGTAGCTGGGATTACAGGCAGCTACCACCATGCCCGGCTAGTTTTTTGTATTTTTAGTAGAGACGGGGTTTCACCATGTTGGCCAGGCTGATCTCGAACTCCTGACCTCAGGTGATCCACCTGCCTCAGCCTCCCAAAGTGCTGGGATGACAGGTGTGAGCCACCGCACTCGGCCTGCGGTGTGATTTTTTATGTACCCAAACATACTGGCATTGCTGCCGGGACGGTCGACTGCCTGAGATTTCAATGCGTTTGTCGTTCGGATCTGCAAGGGCGATGAAAGTTTTAAAGTCCCCACGTGCTCAGGTGTCCTGTGGGTTGAGGTTCTTTACAGACAGGTTTCCACTCCCTTTGCTCCCAGATCTGAGCCTCTGCTGAAGACAATGCCTCATCTTCGATGGGAAAAAGGCACAAGTCTTTGGCGATTCCCTTTTTCGTTCTCATACGTAGAAACCCCACTGTCTTCTTCACGGCCAGTGACTCTGTCGAATGTCCCAAGTCAACCGGGGAGAAAACCCCAAATTATGAAACAATTAAAAAAAAAATAGTCGTTCGATTTTTTTTTCTTTCCCCCGTAACGTCGTTAGTAGCCCCATGGACTTGAGGTTGCCTTGGGCCAGAAGTTACGTTTCTCATTAATATACATCAGCTGTTCTCTGTTTCTTTTTTTTTTCATACCGACCGTGGTAGCCAGGCACCTGTCCCCCTTTTGTTCCTCGATAGAGCGTGTCTGAACGTAAAAGAAAAATTGTCACTTCTCATTACGTGAACTAAGGGTACGAGAATTGATGGGCCTTTCTACCTAATGC
The DNA here is from genome assembly GCF_000001405.40 of Homo sapiens. NCBI lineage: Eukaryota > Metazoa > Chordata > Mammalia > Primates > Hominidae > Homo > Homo sapiens. The sequence continues at coordinate 553,220 of NC_000024.10, forward strand.
TGTTATCCGAACCAGGTTTGTTTATTTAATGAACAAAATGTCACATCAAATCTGTCTTCCCCTGACGTCTGAACCCCTGGCAGCTGCTGGTGGCAGGGTTTCCTGAAATGGGGAGGTGGAGGGGGGCTAGCTGGATTAACTAATTTAATTTGCATGTGATTCAAAAGTTAAAGCAAAGACTCACACCTCCTCTGACGGAACAAATTCTCTTATTATTATTACTATTGTTTTTTTTTTTTCAGATGGAGACTTCCTCTGTCCCCCAGGCTGGAGTGCAGTGGTGCAATCTCGGCTCACTGCAACCTCCGCCTCCCGGGTTCAAGCGATTCTCCTGCCTCAGCTTCCCAAGTAGCTGGGATGACAGGTTCCTGCCACCATGCCTGGGTAATTTTGGAATTTTTAGTAGAGACGGGGTTTCACCATGTTGGTCAGGCTGGTCTCGAACTCCTGATCTCAGGCTGGAGTGCAGTGGCATGATGTCGACTCACCGCAATCTCTGCCTCCCAGGTTGAATCGGTTCTCCTGCCTCAGCCTCCCAAGTAGCTGGGATTACAGGCACCCGCCACCAGGCCAGGCAAATGCTTGTATTTTTAGTAGAGACGTTTCACCGTGTTGGTCAGGCTGGTCTCGAACTCCTGACCTCAGGCTGGAGTGCAGTGGCGTGATCTCAACTCACTGCAACCTCTGCCTCCCAGGTTGAATCGATTCTCCTGCCTCAGCCTCCCAAGTAGCTGGGATTACAGGTGCCTGCCACCAGGCCAGGCAAATGTTTGTATTTTTAGTAGAGACAGGGTTTCACCATGTTGGTCAGGCTGGTCTCGAACTCCTGACCTCAGGTGATCCTCCCGCCTTGGCCTCCCAAAGTGCTAGGGTGACAGGCGTGAACCACCATGCCAAGCTGTTATTATTATTTTTTAAAGCACATGTCCAAGGGCCATTGTATGGTGAGATTCCAGATGTTGGATGGCAAGAAGGAGGAGTCCTGACCCGGATTGGTCAACATCAGGGAAACCACAGCCCGTTTAGATGGAAGATTGAAAGTTCCGTCATGCCGTGTGAGCTTCCCACAACCGAGATACAGATACATAATCTCCCTGGGAACGTATCAAACTGTCGGGGCACCAGGAGCCTCTGCCTTCTCTTCGGCTGCCAATTTCAGGGACGAGGACCGCAGCCAGGTCAGAAGCACGGTTTGCAGGGGTGACAGCTTGTCACTTGCAGAGTTACGCAGTCTAAGCCACTTCATAAATGCAAGGTGCCGACGTGTTGGAAAGGCTGGAGTCCCGGGGTGGAAACACGTATGTCGGGGGCCAGGTGTGTCCCTGGGGGAACAGCCCACGCGTATCGGATGCCAGGTCTCCGCCCACCCCGGAGCCAGCTCCGCTTGGACTGGCCAGCTTGGGTCTGCTCTGGAGAGGGGACGTATGGAGAAGCTGCTCTGGAGAGGGGATATATGGGGAGGCTGCTCTGGAGAGGGGATGTATGGAGAGGGGACGTATGGAGAAGCTGCTCTGGAGAGGGGACGTATGGGGAGGCTGCTCTGGAGAGGGGACATATGGAGAGGCTGCTCTGGAGAGGGGATATATGGGGAGGCTGCTCTGGAGAGGGGACATATGGAGAGGCTGCTCTGGAGAGGGCATGTATGGAGAGGCTGCTCTGGAGAGGGACATACGGAGAAGGTGCTCTAGAGAGGGGACGTATGGAGAAGGTGCTGTAGAGAGGGGATATATGGAGAGGCTGCTCTGGAGAGGGGACATATGGGGAGGCTGCTCTGGAGAGGGGATATATGGGGAGGCTGCTCTGGAGAGGGGATATATGGGGAGGCTGCTCTGGAGAGGGGACATATGGAGAGGCTGCTCTGGAGAGGGGACATATGGAGAGGCTGCTCTGGAGAGGGGACGTATGGGGAGGCTGCTCTGGAGAGGGGATATATGGGGAGGCTGTTCTGGAGAGGGGACGTATGGAGAGGCTGCTCTGGAGAGGGGATATATGGGGAGGCTGCTCTGGAGAGGGGACGTATGGAGAGGCTGCTCTGGAGAGGGCATGTATGGAGAGGCTGCTCTGGAGAGGGGACATATGGAGAGGCTGCTCTGGAGAGGGGATGTATGGAGAGGGGACGTATGGAGAAGCTGCTCTGGAGAGGGGACGTATGGGGAGGCTGCTCTGGAGAGGGGACATATGGAGAGGCTGCTCTGGAGAGGGGATATATGGGGAGGCTGCTCTGGAGAGGGGACATATGGAGAGGCTGCTCTGGAGAGGGCATGTATGGAGAGGCTGCTCTGGAGAGGGGACATATGGAGAGGCTGCTCTGGAGAGGGGACGTATGGGGAGGCTGCTCTGGAGAGGGGACGTATGGGGAGGCTGCTCTGGAGAGGGGATATATGGGGAGGCTGTTCTGGAGAGGGGACGTATGGAGAGGCTGCTCTGGAGAGGGGATGTATGGAGAGAGGGGATGTATGGAGAGAGGGGATTTATGGAGAGGTCCCACACCAGGCTCCATCCAAGGAAGGGAGAAGCATTTTCACCCAGGCCCTGTTTACGCTTCGCCGCGCTGTCCTCTGTCACGCACCGTGGCCGAGACCACAGCTGAACGTCCAGAGGCTGCAGAGAAAAACAGAAGCTGGCTCTGTGTGTGTGTGTGTGTGTGTGTGTGTGACATGACAGCCGGGCCTCTGAAGCGCGCCGTGGAAGACGCAGTTGTGAGGATATACGTGGCAATTAAAAATAATTGGCAAGCAGGTCTCGTTCAGCCCTTCGGAGAATGCAGCGACCATATAATGATGTTTCATTAGCCATGCTGTACACTGCACGCTCCGTATGGCACTCACAATTAAACAGCCTCATAAAGGAGAGAAGGAGGGAAGAGAGAAACATGAAAAAACCCAAAATACCCCAGCTCAGATTAGCATTGCATGTAATCGGCACTTCATTAGCTAATTGATTTCTTATTAGTTACAGGCAGTGGCCCAGCTAGGGCTTCTGCACACGTCATTAGCTGCATTTACACCGTTATGCGGATGCTCGTTTTGTAGCTAAACATTCCTGGAATCAAGGGTGCCTCTGTTGCTTACGGCAATTGCACTCACTTTATTTTATGTTTTCTTGCTAATGTTGGCTTAACCTCCAAATCAAAAATTCTCTCCCCCTGGAGTGGGGGGGAGCCTCACCAGATTTAATCACAACGTTCAACACAGAGAAACAGGCCACGTCATCCGATCTGAGCTCAGCTACGTCTTGTTTGCTGTGTTTTATTTTCAGCTTGTTTTATGGCTCGCCGGAAAAAGCCAGCCGTCTTCCCCGGGGACAGTCATCTCTGGACAGGGTGCATGTCCCCCCTCACGACGTCCAATGTCACCACGGCTGCATGTCGCACCTTGCAGATGGACAGCTGTAGGCCTGACCACACCTGTCTTTAAATGCTTCTTGGGGTGGTGGGGGGAGGGGGAAGTTTGCAGAGGTCTGAAATTCACAGGTAACCGTCTCTCTCCATGGCACAGAAATGGATTGCGAACTGGCGTCGGCCACGGAGAGGCTGCTTGGACCTCAGTGTAGGATTACTTTTGGTTATACGATATTTTATAAGCATATATAATTTGGTTTTCTGATTTTGGGTTTTTTGTTTTATTTATTTATTATTTATTTATATATGATTTATTATTTATTTGATTATTTATTTATTATCTTATTTACTTATTTATTTATTTAATTTTTTTTTCTGAGACGGAGTCTCGCTCTGTCGCCCAGGCTGGAGTGCGGTGGCGCGATCTCGGCTCACTGCAAGCTCCGCCTCTCGGGTTCACGCCATTCTCCTGCCTCAGCCTCCCGAGTAGCTGGGACTACAGGTGCCCGCCACCACGCCCGGCTAATGTTTGTATTTTTAGTAGAGACGGGGTTTCACCGTGTTGGCCAGGCTGGTCTCGATCTCCTGACCTCAGGTCATCCGCCCGCCTCGGCCTCCCAAAGTGCTGGGATTACAGGCATGAGCCACCATGCTGGGCCTGTTCCTTTTGTTTTTATTTTTTCTAGAGATGGGGGTCTTGCTGTGTTGCCCAGGCTGGTCTTGAACTCCTGGCCTCGAGCCATCCTCCCACCTCAGCCTCCCAAAGTGTTGGGATGGTGGGCACGAGACACCATGCCCGGCCCCAGATGATGTTTTAAAATGACTTCTGTGGGTGGCTTATCCAGAAGGAGTTTGAATTTTAGGGAAGCAGAACCCTAGGCCAACTCTGATTCAAAGATTAGACGATTGCCTTTTGTTGTTTTTTTTAAGACGGAGTCTCGCTGTGTCGCCCAGGCCGGAGTGCAGTGGCACCATCTCGGCTCACTGCAAGCTCCGCCTCTGGGGTTCACACCATTCTCCTGCCTCAGCATCCCGAGTAGCTGGGACTACAGGCACCCGCCACCTCGCCCGGCTAATTGTTTGTATTTTTAGTAGAGACAGGGTTTCACCGTGTTAGCCGGGATGGTCTCGATCTCCTGACCTCATGATCCACCAGCCTCGGCCTCCCAAAGTGCTGGGATGCCAGGCGTTAGCCACCGCGCCCGGCCGCCTTCTATTGTTTTAAATTTTGCAGAATCTCAGTCATGGGAGGCCACCCTCTTTGTGGGGGTGATCGAGGGTGTTTGCTGTATGGACGAAGGTGTGGATGAAAATGTTTCCATTTGAAGACACTCACGGACAGTCAATGGGCTGAATTCTGCCCCCCGCCTCACAAGACTCATGTATTGACAACCTAACGTCGAGGCCGGGCGCGGTGGCTCAAGCCTATAATCCCAGCACTTTGGGAGGCTGAGGCAGGCGGATCACAAGGTCAGGAGTTCAAGACCAGCCTGGCCAAGATGGTGAAACCCTGTCTCTACTAAAAATACAAAATTAGCCCGGCGTGGTGGCTCACGCCTGTCATCCCAGCACTTTGGGAGGCCGAGGCGGGTGGATCACCTGAGGTCAGGAGTTGGAGACCAGCCTAATCAACATGGAGGAACTGCATCTCTACTAAAAATACAAAAATTAGCCAGGCGTGGTGGCGGGCGCCTGTAATCCCAGCTACTCAGGAGGCTGGGGCAGGAGAGTTGCTTGAACCTGGGAGATGGAGGTTGCAGTGAGGTGAGATCGCACAATTGCAGTCCAGCCTGAGAAATAAGGGCGAAACTCCCTCTTAAAAAAAAAAAAAAAAAAACCCACAAAAAACAGACATCAGCAGGCCAGAACTAGAAGTCCATTCGTAAACAGCATAGCATGTTAAAATAATTCCAGCCTGGACCACATGGCAAAACCCCGTCTCTACTAAAAATGCAGACAATTAGAAGGATGTGGTGGCTCGTGCCTGTAATCCCAGCTACTCTGGAGGCTGAGGCAGGAGAGTCGCTTGAACCTGGCAGACGGAGGTTGCAGTGAGGCGAGATCACGCCATTGCGGTCCAGCCTGGGCAACGAGTACGAAACTCTGTCTAAAAAATAAAAAAATAAAAAAAAGCAGACATCAGCAGGCCAGAACTAGAAGTCAGTCCTGAAAGAGGCCCTCAGCAAAAAACATCAACTAGTAGCAGTAAGGGATAGGCAGAATCTATAAAACAGAATTTTATAAAGTAACTCACTGCACTCAGATAAAACGCGCTGTAACAAAAATGTCACTAATTTATATTAACTATGAATAACACCATTCTCCACGACTGAACAGCAGGTATTACAGAACGTTACAAAAATACGCTTACTTTCCATGAGTATGATATTGGATACTTCCAAAGTTTTGATGAATAGTGCTTGGGTGGAAAATCTGATTATTTGATAGACAATCACAATTAATCTCACATTTTCAGATGCAAAAAAAAAAAAAGTGCTTCTAAGCTACGGAAAGTCTTGCTTTCTTAAGTAATTCCAGCTTCTCTCCTGAAATCTTTACACAGTTAATTTACTCAGTCTTTGGTTAATAGCCTGTGCTAAGATAAATTTCTGCGTAAATTCTGAATTTATGAGATCCCAAGTAATGAAGTTTTATTGAAGAGACATCCCGTTCCTGATATAATTTTAATGTCATCATCATCAATTATGTTCCTAGTCCAATAGCCCTAACCTTGCAAAATTTATTTCCATCAAACGAACAAAAGTCACACACACACAAACACACACACACACACAGAGGATTCATTAAGAGCGGCAAAGATAAAATCATTACCACATCCATCTTGAGAAGTTGAGCTGATGTGTGTATTCTTCAAGGATCACATCTATTTTTTATTTTATTTTATTTTATTTTATTTTATTTTATTTTATTTTATTTTATTATTTTATTTTATTTTATTTTATTTCACTTTATTTTATTTTTATTTTTTGAGACGGAGTTCGCTCTTATTACCCAGGCTGGAGTGCAGTGGCATCATCTCGGCTCAGTGCAACCTCCGCCTCCCGGGTTCAAGCGACTCTCCTGCCTCAGCCTCTCGAGTAGCTGGGATTACAGGCACCCGCCACCACACCCAGCTAATTTTATATTTTTAGTAGAGATGGGGTTTCACCATGTTGGCCAGGCTGGTCTCCAACCTCTGACCTCAGGTGATCCACCCGCCTCGGACTCCCAAAGTGCTGGGATGACAGGCGTGAGCCACTGTGCCTGGCTGATCATATGTATTTTTAAAGACGGGGAAATAAAGCCAGCATTGCTCCTGATTTCCTTCCCTGGTCTTTGTCCCCTCCCAGAAGATAAGAAGACACTTTAAATCCTCTCAGCCTTCCTTGTCTACTACAGACTTGCTAACGCACAGAGAAGACAGCCCTGCATCTTAATGGTTGTCATCCTCTTTCATCCAGCTCCTGGCCAGTCCTTGGAAACGCCTGCCGGCCACACTACAGTCTTGCCATATTGCCCCCAAATGAGCTTATTTTTACTTATTTATTTATTTATTTTTGAGACAGACTTCTCACTCTGTCGCCAGGCTGGAGTGCAGTGGCATGATGTCAGCTCACTGCAACCTCCGCCTCCCGGGTTCAAGCGACTCTCCTTGCCTCAGCCTCCTGAGTAGCTGGGATTACAGGCGCCAGCCACCACGCCCAGCTAATTTTTGTATTTTTAGTAGAGACGGGGTTTCACCATGTTGATTAGGCTGGTCTCAAACTCCTGACATCAGGTGGTCCACCTGCCTCGGTCTCCCAAAGTGCTGGGATTATACGCGTGAGCCACTGTGCACGGCCAATCTGTGTAATCTATCATCTCTCTCTCTCTCTTATTTATTTATTTAGAGACAGAGTTTTGCTCTTGTTACCCAGGCTGGAGTGCAGTGGCATGATGTCAACTCACTGCAACCTCCGCCTCCGGGTTCAAGCCATTCTCCTGCTTCAGCCTCCTGAGTAGCTGGGATTACAGGCACCAGCAACCAAGCCCGGCTAATTTTTCTAGTTTTAGTAGAGATGGGGTTTCACCATGCTGGCCAGGCTGGTCTTGAACTCCTGACCTCAGGTGATCCACCCGCCTCGGCCTCCCAAAGTGCTGGGATTATAGGCGTGAGCCAACGCACCCGGCCTGATTTTGTATTTTTAGTAGAGATGGGGTTTCACCACGCTGGCCAGGCTGGTCTTGAACTCCTGACCTCAGTTGATCCACCCACCTCAGCCTCCCAAAGTGAGATTCCAGGCGTGAGCCACCGTGCCTGACCTATGCTGTCTTTTCATTTGCATTTTTTTTTTTTGAGATGGAATTTCGCTCTTGTTGCCCAGGCTGGAGTGCAGTGGCGCAATCTCGGCTCACTGCAACCTCCGCCTCCCGGGTTCAAGCGGTTCTCCTGCCTCAGCCTCCCAACTAGCTGGGATGACAGGCATGCACCACCATGCCCGGCTAATTTTGTATTTTTAGTAGACACAGGGTTTCAACATGTTGACCTGGCCTGGATACCACTTTTAATTTTACCTTGCTCTGAATAGTTTCGTATTCCTCTGACTATGTGGAAGCTTTGTTCTGGGATTCTGTGAAGTCACTTGGAGGTAGTTTGAACCCTTCAGGTCTTGGTTTCATTCTGTTGGAATGAAGAGTAATGTTTAATTCGGGATTAATTTGTCCAAGCTACTGAGGAAAGGTCCTCCTCACTATCCTACCTAACGCCCCATGAACTATGGAAGTTTTCCAATCTAGAAGGTCAGAACAGGCACCTTTTGAACATTGTGTGAACGCTGGTCACTATTCCCTGTTTCCATGTGTCATTTCTGTTGGTTCTTTCCCTCACCTTGAATAATTTCCTCATAGACACATGTCAATCAGTTCTCAGCCCAACGCTCTCTAGGTGGACCTTCTGCAGAAGGTCTCTATGCTTCTTTCTCCACGTGGATCTCTCATATCTGCTACTCTGTCCTGTGAACTCTTCCTGCCTTGGTCTCCCCAGACTCTCAGCTCCACCTTCTCAACACAAGAGGCCTTCCAGTTTCCATCTGTGTTGTGCCTCCTTGTACTGCCGCCTATAAAATCTCTCAGGCAGTAAGCCGGGAGATCATAGGGCTCACTGCATTACTTTTCCATCTCTCAGAGATCATTGTCTTTCATTGCTTCATGTCCAGGGTCTTGAACGCCATCATTTCATGTATTATGCCCAGTGGAAGATAATTCTGATCTCTGTTACTTCATGTTGGTCAAAACCAGAAGCCTGCATCTATCTATCTACCATTCTATCTTTCGGTCTATCTACCTACCTACCGACCTATCTACCAGTCATCTTATCTATCATATTCTCTATCTACCTATTATCCACCTACCTATCTACCTACCTAACAACCATCTTTCTACCATATTCTCTGTCTACCTATCCATCCATCCATCTACCTACCAATCATCTTTATCTATCACATTATCTATCTATCTATTCATCTATGTATCTATCTACCTACCTAGCTAACTATCTTCCAATCATCTTATCTGTCATATTCTCTTATCTACCTATTATCCATCTACCTATCTACCTACCTACCAATAATCTTTCTACCTATGTATCATATTCTCTATATCTATCTATCTACCTGTCTATCATATACCTACCTATCTATCTACCAGTCATCTTATCTATCCATCATATTATCTGTCTACCTATTTATCTATCCATCTATGTATCAATCATCTTTATCTATCATATTATCTATCATCTATCATGTATCAATATATCATCTGTCATCTATCTATCTATCTATCTATTTTCTCTCATCTTCTCTATCTTATTCTCTATCTACCTATCTCTCTACCTACCAATCAGCTTATCTATCAACCATATTATCTATTATCTATCTATCTATCTATCTATCTATCTATCTATCTATCTATATCTACCTATCTATCTATCATCTTCTCTATCATATTCTGTATCTACCTGTCTCTCTACCTACCAATCGGCTTATCTATCAACCATATTATCTATCTATCTATCTATCTATCTATCTACCTATCTATCATCTTCTCTATCGTATTCTGTATCTACCTGTCTCTCTACCTACCAATCAGCTTATCTATCAACCATATTCTCTATCTATCTATCTATCTATCTATCTATCTATCTATCTATCTATTATCTTATCTATCTATTATCTGTCTATCTACTTGTCTTCCTATCTATCTGAAACTCTATGTTTAAAACTCTGACTTCTAAAAACATTATAATAGACATTATTAATGAACACCTATTGTATGCCAGCCTTTGCTTATCTTATTTCTTTTTCTTCATGCCTGTTTTGAAAGATAGATATTATCCCTGTTTTGCAAAGTGATGTTCAGAAATAAATGGTTTGACAAGAGTCACATTAGCCAATAAACCCTTCAGCCTGGTTCAGTCTTGAAGCTTTCTGAGGATGAAGATAGCTTTACTACACCATTGGTTTACCAAGTAGGGATGATGTGAGGGTGTTTGTTTGTTTGTTTGTTTGAGACAGAGTCTCACTCTGTCACCGCAGGCTGGGGTGCAGTGGCGCGATCTCGGCTCATGCAACTTCCACCTCCCAGGTTCAAGCAATTCTCCTGCTTCAGCCTCCCAAGTAGCTGGGATTACAGGAACTCACCACCATGCCTGGCTAATTTTTGTGTTTTTAGTAGAGACGGGGTTTCACCACGTTGGCCAGGCTGGTCTCAAACTCCTGACCTTAGGTGATCCACCCACCTCGGCCTCCCAAATTGCTGGGATTACAGGCATGAGCCACCGCGCCCGACCGAGGGTTCGTGTTTAAAATGCAGATTCCCTTAGACGTTGGTGTGCCTGCACGTGCGTGTGACTATAAAGAAACAGAATGAGAAAAATTGGGGGAGGCGATAGAACTATTCTGTATCTCGAACATGATGCCATTTACATGTTTCAAAAATGTGTTCAAGTTCATCGAACTGCATATCATGAAAATCAATTTTATAGTATGATAATTTAAAATGTAATTTTTTTGAAAATGTAAAAAACAAAAAAAGCAGATTCCTAAATCCTATTCCAACCCTACTGAAACATAATCTCTCTTTTAAACAAGATGCCACATAACGGACACACTTCCCGAGAATGTAAAGTCTTATTCTGCATTCATCAGAAGGTGAATGTCTACAAGGCCTATTTTATTGAATTTTTTTTTTGTTACCTGCATGCATTCTTTCCATCTTCAGCGAAAGATGCAAAACGTATATTTGTAAATTAACTTTCCTGAAACTCCCCTCTCCCCACCATTGTTTCCCCGCTAAGTGCGATTTTTATCCACAGTGATCCTTCCATGGTTTTTGCCAAGTGGCAGCGTTTTGATCAAAAGGACGCCTTTCATGTCAAATAAATAAACCATCGCGTCTCACGGTTGTCCAGATTCCTGCTCGGTTTTTACAAAGCTTCTTTCAACTGGTGCCTGCAAGCCTTTCTCCGGGCATTTTCTTTCTACAACGGGTTGGATGTACACGGATCAAACTGAAAGGAGAGGGAGGAGGAAGCGTGCGTGATGAGCCAGGAAAGATGCTTTAGGTATGTGACTGTTAGAGCCCGGTGACATGAGGTGATACAGAGTCTGTGACTGCACTGTGCCAACGCCCTCGTGAAAATCAATATTCCTGTAACTGATTCTGCAACTTGGAATGACGTGTTTTCAATTAAGGCACTGTTGACATTGGGGGCCAGGTAATTCTCCGTGGTGGGAGCTGTCCTATATACTGTAGGATACTCAGCAGCGTCCCTGAGCTCTACCCACTAGAAGCTAGTAGTATCTGTCACCTCCTCCCTGGTCGTGATAACCAGAAATGTCTTCAGTCATTGCACAGTGTCCCCCATGGGGCAGAATTCCGACTCAAATTATTATTATTATTATTTTTGAGGCAGAGTCTTGCTCTGTCACCCAGGCTGGAGTGCAGTGGCACAATCTCTGCTCACTGCAACCTCCGCCTCCCAGGTTCATGACATTCTCCTGCCTCAGCCTCCTGAGTAGCTGGGTTTACAGGCGCCTGCCACCATGCCCAGCTAATTTTTTGTATTTTTAGAAGAGACAGGGTTTCACCCTGTTAACCAGGGTGGTCTCGATCTCCTGACCTCGTGATCTGCCCACCTCAGCCTCCCAAAGTGCTGGGATTACAGGCGTGAGTCACCACGCTCGGCCTCGGACTCAAATTTTTCTCCACTCTTCTCATGTCCAGAGAAGACAGCAAAGGCATAATTTGTATTAACTTTGAGATTACCAATAAATTTTGGTGAATAAGCAAATTTGCAAATACAGAGTCTGTCCACAATGAGGAAGTACTGTACCCATGAAGACTACAGGGCCCTAAAAAATTGCTATGCAATGGGATCCCTAATATTGCTCTCTCAGGTGAGTAGGAGCTGCCCCCATTGTGGTCTGAATGTAGGGCTCTTTCCCAAATTCTTATGTTGAACTCTTCATCCCCAAGATGATGACGTTAAGAAGTGGGGCCTTTGGGGGGTGATGAGGTCATGAGAGCGGAGCCTTCTGAATGGGATTAGTGCCCTTATAAAAGGGATCCTAGAGAGCTCACTTGTCCCTTCCACCGTGTGAGGACACACCAAGAAGTCGCCGTCTATGAAACAGGATAGGTAGGTGGGTGGATGGATGAGTGAATGGATGGATGGAAGAGTGGACAAATGGATGGATGATGGATGGGTGAGTGGGTGGATTAATTGTTGTATAGATGGATAGATGGTTGGATGGATAGACGGATGAGCAGATGAATGGATGGATGAATGGATGAGTGGATGGGTGGATGGAAGAGTGGACAGATGGATGGGTGAGTGGGTGGATTAATGGTTACATAGATGGCTGGATGGGCTGACGGATGCATGATGGATAAGCAGATGAGTGGATGGATGAATGAATGGGTGAATGGATGGATGGGTGGGTGGGTGGATGGAAGAGTGGACAGATGGATGGGTGAGTGGGTGGACTAAAGGTTGTATAGATGGCTAGATGGACAGATGGATGAGCAGATGAGTGGATGGATGAATGGATGGATGAATGGATGGAGGGATGGATGGATGGATAGATGGATGGAAGTGTGGACAGACGGATGGGTGAGTGGGTGGATTAATGATTGTATAGATGGCTGGATGGGTAGATGGATGCATGATGGATGAGTAGATGAATAGACGGATGAATGGATGGGTGGATGGATGGATGGAAGAGTGGACAGATGGATGAGTGAGTGGGTAGATTAATGGTTGTATAGATGGTTGGATGGATAGATGGATGCATGATGGATGAGCAGATGCGTGGATGGATGGAATGATGGGTGGATGGGTGTATGCATGGATGGATAGATGGATAGCTGGATGAGTGGATGGATGGATGGGTGGATTAATGGTTGTATAGATGGCTGGATGGGTAGATGGATGTATGATGGATAAGCAGATGACTGGATGGATGGATGGGTGGATGGGTGTATGGATGGATGGATGGGTGGATGGATAGCTGGATGGGTGGATGGATGGGTGAATTAATGGATGATGGATGATGGATGAGTGAATGGGTAGATGGGTGGGTGGATAGATGATAAATGGGAATGGGTGGATGGATGGGTGGTAGATAGATTGATGAGTGGATAGATGGATACATGATAGATGGGTGGATGGGTGGATCAATGGGCAGATAGATGGATGAGTGGATAGGTGTATAGATGGGTGTAGGGGTAGAGGAATGGATTGATGATGGATGGGATGATGGATGGATAATGAATGAGTGGATGGGTGGATGGATGAATGGGTGAATGAGTGGATGGATGGGTGGATGAGTGGATCAATGGGCAGGTGGATGAGTGGATGAAAGGTTAGATGAGTGGATGGATGGGTGTATGAGTAGATAGATGGATGAATGATGAATGATTGGATAGATGGATGGGTGGGTGGATGCATGGATGGATGGATGGGTATATGAGTAGATGGATGGATGGTGGATGGATAAATGGATGGATGATGGATGAGTTAATGGGTGGATAGATGGATGGACAGATGGGTGGATGCATGGATGGATGGGTGGATGGATGGATGGGTGGGTAGGTGGATGGATGGATAGGTGGGTAGGTGAATGAGTGGATGGCTGGGTGGATAAATGAGTGGATGGATGAATGGGTGGACAGATAAGTGGATGGGTCGATTAGTAAATGGATGTATGGATGGACGGATGTGTTTGTGAATGGAAAGATGGATGAATGGATAAGTAGGTGGGTGGATGGTTGTATGAATGAATAGGTGGATGCATAGGTGAATGGATGAATGAACAGGTGGATGGGTATGTGGATGAACGAGAGATAGATGAGTAGATAAGTCCAGACATGATTTTTACTCTATGTGTTCCTGTTTACTTTGCCTTTGCCTCGTCGTCTTCCAAGACAATATATTGGTTTGCAGATATTCAGGAAATTATTTTAGAAATGTGCTTTGGGAACAACATAGACACACTCTGAATAAAGGCAGAGTCCTCCTAAAGAAGACTCATGTCTTTTTTTTTATTATTATACTTTAAGTTTTAGGGTACATGTGCACAACGTGCAGGTTCGTTACATATGTATACATGTGCCATGTTGGTGTGCTGCACCCATTAACTCATCATTTAACATTAGGTATCTCTCCTAATGCTATCCCTCCCCCATCCCCACACCCCACAACAGGCCCTGGTGTGTGATGTTCCCCACGCTGTGTCCATGTGTTCTCATTGTTCATTTCCCACCTATGAGTGAGAAAATGCGGTGTTTGGTTTTTAGTCCTTGTGATAGTTTGCTGAGAATGATGGTTTCCAGCTTCATCCATTTCCCTACAAAGGACATAAAATCATCATTTTTTATGGCTGCATAGTATTCCATGGTGTATATGTGCCACATTTTCTTTATCCAGTTTATCATTGTTGGACATTCGGGTTGGTTCCAAGTCTTTGCTATTGTGAATAGTGCCTCAATAAACATACGTGTGCATGTGTCTTTATAGCAGCATGATTTATACTCCTTTGGGTATATATCCAGTAATGGGATGGCTGGGTCAAATGGTATTTCTAGTTCTAGATCCCTGAGGAATCGCCACACTGACTTCCGCAATGGTTGAACTAGTTTACAGTCCCAGGAAGACTCATTTCTTATCCACTCCCCCGAGATAACTGCCATTGTCACTTAATACCCTTCCAGAACATTTTCCACACATTTAGACACATTTGGACCTGTTGTTGCATGTGTGTGACTTGTGAAAACATTCATAGAGTCACGTTGTATTGTTGCTTGTAGATTCCCCAAGTTACTTTTCTCACTCAACAACCTGTGTTGGAGATATTCCCCACCAGCACACAGAGGTCCACTTTCTCATTTTATCTGTTCGATGTGATCCACAGTATGGATCCATCAAGTCCCCCGTTGGGCGAACAATTAGAGTCTGCCCGTTTTTCTGCTATCAGAGTCATTGCTGCAACAAGCATGCTTCCCCATGCTACGTCGTGCCTGAGTATGAGAGTTTCTCCAGGGTAGACACTTAGAAGTGGGATTGCCTGGTCAGAAGAAAACCTGCACTTAATTGTCGTGGACAGCACTGACTTTCCCTCCAATCTGTGGTTCCAATTTCCCATCCCACATAAGGAGATAATTGCCTTACATCCTGCAACCACTTGCCACGATCACACTTTGCAATGTTTTTGCTATTATAAGCAATTGAGCAATGACACGCTCTTTTCTTTTTAACTTGTAAAAATTTATTATAGAAAGGAAAAGGCAGAGAACAGCCATAGAAAGGACAAATAATGGCATGTGTTACTAGTCATTCCTGTTAGGAAATTAACAGGGGAAACAGTGTAGGAAATGCTACTTGTGATGATAGTACTGCAATGTATTGAATACTTACCATGTGCAATGAGACAGTCTTGTCTCTGCTGCCTCATAAGACTCTCTCAGCTGCCTGCACTCCCTATAGTGCTGCTAACATTGTGTTTTACACAGCCATATACAGATATAAAAAATATATAATATATATTTTATAGATAATATAATTATATATAACTATATAAAATTACATAATATATAATAAATTATATATTATAGATAATATATAATAATTATAAATATAGATAATATATAATAATTATAAATATTATAGATAATATATAATAATTACATATTATAGATAATATACAATAATTACATATTATAGCTAATATATAATAATTACATATTATAGATAATATACAATAATTACATATTATAGCTAATATATAATAATTACATATTATAGATAATATGTAATAATTATAAATATTATAGATAATATATAATTACATATTATAGATAATATATAATAATTATAAATATTATAGATAATATATAATAATTACATATTATAGATAATATACAATAATTACATATTATAGATAATATATAATAATTACATATTATAGATAATATATAATAATTATAAATATTATAGATAATATATAATAATTACATATTATAGATAATATATAATAATTATATTATAGATAATATATAATAATTACATATTATAGATAATATATAATAATTATATTATAGATAATATATGATAATTATATATTATAGATAATATATGAAAATAATTATATATTATAGATAATATATGATAATTATATATTATAGATAATATATGATAATTATATATTATAGATAATATATGATAATTATATATTATAGATAATATATAATTACATACAATATATATTTTATATAAAATATATAATTACATATATTTTATATAAATATATAATTACATATATTTTATATAATATATAATTACATATATTATATAAAATATATAATTACATATAATATATCTTTTATATAAAATATATATTATATATAACATATAATTATAATATATTATATAACTATATCTTTTATAATATAAAATATTATATATAATATATAATATATAATTATATATTATACATGCTTATAAAATATAATATATAGTATATTATGTTATCAAATATATAATATATTATATGATATATAATATAATATATAATTATATATTATATATGCTTACAAAATATATTATAAAATATAATATATAGCATATTTTATATTATCAAATATATTATATAATATATAATATCATATATTATCATCTATATCATATATATCAATTACATATATCATATATAAAATATAATATATAATATCTATTGTATAATATAATATATGATATAATGTATTATATCATGTATAATATATCATGTATAATATATTATATTATATCATGTATAATATAATATATCATGTAATAATATAATATATTATATCATGTATAATATAATATATTATATCATGTATAATATAATACACATTATATATTATATCATGTATAATATAATACACATTATATATTATATCATGTATTATATAATACACATTATATATTATATCATGTATTATATAATACACATTATATATTATATCATGTATTATATAATATATAGTATATTGTATCGTGTATTATATAATATATAGTATATTGTATCGTGTATTATATAATATATAGTATATTGTATCGTGTATTATATAATATATAGTATATTGTATCGTGTATTATATAATATATAGTATATTGTATCGTGTATTATATAATACATAGTATATTGTATCGTGTATTATATAATACATAGTATATTATATCGTGTATTATATAATATATAGTATATTATATCGTGTATTATATAATATATAGTATATTATATCGTGTATTATATAATATATAGTATATTATATCGTGTATTATATAATATATAGTATATTATATCGTGTATTATATAATATATAGTATATTATATCGTGTATTATATAATATATAGTATATTATATCGTGTATTATATAATATATAGTATATTATATCGTGTATTATATAATATATGATATAATATATAATTATATAAAAATATATAATTATATATTATATATAAAACGATGTATACATAAAATATATATATACACACTATATATATTTTTTGAGATGGAGGCTTGCTCCCATCACAGAGGCTGGAGTGCAGTGGCGTGATCTTGGCTCACTGCAACCTCTGCCTCCTGGGTTCAAGCGATTCTCCTGCCTCAGCCTCCTGAGTAGCTGGGATTACTGGCATGCACCACCACGCCCGGCTAATTTTTGTATTTTTAGTAGAGATGGGGTTTCTCCATGTTGTTCAGGCTGGTCTCAAACTCCCGACCTCAGGTCATCCACCCGCCTTGGCCTCCCAAAGTGCTGGGATTACAGGCTTGAGCCACTGTGCCTGGCTGTTTTTTTT
Source organism: Homo sapiens (assembly GCF_000001405.40). Lineage (NCBI taxonomy): Eukaryota > Metazoa > Chordata > Mammalia > Primates > Hominidae > Homo > Homo sapiens. Next base: position 570,942 of record NC_000024.10, read on the forward strand.
CTGTTTTGTTTTGTTTTGTTTTGTTTGTTTGTTTTTTGAGACAGAGTCTCACTCTGTTGCCGAGGCTGGAGTGCAGTGGCACTGTGTCAGCTCACTGCAACCTCCATATCCTGGGTTCAAGCAATTCTCCTGCCTCAGCCTCCCGAGTAGCTGGGATGACAGGCGTCCACCACCACGCCCGGCTAGTTTTTATATTTTTAGTAGAGACCGGGTTTCACTATGTTGGCCAGGCTGGTCTTGAACTCCTGACCTCAAGTGATCCACCTTTCTTGGCCTCCCAAAGTGCTGGGATGACAGGCATGAGCCACTGTGCCCGGCCGCGAACTGCTGTTAAGACACGGTGAGAATGAGCTGGCTCTGGAAAATCAAGGCAGGAGGATCACTTGAGTCCAGGAGCTCAAGACCAGCCTGGGCAACACAGCAAGACCCCTATCTCTCTCTAAAAAAAAAAAAAAATTAGCAAGCATGGTGGTGAATGCCTGTGGTTTCATCAGTGAGGTGTGATCATGCCGCTGTACTCGAGCCCGAGGAACAGAGCAAGACCCTGTCTTGGGGGGGAAGAAACCCAAAAAAACAGAGAAAGAATAAACTATCATAATGCTTAATTTTGTGTGCATTTATTTAGCAGTGGGAACCAAATTGGCCTCCCCTAGGTAATTCAGCTATTCGTCTGAATTATGTGGGTTACTGTGTTACAGTCATCTCTTGTTTGATTTTAGTGAAACTGACTTAATTTTGCATACAAAAGCTGGTTCTAGGATCCTACCCCCCCAAGACAGGTTAGTTATGATGGGCAATCTCTCGACCTCATGCCTGACATCTTACATGTGTCGAGAAATCAAGAAGGTCGAAATATAAGTGGAGAGGTTGACGCTCCATTCTGGGGCAGCCCTGTAACTGTCCACCAATGTTGTGTCTGAGCTGGGCTGTGTCCACGAGCTTCCTGTTGTATTCTAGGGGCTCATAAGTTCAGAAAGATACTCAAATGGGGAGTTTTGTCCTGATGAAACCCAGGATGGAATACAGGACAAAAAAATACATTAATATTTGAGTCTTCTTAAGAAAGTCTAGGCCGGGCGCGGTGGCTCACGCCTGTAACCCCAGCACTTTGGGAGGCCGAGGATGGAGGATCGCCTGAGGTCAGGTGTTCGAGACCAGCCTGGCCAACATGGTGAAACCCTCTTTCTACTAAGGATACGAAAATTAGCCAGGAGTTAGGGCGGGTTCCTGTCATCCCAGCTACTCGGGAGGCTGAGGCAGGAGAATTGCTTGAATCCTGGGAGGCGGAGGTTGCAGTGAGCTGAGATTGTGCCACTGCACTCCAGCCTGGATGATGACAAACTCTGTCTCAAAACAAAACAAAACAAAAAGTGGAAACTGGAAACAGCTTTTATGCTCTTTTATTTCAATAGTTTACAGAACCCAGGATGGTATCCAATGAGAGCTTGCATTCAGGCATGGGGAAGACACCGTTGAGAAGAATGAAAATGATTACAATCATGCAGAAAAAGAAACTTGGGCACCCAAAACACACCCAGGAAAATGAGGGAAGGGAAAGTATTTGAATTTGACTAGCAATGACAAGCCGCAGATACATGAGCTCAGAGGACTGTGGCTGGACAGACATCAAGGGTGGACAGAACCCAGCCTGTCAGGACTGACACCCTAGGGTTGTCCGTCTACAAATCGGCTCCTGATTGGTCTACCCGGGACTGTGGTCCACGGTCATTGAAAAATATGTCATGGAGGCTCCACGTACACTCAAGCTGTGGGCAGACAGTTCCATGATGGGACTGCACCTCGTATCAGAAAGGGCCTCCCATCCTCCCCTTCTTTAATTCCACCCTCCTGACGTCCGACTACTTCACTCCATACAACCACATGTCCTCAAGACAATGGGCAACGGATGCCGTTTGGTTCAGTGGAGGCAAGAAACATGATTTATGAATGTTGTTTACGTTTTAACAATTTAAATTTATGTTTATTATATTAAATATAATTTTATATTTTTATAATGAATATAAAAATATTTATTATATTTTAAATAGTTTAAAAATATTATGAAATTATTTTAATTTTATAAATATATTAAACGTATTTGTATTTTTATAAAATATATAAAATTATATATTTATAATTTTTAAAATATAAAATTATTTTAATTTTATAAATATATTTATAGTTTTTATAAATATATTAATAAACATATTTCTATTTTATAAAATATATAAAATTATATATTTATAATTTTATAATATATCTAATAAATATATTATAATATCATATAACATATTATATATCATAATATATAGCTAATAAATATAATATATAATATATACTAAAATATTTAATAAAGATGTTTTTAAATATAAAATACATATTATTTATTTATAGAAATACATATTTTATATATTTATAATTAATATATAAAATATTGGTATAAAATAATTTATTAAAATAATTTAAATTTTCATAATTTAAATTTATATTTATTATATTAAATGTAATAACTTCATATTTTTATAATTAATATAAAATATTTATTAAATAATAATTTATTCTAAAAGCGCTCAGAATTTCAAAGCTAATATTTGACTTTTTAAAAAATTAAGTGCTAAGTTTGTATAAAAATTTTAATATGACATAAAATTTTTATTTCTATAATTAATATAAAAATACTTATTGTATTTTTAATAAATAATTTTGAAAATATTAATTGTATTTTTAATATTTTGAAAATATTACAAAAATATTTTAATTTTATAATATATTAACAAATATGTTAAATATATTTATAATTTTATAAATATATTATAATAAATATATTAAATATATTATAAATATAAATATATAATAAAATAAATATGTTAAAATATAAATATATAACACATATATTAAAATATTAGAAAATATATTATAATTGTATTTTAAAGATTTTATATGTTTATAATTAATATATAAAATATTTATTAAAATAATTTATTATAATTATTTAATTTTAATAATTTAAAATTAAATTTATTATATTAAATATAATAATTTTATATTTTTACAATTAATATGAAAATATTTATTAAGTAATAATTTATTCTGACAGCTCTCAGAATTTCAAAGCTAATACTTGACTTGTTTCTTTAAAAAAACTAAACTATTTGACTTGCTTCTTAAAAGAAAAACAAGCACTAAGAGTTTGTATAAAAAATCTTAATATGACATAAAAATGAATGCCAGAGAGTCCATACATCAGAATTCCAGATAAGCTCTTTTTTTGGCATGTGGGATTTTTATTCATAAATTTGTTTAACTCTTTATACACCTCATCATACGTTTTCGTGTTGAGGATTTCCTTTGACGTTCTCATTGGCTGTTGGAGCAAGATAAGATCCCATTTGGGGCTGTCATGCATGAGCCCCTTTGCTGAGGATGTGCAGAATGGGGTGTCTGAGGTCTACCTGCGTGGAACCAGGTGCACCTGCGGATCTTGCTAACACGCGCGGGAATTTTGCACGTTCACCAACAGGCAAATGAATCCTCGCGTCTTTAAGGGTCTGCGGCAGTTAATAGATGATCCACCGTGTCATGTCACAGCCCAGATGAGTGACAAGCCAGTGCCGACAGAGAGTGACATGTGTCTGTCACTTTGCTGACAGCCCTGGCACATTCTGCAAAATGCCTCAGCTCCTGCTGCCTAATTTTCTGCTGTGAGAGCCAGGTGGCTTCCTTTGGTCTCCACAGGAAACAAAATGTCTCAGAAATCTTTCCCCAAAGCACAGGCTTCATACATTCATGGGGTCTCACCATGTTGGGAGAACGGTGGCAGAATCAGAAAGGTGACGGGGGCTAGCTGGGAACACCTGTGTGCGGATTCTTCAGAATCTGTAACAGCCTGGTTTGCAGACTCAAGGGGACTGTGGGCACTGGGAGATTCCTGAAGGCAGGTGGGTGGTTGGAAGGATGTGAAAAGATTCAGTTGGATCCCAGGGGTGGTGGGTCAAAGGCATTTCCTGTGTTCACAGCTGGTTGCCACCGACGCCTGTTGCCACGGATGCCTGGTGTACAGGGCGTGGTTCTTTTCTCAGGTGAATACCCAACAGTCAAGTTATCCCAGTCCATCTGGATCACCTGCAAACAGATGCACCATTCATGCCCCACCTCAGGGCTTGTTCTTTTCTTCAGCACACTCCTGGCTTACACCTGTGTGCTCAGATGCAGAGGTAAAGCATTTTAAGGACACCTCCAGGAATCTGTCCGGTGGCAATGACCCATTCGGGCCCAAGAAAGTGTAAGAGTGATGCCTTCTTGCTCTGCTCTCATCTGGAAGCGCCTCTCTCCCTTGCCATGGAGAGGCTGGCCATGTAATGCTCACTGTGGCTCTTTCAGATACATCATCTCCCCATTTTAAAGATGAAGAAGAGTCAGTCTCATTCCTCAGCACCAGTAGTAACGGGGGGAGTTGGGCTGACTCCAAACCTGCTCCCAAAGATAGCACTAACAAATGCTGGTAAGGTGGTGGTCACAAAGAGTGTCATCAACTCCAGATAGCAACCGGGTCTCCTTACCAGAAAACCTAACAGGCGTTGGTTTGATAGATGCATCATTGTGTATGTCTCTATCCATCTATGCATTCTCCATCTATCCATCTATCATCTCTCCATTCACCTACTCATCTATCAATCTATCCATTCATCTATCCATTCTTTATATCTATTTCTCTATCTATCCATCTATTTATTTATCCATCATCCGTCTGTCATCTATTTATATTCTGTCATCTCTCTTTCAATCTTCCATCTACCCTATCTATCTACTACCTAAAGCTATCTGTATTCTATCTATCCAAACATCATCTGACTATCATCTACCTACCTACATCTATCATCTCTCTAGCTCTGTCTATATATCTATCTATATCATCTCTATATCAGTCATCTATTCCTCTATCTATTATCTATCTATCTATCATCTATCATCTATCTACCATCTATCTATCAATACATCTATGTATCAATCATCTATCTCTCAATCAGTACATCTGTCAATGTATCAATCATCTATCTATATCAGTACATCTGTAAGTATCAATCATCTATCATGTATCTATCTATACATCTGTATATCTATCTATCTCAGTACATCTGTCTACGTATCAATCATCTGATTGAAGAAAAGGCTCGGAGACGGAGTCTATGTCACCAGCATAGGAAAAGCAGGATGTGGCTTCCATTCCTTGAAACCTCTGTCTTCCTCCTGATTTACAAGTCCTGTCTGAGATTCTCCTCTGGTGTTTATTTGCTGTTTTTCTTGTGAAGCCAGATTTCCAAGCATATTTTCACATTGGTTTTGAAGGTCCTGATGGAAAACATGTGCCTGGAGATAAATGTGCTTTAACCAAATGTGTGTCTTCTGGAACATTCTCTGGATAGCTCTAGCCAGTGAGGAGTAAGGACAGCTGCTTCCTTTGGACCCTACACTGACCATTGTTTGTCTCTACCTGCACAACCTTTATCTCTCCTCCAGTTTAAGCAACCAGTTTCCTGCAGGTGAACATCCTGGCACCATAATTGGCTCAAAGATGGGCATAGGACTCAGTGCAAGCCCTGAGTTTGTGCAGAAACTGAGCAGTGTAACAGCCTGGGAGGAAGTCCTGGAGGGACTTGAGCAAGATGACTTATCAGAGACAGAATCTGAGGAGAAGGCTCAGAACTTACCTCTAATCTCTTGCATGTTGAACCCAACAACTCAAATGAAAACCAGAGCTCATGGTTGCTGTTGAGACAGTCCACACTTTCCAGCCTCCTGAAGCAGAGAGTGGAGAAGAATGAAGAGGAACTGGGGAGGTAGAGGCTCTCTTGGGTTTATTGTAATACTTGAGTGAGTTAGCCCTTTTGAACAAACTTGACATTGAGCAGGTGTTGATTACAAATGAGATGTTTCCTGTGTTACTCATGGACACCCAGAAGAGGCAGGGTATTAGAAAGGGTATTAGCTTCCACTGGCTGCTGTAACGAAAATGATGACAGACTTCATCTTAGTTTATTTTGTACTTCTATAAAAGAGTGCCACTGATTAGGTAATTTATAAACAATGGGAGTTCATTGGTCTCATGGTTCCGAGGGCTGGAAAGTCTGAGGTTGAGGTGCTATGTCTGGTGAGGATCTTTTTGCTGTGTCATCCATTGTGAACTATCTCTTCGAGGTACTTCATATCCCCACTTCAGAGATGGAGAAACTGAGGTTGAAGAATGGTCAGTCTTATTGCTCAGCCCCAGTGATGGGTGGAGTTGGGTTGACTTCAAACCTACTCTGAAATATAACATTAAGAAATGCTGGCAATATGGCGGTCACCAATAGTGTTCATCAACTCCAGAGGGCAAGGAGGTCTCGTAACTAGAAAACCTCACAGCTATTGCTGAAGGAAGGGCACAGAGTTGAATTCAACATGGTTGACTCCTTGAAACCTCCATCTTCCCTCTGACGTACAGCAAGTCCTGCCTGAGATTCTCCTCTGGTGATTGTTTGCTGTTTTTCAACTGGACCAGCTCCAGAGCCCAAGCTAACTGGGGTAATGACGAGGGGAGGGTATGATTGATAGATAGATAGATAAATGATAGAGATAGATAGATGGGTAGATAGATATATAGATATACAGATGATAGATGGATAGATTGATAGAGGGGTAGATAGATATATAGATAGATGATAGATGGATAGAGAGATTGATAGATGGGTAGACAGATATATAGGTAGATGATAGATGGATAGATTGATAGAAGGGTAGATATATAGATAGATGGGTAGATAGACAAATGATAGATGAATAGATAAATGATATATGATGGACAGATACATAGATGATAGATGGATAAATAGATAAATGATAGATGAATAGATAAAAGATAGATGGATAGATAAATGACAGATGGATAGATAGATAAATAATAGATGAATAGATAAAAGATAGACGATGGACAGATACCTAGATGATAGATGGACAAATAGATAAATGATAGATGAATAGATAAATGATAGAAAGATAGATAAATGACAGATGGATAGATAGATAAATGTAGATGAATAGATAAAAGACACATTGATAGATAAATGATGGATAGACACATAAACAATAGATGGATGGATAGATAGATAGATGGGTATTTAGATGGATAGATAGATAAATAGATAAGTAATACATGAATAGATAAATGACAGATGGATAGATAGATAGATAAATGATAGATGAATAGATAAAAGATAGATGATGGACAGATAGATGATAGATGGATAAATAGATAAATGATAGATGAATAGATAAATGATAGCTGGGTAGATAGATAAATGACAGATGGATAGACAGATTAATGATAGATGAATAATAAAAGATAGACTGATAAATGATGGAGAGATACATAAGCAATAGGTGGATAGATAGATAAATGGTAGATGGGTATTTAGATAGATAAATAGATAAGTAACAGATGAATAGATAACTGGTAGATGGACAGATACATGCTAGATTTCCAAGCATATTTTCACATTTTCACCTTGGTTTCATAGGTCCTGATATAAAACATATGCCTGGAGATCAATGTGCTTCGAATTAGGATTTTTTTTTCTTTTTTCTTTTTTTGCCCCAGAAGGTTAGGAGAGTCCCCATAGAACGTGGGAGGGGACCTGTTTAGTGTTCAGAGCTTGCTGGAGAGGCTCCAGCATGACTCGTTGCTGGATGCTAAACAGGTGGTCCCCCGAGAAAGACCTGGGTCTGGAGGTGAGGGTTGCAGGGTTTATATGCCAGCAACAGAACAGGCGCTTCCTTGGAGAAGTATGTGTGAACCGGTCGCCCTCCCCACCTAAAGGTGTTCTGGGTTTGAGGAGGTTGTCAGTGGTGACCGTATGACCCCAAAAGTCAAACAGAATAATGCGCTTTATCCTTCCTTCTGCTTTAGGGAGGAGAATGTTTGCAGCAGTTCTTGTTAATTCATGAAGCATATGACTAATTGCATCAAGGATGAAACAAGGTAGGTAGGTAGGTAGACAGTTAAGTATGCACATGCATATGTACATAGATGGCAGATAGATGGGTAATAGATCAATGGCAGATAGATAAATAGATGCTGGATAGAGAGAGAGATAGACGATGAATAGAGAGATAGATGATGGATAGAGAGAGAGGGATACATAGATAGATGATTGATTGATTGATTGATTGATTGATGAGATAGATACATGGATAAAAGAGCCATACACATTACAGTGTGTATACATGCAGAGATAGACGATAGACATAGGTAGTATGTAGATAGATAGGCAGATAGATGATAGATGATGGATAGACAGGAGATAGAGAGATAAATGCTAGATAGAGAGACAAAGAGATAGAGATAGATAACGGATAGATAGATGAGGTACATAGACGTAGATAAATAGATAGCTAATAGGTAGATAGATAATAGATGATTGATGGATAATAGATAGATAGGTAGATAAACAGATCATAGGTAGGTAGATAATAGATGATTGATAGATAATAGATAGATGATAGATTAAATAGGTAGATGATAGATGATAGGTAGATAATAGGTAGATGATAGATAGCTAGATAGATGATAGATAGATAGGCAGATAGATAGATGGTAGACAGATAGATGATAGACAGATAGATGATAGATAGATATATAGACAGATATATAGATAGCTAGATAGATGATAGATAGCTAGATAGCTAGATAGATGATAGATAGATAGGCAAATAGCTAGATGATAGACAGATGATAGATAGATATATAGACAGATATATAGATAGATAGCTAGATAGATGATAGATAGATAGATAGATGATAGATATATAGACAGATATATAGATAGATAGCTAGATAGATGATAGATAGATAGATGATAGACAGAGAATAGATAGATATATAGACAGATATATAGATAGATAGCTAGATAGATGATAGGTAGATAGATAGATGATAGATAGATGATAGATAGATATATAGACATATATAGATAGCTAGATAGATGATAGATAGATAGATAGATAGATAGATAGATAGATAGATAGATAGACAGATAGATAGAATATCAATTTGTTCTTGCATTGCTATAAAGCAATACCTGAGCCTGGGTAATTTATAAAGAAAAGAGGTTGAATTGGCTCATGGTTCTGCAGGCTGTACAAGAAGCCCAGTGGCTTGGGCTTCTGAGGAGGCCTCAGGAAACTTATAGGCAAAGGGGAAACAGGTACGTCTTACATTGCTGGAGTAAGAGGAGAGGCGGGGGAGGTGCCACACACTTGTAATCAACCAGATCGCGTGAGAACTCTAGCAGAAGAACAGCGCCAAAGGGATGGTCCTAAACCACTCTTGAGGGGCCCACCCCCACGATCCAATCACCTCTCCCCAGGCCTAAACCACTCCTGAGGGGCCCACCCCCACGATCCAATCACCTCTCACCAGGCCCCACCTCCAACATTGGGGATTACAATTCAGCATGCGATTTGGGCAGGGACACAGATCCAAACCCTATTAGATAGATAGATTAATGATAGATGGATAGATAGATAGATGATTGATGGATACATAGATAAATGATAGATGGATAGATAAATGATAGAGGGATAAATAGATGATAGATGGATAGATAGATGATTGATGGATAGATGGATAAATGATAGATGGATAGATAATGATTGATGGATATATAGATAATGATTGATGGATAGATAAATGATGGATAGATAAATGATAGATGGATAAATAGATGATAGATGGATAGATAGATGATTGATGGATAGATGGATAAATGATAGATGGATAAATAGATGATAGATGGATAGATAGATGATAGATGGATAGATGGATAAATGATAGATGGATAGATAATGATTGATGGATATATAGATAATGATTGATGGATAGATAGATAAATGGTAGATGGATAGATAAATGATAGATGGATAAATAGATGATAGACGGATAGATAGATGATTGATGGATAGATGGATAAATGATAGATGGATAGATAATGATTGATGGATATATAGATAATGATTGATGGATAGATAGATAAATGGTAGATGGATAGATAAATGATAGATGGATAAATAGATGATAGACGGATAGATAGATGATTGATGGATAGATGGATAAATGATAGATGGATAGATAATGAATGATGGATAGATAAATGATAGATGGATAGATAAATGATAGATGGATAAATAGATGATAGATGGATAGATAGATAATTGATGGATAGATGGATAAATGATACATGGATAGATAATGATTGACGGATAGATAGATAATGATTGGTGGATAGATAAATGATAGATGGATAGATAGATGATTGATGGATAGATAGATAAATGATAGATGGATAGATAGATGGGTAGATAGATATATAAATGATAGGTAGATAAATGATAGATGAACATATAAATGATTGATAGATGGATAGATAAATGATAGATGAATAGATAAATGATGGATAGACACATAATAGATGGATAGAAAGATAGATAAATGATAGATGGGTATTTAGATGGATAGATAGATAAATAGATAAATAATAGATGGACAGATAACTGATAGTTGGGCAGATAGATAAATGATCGATGGATAGATAAAAGATAGATAAATAAATAATAGATAGATCAATAAATAGTAAATGAATAGATGAATGACAGATGGGTAGATAGATGGATAGATAAATGATGGATAGATAGATAGATAATAGATGACAGATAGGTGAGAGAGAAATGGGTGACGGAAGGGAGAGAAAGAAGGAGAGAGATTTGGGGTCATTAAATAGCAGAGGAAAAGCATGTACACAAAACTTTTGCAGCATGTGCAATGGAATATATATATATGTTTATATATATATATGTTTATATATATATATAAATACACACACACAGAGAGAGACAGAGAGAGAGACAGAGTCATCAGAGAGTCATCAGACAGCAGAGAGGAAACCCACCCAGCACTGAGGTCATACAGCAAGCTGGAAAGAGACAATGAGTAATGTTTGACATGAGAGGTCATTTTCTGCACGTCTGGAATCGAGGCATTGATTTTTCATACACATTATGGCTATTGGCTAGAGATGATCATTGAACCTGTCTGAAGACAGATCTCTGGGTGGAGCAGACCAAGGCTGTTTGGTGACTTGCGTTATTTGAAGATTTCCCTGCATGCTACTGAAACCAGATGTAGTGAGCTATGATCATCCCACTGCACTCCACCCTGAGCGACAGAGCGAGACCCTGACTCTTATAAAAATAAAAATAAAAAATAAGGCCAGTGCAGTGGCTCAAGGCTGTCATCCCAGCACTTTGGGAGGCCGAGGCGGGTGGATCATGAGGTCAGGAGTTCGAGACCAGCCTGGCCAACAGGGTGAAACCCCGTCTCTACTAAAAGTACAAAAATTATCTGGGAGTGGTGGCAGGTGCCTGTAGTCCCAGCTACTCGGGAGGCTGAGGCAGGAGAATGGCGTGAACCTGGAGGCAGAGGTTGCAGTGAGCCGAGATGTTGCCCAGGCTGGGTGACAGAGCAAGACTCCATTTCAAAAAATAAATAAATTAATTAAATAAAAATAACATAACATAAAATAAAATGGGAACGTCTCCACTCCTCAGAGTGACTCATCCCACCGATCCCACACTGAAATTTAGTTTTTGACACACTGCAGAATGCAAGTAATAATTGCTCAAAATTTGACTGAAGGCGCAGCCCAGAAAGTGAGCTCAAGAAGGTAGGGATGTGGGTGTTTTTGTTCAGAAGTATCTCTCTCTCTCTCTCTCTTTTTTTTTTTTTTTTTTTTTTTGAGATGGAGTCTCGCTCTGTCACCCAGGCTGGAATGCAGTGGTGCGATCTCGGCTCACTGCAAGATCCGCCTCCTGGGTTCACACCATTCTCCTGCCTCAGCCTCCCAAGTAGCTGGGACTACAGGTGCCCGCCACCACGCCCGGCTAATTTTTTGTATTTTTAGTAGAGTTGGGGTTTCACCATGTTGGCCAGGCTGGTCTTGAACTCCTGACCTCAAGAACCTCCACCTCCCAGGTTCAAGTGAGTCTCCTGCCTCAGCCTCCCGAGTAGCTGGGACTACAGGCACCTGCCACTACACCCGGCTAATTTTTGTATTTTTAGTAGAGACGGGGTTTCACCACATTGGCCAGGCTGGTCTTGAACTCCTGACCTCGTGATCCGCCCACCTCGGCCTCCCAAAGTGCTGGGATTACAGGCATGAGGCCACCGCGCCCGGCCAAAAATGGATTTTAATTGCCTAAATTTCCTGCCTCTAGGAGAAAGTACCTTCTTGATCCTTCAGGAGCTAATTTCCACCCAAATCCTCGATGGCTTCAGGGCTCTGGCTGGCAGATGATGTTACAGTGAGGAAGCCGTCATCCTGTGTGGAGTATGGTTCACACTAGCATGCTGTGTCCTGGCCATCAAAGAGATACATGTGCCAGATAAAATATGTGTGTATAGATCACGCATAAACTTGCATTCTGGGTCTTCATAAAGAAGTTTAAAGAAGGCCGGGAGTGGTGGCTCACGCCTGTAATCCCAGCACTTTGGGGGGCCGAGGTGGGTGGATCACCTGAGGTCAGGAGTTCGAGACCAGCCTGACCAACACGGTGAAACCCCATCTCTACTAAAAATACAAAAATTAGCCAGGCGTGGTGGCAGGTGCCTGTAATCCCAGCACTTTGGGGGACCGAGGTGGGTGGATCATCTGAGGTCAGGAGTTCGAGACCAGCCTGACCAACATGGTGAAACCCCGTCTCTACTAAAGAAATACAAAAATTAGTCAGGCGTGGTGACAGGTGCCTGTCATCCCAGCTACTCGGGGGGCTGAGGCAGAATTGTTGAACCTGGGAGGCGGTGGTTGTAGAGAGCCGAGGTCACTGCACTCCAGCCTGGGCGATAGAGTGAGACTCAGTGTCAAAAAAAAAAAAAAAATTAAAGATAGAGGGAGAAAGAGGAGAAACAAGAGGAGGAGGAGGCTGGAGGAGGAGAAGGAGGAGGAAGAGAAAGAGGAGGAGGTGGAGGAGGAGGGAGACAGAGGAGGAGGAGGGAGTGGTTGGAGGAGGAGAAAGAGAAGGATGAGGAAGAGAAAAAGAAGGAGGGGGAGGAGGAAGAAGAGGAGGAGGGGAAGGAGGAGAAAGAGGAGGAGAGGGAGGAAGAGGAGGAGGCTGGAGGAGGAGAAAAAGGAGAAAGAGAAAAAGGAGGAGGGAGAGGAGGAGGGGAAGGAGGAGGGAGAGAAAGAGGAGGAGAGGGAGGAAGAGGAGGAGGCTGGAGGAGGAGGAAAAGGAGAAAGAGAAAAAGGAGGAGGGAGAGGAGGAGGGGAAGGGGGAGGGAGAGAAAGAGGAGGAGAGGGAGGAAGAGGAGGAGGCTGGAGGAGGAGGAAAAGGAGAAAGAGAAAAAGGAGGAGGGAGAGGAGGAGGGGAAGGGGGAGGGAGAGAAGTAGAAGCAGGAAGAGTGGGGAAGGAGGAGGTTGGAGAAGGTGGAGGAGGAAGAAGAGAAACAGGAAGAAGAGGAGGAAAAAGGGGAGGAGGAGGGAGAGGAGGAAAGAGAGGAGGAGGGGAAGGAGGAGGAAGAGAAAGAGGAGGAGGGGGAGAAGCAGGGAGAGGAGGAGGAGGAAGAGAAAGAGGAGGAGGGAGAGGAGGAGGGAGAGGAGGAGGAAGAGAAAGAGGAGAAGGGAGAGGAGGAGGGGGAGGAGGAGGGAGAGGAGGAGGAGGAAGAGAAAGAGGAGAAGGGAGAGGAGGAAGAGCCTGGAGGAGGAGGAAGAGAAAGAAGAAAAGGAAGAGGAGGGGAAAGAAGAGGCTGGAGAAGATGGAGGAGGAAGAAGAGAAAGAGGAAGAGGAGAGGGGAGAGGATGAGGGGAAGGAGGAGGAAGAGAAAGAGGAGGAGGGAGAGGAGGAAGAGGCTGGAGAGGAGAAGGAGGAAGAGAAAGAGGAGGAGGGGGAGGAGGGGAAGGAAGAGGTTGGAGAAGGTAGAGGAGGAAGAAGCGAAAGAAAAGGAGGGGGAGGAGAGAGGGGAGGAGAAAGAACAGGAAGAGGAGAGGGAGAAGGAGGAACAAGAGAAGGGGGAAGAGGGGAGGAGGAAAAGATGAGAGGAGGAGAAGGAAGCGGAAGAGAAAGAGGGAGAGGTGGAGAAGGGGGAGGAGGAGGGGAAGGAGGAGGAGGAAGAGGAGGAGGAGAAGAAGGTGGAGGAGGGAGAAAAGGGAAGAGGGGGGCAGAGGGTGGAGAGGGACTCAGGAAAACAGGTCCCCCTCACCCCCATCCCACCGTAATAAAGACATGACGCCTTTTTATGCTGAGAAAACATCAAGCTGTGTTTCTCCTTCCCCAGAGACACTTCGCAGCCCCTCTTGGGATCCAGCGCAGCGCAAGGTAAGCCAGATGCCTCTGCTGTTGCCCTCCCTGTGGGCCTGCTCTCCTCACGCCGGCCCCCACCTGGGCCACCTGTGGCACCTGCCAGGAGGCTGAGCTGCAAACCCCAATGAGGGGCAGGTGCTCCCGGAGACCTGCTTCCCACACGCCCATCGTTCTGCCCCCGGCTTTGAGTTCTCCCAGGCCCCTCTGTGCACCCCTCCCTAGCAGGAACATGCCGTCTGCCCCCTTGAGCTTTGCAAGGTCTCGGTGATAATAGGAAGGTCTTTGCCTTGCAGGGAGAATGAGTCATCCGTGCTCCCTCCGAGGGGGATTCTGGAGTCCACAGTAATTGCAGGGCTGACACTCTGCCCTGCACCGGGCGCCCCAGCTCCTCCCCACCTCCCTCCTCCATCCCTGTCTCCGGCTATTAAGACGGGGCGCTCAGGGGCCTGTAACTGGGGAAGGTATACCCGCCCTGCAGAGGTGGACCCTGTCTGTTTTGATTTCTGTTCCATGTCCAAGGCAGGACATGACCCTGTTTTGGAATGCTGATTTATGGATTTTCCAGGCCACTGTGCCCCAGATACAATTTTCTCTGACATTAAGAATACGTAGAGAACCAAATGCATTTTCTTCTTAAAAAAAAAAAAAACCAAAAAAAAAAAAAAAAACCAAAAAACTGTACTTAATAAGATCCATGCCTATAAGACAAAGGAACACCTCTTGTCATATATGTGGGACCTCGGGCAGCGTGTGAAAGTTTACTTGCAGTTTGCAGTAAAATGACAAAGCTAACACCTGGCGTGGACAATCTTACCTAGCTATGCTCTCCAAAATGTATTTTTTCTAATCTGGGCAACAATGGTGCCATCTCGGTTCACTGCAACCTCCGCTTCCCAGGTTCAAGCGATTCTCCGGCCTCAGCCTCCCAAGTAGCTGGGAGGACAGGCACCCGCCATGATGCCCGGTTAATTTTTGTATTTTTAGCAGAGATGGGTTTTCGCCATGTTGGCCAGGCTGGTCTCGAACTCCTGACCTCAGGTGATCCGCCTGCCTTGGCCTCCCAAAGTGCTGGGATGACAGGCGTGAGCCACCGCGCCCAGCCAGGAATCTATGCATTTGCCTTTGAATATTAGCCTCCACTGCCCCATCAGCAAAAGGCAAAACAGGTTACCAGCCTCCCGCCACCCCTGAAGAATAATTGTGAAAAAATGTGGAATTAGCAACATGTTGGCAGGATTTTTGCTGAGGTTATAAGCCACTTCCTTCATCTGGGTCTGAGCTTTTTTGTATTCGGTCTTACCATTCGTTGGTTCTGTAGTTCATGTTTCAAAAATGCAGCCTCAGAGACTGCAAGCCGCTGAGTCAAATACAAATAGATTTTTAAAGTGTATTTATTTTAAACAAAAAATAAAATCACACATAAGATAAAACAAAACGAAACTGACTTTATACAGTAAAATAAACGATGCCTGGGCACAGTGGCTCACGCCTGTCAACCCAGCACTTTGGGAGGCTGAGGCGGGTCGATCACCTGAGGTTAGGAGTTCAAGACCAGTCTGGCCAACTTAGTGAAACTCCCGTCTACTAAAAACACACAAATTGGCTGGATGTGGTGGCAGATGCCTGTAATCCCAGCTACACAGGAGGCTGAGGCAGGAGAATCACTTGAACCCAGGAGGCGGAGGTTGCAGTGAGCCGAGATCGTGTCACTGCACTCCAGCCTGGGTGACAGAGTGAGACTCTGTCTCAAAAATATAAGTAAATAAATAAATAAAATAAAATAAACAATCTTCCTGCTCAAAATTGAGGGCATTTTTGTTGAGATAGATTCATTCAGAGTGAGACTCTCACCTCCTACTTCTGTTTTTTTCTGATTTATTTTTATTTTTTTGCTACCTCTGTAGCGACGTTTTCATTGCTGGAGCACGGGTGAGACTATGTCTTTAGACTTCTCCCTCTCCTTCCCCTAAGCCTCCAACGCGTGCTAAAGTGCAAAAAACACCTGAGTCCAAACAGCCTGGCCGGGTGCAGTGGCTCATGCCTGTCATCCCAGCACGTTGGGAGCCTGAAGTGGGTGGATCACCCGAAGTCAGCAGTTCGAGACCAGCCTGGCCAACACGGTGAAACCCCGTCTCTATTAAAAATACGAAAATTAGCCGGGCATGGTGGCGCATGCCTGTAATCCCAGCTACTTGGGAGGTTGAGGCAGGAGAATCGCTTGAACCCAGGGGGTGGAGGGTGCAGTGAGCTGAGATTGTGCCACTGCACTCCAGCCTGGGTGACAGAGTGAGACTGTGTCTCAAAAAAAAAAAAAAAAAAAGAAAGAAAGAAAAGAAAAAGCAAGAAATGGCAGGGATATGGTTTGTCTTCAGAACCATGGTGGAGAGAAGATTGTGTGAGTTCCTGAGGCTGTCAGAACAAAAGACCATGACCTCAGAGTGGGAAGGTCAAAACAGCAGAGATTCATCCTCTCCCAGCTGTGGAGAACAGCAGTCTGTGATCCAGCTGTCTGAGGACCTTCCTCCCATCAGAAGCTCTAGGGGAGGCTCCTTCCTGCCTCTCCCAGCTCCTGGGGGCTCCAGGTGTCCCTGGGCTTGTGGCCGCATCACTCCAGTCTCTGCCTCCATCTCCACGTGGCCTTCTCCTCTGTGTCTGCGTCTCCTCTTCTGTCTCTTACAGGGACACCTGTCATTGTATTTAGGGCCCAGCCCTAAATGGAGTACCAGGATGACCTCATTATAACTAACTATATCTGCAGAGACCGTAGTTCCAAATAAGTCACCCGTCCTGGGTTCCAGATGAAATTATTTGTGTGGGGGAGATATTATTCCACCTGCTACGCAGGATGATTTGTTTTCCTCACTATCAGTGATTGAGATTAACATGTTTCTGTGCTTGGTTAGAGAAATGTAGGATGCTGTTCTGTCTCCTGCTCTTTTTTTTTTTTTTTTTTTTTTTGAGGTGGAGTCCTGCTCTGTTGCCCAGGCTGGAGGACAATGGTGCAATCTTGGTTCACTGCAACTTCCACCTCCATGGTTCAAGGAATTCCCCTGCCTCAGCCTCCCGAGTAGCTGGGATTACAGGTGCGTGCCACCATGTCCAGCTAATTGTTTTGTGTTTTTAGTAGAGATGGGATTTCGCCATGTTGGCCAGGCTGGTCTCGAACTCCTGACCTCAGATGATCCGCCCGCCTCGGCCTCCCAACGTGCTGGGATGACAGGTGTGAGCCACTGTGCCTGGCCCTGCTGTATCTTATGCACATAAAAATCTGTGAGAACTTTCCTTAGGTGATCATCCAAGCCTCAGGGGTCTGAGCAATGGCTTTTTGCTGTAAAAGTCAGACGTGGGGCCGGGCGCGGTGGCTCACGCCTGTCATCCCAGCACTTTGGGAGGCTGAGGCGGGCGGGTCACGAGGTCAGGAGATCGAGACCATCCTGGCTAACACGGTGCAACCCCGTCTCTACTAAAAATACAAAAAATTAGCCGGGCGTGGTGGCGGGCGCCTGTAGTGCCAGCTACTCGGGAGGCTGAGGCAGGAGGATGGTGCGAACCCGGGAGGTGGAGCTTGCAGTGAGCCCAGATCGCGCCACTGCACTCCAGCCTGGGCGACAGAGCAAGACTCCATCTTAAATAAATAAATAAATAAATAAATAAATAAATAAATAAATAATAAATAAATGAATAATAAAAATAAACTCAGACGTGGACGCCAAGCTGCCACGCGCACAGATTAGCCTGCGTCAGACGACCGGAGAGACTGGCTGCGTAGAATCCTCGTTGCCTTTGACTCCTGTCACCTTTACACGCCGGAAAGCCCTGGTCGTCTGCGTTTCTGTCCAGCTCCTGGACTTTTTTTTTTTTTTTTTTTTGAGACGGACTCTCACTCTGTCGCCCAGGCCGGAGTGCAGTGGCACGATCTCGGCTCACCACAACCTCTGCCTCCCGGGTTCAAGCGATTCTCCTGCCTCAGCCTCCCTAGTAGGTGGGATTACAGGTGCCCGCCACCACGCCTGGCTAATTTTTGTATTTTTACTAGAAACGGGGTTTCACCCTGTTGGCCAGGTTGGTCTTGAACTCCTGACCTCGTGATCCGCCTGCCTCAGTCTCCCAAAGGGCTGGGATTACAGGCGTGAGCCACCGCGCCCGGCCTCACCTCCTTGACCGTTTACAGGTGACAACTGTTTGAATCGGTCACCAAAGCGTCAAGATTACGGATCCTCAAGCCGTAGACATTTCACGTACAATCAAAATCAACTGAAAAGGCAGGCGACGTTTCCTGGAGGAACTTTGCTGAAAGAAAAGTCATGAGCCATAACAAACCCTGGAACCGGCTTCTTAACCCCCACCGCAAACTCCCAAGCTTCGGCGTGTGTTGAAAAACCAGAAAGACAGCCTTCTCTAAATAGGATCCACATCTTCATCTTTCTCTCAGGACCCCAAAGACACCTCCTGGCTGTTTCTTGCTGGAGAGAAAGCATTTCACGTGCAGTACACCCTGTTTGAAACATCGCTTGGGTATTTTGATACATTGTTTTGTTGTAGTCAGAAACAGCGCATCAGAAAACACAGTTGTACAAATACTCTTTTTAATGGTACTCGGTGGGGGCTGTGTGTGTGTTTTAAAATAACAAAACTGCTAAACTCCATGGGAATTACTCAAAATGAATATCAGGGAAAGGTTTCCTTCGTTACTTAAACAGATGCCTTTGCAACCTACTATTTTATTTTATTATGTCATTTCTATGGGAAGAGATTATTTAAAAGAAGAAAAGGGGCCCCAGGTTTTCTCTCCTAAATTTCTAGCCCCAAACCTTCGTGATATTGAAAAGCAAGTATATCACAAAAGACTGTCTTCTACAAATTATATTTTTAATTGCAGTGTGCGTGTGTGTTTTAAAATAACAAAACTGCTAAACTCCATGGGAATTAGTCAAAATGAATATCGGGGAAGGGTTTCCTTCGATACTTAAATAGGTACCTTTGCAACCTACTATTTTATTTTATTATGTCATTTCTATGGGAGGAGATTATTTAAAAGGAGGAGCTCACGTTTTTCGTACGAAATTTCTAGCCCCAACCCTCCATGATACTGAAAAGCAAGTATATCAGAAAAGACTGTGTTCTACAAATTATGTTTTTAATTGCACTGTGTGTGTGTGTGTGTGTGTGTGTGTTTTAAAATAACAAAACTGCTAAACTCCATGGGAATTACTCAAAATGAATATCAGGGAAAGGTTTCCTTCGTTACTTAAACAGATGCCTTTGCAACCTACTATTTTATTTTATTATGTCATTTCTATGGGAGGAGATTATTTAAAAGGAGGAGCCCACTTTCTTGCTTTTAAATTTCCAGCCCCAACCCTTCTGGACATAACTCGTCTTCCTCTGCAGATTGGAACAGATGATTTTGCCGTCCAAGCATCCACCGGTGCTGTAGGAGAAGACGCACCGTGTTAGGTAGGTCAGCTGGCTCTGAGTTGAAAGTGTCACCCAAACCCAGGAGATCCAGGGCAGAAATTGTTTTAGTTCCACAGAGCAGCCACGGGTGCACCGTCTGTGTATCTCTGTCAGTGATGCAATCCAATGCATCTGGCAAAGGGAACGCAGGGGGCTGCGAGGAAGGCCCATTCGAGTGGCCTGTAAAAATGCTGAAAGCTCCATACACCTTCCCTGTCTCTGGGATTCTCAGCATCCTGCTCTGCCCTCCAAGTACAGGTCGCTGACCCACCTCCCACCCCTGCCCACCTCCAATCACATGCCTTGCACCCCTTCCTACCATTAGGCCTGCCGCTAAGGACCTGATTAGCTATAAATTTATGGCAATCCGCAACCACCGGCCTTCCCCTCCTGATGTTTTCTGACACATTTCAGGAGACGCAGAATACAGGCTCGCTGGTCCACCCGAGACCCCTGGCTGCAGAAACAGCCCGGCTCGTGAACACAGTTGCCGTGGTAACATGCCCCCCAGCTGTAGCCGGCCTAGGAAAACTACGTGGACAAGGATGATTTTTTCACAAGTTTTATTTTTTATTTATTTACTTGGGACCTTTTGTTTGGCAGCCGGACGGTGCAGCTTTTTCTCTGCACGGAGTCTGGTTGTGTCTACACACACAGGCAACACGCATAGATGGACATAAAACTATCCCCTCCCAAGACTTGCAAAGGATGCACGTTTTTCAGGCTGCAGCCAGGACGAGGGAGAGGTAGAGGTTGTAGTTATTGAGTAGGGGAGTCCCAAGAAAATCGTTGCCATAGGAAAGAAACAGTGGCTCACGTCTCTCATTCCAGCACTTTGGGAGGCCGAGGCGGGCGGATCAACTGAGGTCAGGAGTTTGAGACCAGCCTGGCCAACATAGTGAAACCCCGCTCTACTAAAAATACAAAAATTAGCCAGGCACGGTGGCTCACGCCTGTAATCCCAGCACTTTGGGAGGTCAAGGCGGGAGGATCACCTGAGGTCAGGAGTTCGAGACCAGCCTGGCCAACATGGTGAAACCCCGTCTCTACTAAAAATACAAACAGTAGCCAGGCTTGGTGGCTCACATCTGTCATTCCAGCACTTTGGGAGGCTGACGTGGGGCGGATCAACTGAGGTCAGGGGTTCGAGACCAGCCTGGTCAACATGGTGAAACTCCATCTCTATTGAAAGTACAAACATTAGCCAGGCATGGTGGCTCACGCCTGTAATCCCAGCACTTTGGGAGGCCCAGGCAGGGGGATCGCCTGAGGTCAGGAGTTCGAGACCAGCCTGGCCAACATGGTGAAACCCCCGTCTCTACTAACAATACAAAAATTAGCTGAGCGTAGTGGTGCGCACCTGTAATCCCACATACTCAGGAGGCTGAGGCAGGATAATCGCTTGAACCCAGGAGGCGGAGGTTGCAGTGAGCTGAGATTGCACCACTGCACTCCAGCCTGGATGACAGAGCAAGACTCCATCTCAAACAAAAAGAAAAGAAATGCATGGGTCTTGATGGGTGACATTTTATGTGGAAATAATGACAACAGCTAAAACACAAAGCAAAGCTATTTTGTTTCCCAATTTACACAAAAAACCAAACCAAACAAAACAGGTGCTGAGGTGATATTGAAAGATAAGATTGCTTAGAATATGGAGGCTAATGTTTGGAGGTGACTTTTGTAAATTGATCTTCATCCCTGGCAGTCCTTTGGTTGAAGGAGCCTGGATTTTAGTGTAAGATTTGGCTGGTTTGTTATAACATGTGGATCCCCTTTCTTTCTTTCTTTCTTTCTTTCTTTCTTTCTTTCTTTCTTTCTTTCTTTCTTTCTTTCTTTCTTTCTTTCTTTTTCTTTCTTTCTTTCTTTTCCTTTCTTTCTTTTCCTTTCTTTCTTTCTCTCTCTTTCTTCTTTCCTTCCTTCTTTCTTTCTTTCTTTTTTCTTTCTCTCTTTTCTTTCTTTCTCTCTCTCTCTCCCTCCCTCCCTCCTTCCCTTCCTTCCTTCCTTCCATCTTTCTTTCTTTTTCTTTCTTTCTTTCTTTCTTTCTTTCTTTCTTTCTTTCTCTCTTTCTTTCTTTCTTTCTTTCTCTCTTTTTCTTTCTTTTCTTTCTTCTTTCTTTCTTTCTTTCTTTCTTTCTTTCTTTCTTTCTTTCTCTCTTTTCTTTCTTCCTTCTTTTTAAGTGAAAGCAAGTTTTTTAAGAAAGTGAAGTAATAAAAGAATGGCTACTCCAGAGGCAGAGTACCCCTTAGGGCTGCTGGTTGGCTATCTTTATATCTGCTCCTATTTATTTATTTATTTATTGGAGACAGAGTCTCGTTCTGTCGCCCAGGCTGGAGTGCAGTGGTGCAATCTTGGCTCACTGCAACCTCCGCCTTCCAGGTTCAAGCAATTCTCCTGCCTCAGCCTCCTGAGTAGCTAGGATTATAGTCATGAGCGACCACACCAAGCTAATTTTTTTTTTTTTTTTTGTATTTTTAGTAGAGACAGGGTTTCACCATGTTGGCCATGCTGGTCTCGAACTGCTAGCCTCAGGTGACCCGCCCGCCTCGGCCTCCCAACGTGCTGGGATGACAGGTTTGAGCCACCGCCCCCGGTCCATCCTCTTTATTTTTTAAATTCTATTTGTATTCTTGATCTTCCCAGTTTTAGTGGCTCTTCAGGGGCTGAGAAAGCATGAAATACAGAGAATTTCTCTCCTCTTTCAACCAGAAAAGTTGTCTCATGTCTTTGGAGGTGGTAAGACCAGAGATATCTTTCTTGCAGGAGGAAGATGATTTCAAGAACAGAGAAATTGAGATGATTTTCCCGAGACAGGCAGTTGTTTCTTTCCTCCTCTCAGACACCTGTCCCGCGAGGCCAAGATGAAGTTGCTTCATTTTCTTAAGAGAGAATGACCGGAATGTTCCGGAAAACCAAAACGTCCAAGCTTTTGCAGGATGGAAGGAGTGGATCTATAGCAATTGAATTGAACACTTGTGTCCCTGTGTCTCCCTTGCTGCCCCCCAAACCTGAGAGCCCATTTTCAGCTTCTCCAGTGACCCAGTTGTCCAAGCGGAAACTAGTTAATCACCCTCAGTGGACCTGATATTCCCCGGAAATTATGGCTCGTGGAGATCTCATCGGAATTGTAAACTCATGCAGCCAGCCACATCTGCAAGTCCCAGGGGAATACAGGTCAAAAAACGTACCGGAATTACAGAAAAATCGTGTTGTCATCTCTGCACCGTACAAGGACAGAAACGACCTGTTTCCAAGAATGACATTATATAGCATCCCTGCCTTTTCGTTGACGGGGGAGACTGTATTATCCTCTAAAAGGTGCCACGAAGAATATTCAGAAAGGGTAAAATGACAAAATTAAAAGGAACGAAGGTGTATAGAAAGGCCAATTCTAAAAACCTAAATGCTGGAGGCGGCGGGGTGGCCTGTGGTTGGTCTCTGCAAATTTTCTCCGGATCTGACAGAGATCCAGTTCCGTCACCTCCAGGGCACAACGTAAGACCCCTGTTTCTGCAGTTCTGCCTTTTTAATTGATCGCCAGCGCTTTCTGGAAGATGATAGAATAAGGCCAGATTGTACGTGCCGGGGTGCTGATCTTCATGACTGGGGTATGTGTGTGTGTTCTCCAAAATTAAAGGAGCAAAGTGAGACCACAGATTGTACAATTCCATTCGAATCACATGTCCAGAATAGGAAAATCTACTGGGGCAGAGGGTGGATCAGTAGTTGCTTAGGACTGGGGGAACAAGGATGGGATAACTACGGAGGGAGGGATCTGAAGATGGCAAGTCAGCTTCCTTGGGGGGTGATAAAGATATCCTAAAAGTGACTCTGAGTGCCTTAAATAGATGCATTGTACGATATGTCAGTTATAGCCCGACAAACCTGCTTTGAAGAAAAAGAAGGCAGATTGTGAAATACACATAATAAATGGAAGCAAAGCAAATGACAATGATTTTTAAATTTATTTTTATTTTTTGTAGAGATGGGGGTGTCTAGCTAGGTGGCCCGGGCTGGTCTCAAACTCATGGGCTCAAGCAATCCTCCAGCCTTAGCCTCCGAAAATGCTGGGACCACAGATGGGAGTCACCACCGTACCCATCCATACAACTTTTTTTTTTTTTAATGTGAGACTACAAAATTATGAGGACATATCATATATTTGGAAAACTAAGGTAGAAAATCTCTACTTGTGATTGTTTTAAAAGTGTATTCATTGGCCGGGCATAGTGGCTCACGCCTGTCATCCCAGCACTTTGGGAGCTCGAGGTGAGCAGATCACCTGACATCAGGAGTTCAAGACCAGCCTGCCAACGTGGTGAAACCCCATCTCTACTAAAAATAGGAAATTCACCTGGTGGCAGGTGCCTGTAATCCCAGCTACTCGGGAGGCTGAGGCAGAAGAATCGCTTGAACCCAGGAGGTGGAGATTGCACTGAGCTGAGATCACGCCACTGCGCTCCAGCCTGGGTGACAGAGCAAGACTCCATAAAAAAAAAAATTATAACCTAATGATTAAATACTGTAGGGAAGAGCTTACCACAATTGCTGGCCCATGGCCAATGCTGGGTATAAGACAGCTACTGCAAACAACCATGATGATGATACATCTCTTGTGTAGGGTTAGGTTGTTTGAGACACATTCTATGCTCCTTGATTTGATTGGAAGGTACCTTGGTTCCTTGGGGACTTGGAGGTGATGAAAGCCTCCCTGGGGACAAAACTCACCTTCACTTCTCTAATATCAAGCTTCAGCAACCTGCTCCAGCTACAGCACAGGGTTGGACAGGCCCAACAACAGAGGAAATCCACAAAGTGTGTCTTGACACATACATCCACGGGGTCTAACGAGGTGAGGCCAATGACTGCTTCCACACACCCCAGCCAGACTCTGACTTCACTCCCGGCAGGTTTCAGTAGACTTGGCAGCAGTTGGAGCGAGCTGGCTTCTTGCGGTAGGCAGCCATGTTGGAAGAGCTCCCAATAGTCCTCGTTTCCTGGTAATCTCATGCTTGGATCATCTTCTTCTCTTGAGTGAAGAGAAGAACTGCAGAGAGAGACAGAGACAGAGAGACAGATCACAGGGGCAGTTTCCCCCATACTGTTCTCAAGATAAATGAGTCAACTCTTACACCTCTTTTCTCTGGTGTAAAACAAGGCTGGTGAACAGGCAGAGAGAACTGGGGTGTTGGAGTAGCATTGACCTTCCTTCTTCATCCCTCTATAATCTCTCCTAGTGCAGGAGTAGGAAAACTAAAAATCACACGTCTGATCATCTGTGATCTCAGAGTCTTGGACAAGCCTTGCTTGCCAATCAGCAGGGATGGGAGTTGGAGCCATCTCCAAGTGTCCCCCCACAAATCTATGTCCACCTGGAAGTTTCAAATGCAACTTTATTTGGGAAAAGCAATTTTGCAAATGTTATTAAGTGAAGGATCTAGGGATGAGATCATCCTGGAGTAGGGTGGGTCCTAGGTCAAATGACAGGAAATCTGCCCACCTCGGCCTCCCAAAGTGCTGGGATTACAGGCATGAGCCACCAAACCTGGCCTATCATTGATTTAATGATTAATACGGTTAGGCTCTGTGTCCCCACCCAAATCTCATCTCAAATTGTAATTCCCATGTGTCCAGGGAGGGAGCTTGTGGAAGGTGATTGGATCACAGGGGCAGTTTTTGTCATGCTGTTCTCATGATAAATGAGTCAATTCTCAGAAGAGATGATGGTTTTAAAGTGTGGCACTTCTTTGCTCTCTTGCTCTCTCTCTCTCCTGAGTAGACTGGCTCATTCTTTCTACTGGTTACAAGCAATAGAAGTGATAACAAAATTGATGGTTTCTCATTTCCTAAATGGTACCAGTGGATTCCTGGTTTCCTCTCTCTCTCTTCTCTCTCTCTATCAACTTTTCCCTCAATCTCTCTATCAACCTCCCTCTCTCTCAATCTCAATCTCTCTCAGTCTCATTCTCAATCTCTTTTGCTCAATCTCTTTCTCAGCTTCTCTCCCTCAATTTCTCTTTTGCAACTTCTCTCTCTCAGTCTGTGTCTCTCAATCTCCCTCTCTCAATCTCTCTTGTAGTCTCCCTGTCTCTCATACTCTCTCTGTTTCTGTCTGTCTCTGCCCTTGCTCTAGGGAAAGCAAGTTCTTATGCTGTAAGTTCTCCTGTAAAAAGGTCCACATGATACGGAACTGGCCATCTTTGGCCAACATGAGTGAGTTTAGAAGTGTGCCTTTCACCAGTTGAGCCTTCAAATGAGATCCCAGCCCTGGATGACACAGTGACAGTAACCTGCTAGGAACTGTGAACCAGAGGCACCCAGCCAAGCTGCTCCCAGACTCCCAACCCAGTGAAACCATAAGATAATAAATGCATGTTGTTTTAAGCTGCTAAGTTTGGGGGTCACTTGTTACACAGCAACAGCTGACTCATACATTTTCTTTGAAATTGATTTCCACTTCTGTCACCAGCATCATTCCATAAATTTGCTCTATGTGCATTGCTGACCTGCAGTAGAAGTTTTGGAGAAGTGAACCACATCCCCTTATCTGCCATTTGACAGCAAGCAGCCTCAAACATTCATAATTTCTTTCCTGACTCTCCACTCCACACTGTTGCCTGCCTTCCTGGTTCCAGATCTTTGGATCTGGACTGACACCTGGGCACTGTCATAGGCATCCGTGTGAAGAGACCACCAACAGGCTCTGTGTGAGCAATAAAGCTTTTTAATCACCTGGGTGCAGGTGGGCTGATTCTGAAAAGAGAGTCAGCAAAGAGTGGTGGGATTATCATTAGTTCTTATAGGTTCGGGATAGGTGGTGGAGTTAGGAGCAATTTTTTGTGGGCAGGGAGTGGATCTTACAAAGGACATTCTCAAGGGTGGGGATGATTTTACAAAGTACCTTCTTAAGGGCGGGGGAGGATATTACAAAGTACCTTCTCAAGGGTGGGGATGATTTTACAAAGTACCTTCTTAAGGGCGGGGGAGGATATTACAAAGTACCTTCTCAAGGGTGGGGGTGGATATTAGAAAGTACCTTCTTAAGGGCGGGGGAGGATATTACAAAGTACCTTCTCAAGGGTGGGGGAGGATATTACAAAGTACCTTCTCAAGGGTGGGGGAGGATATTACAAAGTACCTTCTCAAGGGTGGGGATGATTTTACAAAGTACCTTCTTAAGGGCAGGGTGGATATTACAAAGTACCTTCTCAAGGGTGGGGGTGGATATTACAAAGTACCTTCTCAAGGGTGGGGATGATTTTACAAAGTACCTTCTTAAGGGCGGGGGAGGATATTACAAAGTACCTTCTCAAGTGTGGGGGTGGATATTACAAAGGACATTCTCAAGGGTGGGGATGATTTTACAAAGTACCTTCTTAAGGGCAGGGGAGGATATTCCAAAGTACCTTCTCAAGGGTGGGGAGGATATTACAAAGTACCTTCTTAAGGGCGGGGGAGGATATTACAAAGTACCTTCTCAAGGGTGGGGGTGGATATTAGAAAGTACCTTCTCAAGGGTGGGGAGGATATTACAAAGTACCTTCTCAAGGGTGGGGGTGGATATTACAAAGTACCTTCTCAAGGGTGGGGATGATTTTACAAAGTACCTTCTTAAGGGTGGGGGTGGATATTACAAAGTACCTTCTCAAGGGTGGGGGAGGATATTACAAAGTACCTTCTCAAGGGTGGGGATGATTTTACAAAGTACCTTCTTAAGGGCAGGGTGGATATTACAAAGTACCTTCTCAAGGGTGGGGGTGGATATTACAAAGTACCTTCTCAAGGGTGGGGATGATTTTACAAAGTACCTTCTTAAGGGCAGGGGAGGATATTACAAAGTACCTTCTCAAGTGTGGGGGTGGATATTACAAAGGACATTCTCAAGGGTGGGGATGATTTTACAAAGTACCTTCTTAAGGGCAGGGGAGGATATTCCAAAGTACCTTCTCAAGGGTGGGGAGGATATTACAAAGTACCTTCTTAAGGGCGGGGGAGGATATTACAAAGTACCTTCTCAAGGGTGGGGGTGGATATTACAAAGTACCTTCTTAAGGGCAGGGGAGGATATTACAAAGTACCTTCTCAAGGGTGGGGGTGGATATTAGAAAGTACCTTCTCAAGGGTGGGGAGGATATTACAAAGTACCTTCTCAAGGGTGGGGGTGGATATTACAAAGTACCTTCTCAAGGGTGGGGATGATTTTACAAAGTACCTTCTTAAGGGTGGGGGAGGATATTACAAAGTACCTTCTCAAGGGTGGGGGTGGATATTACAAAGGACATTCTCAAGGGTGGGGATGATTTTACAAAGTACCTTCTTAAGGGTGGGGGAGGATATTACAAAGTACCTTCTCAAGGGTGGGGGTGGATATTACAAAGTACCTTCTTAAGGGCAGGGGAGGATATTACAAAGTACCTTCTCAAGGGTGGGGATGATTTTACAAAGTACCTTCTTAAGGGCGGGGGAGGATATTACAAAGTACCTTCTCAAGGGTGGGGGTGGATATTAGAAAGTACCTTCTCAAGGGTGGGGATGATATTACAAAGTACCTTCTCAAGGGTGGGGGTGGATATTACAAAGTACCTTCTCAAGGGTGGGGATGATTTTACAAAGTACCTTCTTAAGGGCGGGGGAGGATATTACAAAGTACCTTCTCAAGGGTGGGGGTGGATATTACAAAGTACCTTCTTAAGGGCAGGGGAGGATATTACAAAGTACCTTCTCAAGGGTGGGGATGATTTTACAAAGTACCTTCTTAAGGGCGGGGGAGGATATTACAAAGTACCTTCTCAAGGGTGGGGAGGGTGTGTTGTACAAAATACATTCACAAGGGTGGGGGACTATCAGAAAGTACATTATCACAAGGGCGGGGAGGGTGTATTGTCACAAAGTCAATTGATCAGTTAGGGTTGGGCAGGAACAAATCACAATGGTGGAATGTCATCAGTTAAGACAGGAACTGGCTATTTTCACTTCTTTTGTGGGTCTTCAATTGCTTCAGGCCACCTGGATGTATACGTGCAGGTCACAGGGGATATGATGGCTTAGCTTGGGCTCAGAGGCCTGACAGGCACTGCTTACTCACTGATGAGTCTCCGTTGGGACTTACTTCCAGGACTCCATCAGCAGGGGATTTTTCTGCTTCAAGGGCTCATGCTGGGCACATGAATGGAAGGGTTGATTCCTCCTGGAGGCGTCGAGGGAGATGCCTCCAAAAGGAGGAACTGACTCTCTTTGACCAACGTCACATGATAGCAACCTGCCAGGAACCAGGAACCAGAGACACGTATCCAACCAAAAGGCACCTGCCTCTTCCCCAGCTCCTGCTGGTTTGTGGGGCAACCCTGGGAGTCCTTGTCTTGCAAATGTGTTGTCTAGCTCTCCTCCTGAATGAGGCATCACCTGCATTCTCCACCTGCGTTCTTTGGAAGAGCTTTGCAGCCTCTCAGGAGAGCTGCTCACCTGTCCCCCCTGCCTGCTCATTGCCCTGTGCAAACCAGAGTCCTGAGACACTCCCCAAAGGTTGGTCCCTACCAACCCAGGTTGCCTCTTGTTTCTTGCAACAAGACAGCAAAAGACGCTGCAGAAGGATCGCTTACCTTGTTTGGAAAGAGAGCCCACCCTTTCACCTCGCTGGCAAACATTTTCTTGTGTCCTAATGAGAACCCCAAGGAATACCCCGGGATGTGAGGAGAGGGAGCGTCCGCCCGGCGGCCCGCCCCAAGGAGCCTGAGGCTGTCCTGCACACATCACCACACACACTCTCTGCATTGCAGTCCCATGTTTATAGAGAAGATTACAGGTGAGTTTCCAAAATCCCAGCCCATGCTGCCCCTACCTGACGATGTTTGATTTCCGAATTCCTTTAATTTCAGCAAATGGATATTGGCTGTGGGTCAGCATAGATTTTTTCCGGTTATTTAAACAACATTTCAGATGCTTTTCCTGGCATCATTAGCTGAATGCTTCTACTGACAGCTGGAATCATTCAAACATCTGAGACAAGAGAGTGAACAGGACGTTCACTTGTTACCGTATCTCCTCGCTTCTCAACCACCACCCCTGAAATTCGCAGACTGTCACTGGGGAGCCTGTGAACGTGGCTGAACGCAAACGGATTTAAAACTTGACAGGTGTTTCCAGCATGGAAAGGAACAAGGACTATAACGGCGAATAATAATAATAATAATAATAATAAAAGACAAATTAGGGATCAAGATCCAGTCTGTTTTTGTCTCATTTATAGTCTTTTCTCCAAGAGGTTGTAGGCTGGTACCATTTCACTAGGTTAAAAGCCTACGGTGTCAAGAGGTGCTAAGCTTTGCTGCTGTCTCTTGCTTGGCAAGACAAGCTCCGAGTCTTTCTGGAACTGACAATTGTGTGTGGGCATTTTCTTGTTTCTGGGGTTCTTTGCATGCATAGGGGCTGATCTTTGATATCCACTCTGGACTCCTCTCTGCAAACCTCTGGACATGCCACAGACAGCAGCTGTAACTTACTGAGGTCAACCTGCTTACAACCCACGTACCAACCCCATGGAGGTGATTGTCGTATGACTAACAGCAGGCAGTTAAGGAGAAAGTCATGCTTTACAAACGAGTCTGTGACTAGAAATCACAGGACCTGATGAATCCCTCAGAAACCCAAGAGGGATGGACTAACATTAAGGGGTTGTGGACTGTCCAGCCGTGCAGGGACAGTCTCCAAGAAGATGCTTTAGACACAACGGTGAATTCTGCAGGCGCTAGTTTGCATGCATATTTAGGCGTAGATATTCAAATGCATGAAGGATGTCAGTTTTCTTTTCTTTCTTTTTTCCTTCTTTCTTTCTTACTTTCTTTCCTTCCTCCCTTCCTTCCTTCCTTTCTTCTTTCTTTCTTTCCTTCCTTCCTGCTTTCCTTCCTTCCTTTCTTTTCTTTCTTTCCTTCCTTCCTTGCTTCCTTCCTTCCATCTTTCTCTTTCTCTTTTTCTTTCTTTCTCTCCTTCCTTCTTTCCTTCCTTCCTTCCCTTCCCTTCCTTCCTTCCTTTTTCTTCTTCTCTTTCTTTCTTTCTTTTTCTTTCCTTCCTTCCTTCTTTCTCCTTCCTTCCTTCCATTTTTCTTTCTTTCTTTCTTTCTTTCTCTCTCTCTCTTTCTTTCTTTCTCTCTCTCTCTTCTTCCTTCCTTCCTTCCATTCTTCTTTCTTTCTTTCCTTCCTTCCTTTCTTCTTTCTTTCCTTCCTTCCTTGCTTCCTTCCTTCCATCTTTCTTTCTTTCTTTCTTCCTCTCCTTCCTTCTTTCCTTCCTTCCTTCCCTTCCCTCCTTCCTTTTTCTTCTTCTCTTTCTTTCTTTCTCTTTCCTTCCTTCCTTCCTTCTTTCTCCTTCCTTCCTTCTTTCCTTCCATTTTTCTTTCTTTCTTTCTCTTTCTTTCTCTCTCTCTTTCCTTCCTTCCTTCCTTCCTTCCTTCCTTCCTTCCTTCCTTCCTTCTTTCTTTCTTTCTTTCTTTCTTTCTTTCTTTCTTTCTTTCCTTCTTTCTTTCTCTCTCTCTCTCTCTCCCTCTCTTCTTCCTTCCTTCCTTCCTTTCTTTTTAAGAGTCTTGCTCTGTCACCAGGCTGGAGTGCAGAGGCGCCATCTCGGCTCAATGCAACCTCCACCTCCTGGGTTCAAGCGATTCTCCTGCCTCAGCCTCCCAAGTTGCTGGGATTACAAGCATGCGCCACCACTCCCAGCTAATTTTTGTATATTTAGTAGAGATGGGGTTTCACCGTGTTGGCCAGGCTGGTCTTGAATTCCTGACCTCGTGATTCGCCCACCTCAAATTCCCAAAGTGCTGAGATGACAGGCGTGAGCCACTGTGCCTGGCCAAGAGTGCCAGTTTTCTAAACACGGGCACACACTTAATTTAATCTACAAATGTTTAAAAATGAGATGTGCAGCCTGGCATAGTGGCTCATGCCTGTAATCCCAGCACTTTGGGAGGCCGAGACGGGTGGATCATGACTCCAGGAGATCGAGACCATCCTGGAAAACACGGTGAAACCCCGTCTCTACTAAAAATACAGAAAAATTAGCCGGGTGTGGTGGCGGGAACCTGTAGTCCCAGCTACTTGGGAGGCTGAGGCAGGAGAATGGCGTGAACCCGGGAGGTGGAGCTTGCAGTGAGCCCAGATCGCACCACTGCACTCCAGCCTGGGCGACAGAGCGAGACTCCCTCAAAAAAAAAAAAAAAAAAAAAAAAAAGAGAGATATGCAATAGAGTTAATAACCATTTACTGTATTCTTGAAAATTGCTAACAATAGATGTCAACTGTTCTCAACAAAGGAAAATGGTAAGTATGTGAGCAAAGGCCAATGTTAATTAGCTCAATGTATCCATTCCACAATATTTATACACATCAAAACTTTACGTGCGGCCAGGCATGGTGGCTCATGCCTGCAATCCCAGCGCTTTGGGAGGCTGAAGTGGGAGAATTACCTGAGGTCAGGTGTTCAAGTCCAGCCTGGTCAACATAGTGAAACCTCGTCACTACTAAAAACACAAAAATTAGCCGGGCATGGTGGCGGGCACCTGTAACCCCCAGCTACTCGGGAGGCTGAGGCAGGAGAATCTCTTAAACCCGGGAGGTGGAGGTTGCAGTGAGCTGAGATCGTGCCACTGCACTCCAGCCTGGGCAAAGAAGCGAGACTCCATCTCAAAAAACAAAAAAACAAGAAAGCAAAAAAAAAAGTTATGTGGTGCACCTGAACATATGCAATTTTCTTCTGTCAGTTAAAAAATGAAGTGTGCTCAGGAGGCTGAGGCAGGAGAATTGCTTGAACCTGGGAAGCAGAGGTTGCAATGAGCCGAGATCACACCACTGCACTCCAGCCTGGGCAACAGAGTGAGACTCTGTCTCAAAAAAAAAAAAAAAAAAAAAATGAAGTGTGTAAACATTTCCAAAATGTACCCAGTTGCAGGGAGCAATGTTGCATATGTTTAAACCCAGCACTTTGGGAGACTGAGCCAGGAGGACTGCTTGAGCGTAGGAGTTTGAGAACATCCTGGGCAACATAGCAAGACTTCATCTCTACAAAACGTAAACAAAAACATTAGCCAGGTGTGTGGCTGAAGTCCCAGCTCCCCGGAAGGCTGAGGCAGTGGGACTGCTCAAGCCGAGGAGTTCAAGCCTGCAGTGAACCACAATCATGCCACTGGACTCCAGCCTGGGCAACAGAGTCAGATCCCATTTCTACAAAAATAAAAAATTTAGGCCGGGTGCAGTGGCTCATGCCTGTAATCCCAGCACTTTGGGAGGTCGAGGCGGGTGGATCACGAGGTCAGGATTTTGAGACCAGCCTGACCAACATGGTGAAACCCTGTCTCTACTAAAAATACAAAAATTAGCCGGACGCGGTGGCATGCATCTGTAATCCCAGCTACTCAGTAGGCTGAGGCAGAGAATTGCTTGAATCCAGGAGGCAGAGGTTGCAGTGAGCCAAGATTGTGCCACGGCAATCCAGCCTGGGCAACAGAGAGAGACTCTGTCTCAAAAAAATAAAAATAAAAATTTAACCAGGCATGGTAGTGCATGCCTGTAGTTTCAGCTACTTGGGAGGCTGAGGCAGGAGGATGACTTGAGCCCAGGAGTTGCAGGCTGCCGTGAGCCATGATCAGGTCACTGCACTCCAGCCTGGGCAACAGAAGCAAGACCCCATCTCTACAAAAATAAAAAAAATAACCAGGCATGGTGGTGCTTGCCTGTAGTTCCAGCTACTTGGGAGGCTGACGCAGGAGGATGACTTGAGCCCAGGAGTTGGAGGCTGCTGTGAGCCATGATCAGGCCACGGCACTCCAGCCTGGGCAACAGAGCAAGATCCCATCTCCACAAAAATAAAAAAGTTATCAAGGCATGGTGGTGCATGCTTGTAGTTTCAGCTACTTGGGAGGCTGAGGCAGGAAGATGACTTGAGCCCAGGAGTTGGAGGCTGCAAGTGAGCCATGATCAGGCCACTGCACTCCAGCCTGGGCAACAGAGACAGACTCCATCTCTACAAAATAAATAAATAAATAAATAAATAAATAAATAAATAAATAAATAACCAGGCATGGTGCTGCATGCCTGTAGTCCCAGCTACTTGGGAGGCTGAGGCAAGAGGATCTCTTGAGCCCAGGAGTTGGAGGCTGCTGTGAGCCATGATCAGGTCACTGCACTCCAGCCTGGGCAACAGAGCAAGACCCCATCTCTACAAAAATAAAAAAAAAACAGGTATGGTGGTGCATGCCTGTATTCCCAGCTACTTGGGAGGCTGAGGCAGGAGGATGACTTGAGCCCAGGAGCTGGAGGCTGCTATGAACGATGATCAGGCCACTGCACTCCATCCTGGGCAACAGAGCAAGACTCTGTCTCTATAAAAAAAAATAATAAAAATAAAGATAAAATGTACCCAGCTGATGATATTCCACAATCACTTCAGTGAAAATCTGGTTTCCTTTGAGCAGCCTAGATTTCTTTTTCTGACAGAAGCCTTCCTTTTTCCAACATGCTTACTGGTCTGACTGAATTCTACATAAAACCCTCACCATTTTTTTTTTGTTTGTTTGTTTTGAGACAGAGTTTTGCTCTTGTTGCCCAGGCTGGAGTGAAATGGCTTAGGGCTTGGAGGGAAGCTCTTAATGAAATATTCTTAGAAGCTTGTCAGTAGCCTGGGTGTCCTAAGATAATTGTGTGTATATACACATACATACATAATGTATATATGTGTATATATATAATTATAAATAATATATAGTAATATATAGCATATATTATATATAATAATATAATTTATATATAAATTATATATAGTGTAATATATAACATATAGTATATATAGCATATATTATATATAATTATGCACATAATATATATTTTATATATTATGCACATAATATATGCATACGTATAGCATATATTATATATAATTATGCACACAATTATGCACACATAATATACGGTATATATACTATATGTTATGTATAGTATATTACACTATATAATATGTTATATGTAGTATATATACTATATATTATATAAACGATATAATAGTTATGTTATATATTATCTTACATTATGTATATATTATATAGAATAATTATATATACTATATATACTATATATACTACATGTAATATATAATATATAGTATAGTATATTATATATAGTATAGTAATTATATAATATAGTATATTATACATAATATATATTATAATATATAATGTAGTATATACTATATATTATAATATATAATATAGTATATACTATATATAATATATAGCATATATTATATATGTAATTCCAGGCTAATACATAATATATATGTTATATATATTATATATAATTCTAGACTAATATATGTTTGTATAATATATACAAATGTTTGTTCTGTTTTTTCTATATATAATATATATTCTAGGCTGAAATATATATTTGTGATATATAATATTTTATATATGTATATATTATATATTTATAGTATATAATTTATTTACATATTATATATTTATAACATATAATTTATTTAATTTGTAATATAATATATTTAATTTACAATATATAGTATATTTAATTTCTAACATATCTTATATATTTACATATTAAATATATTTATTATATATGTATTTATATGTATATATTTCAGCCTAGAGGACAATTATCTGAGGACGCCCAGGTTACTGACAAGTCTCTGAAGATGTTTCATATATATATAGATTTATCTGTGATTTGAGACAGGGTCTCACTGTCCCCCAGGCTGGAGTGCAATACCACAATCACAGCTCTCTGCAGCCTCGACCTCCCAAAGCTCAGGTGATCCTCCTGCCTCAGCACCTCCGAGTAGCTGGGATTACAGGCACCCGCCACCACACCTGGCTAATTTTTGTATTTTTAGTAGAGACAGGGTTTCACCATGTTGCCTAGGCTGGTCTCGAACTCCTGACCTCAGGTGATCCGCCCGCCTCGGCCTCCCAAAGTGCTGGGATGACAGGCGTGAGCCGCCTCTCCTGGCCTGGGCTGAACTATATTATAGGGTCTCTGCAGTTCTGCCAGAGGATCAGGAAGACGGCCCAGCTCAGAAGCCACAGGCCAGCGAGCATCTCTCCGGATTCCCAAGACTTGGGTCAAACCTCTGCAGAAATGTTTGTCTGTTTTTTTTTTTTTCTGGAATCTTCTTTTTCAGCTGCTGTCCCCAATCTCAGGCCTGATTTCATGCACTTTTATGCACTTTCAGAAGTGCACGAAAGGGACCAAGAGAAGTCTCATTTGCAGCTGAGGACAGCCCTCAGCAGCAGCTCATTAAACAGCCATTTAATGCCCAGTGTTTCCAAACTTGATCATGGCTCGAAGTGGGGGGATTTACGCTGTGGAGGCAGCATCTTTCTTAATCCAAAGCTGTCACCTCGGATGCCACGACGGTGTGTGAAAATCTCTTGGGAGCGCCAGAACCCAGGGCCACACGGTCGGCAGAAACGAAATGAAGAAATTACAGTAATTTTCTAGTTTAACGAGGTCGCGTTCCTTCTGTTGTCATTCACCAGCTACAACGAGAGGAGCCCAAATTTTCTGCCCCTGGCATTTTTTTTTAAACAGAATTTCACATGCAAACAAAAATAGATTGCTCTAAAAATGAGTGTTTTGGAGGTTTTCAGTACAGGCAGGTGGGAGGGGAAGAGAGATTTTCAATAAGGAGAGAAGGCTCACTTTGGAGACCTTGTTTCTGCGTCTCGTGAATAGACTCTTGTTTTATTACTACTTTTCAATTTTTATGGTTTTAGAGACAGGGTCTGGCTCTGTTGCCCAGGCTGCAGTGCAGTGGTGCAATCATAGCTCACTGCAGCCTCGACTTTCTGGGTTCATGCGATCCTCCTGCCTCAGCCTCCCGAGTAGCTGGGAGCACAGGTGCCCACCACCACACCCAGCTAATGTTTTGTTTTTTTTTGTAGAGATGGGGACTCTCTATGTTGCCCAGGGTGGTCTTAAACTCCTGGTCTTAAACGATCCTCTTACCTCAGCCTCCCAAGATGCTGGGATTACTATCTCTGGCCTGGTTATCATCTTTGTTTATCAATGGAAAGGTATGCATTTTGCAGATACCTGGCTTGTAGCTTTTTGGGGTTATTTTGACACGGAGTCTCACTCTGTTACTGAGGCTGGAGTGCAGTGATGCAATCTCAGCTCACTGCAGCCTCCACCTCCTGGGTTCAAGCGATTCTCTTGCCTCAGTCTCCCGAGTAGCTGGGATTACAGGTGCCTGCCACCACGCCCGGCTAATTTTTGTATTTTTAGTAGAGACAGGGTTTCACTGTGTTGGCCAGGCTGGTCTCAAACTCCTGACCTCAGGTGATCCACCCACCTCAGCCTCCCAAAGTGCTGGGATTACAAGTGTTAGCCACTGCACCCGGCTGCTTGAAACTTTTATAGAGATGGGGTCTTGCTCTGTCTCTCTAGCTGCCATGCAATGGCTTGGAGCTGCTCCACGTCATCTTGGTCATCCAAGTCCATATAGCACCAACATCTTCCTGAGCTCAGAGAGCACTGAAGGCAAATAGAGCCCCTTCCCTTCCCTTCCCTTCCCTTCCCTTCCCTTCCCTTCCCTTCCCTTCCCTTCCCTTCCCTTCTCTCCCCTCCCCTCCCATCCCCCTCCCCTCCCCTCCCGTTCCCCTCCCCTCCCCCTCCCCCCCCTCCCCTCCCCCTCCCCTCCCCCTCCCCTCCCTCTCTCCTTTTTCTTCTCTTCTCTTCTCTTCTCTTCTCTTCTCTTCTTTCTCTTCTCTTCTCTTTTCTTTTCTTTTCAATGGAGTTTCGCTCTTGTCGCCCAGGCTGGAGTGCAGTGGTGCAAACTCGGCTCACAGCCTGGGCAACATAGCAAGAGTCTATCTCTACAAAAAAATACAAAAAATTACCTGGGCATGGTGGCCCACACCTGTAGTCCCAGCTACTTGGGAGGCTGAGGTGGGAGGATCACTTGAGCCTGGGAGGTCAAGCCTGCAGTGAGCTATGATCATGCCACGGCACTCCAGCCTGGGTGACAGAGCAAGACCCTGTCTAAAAAAATAATAATAATAAAATAAAATAAATGTATATCTCTGTCCTTTATGTATTTCCCCTCTCTCTCTCTCTCTCTCCCTCCCTCTCTCTCTCTCTCTCTCTATATATATATATAAAATGGAGATATATAAAAATATATAAATATAAGAGATAAATATCTAAAGGACATAGATATATTTATTTTATATTATTATATAAAATACATATAAAGGATATCTATCCTTTATGGATCTATCTATATTATCTATATTATACTGTCTATATTATGATCTATTATTATGTTATATCTATAACTATTATAGATATATTTACATTATATTATATCTATATTATCTGTCTGTTATTATAATCTATTATCTATAATATCTATTATATTATCTATATCTATATTATCTGTATCTATATTACTTATATTATTTATATATGCTTTATAGATCTATCTATATTATTTATCTATCTACCTATATTATCTATGTATCTACCATCTATCTATATCATCTATCTATCTACCTATATTATCTATCTGTTTTATCTATCTTATCTATCATCTATCTAGATATATCTTAATATATCATGTAGGCGGGACACGGTGGCTCACGTCTGTAATGCTGGCACTTTGGGAAGCTGAGGCGGGTGGATCACGAGGTCAGGAGCTCGAGACCAGCCTGGCTAACACAGTGAAACCCCGTCTCTACTAAAAATACAAAAAATTATCCAGGTGTGGTGGCATGCACCTGTAATCCCAGCTACTCAGAAGGCTGAGGCAGGAGAATCGCTTGAACCTGGGAGGCAGAGGTTGCAGCGAGCCAAGATTGAGCCATTACACTCCAGCCTGGGTGACAGAGGGAGACTCCATCTCTCAAAAAAAAATATATATATATAATATATATATGTGTGTGTGTGTATATATATATCATCGTATATATGTCATATATGTAGATACCTATATATATCATGTCATATATATATGTGATCCAATTTGCTAACATTTTAGATGTATCTTTATAGATAAGACACACACACACACACACACACACACACACACACACACACATACACACACGCACACGTGACCCAATTTGTTAACATTTTATGAAGGATTTCTGTGTCCGTGTTTGTGGCTGATGCTGGTCTCCATCTCTTTTCACAGTGTCTTTGCTTTTTTGTGGTTTTAGTGTTGAGGTCCTACGGGCCTCCCAGAATGGTTTAGGGAGTGCCTCCACCCCTCCACTGCTGAAAAAGTTTGTGAAAGTTTGCTGTATTTCCTTAGACAGAATTCACTAGACAACCTGGGCCTGGAGATTTCTTTGGGAGCAGACTCTTCATCACAGCCCCGATTTTTAAATGCTAAACAGGACTATCCACATTTTCTACTTCTTCTGATGTCAGCTTTGGTGACCTGTGTCATTCAAGGAATTTGTCTGCTTCACGTCAGTTAAATTCATCGCCATAAGGTTGTGGATGAAATTCTCTTGTCATGTTTTGAATAGTGTTGGCATTTATAACTTCCCTCTTGGTTTTTCTCCTACATCCGTGGCCACCCCCTCTGAGCCTGCTGCATCCCAACCTTTGTCTCGCCCTATAAACATTGCACTGCCCAGGGCTCAGTGGACAGACCTCTCCTCTTCCCTATGCATGTTTAAGCCTTGGGGGATCTCATTCAATCCAATGTAATAATTCCCAAATATATCCATGTCTATCTCATCCCAGTCTCCTCATGGAGCTCCCACTCAGCAATCCAACCAATGACTCCACATCTCAGAGGTCCAGTAACCATCACAAATAAAACAAGCCCAAAACAGGCCACCTTTCATCCCCCTAAAACTCCCCTTCACATCCTCTGCCATTTTGGTGAATGTGCCACTTTGTATGTGGTCATGCACGTAGGTCACTGAAGCCCTTTGGTTACTTCTGAATGTGAAACGTTTATTCCAGCCTCCTGTCTCTCCTTGTTTTTTTTTTTTTAAATTAAAAAAATATATTTTCATAGATTTAGGTGGTACAAGTGACTATGTTACATGGGCGTGTTGTGTAGCGGTGAGGTGTGGGCTTTTAGTGTAACTGTCACCCAATAGTGAACATTGTACCCAACAGATAATTTTTCAACCCTCAACCCCTCTCCTACCCTCAGGCCCTCTTGACCTTCCAAGTCTCTAATGTCTAGTATTCTACTCTCTGTGATCATATCCACACATGGTTGAACTCCCACTTCCACATGAAAACATGCAGTTTTTGGTTTTCTGATTCTGCACTAATGTACTTAGGGGCTGTGATGAAGAGCCTGCTCCCAGACAAATCTCCAGGTGCATGGATGAGGGCCTCCAGCTGCATCTGTGTTTCTGCAAATGACTTGATACCATTCCTTTTTCATGCCTGCATAGTATTCCATGGTGTATAGATACCACATTTTTCTTTTTTTCTTGAGACAGAGTGTTACCCTGTTGCCCAGGCTGGAGTGCAGTAGTGCCATCTTGGCCCACTGCAACTTCTGTCTCCCAGTTTCAAGCAATTCTCCTGCCTCAGCCTCCCGAGTAGCTGGGATTACAGGTGCATGCCACCACGCCCAGTTAATTTTTGTATTTTTAACACAGATGGAGTTTCACCATGTTGGCCAGGCTGGTCTCAAACTCCTGACCTCAGGTGATCCACCCGCCTCGGCTTCTGAAAGTGCTGGGATTACAGGCTTGAGCCACTATGCCTGGCCCACTTTTTTTTAATCCTGTACATTATTGATGTACACTGAGGTTGATTCCATGCCCTTGCTGTTGTGAACGGTGCTGTGGTCAACATCCAAGTACATATAATGACTTCTTTTCCTTTGGGTAGAAACCCTTTCTGAGGATGGCTGGATGGAACACTAGTTCTACTCTTAGTTGTTTGAAAAATCTCCATACTATTTTCCATAGAGGTTGTAATACTTTACATTCCCACTGGCAGTGTACAGCGTTGCCCTCTCACCATATCATCACCAACATCTGTTGTTGTTTGACTTTTTAATAATGGCTATTCTGCTGGTGTGCGATGGTATCTCATTACGGATTTGTTTGGAATTTCTCCTGTCCTTGTTTTATCTGCTTATCATGCACTTCCCTCCAGGGTCTCATAACCCCTTCCCTCACTTCCCCAAGATTCTGCACTAAATGTCACTTTAACTTCCAACTCTTTCTTTTTATATAAAAAAAATTATTTCCATAGGTTGTTGTGAACAGGTGGTGTTTGGTTACATGAGTAAGGTCTTTTTTTTTTCTTTTGTTTGTGTGTGTGTGTGTTTTTTTTGTTGGTGGTGGTGGTTGTCTTTTTTTTTTTTTAACAATAGTTGGCATTTATTGACCCAGATAATATCCAAGGCAAGTCAACAATGGCATCATAAATATTAATGAAGTCCTTCCATAAACACTATATGTTATTGGCATTATTTCCCCAGTACATCTCTATAAAGACATTGAGTCATAGCAAAAAGTGAGTCAGTATAATTTGAGAGCCTGGACCATTAATGACTTAGCTATAATCAATTTAGTAAGTAAAACGATTTTCCATTTGAATTTGTTTCTTTGGTTATTAGTGAGATGAACACATTTGTAATATTTTAGTAGAATATTTGAATCTTTTAATAAATGACCCTCTCAACACATTTTCATTAATCTGTTGCAGTGATTGTTCATTTTATACCGACATGAGTAATTTCTTTAGTGGCGACTGGTGAGATTTTGTGGCACCCATCACCTGAGCAGTATACACCAAACCCAATTTGTAGTCTTTTATCCCTCACCCCCTTCCCACTCTTTTCCCCAAGACCCCAAAGTCCATTGCATCCTTGTTTTGTTTTGTTTTGTTTTGAGATGGACACTCAATCTGTTGCCCAGGCTGGAATGCAATGGTGCGATCTTGGCTCACTGCAAGTCCCCAAAGTCCATTGCATCATTCTTTTGTTGTTGAGACAGAGTCTCGCTCTGTCGCCCAGGCTGGAGTGCAGTGGTGCAATCTTGGCTCATTGCAACCTCCACCTGCCAGGTTCAAGTGATTCTCCTGCCTCAGCCTCCCGAGTAGCTGGGATTACAGGTGCCCACCACCATGCCTGGCTAATTTTTTGTATTTTTAGTAGAGACAGGGTTTCACCATGTTAGCCAGGATGGTCTCCATCTCCTGACCCCATAATCCATCCACCTTGGCCTCCCAAAGCACTGAGATGACAGGCATGAGCCACTGCACCCGGCCCAGTCCATTGTATCATTCTTATGCTTTGCCCACTTATGAGTGAAAACGTACAATGTTTGGTTTTCCATTCCTGAGTTACTTTACTTAGAATAATTGTCTCCAGTTCCATCCAGATTGCTAAAAATGCCATTAATTGGTTCCTTTTTATGGCTGAGCAGTATTCCATCATATCCTTGACTCCCAGCTCCTTCTAAACAGCTCCTGCACCCCATCTCCTTCTCTCTCCCTCCATCTCTCTTTCTCTCTCTCACTTTTTCTCTCTCTGTATTTAGAGACAGGCTCTCACTCTGTCAACGAGGCTGGTGTGCAGTGGTGAAATCACAGCTTACTGAAGCCTCAACCTCTTGGCCTCAAGCAATCTTCCCACCTCAGCCTCCCAAGTAGCTGGGACCACAGGTGCACACCACCATGCCTGGCTAATTTCTAGTAGAGAGGGAGGGTCTCACTATATTGCACAGGCTGGTCTTAAACTCTTGGGCTCAAGTGATCCTCCCACCTCAGCCTCCCGAGTAGCTGGGACCACAGGTGCATGCCACCAAGCCTGGTTAATTTTTAATAGAGAAGGGGGGGTCTCCCTATGTTGCCCAGGCTGGTCTTAAACTCCTGGGCTCAAGCAATCCTCCCACCTCAGCCTTCCAAGTATCTGGGGCCACAGGTGCACACCACCATGCCTGGCTAATTTCTAGTAGAGAAGGAGGGTCCCACTATATTGCATAGGCTGGTCTTAAACTCTTGGGCTCAAGTGATCCTCCCACCTCAGCCTCCCAAAGTGCTGGGATTACAGGCGTGAGCCACTTCACCCAGCCCCAATCACTGTCAGACTCCCAGCCTTTCAGTCTACTTACCGTCTTGTGAGATTGTATCTGATTTTCGACTGATGTATTTCCTGATTGGCTGTGTCCTCCAGTAAGATGGGAACTCGGTGAGAACAGAGAATGTACTTCTGTATTTCCCTCTCGTGTGCCTGGAAGACAAGCAGGTGCTCGTCTAAGTGGGTGGATCTGTTTCTTCTTGCTGCTGTAAAAAGTGATCCTAAATGCAATGGTTCCAAACGGCACCTCTTCATCATCCTACGGTCACTGTGAGTCAGACATCAGGCACAGCGTCGCCAGCTGCATCCCCTCCTCAGAGCCTTCTATGGCCACAATTATGAGATCCACGCAGTAGGCTCTGACTGAGGGTCCTAAGAGATGGTCCATGTCCGCATTCAGGCAGGTCATTTGCCCAAGCTCAGTTCCTTGGGGTTGCAGGAATGAGGTTCCCAATGCAGGACCTGGCTTTGCTCTTGGAGGTGCTCATGGTCCTTCTCCTGCCCCCACCTGGGACCCCTGTAGCAAGGGCAGGCTGAGTTTCTCTGTGCTTGGAACCCTCCTGATGCCGTCTTCTCCTTGTCTCTCTGACTCCAGGCACAGAAAGTTCTTTGCTATGGAGAGCGCATCTGATTAGATTGGACCCACTTGGATAAGTTTGGCAAACTGAATCCCATCTTTAAAGTCCCCTTTGCCATCCAAGGTCATATTGAAGCTTAGAAAATGATACCCTAAATGAAGGCTTTATCAGCAGCCTGAGAGGCAAATGTTTCTCTCTTTGACCTTCTCTTATCCTCCTGCCTCTCAGTCCCATTCTCCTCTGAGACACCACCAGAGAAACTAGAATTTTTCTTCCCCCCACATGGGTCTTGGAATTCAGAACTTCTTTTCCTCAAAGACATCATAGAAACTAGAATCCCTCTTCCCCAGCACGGGTCCTAGAAACAGGACCCCCCCAAGCCAGGCACTGTGGCTCACACCTGTAATTCCAGCACTTTGGGAGGCCAAGGCAGGTGGATCACCTGAGGTCAGGAGTTCGAGACCAGCCTGGTCAACATGGTGAAACCCTGTCTCTAGTAAAAATACAAAAACTACCAGGCGTGGTGGCAGGCACCTGTCATCCCAGCTACCGGGGAGGCTGAGGCAGGAGAATCGCTTGAACTTGGAAGGCGGAGGTTGCAGTGAGCCGAGATTGTGCCACTGCTCTCCAGCCTGGGTGATGCAGCAAGACTCAGTC
Organism: Homo sapiens; assembly: GCF_000001405.40. Taxonomy (NCBI): domain Eukaryota; kingdom Metazoa; phylum Chordata; class Mammalia; order Primates; family Hominidae; genus Homo; species Homo sapiens. Next base: position 615,077 of record NC_000024.10, read on the forward strand.
TCCAAAAAAAAAAAAAAAAAAAAGAAACAGGAACTCTTTTCCCCCAAAGACATCATAGAAACTAGAATCCCTCTTCCCCAACATGGGTCCTAGAAACAGGAGCCCCCAAGCCGGGCACGGTGGCTCATGCCTGTAATCCCAGCTACTCGGGAGGCTGAGGCAGGAGAATCACTTGAACTCGGGAGGCAGAGTTTGCAGTGAGCCAAGATCGTGCCACTGCACTCCAGCCTGGGTGACAGAGCAAGACTCAGTCTCAAAAAAAAAAAAAAAAAAAAGAGAAAGAAAGAAAGAAAAAAAAGAAACAGGAGCCCTTTTTCCCCAAAGACACCAGAAAAACTAGAATCCATCTTCCCCAACAGGGGTTCTAGAAACAGGAGCCCCCAAGCCAGGCGCCGTGGCTCACACCTGTAATCCCAGCACTTTGGCAGACCAAGGCAGGTGGATCACCTGAGGTCAGGAGTTCAAGACCAGCCTGGTCAACATTGTGAAACCCTGTCTGTAGTAAAAATACAAAAACTCCCAGGCGTGGTGGCAGGCACCTGTCATCCCAGCTACTGGGGAGGCTGAGGCAGGAGAATCGCTTGAACTTGGAAGGCAGAGGTTGCAGTGAGCCGAGATTGTGCCACTGCTCTCCAGCCTGGGTGATGCAGCAAGATTCAGTCTCAAAAAAAAAAAGAAACGGGAGCTCTTTTTCCCCAAAGACACCATAGAAACTAGAATCCCTCTTCCCCAACATGGGTCCTAGAAAGAGGAGCCCCCAAGCCGGGCACGGTGGCTCACACCTGTCATCCCAGCACTTTGGCAGACCAAGGAGGGCAGATCACCTGAGGTCAGGAGTTCGAGACCAGCCTGGCCAACATGCTGAAACCCTGTCTCTAGTAAAAATACAAAAACTCCCGGGCGTGATGGCGGACACCTGTCATCCCAGCTACCGGGGAGGCTGAGGCAGGAGAATCGCTTGAACTCGGGAGGCGGAGTTTGCAGTGAGCCAAGATCATGCCACTGCACTCCAGCCTGGGTGACAGAGCAAGACTCAGTCTCAAAAAAAAAAAAAAAAAAAAAAAAAAAAAAAAAAAGAGAAAGAAAGAAAGAAAAAGAAACAGGAGCCCTTTTCCCCCAAAGACATCAGAAAAACTAGAATCCATCTTCCTCAACATGGGTCCTAGAAACAGGAGCCCCCAAGCCGGGCGCGGTGGCTCACACCTGTAATCCCAGCACTTTGGGAGGCTGAGGCGGGCAGATCACCTGAGGTCACGAGGTCGAGACCAGACTGGCCAACATGGTGAAACCCCGTCTCTACCAAAAATAGAAAAAATAGCCAGGCGTGTTGGTGAGCACCTGTAATCCCAGCTACTCGGGAGGCTGAGGCAGGAGGATCGCTTGAACCCGGGAGGCGGAGGTTGCAGTGAGCCAGGATCACACCACTGCACTCCAGCCTGGGCGACTGAGCAAGAGTCAGTCTCAAAAAAAAGAAAGAAACAGGAGCTGTTTTCCCCCAAAGACACCAGAGAAACAAGAATTCCTCTTCCCCCATATGGATCCTAGATACAGGAGCCCCTTTTCCCCAAAACCAGCCATAAAACCCAAAAATAAGACTCTAACTTTCCCTCTACCGTATCTGTATAAAAACCGGTCATAAGGAAATTCGCTGACATACATTGTTTGACTGAAGGTCCTACGACCCCCATTTCAGAGAAGACCCTGCCCCACACCTAAAAGAAAGGAACGCCGCTCAGAGAGGCCGAGAAGATTCTAGACAGACAGGCCTGGCTCTGTTTCCCCACTTAGTCCATTAGCCTTAGGTCAAAGCCCTTTTTGTGCAATCCTGTTTCTACAGGGCTTTGTTAAACCAAAGCACAAAAATGGATAATTTCCCTTTTATCTTTGGGTCTTCCTTTTGAAGCCTCCTGTGTACACACGTGACATAAATGTGTATGTGTTTTCTCCTATTCTATTTTTTTTTTTTTTTTTTGAATCGGAGTCTTGCTCTGTCGCCCAGGCTGGAGTGCAGTGGTGAGATCTTGGCTCACTGCAACGTCTGTCTCCCGGGTTCAAGTGATTCTACTGCCTCAGCCTCCGAGTAGCTGGGATTACAGGCACGCACCACCACGCCTGGCTAATTTTTGTATTTTTAGTAGAGACAGGGTTTCACCATGTTGGCCAGGCTGGTCTCGAACTCCTGACCTCAGGTGATCCGCCCGCCTCGGCCTCCCAAAGTGCTGGGATTGCAGGCGTGAACCACCGCGCCTGACCTCTCCTATTCTTCTGCCTTTTGCAAATTAATTTTTCAGCAAACTTTCAAAGGGCAAAGCTCCCTTGGCCCCCACAGTAAGACAGTCACAGCTTCCGGGGATGAGGGTCTGGATATCTCTTTTTTTGAGGGGGGTGGGGAGATGGGGGCTGGCGTCATTCCATCCCCCACAGGGCTCAGGTACTATTTAATCACTCACAGAATCTGCAAACAGGACCCTTTCACAGCTGGCTTGATCCTGATGCCTGCCTGCGGGCAGTGATGCCTTCAGAGCTCTGTGAGTCTTTTTCCTCCGGGGAACACAGGAATGTCTCCAGCACTCTGGGAGATCAGATCCTCCTAAAGCACCGCAGCCCGTTTTGCAGCAGAAAGGATTTTGGGAAAGCAAATGAGCAGAATAAAAGCTGCAGAGGGTGAAAATGATGGTGTCTCCCTCCAGACCGCAATGGTGTCAGGTACCCTCTGGACCCCCAGGTTGTCACCTCCCCTCCAGACCCCTACGTTCTCATGTCTCATGTCCCCTCCACACACCCACGCTGTCATAGCCCTGGGCATCGTGGCCTGTGTGCAGAAGAACCTCTCGTCCTTGGAGACCCAGAGTCCCCAAATCACCTGGCCACACGGGGGACCCCAGTCTTTCTGGTCCAACCTGGCTGCACCCTGAAGTCACGGAGACCTAGAGACCCCAAAACATGTCCCCCAAAGACACCTTACTGCGCCCTGGTGCAAGGGGCCCCACTCCCAACCTGGAAAGCTGCCTTCCTGACTCCCACACAGACCCCAGACCCGCTGGGAAGGCCCTGGGCGTTTCAGAACTCCCCTGGCCAAGCTCCTGAAACCCCAGGAACTGTGACTCCTCTGAAAACAGGGGTGGGAGTCACTCCCACCTCCCCGCTGCCAGACCCAGGGCTACAGGGTCACGGAGGCAGCCTCAACAGGTGTGGTAGGATGACAGCTGAGGCCAGCAGGCACACAGCATAATGAATGAATGAATGGATGGGTGAATGAATGGATGGATGAAAGGATGAATGAATGAATGGATGGATGAAAGGATGAATGAATGAATGGATGAATGGATGAATGGATGGCTGAATGGATGAATGGATGGATGAATGGATGGATGAATGGATGAATGGATGGATGAATGGATGGATGGATGGATGAATGGATGAATGAATGGATGAATGGATGAATGGATGGCTGAATGGATGAATGGATGGATGAATGGATGGATGGATGGATGAATGGATGGATGAATGGATGGATGGATGGATGAATGGATGGATGAATGGATGAATGGATGGATGAATGGATGGATGAATGGATGAATGGATGAATGGATGGATGAATGGATGAATGGATGAATGGATGAATGGATGAATGGATGAAGGAATGAATGGATGAAGGAATGAAGTGAACCCAGGGCAGTCCCCTGCCTGCAGTATCTCCCCACACACCTCAGGGCTTTCTTAGCTGCGGCGAGCGGACAAGTGCCCTGAGCTAGACTCCCTGAGTGACCAGTGCAGACAGCTGTCCGCTCAGATCCCCCGGGACCCTCAGCCAGTGGCACAGAGTAGCTCTCCTGCCCACGCCTGCAGAAGCAGACATGCCCGGGTGGTTTATCCTGCGTGGCTGGGGGCGTGGGGGTGGCTGGGCTGTCGCTTGCTCCCACCCCTACCCCGGGTGCGCCCCCTGCCCCGTGCGCTGCGGGGGAGAAGAGCGGGGCGGTGCGCAGAGCGCAGAGCTGGGCTCCGGGCGAGAGTCCAGCCCGGTCGAGCTCAGGTCTCTCGCCCCAAGCTTCGCCTCGGGCCAGGAGGCTGAGCTGCGGGTGGAAACCGCCCTCCCCTGCCTCGCCCCGGGGCCCCCTCCCCCGCACTCCGGCCCGGGCCGGCGCCTGAGCTCCCCAATTAGCCCGGCTGCACTCGGACCTCCCCCAAATCCCTCCCCCAGATCCCTGCCCCGCACGCTCCTGCCTGGAGACCCCGCGCGCTCTGCGCTCCCCGCCTTCCCAGCCACCGCGGGTCAAGTTCCCCAGTGAGCGCAGGGCATGACCGGGGCGCATCCCCGGCCCCCCAACAGGCAGCCTTGGGCGGTCAGCGCGGGCGCCTCATTAGTAGGGTGGGATGAAGGGTTCCCCGGAGAGACGCAAGGCGAGCCCCCACCCACCCACCCACCGAGGCCCTGAGCATGGATAAGCGCCCCCAGTCCGGGCACCGTGGGGGACCCCTAGGGTCGTGGCCTCGCGGGCTGGTCCAGGAGCGCCCAGGAGCCTGGGGCAGGGGTGGGGGTGGGGGTTCCAGGACCGGCACGTGGGGGCCCCAGAACCCCTGCGCTCACCCGCGGGGTCGAGCTGTCTCTCCAGAAGCTGCGCTTGGTCAGGACTTGGGCCTTGTCCCCGCGGAAGTTCTGTTCCAGGCCAGCCCCCGGAGGCAGGAGGATGGGGAGGAGGCGGCCAGGTCTGCGGCACAAATTAGGCCATTAATTCCTGCCTGCTCCTAGAGAAGGCAAAGTTTCTGTCCTGGAATACGTTTCCAAAGACACAGCTTCTGGAAGGGGAAGGGAAAGGATGGAGAGGCTGCGCGGTGCTGATTCCACCCGACAGGCAATGCTCGCGTTCCTTGGAGTGGGAGGGGTCGGGGCGATGAGAAACCTCTGGGGGATCGGGGCAGGTGGACACGCGCGCTCGGAGCTGTCCAAGGCCTGGTCTCCCCGGCGATGACCCTACCCAAGAGTCAGGTCCCCACCTCAGGGAATCCTCCCGTTCCTTGGAGTTGGGGGGATGGGAGCGATGGGAAACCTCTGGGGGCTTGGGGCAGGTGGATAGGCGCGCTCTGGGCTGTCCAAGGCCTGGTCGCCCCAGGGCTGGCCCTACCCAAGGGTCAGGTCCTCACCTCAGGCCTCAGCCGGGGAGGAAGGCGGTGAACCAGGCACGGTGCCCTGTGCGCGCTCCTCGCTCTCCGGAGGCTCGGGGCCCCGTGTCCCCGCCGCGCCCCTGGGTGCCATTCGCGTTCTGCCGAAGCTTCTAGTCTTGGGAAGCAAAGTGTGCCTCTTCCTGGCTCTGCGCGGTGGAGGTCTTCGTTCCTTTCATCTGCGTTTTGACGTTGGAGAGACGTGGCCAAAGACTGGGAGCCTGTTTGGGAGTCCTGCCAATTTCTTAAGCCGGTGCGTCCTGGGGACGCGAATCCCGCGTCTGGGGCACGGGCAGGAGGAAGGAAGGACCAGTTCTTTTTCTGTCCCCTTGCGGAGGCCCGTGCCAGAAGTGGAAATGACAGTCGAAATACACCTCCAAGATGTGTTCCTCAGAACATGAATGACCGCAGAAAGGGGGCTGAATTTATTCCTGGCGAGGGAGGGCCGCCCCTTCTTTGTGCAGCGGTGGCCTCCAGCAAACGGCCTTGCTGGGTTTCTTCTTCGTGACAAAGGCCTTTGCTCCCTGAAAAACATAACGTTTTTCTTAAACAAATAAGAGTTTTCTTAAATAAAACATAGAGGCCCTGTGATTAAATCCGAAAGGAAAGAGGTCTAATGCCCACCATATGTTGCAAAGTACATGCTAAGGTTTAAAAGAGAGAGAGAGAGAGAGAGAGAGAGAGAGAGAGAGAGAAGCAAATTCCACAGAAGGTCCCTGAGAAAAAGCAAACAACGTTTTCTCCTAGGAAGTTTTACTTTAAAAATTGCAAGTTTGCATGGTGGGGTATTTTAGAGACACCCTCTCCTGCACACACACACACGTAGGTACTAGGACTTGTAGAAAAAGCGAGATAAAATGAAACAAATAGAAAAAAAAAAACCCCACAGAAAAACAAAGCTACATTCCCAAGGCAGGTCCTTAGACACATATGGTCAGCCAGGCCTCTAGAGAGAAGAAAAAACCAACCAGGGCCTACGTGCCCTTTTTAAATATTATAGAGGTTGCCCTTGTCCACTGGATCAGTCTCAGCCATTCACGAGCCAGACTGACAAACCTCACTTTAATGAAAATCTATTAGCTTCACGCGGGCAACGTGGATGTTTGCGTCAATCAATAAACAGCGTCGGAGGGAGTACAAATCCAGGTTTCTGACTTTAAAAGGGGAGGGGGAAGGAAAAAAAAAACAACAAGAGTTCGTCTAGGAAACGTGTTGAGACGTCTGTAAAATTCTGAAACCCTAAATACATCCTTATACATATTTAATGTGCGGGGAGGGGTTGGTGGTTGTTATAGGGGCCGAACCTTGGTCCGAGACCATGAATACCCACCCTTCCGTGCTTATCATGAATAGAAATGGCCTTTCGAATTATGTGCTTAAAAAAAAAGTGGGCCACATGGAAGGGGTATTTCTTGAAATAGCTGTAGGAGATATACCTAACGTCAATGACGAGTTCTTGGGTGCAGCAGACCAGCATGGCACATGTATACGTATGTAACTAACCTGCACGTTGTGCACATGTACCCTAAAACTTAAAGTCTAATAAAATAAAATAAAATAAAATAAAATAAAATAAAATAAAATAAAATAAAATAAAATAAATAAAATAAAAAGAAAAGTGTTTCCTCCCTGGCTGGAGGACCCAGGAGGAGGTCCCAGTTTTCCGGTGGGGATGGGCGTGGAGTAGGGGGCGGGGAAGGGATGAGGGCCTTAGGTTCTGCATCAGGAGGGCTGGAGGCCCCAGAGGGCCCCGTACAAATGCCTCTCTGCAATTAAGAGCTCTGGGCGTGAAATTTGATTTAAAGTAAATACATCAGGTTCCAGAGAGCGGAGCTTCGTTGGAGCTAAAACTGAAAAAATATAATCAAAGCCATACTTTTCGGGAGTTAAAGAAATCAAGTGTTCAGTATTTGAAGGTTCACGGCTTCTATTCCCCTTGGTGCTGCAAATGACAGAGAGAGAGAAAGGAGAGAGAGAAAGAAAAGAGAAGAGAGAGAGAGAGAGAAGACAGAAAGACAGAGACAGAGAAGAGAGAGAAAAGACAGAGAGAAGAGAGAGGACAGAGAGAAAGAGAGAGAGAGAAAGACAGAGAGAGAGAGAGAAGACAGAGAGAGAAAGAAAAGAGAAGAGAGAGAGAAAGAAGACAGAAAGACAGAGAGAGAGAAGAGAGAAAGAGAGAGGAGAGAAGAGAGAGAGGAGAGAGAGAAGACAGACAGAGAAGAGAGAGAAAAGAGAGAGAGAAGAGAGAGAAGAGAGAGGACAGAGAGAAAGAGAGAGAGGAGAGAGAGAAAGACAGAGACAGAAGAGAGAGAAAGAGAGAAGACAGAGAGAAAGAGAGAGAGGAGAGAGAGAAAGACAGAGAAAGAGAAGATAGAGAGAGAGAAGACAGAGAGAAGACAGAGAGAGAGAGAGAAAGACAGAGAGAGAGAAGAGAGAGAAAGACAGAGAGAAGACAGAGAGAGAGAGAAAGACAGAGAGAAGACAGAGAGAGAAAGACAGAGAGAGAGAAGATAGAGAGAGAAGACAGAGAAGACAGAGAGAGAGAGAAAGACAGAGAGAGAGAAGAGAGAGAAAGACAGAGAGAAGACAGAGAGAGAAAGACAGAGAGAAGACAGAGAGAGAGAGAAAGAGAGAGAGAGAAGACAGAGAGAGAAGAGAGAGAGAAAGAGAAAGACAGAGAGAGAGAGGACAGAGATAGAAAGAGAGACAGAGAAGACAGAGAGAGAGAGAAAGACAGAGAGAGAAGAGAGAGAAAGAGAGAGAGAGAAAGACAGAGAGAGAAGAGAGAGAAAGACAGAGAGCGAGAGAAAGACAGAGAGAGAAGAGAGAGAGAAAGACAGAGAGAGAGAAGACAGAGAGAGAGAAAGAGAGCGAGAAGAGAGAGAGAAAGACAGAGAGAGAGAAGACAGAGAGAGAGAAAGAGAGCGAGAAGAGAGAGAGAAAGACAGAGAGAGAGAGAAAGAGAGAGAAGACAGAGAGAGAAGAGAGAGAGAAGACAGAAAGACACAGAGAGAGAGAAGACAGAGAGAGAGAAAAAGTCAGAGAGAGAAGACAGAGAGAGAGAAAAAGACAGACAGAGAAGACAGAGAGAGAGAAAAAGACAGACAGAGAAGACAGAGAGAGAGAAAAAGACAGAGAGAAGACAGAGAGAAAGAGAGAGAAGAGAGAGAGAAGACAGAGACAGAAAGCGAGAGAAAGACAGAGAGAGAAAGTCAGAGAGAAGAGAGAGAGAGAGCAAATGACTTATTCCTTAAAACGTACCTAATTCACATAGAAAAAGCCAGATTATTTGATAAAGTGGGCCAGTCTCAGAGTTCCTTCCTCTTCGCAGCCATCCTAAGCGCGTTCCTCGAGTTTCCCCCCAGCAGGTGCGTTCTAGAAAGCGCTGGTCAGGACGCATGGCTGCCCCATAGATTTCTTGGGGACGGGAGTGAGAGACGCCTGGACGCCCAAGCGCAAGCCTCCAGCCTCCAAGGTCCTACAACAGATACAGCAGCTACTGAGTCTCCTCTCTGGTTTCTTTTCCGCCCCTGGGGAGAGAAAAGAGAAGGGGAGAAACGTCACCACCAGCAACTGCTCCCAGCCAGCAAGACGCACGGCGGGGAGGCCGGGGCTGGCCGCGTCCTGCAGCTCCTGAGCTGCGTGTCTGAGCTTTTCCCAGCCCCGCCTGCGTCTCCAGGGGCGAAATAAGAAGCAAATCTTGCTGGGACCGAGTTCAGGTCGAGGAACTCCGGGACCCTCTGCAGCCTCAGCCCTGCCGCGCTCCCCGCAGCTTCGGGCCTGTTGCGGGGAGTTGGGGAGGAATTCAGGGAAGGGGGGAACCAGGCCGGGATAAGAGGCTCCGGCTTGCTGTGGGCTGCATGACGGGGTGCAAAGGCGAGGAGAAGCCCCTGGGATCCTGGCTCGTCTGCTGCGGGACCCCCAGCCCCGGCGGGCGGACCGCGGAGAGCGCTGTCCCGGATCCGGAGATTCGCTTTTCCTTTGCGACTGCGGGGCTGGCGCGCGCGCGCGAGGGGTCAGCACCCTGGGCATTGGGGTCAATGCAACCAGGGCAGGTCCCTGGGGGGCCCCCAGGAGCCAATAGGGGTCTTCGAGTCACCCTGCGGCCGCCTGCTTTTGCCCGGGTCCTGAGAACAGGGGCTCCCCACACTTTTTTTTTTTTTGGTTTTGTTTTATTTCGTTTCCGCGCGTCTCTTTCTACTGCAAACAGAAATGGGAGGGTGGACAGGCGGGTAGGAGCGGATCAGACGCCCAGGACGCAGCAGCCCGAGTCCGCACAGGGTTTGCGGGAGGTGGTGACCGCGCTGGGGACGCCAGGACGCGAATGAACCTCCGGGGCGCGCTCGGGGCCTGCGCTCAGAGCTTGGTGAGCTCGGTTTTGGAACTTTCCTTTTCTTTTCCAGAAAGCTTTGCCTTCTTTCCTTTCTTCGTTCCTTCCTTCCTTCCTTCCTCTCTTCCTCTTTCTTTTCTTTCTTTCTTTCTTTCTTTCTTTCTTTCTTTCTTTTCTTTCTTCCTTTCACTTGGCAAGATTGGTTTTGGAGCTTTCCTTTTCTTTTCCAGAAAGCTTTGCCTTCTTTCCTTCCTTCGTTCTTTCCTTCCTTCCTTCCTCTCTTCCTCTTTCTTTCTTTTCTTTCTTTCTTTCTTTCTTTCTTTCTTTCTTTCTTTCTCTCTTCCTTTCTTTCTTTCTTTCTTTCTTTTCTTTCTTTCACTTGGCAAGATTGCTTTTGGAGCTTTCCTTTTCTTTTCCAGAAAGCTTTTTCCTTCCTTCCCTCCTTCCTTCCTTCTCTCCCTCCCTCCTTTCCTTTCCTCCCTCTGTTCCTTCCTCCCTCCCTCCCTCCTTCTCTCCCTCCCTCCCTCCTTCCCTTTCTTTCTTCTTTCTTTCTTTCTCTTTCTTTTTTCTTTCTCTTTCATTTCTTTCCTCTTCCTTCCCCCATCCTCCCCCTTCATCGTCCCTCCTCCTCCTCCTTCTCCTCCTCCTCCTCCTCCTTCTCCCTCCTCCTCCTCCTTCTACTCCTTTTCCTCCTCTTCCCTCTGCCATTTGTCTCTTTCCCCTTTGCGTTTTTATTCGCAGTCGTTGTTTTTGTCCATCCACTAACTTCTCTGAAACCTGATTCTTTTGGGACGCTTGGCAAAAGGCATTTCATACAGGGAGGCGGTCACATACGCTAACAAGACACGGTGAAAAGTCTCTTCTCATCGGCTTGGTGTGCTGCTCTCTTCTCTCTCTCGCTGTCTCTCTCTGTCTGTCTCTCTGTCCCCTGTCTGTCGCTATTTTTCTCTGTCTATCTCTGTATCTCTGTCTCTCTCTTTCTCTCCTCTGTCTCTCTGTATCTCTGTCCATCTCTGTCTCTCTTTCTCTCTCTCCTCTCTCTCTTTTTCTCTGTCTCTGTCTGTATCTCTATCTCTGTCTCTCTTTCTCTCTGTCTTCGTTCCTCTCTCTCTTTTTTTCTCTCTTCCTCTGTCTCTCTTTCTATCTCTGTCTCTCTCTCTCCTCTCTCTCTGTCTCTTTTTCTCTGTCTCTGTCTGTATCTCTGTCTGTCTCTGTCTCTCTTTCTCTCCTCTCTCTGTGTCTCTGTCTCTGTCTCTCTTTCTCTCCTCTCTTTTTCTCTGTCTCTGTATCTCTGTCTATCTCTGTCTCTCTTTCTCTCTCTCCTCTCTCTCTTTCTCTGTCTCTGTCTGTATCTCTATCTCTGTCTCTCTTTCTCTCTGTCTTCGTTCCTCTCTCTCTTTTTCTCTTTCTCTGTATCTCTGTCTATCTCTGTCTCTCTTTCTCTCTCTCCTCTCTGTCTCTTTTTCTCTGTCTCTCTCTGTGTCTCTACCTCTGTCTCTCTCTCTCCTCTCTTTTTCTCTGTCTCTGTCTGTATCTCTGTCTATCTCTGTCTCTCTCTCTCCTCTCTCTCTTTCTCTGTCTCTGTCTGTATCTCTATCTCTGTCTCTCTTTCTCTCTGTCTTCGTTCCTCTCTCTCTTTTTCTCTTTCTCTGTATCTCTATCTCTGTCTCTCTTTCTCTCTCTCCTCTCTCTCTGTCTCTTTTTCTCTGTCTCTCTCTGTGTCTCTACCTCTGTCTCTCTCTCTCCTCTCTTTTTCTCTGTCTCTGTCTGTATCTCTGTCTATCTCTGTCTCTCTCTCTCCTCTCTCTCTTTCTCTGTCTCTGTCTGTATCTCTATCTCTGTCTCTCTTTCTCTCTGTCTTCGTTCCTCTCTCTCTTTTTCTCTTTCTCTGTATCTCTGTCTATCTCTGTCTCTCTTTCTCTCTCTCCTCTCTCTCTGTCTCTTTTTCTCTGTCTCTCTCTGTGTCTCTACCTCTGTCTCTCTCTCTCCTCTTTTTCTCTGTCTCTGTCTGTATCTCTGTCTGTCTCTGTCTCTCTTTCTCTCCTCTCTCTGTATCTCTGTCTCTGTCTCTCTTTCTCTCCTCTCTCTCTTTTTCTCTGTCTCTGTATCTCTGTCTATCTCTGTCTCTCTTTCTCTCTCTCATCTCTCTCTGTCTCTTTTTCTCTGTCTCTCTCTGTGTCTCTACCTCTGTCTCTCTTTCTCTCCTCTCTTTTTCTCTGTCTCTGTATCTCTATCTCTGTCTCTCTTTCTCTCTCTCCTCTCTCTCTTTTTCTGTCTCTGTCTCTCTGTCTGTCTCTGTCTCTCTTTGTCTCTCTCCTCTCTGTCTCTTTTTCTCTGTCTCTCTCTGTGTCTCTACCTGTGTCTCTCTTTCCTCTCTCTTTTTCTCTCTCTGTCTGTATCTCTGTCTACCTCTGTCTCTCTCTCTCTCCTCTCTCTCTGTCTCTTTTTCTCTGTCTTTCTGTCTCTCTATCTCTGTGACTCTTTCCCTCTCTCCTCTCTCTCTCTTTTTCTCTCTCTCCCTGTCTCAGGGAAGCATCAGTAAAACCTCCAACAAGCACCCCCTTGTACACAGCCCAGGCCAAGAGAGGTGCAGACCCTGCTTTCTGCCTGCAGCCGCCTGCTGTAAAATGTCAATGCAAAACATTTCATACAGTCCACCCACTCTGCAGACTGGAGCTGCGGCCTCTCGGACAGCGTCTTGAATTGGCAACGAAAAACGTGTGGGGTAGAAAAAGCTCTCGTCTGGATTTCTAACATGTTATCAAGCACTCAAACGCTGGGTGTTTCCTGCCTGTCTTTAAAGGGAAGGGCAGGGAGAGAACGTAAAAGCTCTGGTCAGAGAAGGGAAAGGTCTTTAGGTGAGAGGGGTGAGGCCGCCTCCGTGCTCATCCCACAGGAAGAGTTGGAGTTTTACAGAAAGATGAGATCTCTTTCGCGTAGCCAGAAACTCTTAGGAAAAGCGGGGTGTTGGAAAGGCAGAAAGTGTGCCATGAATCGGACGTGCGTGATTTCAAAGCCACTTGTCTGCAGTGAGAATTACAATTGGGGCTTCAGTTGAAAAAGGGCCTTTGCTTTTTCTCCGAGGCCGAGGGGCCTTGAATAGCCACACAGCTCCTGACTGGTGTCCCCATGCTCATTCCTGGAGGCTCGGACACCCTGGTAGAGCGGAGTTTCCTACTAGACAAAGGGGTCCAGATTGCGGCCCAAGAAGGAACCTCAGGTCGGGGAAAGCCTGGGCCTCACGGGACCCCCCAGGAAAGCCTGGTCCTTGGGGTTGGAGAAGACAGCTGAGCTGGGAGGACGGAGGGTTTTCGGTAGGGAGACAGTGAGCAGCTGTGAGAGGTTTACGGCGCAGTCCCTGGGGACCCAGTTTCCCAGCAGAGGCAGAGATGGGGAGGCCTTTAGAAGCAGAAAAGTTACCCGGCCTCTGAGGACCCAGAAAGTTGCTCTAAGCCAGAGACCCTTCTCCGAATCTCCCTCTCTGTCTGTCTCTGCCTCTCTCCCTCTTTCTCTTCCCCCTCCCTGTCTCCCTCTCTGTGTCTCTGCCTCTCTTTGTCTCTCTCTGTATCTCTATCTGTGTCTCTCTTTTTCTCTCTCCATCTCTCTGTCTCTCCGTTTCTCTCTTTCTCTCTCCCTCTCTCTCCCTGTCCGTGTCGCTCTTTCTCTCTCTCCATCTCCCAGTCTCTCCCTTTCTCTCTCTCCATCTCTCCCTGTCTCTCTCTTTCTCTGTCTCCATCTCTTTCTCTGTCTCTCCTTGTCTCTCTCTTTCTCTCTCTCCATCTCTCTCTGTCTCTCCCTGTCTGTTTCTCTCTCTCCATCTGTCTGTCTCTCCCTTTCTCTCTCTCTGTCTCTCCCTCTCTCTCCCTGTCTGTGTCTCTCTTTCTCTCTCTCCATCTCTCTCTGTCTCTCCCTGTGTTTCTCTCTCTCCATCTCTCTCTGTCTCTCCCTGTCTGTTTCTCTCTCTCCATCTGTCTGTCTCTCTCTTTCTCTCTCTATCTCTCCCTCTCTCTCCCTGTCTGTGTCTCTCTTTCTCTCTCTCCATCTCTCTCTGTCTCTCCCTGTGTTTCTCTCTCTCCATCTCTCTCTGTCTCTCCCTGTCTGTTTCTCTCTCTCCATCTGTCTGTGTCTCTCTTTCTCTCTCTCCATCTCTCTCTGTCTCTCCCTGTCTGTTTCTCTCTCTCTATCTGTCTGTCTCTCTCTTTTTCTCTCTCTATCTCTCCCTCTCTCTCCCTGTCTGTGTCTCTCTTTCTCTCTCTCCATCTCTCTCTGTCTCTCCCTGTGTTTCTCTCTCTCCATCTCTCTCTGTCTCTCCCTGTGTGTTTCTCTATCTCCATCTCTCTGTCTCTCCCTTTCTCTCTCTCTGTCTCTCCCTCTCTCTCCCTGTCTGTGTCTCTCTTTCTCTCTCTCCATCTCTCTCTGTCTCTCCCTGTGTGTTTCTCTCTCTCCATCTCTCTGTCTCTCCCTTTCTCTCTCTCTGTCTCTCCCTCTCTCTCCCTGTCTGTGTCTCTCTTTCTCTCTCTCCATCTCTCTCTGTCTCTCCCTGTGTTTCTCTCTCTCCATCTCTCTCTGTCTCTCCCTGTCTGTTTCTCTCTCTCCATCTGTCTGTGTCTCTCTTTCTCTCTCTCTATCTCTCCCTCTCTCTCCCTGTCTGTGTCTCTCTTTCTCTCTCTCCATCTCTCTCTGTCTCTCCCTGTGTTTCTCTCTCTCCATCTCTCTCCGTCTCTCCCTGTCTGTCTCTTTCTCTGTCTCCATCTCTCTCTGTCTCTCCTTGACTCTCTTTCTCTCTGTCTCCATGTCTCTGTCTCTCCCTGTCTGTGTCTCTCTTTCTCTCTCTCCATCTCTCTCCGTCTTTCCCCCTCTGTCTCTTTCTCTGTCTCCATCCCTCTGTCTCTCCCTTTCTCTCTGTCTTTCCTTGTCTCTCTCTTTCTCTCTCTCTCTCCATCTCTCTCTCTCCCTGTCTCTCTCTCTCCATCTCCCCGTCTCTCCGTTTCTCTCTCTGCCTCTCCCTGTCTGTCTCTCTCTTTCTGTGTCTTACACACACCCCAACCCACCGTCACTCATGTCCCCCCACTGCTGTGCCATCTCACACAAGTTCACAGCTCAGCTGTCATCCTGGGTCCCCAGGCCCCGCCGGGGAGGAAGATGCGCCGTGGGGTTACGGGAGGAAGGGGACTCCGGGCCTCCTGGTGCCCCACTTTATTTGCAGAAGGTCCTTGGCAGGAACCGTGACGCGTTTGGTTTCCAGGACTTGGAAAACGAATTTCAGGTCGCGATGGCGAGCACCGGCTTCCCCTGAAGCACATTCAATAGCGAGAGGCGGGAGGGAGCGAGCAGGAGCATCCCACCATGAAAACCAAAAACACAAGTATTTTTTTCACCCGGTAAATACCCCAGACGCCAGGGTGACAGCGCGGCGCTAAGGGAGGAGGCCTCGCGCCGGGGTCCGCCGGGATCTGGCGCGGGCGGAAAGAATATAGATCTTTACGAACCGGATCTCCCGGGGACCTGGGCTTCTTTCTGCGGGCGCTGGAGACCCGGGAGGCGGCCCCGGGGATCCTCGGCCTCCGCCGCCGCCGCCTCCCAAGCGCCCGCGTCCCGGTTTGGGGACACCCGGCCCCTTCTTCTCACTTTCGGGGATTCTCCAGCCGCGTTCCATCTCACCAACTCTCCATCCAAGGGCGCGCCGCCACCAACTTGGAGCTCATCTTCTCCCAAGATCGTGCGTCCCCGGGGCGCCCGGATCCCCCCCTCGCCATCTCAACCCCGGCGCGACCCGGGCGCTTCCTGGAAAGATCCAGGCGCCGGGCTCTGCGCTCCTCCCGGGAGCGAGGGCGGCCGGACGACTGGGACCCTCCTCTCTCCAGCCGTGAACTCCTTGTCTCTCTGTCTCTCTCTGCAGGAAAACTGGAGTTTGCTTTTCCTCCGGCCACGGAGAGAACGCGGGTAACCTGTGTGGGGGGCTCGGGCGCCTGCGCCCCCCTCCTGCGCGCGCGCTCTCCCTTCCAAAAATGGGATCTTTCCCCCTTCGCACCAAGGTGTACGGACGCCAAACAGTGATGAAATGAGAAGAAAGCCAATTGCCGGCCTGGGGGGTGGGGGAGACACAGCGTCTCTGCGTGCGTCCGCCGCGGAGCCCGGAGACCAGTAATTGCACCAGACAGGCAGCGCATGGGGGGCTGGGCGAGGTCGCCGCGTATAAATAGTGAGATTTCCAATGGAAAGGCGTAAATAACAGCGCTGGTGATCCACCCGCGCGCACGGGCCGTCCTCTCCGCGCGGGGAGACGCGCGCATCCACCAGCCCCGGCTGCTCGCCAGCCCCGGCCCCAGCCATGGAAGAGCTCACGGCTTTTGTATCCAAGTCTTTTGACCAGAAAAGCAAGGACGGTAACGGCGGAGGCGGAGGCGGCGGAGGTAAGAAGGATTCCATTACGTACCGGGAAGTTTTGGAGAGCGGACTGGCGCGCTCCCGGGAGCTGGGGACGTCGGATTCCAGCCTCCAGGACATCACGGAGGGCGGCGGCCACTGCCCGGTGCATTTGTTCAAGGACCACGTAGACAATGACAAGGAGAAACTGAAAGAATTCGGCACCGCGAGAGTGGCAGAAGGTAAGTTCCTTTGCGCTCCGGCTCCAGGGGGGCCCTCCTGGGGTTCGGCGCCTCCTCGCCACGGAGTCGGCCCCGCGCGCCCCTCGCTGTGCACATTTGCAGCTCCCGTCTCGCCAGGGTAAGGCCCGGGCCGTCAGGCTTTGCCTAAGAAAGGAAGGAAGGCAGGAGTGGACCCGACCGGAGACGCGGGTGGTGGGTAGCGGGGTGCGGGGGGACCCAGGGAGGGTCGCAGCGGGGGCCGCGCGCGTGGGCACCGACACGGGAAGGTCCCGGGCTGGGGTGGATCCGGGTGGCTGTGCCTGAAGCCGTAGGGCCTGAGATGTCTTTTTCATTTTCTTTTTCTTTCCTTTCCTTTTTTTGTTTGTTTGTTTGTTTGAGACAGAGTCTCGCTCTGTCCCCCAGGCTGGAGTGCAGTGGTGCGATCTCGGCTCACTGCAACCTCTGCCTCCTGGGTTCAAGCGATTCTCCTGCCTCAGCCTCCCCAGTAGCTGGGATTACAGGCATGCACCACCACGCCTGGCTAATTTTTGTGCTTTTAGTAAAGACGGGGATTCACCATGTTGGCCAGGCTGGTCTCGAACTCCTGACCTCAGGTGATCCACCCGCCTCGGCCTCCCAAAGTGCTGGGATGACAGGCGTGAGGCACCGCGCCCGGCCTGGGTCCTGACGGCTTAGGATGTGTGTTTCTGTCTCTGCCTGTCTGCCTTGTATTTACGGTCACCCAGACGCACAGAGGAGCCGTCTCCACGCGCCTTCCCAGCGCTCAGCGCCTGCCGGGCCCCCGGAGATCACGGGAAGACTCGAGGCTGCGTGGTAGGAGACGGGAAGGCCCCGGGTCAGCTCGGTTCTGTTTCCTTTAAGGAACCCTTCATTATTATTTCATTGTTTTCCTTTGAACGTCGAGGCTTGATCTTGGCGAAAGCTGTTGGGTCCATAAAAACCACTCCCGTGAGCGGAGGTGGCCGGGATCTGGATGGGGCGCGAGGGGCCCCGGGGAAGCTGGCGGCTTCGCGGGCGCGTCCTAAGTCAAGGTTGTCAGAGCGCAGCCGGTTGTGCGCGGCCCGGGGGAGCTCCCCTCTGGCCCTTCCTCCTGAGACCTCAGTGGTGGGTCGTCCCGTGGTGGAAATCGGGGAGTAAGAGGCTCAGAGAGAGGGGCTGGCCCCGGGGATCTCTGTGCACACACGACAACTGGGCGGCATACATCTTAAGAATAAAATGGGCTGGCTGTGTCGGGGCACAGCTGGAGACGGCTATGGACGCCTGTTATGTTTTCATTACAAAGACGCAGAGAATCTAGCCTCGGCTTTTGCTGATTCGCAGAGTTGAGGTGCGAGGGTGAATGCCCCAAAGGTAATTCTTCCTAAGACTCTGGGGCTACCTGCTCTCCGGGGCCCTGCATTTGGGGTGTGGAGTGGCCCCGGGAAATAGCCCTTGTATTCGTAGGAGGCACCAGGCAGCTTCCCAAGGCCCTGACTTTGTCGAAGCAGAAAGCTGTGGCTACGGTTTACAAAGCAGTCCCCGGTTTCTGACCGTCTAAGAGGCAGGAGCCCAGCCTGCCTTTGACAGTGAGAGGAGTTCCTCCCTACACACTGCTGCGGGCACCCGGCACTGTAATTCATACACAGAGAGTTGGCCTTCCTGGACGCAAGGCTGGGAGCCGCTTGAGGGCCTGCGTGTAATTTAAGAGGGTTCGCAGCGCCCGGCGGCCGCTTCTGTGGGGTTGCTTTTTGGTTGTCCTTCGCAGACACCGTTTTGCTCCTCTGAACTCTCTCTTCTCCCCCTGGCCGTGGACCCGGGAGAGCAAAGTGTCCTCCAGACCTTTCGAAAGTGAGAGGAAAATAAAGACCAGGCCAAAGACCCAGGGCCACAGGAGAGGAGACAGAGAGTCCCCGTTACATTTTCCCCTTGGCTGGGTGCAGAAAGACCCCCGGGCCAGGACTGCCACCCAGGCTACTATTTATTCATCAGATCCAAGTTAAATCGAGGTTGGAGGGCAGGGGAGAGTCTGAGGTTACCGTGGAAGCCTGGAGTTTTTGGGAACAGCGTGTCCCCGCCGAGCCTGGGAGCCCGTGGGTTCTGCAAAGCCTGCGGGTGTTTGAGGACTTTGAAGACCAGTTTGTCAGTTGGGCTCAATTCCTGGGGTTCAGACTTAGAGAAATGAAGGAGGGAGAGCTGGGGTCGTCTCCAGGAAACGATTCACTTGGGGGGAAGGAATGGAGTGTTCTTGCAGGCACGTGTCTGATAGGAGGTGAAACAGAATGTGAAATCCACGTTGGAGTAAGCGTCCAGCGCTGAATGTAGCTCGGGGTGGGGTGGGAGGGCCCTGGTGTGGATCGTGGAAGGAAGAAAGACAGAACAGGGTGCTAGTATTTACCCCGTTCCCTGTAGACACCCTGGATTTGTCAGCTTTGCAAGCTTCTTGGTTGCAGCGGCCTTGCCTGTGCCCCTTTGAGACTGTTTCCAGACTAAACTTCCAAATGTCAGCCCCTTACCCTTGACAGCAAGGGACATCTCATTAGGGCATCGCGTGCTTCTCATCTGTGCTCAGCAGGCCCGAGATAGGAACAGAGGGGCGTTGGAGATGCCACTTCCACCAGCCCTGGGTTGAAGGGGAGCGAGGGAGACACCTTTTACTTAAACCCCTGAGCTTGGTCAGAGAGGCTGAATGTCTAAAATGAGGAAGAAAAGGTTTTTCACCTGGAAACGCTTGAGGGCTGAGTCTTCTGCCCTTCTGACTCCCCCAGCAAATACAGACAGGTCACCAACTACTGGAGATGAGAAAGTGCCATTTTTGGCACACTCTGGTGGGGTAGGTGCCCGACCGCGTGTGAAAAAGTGGGAAGGAGAGATTTCTGCGCACGCGGTTCAGCCCCCAGGCGCGGTGGCGCATTCAGGTACTCAGACGCGGTTCTGCTGTTCTGCTGAGAAACAGGCTTCGGGTAGGGGCTCCTAGCTCCGCCAGATCGCGGAGGGACCCCCAGCCCTCCTGCGCTGCAGCGGTGGGGATAGCGTCTCTCCGTAGGCCTAGAATCTGCAACCCGCCCCGGGTCCTCCCCGTGTCCTTCCCGGGCGTCCCGCCGGGGATCCCACAGTTGGCAGCTCTTCCTCAAATTCTTTCCCTTAAAAATAGGATTTGACACCCCACTCTCCTTAAAAAAAAAAATAAGAAAAAAAGGTTAGGTTATGTCAACAGAGGTGAAGTGGATAATTGAGGAAACGATTCTGAGATGAGGCCAAGAAAACAACGCTCGTGCAAAGCCCAGGTTTTTGGGAAAGCAGCGAGTATCCTCCTCGGCTTTTGCCTTATGGACCCCACGCAGTTTTTGCGTCAAAGCGCATTGGTTTTCGAGGGCCCCCTTTCCACCGCGGGATGCACGAAGGGGTTCGCCACGTTGCGCAAAACCTCCCCGGCCTCAGCCCTGTGCCCTCCGCTCCCCACGCAGGGATTTATGAATGCAAAGAGAAGCGCGAGGACGTGAAGTCGGAGGACGAGGACGGGCAGACCAAGCTGAAACAGAGGCGCAGCCGCACCAACTTCACGCTGGAGCAGCTGAACGAGCTCGAGCGACTCTTCGACGAGACCCATTACCCCGACGCCTTCATGCGCGAGGAGCTCAGCCAGCGCCTGGGGCTCTCCGAGGCGCGCGTGCAGGTAGGAACCCGGGGGCGGGGGCGGGGGGCCCGGAGCCATCGCCTGGTCCTCGGGAGCGCACAGCACGCGTACAGCCACCTGCGCCCGGGCCGCCGCCGTCCCCTTCCCGGAGCGCGGGGAGGTTGGGTGAGGGACGGGCTGGGGTTCCTGGACTTTTGGAGACGCCTGAGGCCTGTAGGATGGGTTCATTGCGTTTGTTTTTCACCAACAGCAAACAAATATATATACATATATATTATACAAATAACAAATAAATATATATGTTATACAGATGGGTATATTGTATATATTATAGATATTTGTTCGTCCTTGGTGCAAAGACACCCGGTGAACCCATATATTGGCTCCTGACTGCCTTCGGTTCCCCTGGGATTGGTTATAGGGGCAACACATGCAAACAAAACTTTCCCTGGATTATACTTAGGAGACGAAGCTACAGATGCGTTTGATCCAGAGTGTTTTACAAGATTTTTCATTTAAAAAAAAATGTGTCTTTTGGCCCCTGATTCCCCTCCGTCTTCCCGTGTGGCTGCATTGAAAAGGTTTCCTTAGGATGAAAGGAGAGGGGTGTCCTCTGTCCCTAGGTGGAGAGAAACAGGGTCTTCTCTTTCCTCCGTTTTTTCACCTACCGTTTCTATCTCCCTCCTCCCCTCTCCAGCCCTGTCCTCTGCTACAAACCACCCCCTCCTCCCTCCGGCTGTGGGGAGCGCAGGAGCACGTTGGGCATCTGGATGAGCGGAGACTATTAGCGGGGCACGGGGGCTCCCCGAGGAGCGCGCGAATTCACGCTGCCCCATGAGACCAGGCACTGGGGGGCGGAGGGGCCTTGGGTGTGCGCAGAGGGACGGGCGGGCAGAGCCTTCCTCCGCATTCTAAACATTCACTTAAAGGTATGAGTTTATTTCAGGGGTGCTGCTGGGAGAGCCTCCAAATGGCTTCTTCCAGCCCCTGCCTGACAGTTCAGCTCCCCTGGAAGGTCAACTCCTCTAGTCCTTTCTCCTGGTTCTGGGCAGGACAGAAGTGGGGGGAGGGAGAGAGAGAGAGAGAGAGAGAGAGAGACGGTCAGGATCCCCGGACCCTGGGGACCCCGTCAAAAATAAATGAAATTAAGATTGCCGACCAGAGAGAGAACCGTGACAAAGCAAACGGCGTTCAAAGCAAAGAGACGAACTGAAAGCCCGTTCCCGTAGGACTGGTTATGAGGTCAACACATTCAAACACAGCTTGCTCTCGATTTTGCTGAGCAGAGGAAGATACAGATGCATTTGATCCAAAGTGTGTTACATCTTTCATTATATGTGTGTCTCTATATATAAACATATATAAATATATAAACATACATAAATGTATGTAAATATATATAATCTATATACATATATAAATATATAAACACATATATAATATATAAATCTATAAACATATATAATATATAAACATAAATATATAAACATATATAATATATAAATATATTAACATATATAAAATATGTATAAATATATATAAACATATAAACATATATAAATATATAAACATATATAAATATATACAAACATATTGTATATATATAAATATATATAAAAACATATATATACATATAAAAATATATATAAACATATATACATATAAAGAAATATATATAAACATATATACATATAAAATATACATATATAAACATATATATACATAAAATATATATATAAACATATATATACATATAAAAATATATATAAACATATATACATATAAAGAAATATATATAAACATATATACATATAAAATATACATATATAAACATATATATACATATAAAGAAATATATATAAACATATATACATATAAAATATACATATATAAACATATATATACATAAAATATATATATAAACATATATATACATAAAATATATATATAAACATATATATACATATAAAAATATATATATTAACATATATATACATATAAAAATATATATATATTTTTGGCCCCTGATTCCCTTCGGTTCCTGTGGGATGGGTGATTGAGTCAACACATTCAAACACAACTTTTCCATCGATGTTGCTTAGGAGATGAGGATACAGATGCGTTTGATGGAGAGGGTTTTACGAGCTCTTTCATTTAAAAATATATATATATATATATATATATTTTGGCTCCTGATTCTCTTCCGTCTTCCCATGTGGCTGCATTTTAAAAGGCTTCCCTAAGATCGTTAGGATTAAATCAACCCTCCCCAGGCATCTTTACCGAGGGCTGTGGTCCCCAAAGCGATACAGCCCAGGAGGGAGAGAGGCTTTGGTGACTTGGAGGAAGGACTGTGTCCCTCCTTAGGGCGTCTGTGGCCTCAGTGAGGGAAGGAAGCTGCATCAGACAGGGGTTTCCTCGCTGTCCACCCCTCTGGCAGAAGATGGATTGGGCTGCCCCGTATAAATTAATGAAAAGATTAAAGTTTCGCTAAAGGGGACATCGAGTTTATGTGTCATCTCCTGGTGTCTGTGTGCCTGGGATCTGCAATATATCCCAGCCCTTGATGTACTGTTTCTATAAAAATAAATTACTTGTAATTTAATTCCACACTATTTCTTTCCGTAGTCTATTACCGACGAGAGCACGTTAGTTCAGCTGCGGAAAATTGGTTGTGGGGTGTGTGCGGACCCCGAGAACGCCCTAAAATAAAGACAAATCGGGGACAAGCTGGGGGTTATCGATTGCAGGGGTCGCATGAAAATTTAACGACGGTAAATAATAATAACAACAAACATGGGAATGCAATAAAAGACATAATTCTCCATCGCCGCGGGGGGAAAGGATCCTATAGTAAAGGCGAGTGCGCTTTGAGGGGTCATAAAAATCAATTAGTTCCAACACCCACGTCCCGCGTTGAGGGGACGGGGACGAGCAGGGACAGAAAAAGAAACCATATTTGAATCCCATCTCTCTGTGAATTCTTGGGTCACATGCGTCTCAGTACAGCCCGTCCCGTGCTGTGACCGGATAGAGTTTCAATTTACTGTGGAAATTTGCTGTAAATAAATTGAGCATCCGATAGAAGCTGTTGCTGATTAACCTTTTATTTTTAGCGTGGCCCTGCAAAGTCGTATCACCCAGCTGTCAGGCTTCTAATCGAAAGTTATGAGACCACGGTGAGGGGCAGGCGGTAATTTAATTACAACAAATATCTTTGGGTTTATGGCGCAGAGCTAAATTAAATGTCATTATTCACTGTCTGTAATGGAAATCAAAAGGAAATCGCATTACGGCATTTGGGAAAGAAAGCGGGGAGTGCTCTTTAATGAAGAAATAACTGTCTTAAGCAGTGTCACACACTTCACTTACCATATTCGGGCCTAATTGGAATGGATCGTGAATCACTCCAAGACTGATTTATTAGCGCTTCACGCAGCGGCTAATTCATCACTTGTATTCTTCATCATTTTTTTTTTTCCTCTCGCCGTGTTGAAGGGAGAGTGAATGAGGCTTTCCACGTTTCAGGAGGATTTTCTTTTTTGAAAAATGCCCTTCCAGAGGCTTTTGGGTGGCTGGCTTGCTTTCTGGGCCCTGGAGGAGACAGGCGGAGAGTCCAGGTGGGCATGGAGAGGCACAGTGGCAGGTCACCTGGATGGTCAGTGGAGGTGGAGGTCTGAAGGCGCCAGCTTTGGAAATTATTGGTGAATTTCGATGTCAGCACCAGGCAGGGGCCTTTTTGGCGGGGGTGTGAGGGAGGATGACTTTGCTGGGAAACAGGATCAGGTTCTCCAGGCGCACTGCAGCCCGGTAGGACCCACTTTGGAAATGAAAAGCCAGTTCCGAAAGCTGGGCTGGAAGCTTCCGTGTTGGGTTCAAGAGCAAGTTCACGTTGCGCTGTGTAGACTCCTGGCTGCTCCCAAACTCTGAGGGTTTTCTGAGGTTCCCTTCATAGGGGCACCGGCCCTGGGCCATGCACAGTGTGTAAGGGTGGCTGTGGGCCGAGGGACCCAGCACGTGTTTTGCCCACAACAGCCGGAGTGACTGGTTCACTCACCGCCTTGGCGGAGGACGCCTGTTCTCTGGACGAATCATTTCTCTTGGGTGGTGACTGCCTTGTGGGTCAAGGTGCAGGTTTTCTGCCACAGAAAACCTGTTAGGAGGAATTAAGCGACTAAGACTGTCAGGGAGGTGGTGGTGGGGGAGAGGAGGGGGTGGTGTCCAGATTACCAGGCATAGGCTAAACTGCCTGCACTCTCCAGCTGGTCTGTCTGTGGAGGAGGGGATTGTCAATACTGGGAGAGCAGAGGAGGCTCGTAGGAGGTGAGAGGGGGTGGAATTTGCATGCAAATCTTCACATGAGGCCTGTGTGAATTTCTCCAGCCTCCTGAGGGTCCCCTGCGCTATTGCACTCAACTTCTTGATAGTTTACCCCAAGACTCAGAAGTCCTTAGAGGGGCAGAATGCCCCCACCACAAAGCCTGCTATCCTTGGGCGTCCTCATGACCCTTGGTCATGAATGGGACCCTTTCATGTATGGGGACCCTTGGTAATATGAATGGGACGCCTTCAGCTCCCCAGGGCTTCCGAGGAGGCCGAGAAGGGCAAAGACACTTCCGAGGAGGCCGAGAAGGGCAAAGACATTTTCTGGGCTTGGTGTGTCAAGAGCTAGATTGGAGAAGGGGCTGGATTTGGAACTCTTTAGCCATCAGCTCACCCTCTCCGTTTGTGGCTAAAGTCTGAAGGTGGAAACTTCGGTTCTCCTACAGGGTCTACAGGAGTTGGGGGGCGGGGCGCCCACACAGAACGCTGGAAAGTTCGACAGTCCACTTCCACTGGCTCGGAACTCACTTTTTCACCTTAAGTTCATCAGCGGTAACGCATAGGTCTCACTTAGGCAGGGCACGGATGATTTAACAATTTCTACTTCTAGGTCAGGTGCGGTGGCTCACACCTCTAATCCCAGCACTTTGGGAGGCCCAGGAGGGTGGATCGCTTGAGGTCAGGAGTTTGAGACCAGCCTGGCCAACATGGTGAAACCCCGTCTCTACTAAAATACGAAAATTAGCCAGGCATGGTGGTGAGCACCTGTAATTCCAGCTACTCGGGAGGCTGAGGCAGGAGAATCGCTTGAACCTGGGAGGTGGACGTTGCAGTGAGGTGAGATCACACCACTGCACTCCAGCCTGGATGAGAGAGCAAGACTCTGTCTCAAAAACAAAATAAAACAAAAACAAAACAAAAATCAAAAAAGAAAACCCAATTTCCAGTTCTAGGCCAGGTGCAGTGGCTCACGCCTGTCATCCCAGCACTTTGGGAGGCCCAGGAGGGTGGATCGCTTGAGGTCAGGAGTTCGAGACCAGCCTGGCCAACATGGTGAAACCCCATCTCTACTAAAAATACAAACGTTAGCTAGGTGTGGTGGTGTGCGCCTGTAATCCCAGCTACTCGGGAAGCTGAGGCTGGAGAATTGCTTGAATCTGGGAGGTGGAGGTTGCAGGGAGGCGAGATAGTGCCACTGCAGTCCAGCCTGGACCAGAGAGCAAGACTCCGTCTCAAAAACAAAAGAAAGCAAAAACAAAAAACAAGAGACCAGCCTGGCCAACATGGTGAAACCGCGTCTCTACTAAAATACAAAATTAGCCGGGCATGGTGGTGGGCACCTGTAGTCCCAGCTACTCGGGAGGCTGAGGCAGGAGAATGGCTTGAACCTGGGAGGTGGAGCTTGCAGTGAGCCGAGATAGTGCCACTGCACTCCAGCCTGGGCGACAGAGCGAGACTTGATTTCAGAACCACCACCACCACAACAAAACAAAACAAAAAATCCAAAAAAACCCCAATTTCCAGTACTAGGTAGTCAGTGATGCAGGGCTGGAGACAGAGGGGCGGTAAGTGTCTGGGCGCCCACCATCAGTCACCTCCCAGCTCCCAGAGGTGCAAAGTGCTTGGTTCAGCCTCATGGGAAGGATGCTCCCTGGGGAGGCTGGGCTGGGTTCACAGGGCTCTTCACATCTCTCTCTGCTTCTCCCCAAGGTTTGGTTCCAGAACCGGAGAGCCAAGTGCCGCAAACAAGAGAATCAGATGCATAAAGGTGGGTGTCGGGACTGGGGGGACCTGAAGCTGGGGGATCCTGCTCCAGGAGGGATGGGGTCGACGAGGTGCTGGCTACACCCAGGACCACCACACTGACACCTGCTCCCTTTGGACACAGGCGTCATCTTGGGCACAGCCAACCACCTAGACGCCTGCCGAGTGGCACCCTACGTCAACATGGGAGCCTTACGGATGCCTTTCCAACAGGTAGCTCACTTTTTCTTCCTCTGAAGATCCCTAGGGACCTGCTGCTCCCTTCCCCTTTCCCCTATTTGCTGCCGCATCCTGACACTCCTAGTCCCTCCCTGCCCCTGCAGACTTCTCAGCTGGCCCTTAGAAAAAAAGCCTCTTTTCCGAGGAGGCATTTACAGGCACCTTGGCACCTATGAAATCAGGCTGGGCCAGGCGGGGTGGCTCACACCTGTCATCCCAGCACTTTGGGAGGCTGAGGAGGGTGCATCACCTGAGATCAGGAGTTCAAGACCAGCCTGGCCAACTTAACGAAACCCTGTCTATTAAAAATACAAAATGGGTGTGGTGGCTCACGCCTGTCATCCCAGCACTTTGGGAGGCCGAGGCAGGTGGATCACCTGAGGTCAGGAATTCGAGACCAGCCTGACCAACATGCTGAAACCCCGTCTCTACTGAAAACACAAAGCTTAGCCGGGCGTGGTGGTGCACACCTGTGATCCCAGGTACTTGGGAGGGAGAATCACTTGAACCTGGGAGGTGGAGGTTGCCGTGAGCCAATATCGCGCCACTGCACTCCACTCTGGGTGACAGAGTGAGACTCCAAGACTCCATCTCAAAAAAAAAAAAAAAAAAATCAGGCTGTAAAAATCCACTTTTGGGAAGGTGAACACACACAAGCCCAAACAGAAATCTGACAAAAACCAGAGGGGTGAAAAGTCCACACAGTCAGGCACCCCCACCTGGCTTGCTGCCTGGTTAAGAAGGGCGCAGATGCCTGTGCCTGGATACCAGAGATGGGACAGACACCCATTCCCTTTTCATCACCACCCCCGAGTGCCCGAGGGCCTGGGGCGTCTGCCTGGCCCCTGGCCCCTGGCTTGGGCTCTGCACCTCTGAGCTGGAGACACCCTACTCAGCTCCCCACTTACTTTGGAGTGAGCAGCGCTTGGGTGCCCAGCGTGGATTTGGGGCTTCCAGGGAGTCGGGGTTCGGTCGCGGAGCCCAAGCTTCCCAAGGGCGCCCCCGCCCTGCCCTGGCTTAGTGGTGGGGATGGGATGGGGGGAAGCGGGGAGCTGCGTGGAAGGAGGTGAAGGGTCACAGGAGGAGAGAGCGCAGCGCCCACGTGCGCCCTGCCTGAACGCGCAGCGCAGCGCCCGGCTGCGGTGCCCCTTGCCCCTTCGGTCCCTAATTTGGGGGTCGGGAGTGCATGCGCGGGCGGAACGGGCTTGGGGGGGGGGCTCTGGCAGGGCGGACGCGTGGCCTCCCTTCTTCACCGTTTTATTCCAAGGGGACAGGCTGGGGATTGTATTTGGGCGCGTGTTTGGCTGAGGGTGCAGGGACTTGGGGGGTGGCGGTGGGGAGCGCGGAAGGTATAAACGTATAAATCATAAGTAAACAACTCAGAAATGGACCCCGAGCGCTGGTCGCCGCTAGCTCTCCAGCTCTCCCTGGCCCAGGCCCGAAGGAGAGGGGTCCGCATCCCTCCGCGGTTCTCCTCTCCTGGGTACCTGGCCTTGAGGTGGGGGAACGAGCCTACTTCTTGTACCGTCTTTTGCCGACGGCGGGACCCAGTGAAATTAGGCCGTTGGAGCCCGCAGGCCTGCCTGGCTTTGCGCACCGGAGTCTTGGGGACCTGGTGTCCCCGGGAAAAACTTGGGGACCTGGTATCCCCGGGAGAGGCTTGGGGACCTGGTGTCCCGGGAGAGGCTTGGGTACCTGGTTTCTCTGGAAGAGGCTTGGACACCTGGTGTCCTGGGAGGGCCTTTGGGACCTGGTGTCCTGGGAGAGGCTTGGAGATCTGTTGTCCTGGGAGAGGCTTGGGGACCTGGTGTCCCTGGAGAGGCTTGGGGACCTGGTGACCTTGGAGAGGCTTGGAGACCTGGTGTTCTGGGAGAGGCTTGGGGACCTGGTGTTCTGGGAGAGGCTTGGGGACCTGGTGTCTCTGGAAGAGGCTTGGACACCTGGTGACCCGGGAGGGCCTTGGGGATCTGGTGTCCCGGGAGAGCCTTGGGGACCTGGTGTCCTGGGAGAGGCTTGGGGACCTGGTGACCTTGGAGAGGCTTGGGGACCTGGTGTCCTGAAAGAGCCTTGGGGATCTGGTGTCCCAGGAGAGGCTTGGGGACCTGGTGTCTCTGGAAGAGGCTTGGACACCTGGTGTCCTGGGGAGAGGCTTGGGGACCTGGTGTCCTGGGAGAGGCTTGGGGACCTGGTGTCCTGGGAGAGGCTTGGAGATCTGGTGAGCCGGGAGAGGCTTGGGGACCTGGTGTCCCGGGAGAGGCTTGGGGACTTGGTGTCCCGGGAGAGGCTTGGACACCTGGTGTCCCAGGAGAGGCTTGGGGACCTGGTGACCTTGGAGAGGCCTGGGGACCTGGTGACCCGGGAGAGCCTTGGGGACCTGGTGTCCTGGGGAGAGCCTTGGGGACCTGGTGACCTTGGAGAGGCTTGGGGACCTGGTGTCTCGGGAGTGCCTTGGGGACCTAGTGACCCGGGAGAGGCTTGGGGACCTGGTGTCCCGGGAGAGGCTTGGGGACCTGGTGTCCTGGGAGAGCCTTGGGGATCTGGTGTCCTGGGGAGAGGCTGGGGGACCTGGTGTCTCGGGAGAGAGCCTTGGGGACCTGGTGACCCGGGAGAGGCTTGGACACCTGGTGTCCCGGGAGAGGCTTGGGGACCTGGTGACCCGGGAGAGCCTTGGGGACCTGGTGTCCTGGGGAGAGGCTGGGGGACCTGGTGTCTCGGGAGAGAGCCTTGGGGACCTGGTGACCCGGGAGAGGCTTGGACACCTGGTGTCCCGGGAGAGGCTTGGGAGCCTGGTGTCCCGGGAGAGCCTTGGGGACCAGGTGACCTTGGAGAGGCTTGGGGACCTGGTGATCTTGGAGAGGCTTGGGGACCTGGTGTCTCGGGAGAGCCTTGGTGACCTGGGGACCCGGGAGAGGCTTGGGGACCTGGTGTCCCCGGGAGAGGTTACGGGGGCTGGTTGGGGGAGAGAACGTTGTGAGCCAAAGTCCCTGAATCCCTGCGAAGAGAGCGCATCGGGAGCTCCCCCTGAGGGCGTTCCATTTGTGGACCCCCCTCCCATGCGCTTTGCAGGGAGCTGTTCGGATTCCCCTGGCCCGGCTCCCGCGGATGCATCCAGTGGCAGCGCCAATTCTGGGCCAGGGGGAAGGAGGAAAGGCGGGTGTGGGGTGGTCTCCACGGCTGGAGAAGGGGCGACGCTCCCTAGGGGAGAAGAGGCACGTTGGAGGTTTCCGGGGGCGCGGGGCGGAGCAGGCCCCCCAGTCCCCATCCTGCGCCCTCACCCCGCCGGGTCCGCTCCCGCAGGTCCAGGCTCAGCTGCAGCTGGAAGGCGTGGCCCACGCGCACCCGCACCTGCACCCGCACCTGGCGGCGCACGCGCCCTACCTGATGTTCCCCCCGCCGCCCTTCGGGCTGCCCATCGCGTCGCTGGCCGAGTCCGCCTCGGCCGCCGCCGTGGTCGCCGCCGCCGCCAAAAGCAACAGCAAGAATTCCAGCATCGCCGACCTGCGGCTCAAGGCGCGGAAGCACGCGGAGGCCCTGGGGCTCTGACCCGCCGCGCAGCCCCCCGCGCGCCCGGACTCCCGGGCTCCGCGCACCCCGCCTGCACCGCGCGTCCTGCACTCAACCCCGCCTGGAGCTCCTTCCGCGGCCACCGTGCTCCGGGCACCCCGGGAGCTCCTGCAAGAGGCCTGAGGAGGGAGGCTCCCGGGACCGTCCACGCACGACCCAGCCAGACCCTCGCGGAGATGGTGCAGAAGGCGGAGCGGGTGAGCGGCCGTGCGTCCAGCCCGGGCCTCTCCAAGGCTGCCCGTGCGTCCTGGGACCCTGGAGAAGGGTAAACCCCCGCCTGGCTGCGTCTTCCTCTGCTATACCCTATGCATGCGGTTAACTACACACGTTTGGAAGATCCTTAGAGTCTATTGAAACTGCAAAGATCCCGGAGCTGGTCTCCGATGAAAATGCCATTTCTTCGTTGCCAACGATTTTCTTTACTACCATGCTCCTTCCTTCATCCCGAGAGGCTGCGGAACGGGTGTGGATTTGAATGTGGACTTCGGAATCCCAGGAGGCAGGGGCCGGGCTCTCCTCCACCGCTCCCCCGGAGCCTCCCAGGCAGCAATAAGGAAATAGTTCTCTGGCTGAGGCTGAGGACGTGAACCGCGGGCTTTGGAAAGGGAGGGGAGGGAGACCCGAACCTCCCACGTTGGGACTCCCACGTTCCGGGGACCTGAATGAGGACCGACTTTATAACTTTTCCAGTGTTTGATTCCCAAATTGGGTCTGGTTTTGTTTTGGATTGGTATTTTTTTTTTTTTTTTTTTTTTTTTTTTTTTTTGCTGTGTTACAGGATTCAGACGCAAAAGACTTGCATAAGAGACGGACGCGTGGTTGCAAGGTGTCATACTGATATGCAGCATTAACTTTACTGACATGGAGTGAAGTGCAATATTATAAATATTATAGATTAAAAAAAAAATAGCCGTGCACTCTTGACCCCGTCAGCGTCCAACGTGGAAAAGGCGTTACCTCTTCTCCCAGCGCTGGCCGCCTGGCCACTGAGGGCCCTTTGCAAAAATCACGGGTGTAGAGATGGCCCTGGGCGCGCTGGGAGTGTGGTTGTGTTTCTGAAGGGGATAAAAGAGGGCACGGTGGTGCCAAGATATCAGTTTGGTACCTGAGCTGTTTCTGGTTGGGAAGCGTAAAAGCCAGGGAGAGATCCAGAGAGTTTTCAAGTTTTTGCAGATGTAGGTGGTTCCAGCTTTTCTTTCTCCCCTACTCCATCTTCTGCGTTCCCCCAGTTCTTTTATTTCTTTGTTTTTTATTTTTGAGACAGAGACTTGCTTTGTCGCCCAGGCTGGAGTGCAGTGGCGCAATGTCAGCTCACTGCCACCTCCGCCTCCCGGGTTCAAGCGATGCTCCTGCCTCAGCCTCCCGAGTAGCTGGGACTACAGGCACCTGCCACCACCCCCGGCTAATTTTTTGTATTTATAGTAGAGACGGGGTTTCACCGTGTTGGCCAGGCTCGTCTCGAACTCCTGACCTCAGGTGATCTGCCCGCCTCGGCCTCCCAACGTGCCCCCAGTTTTATAAACAGCAGATAGCAACTTGTCGTCACAGCTGGCATGGGCTGGACAGTTGCTTGAAATGACCTAACCAAAAACATTCAAGGGTTCTGCCCCCAGATTTCGGGAGATCCACGTTCCATGTTCTGATTGGTTTTCTGGGAACACAGCAAGGGGTTTGGTGACCTCCGAGAAGATCCATCTGCATGATTGGCATTAGTTACCACAGCCTGCCCAGAGAGAAACTATCTTCTCCCAACATTTACTAACATCCACTGGTCAACTCTCTTATTTCCATAACACATTTGCATCTTTCTGGATTCAAGCTTGGTGGTTTTCTTTCCTAACTTCTGATTTAGATACTTCTCCCTGAGGTGGGGATAAAAGAAAAAAAAAAACAACTTCTTTTTTTCTTCCGCATAACACTTTCTATCTTGTCACTGAGCTGAACTGTAGATCCATTTGGACCCGTCTCATTTGTATCTTCTGATATTCTTTATACAAACCAAAAGTCCCCTTCAACATTTTTTATGTCAAAATGTTACAACCGCTGTAAAATGACGGAGAGAGAGAGAAAGAATCCCAGACATTAACGGTATTAGAGAGTTTGCCTCATTCATCCATTTTTCTTAAAAGCTGGAAATTAAAAAAAAAAAAGAGAGAGAGAGGCTTTAATAGTTAAGCTGAAATTTTTATCGAAAAGAAGAATTGCATTTTGAATCTTTGGGAAGTAGGTTCATTCATCAGAGTATGTAACCCTTTGGAAAAGTGGTTGGTAAGATATGTACAGCCCTAGATTTTTTTTTTTTAACCAAAAAGGCTGAGTAATTTTGAAAAATCGAAACATAACAGTGTGTCATCATTTCCTCCCAAGAAAAAGCTCACTCCACGTGAGTAGAAAGACATCTACCTGGTCCCTGTAGAATCTGAACGTTTCTCTTTAGAGACGGAATTTCAATCTTGTCCCCCAGGCTGGAGTGCAGTGGCACAATCTCGGCTCACCGCAACCTCCGCCTCCCGGGTTCAAGCCATTCTCCTGCCTCAGCCTCCCGAGTAGCTGGGATTACAGGCACCTGCCACCAGGCCTGGGTAACTTTCTGGTATTTTTAGTAGAGACAGGGTTTCAGCCTCCCGAGTAGCTGGGATTACAGGCACCTGCCACCAGGCCTGGGTAACTTTCTGGTATTTTTAGTAGAGACAGGGTTTCAGCCTCCCGAGTAGCTGGGATTACAGGCACCTGCCACCAGGCCTGGGTAACTTTCTGGTATTTTTAGTAGAGACAGGGTTTCAGCCTCCCGAGTAGCTGGGATTACAGGCACCTGCCACCAGGCCTGGGTAACTTTCTGGTATTTTTAGTAGAGACAGGGTTTCGGCCTCCCGAGTAGCTGGGATTACAGGCACCTGCCACCAGGCCTGGGTAACTTTCTGGTATTTTTAGTAGAGACAGGGTTTCGGCCTCCCGAGTAGCTGGGATTACAGGCACCTGCCACCAGGCCTGGGTAACTTTCTGGTATTTTTAGTAGAGACAGGGTTTCAGCCTCCCGAGTAGCTGGGATTACAGGCACCTGCCACCAGGCCTGGGTAACTTTCTGGTATTTTTAGTAGAGACAGGGTTTCGGCCTCCCGAGTAGCTGGGATTACAGGCACCTGCCACCAGGCCTGGGTAACTTTCTGGTATTTTTAGTACAGACAGGGTTTCAGCCTCCCGAGTAGCTGGGATTACAGGCACCTGCCACCAGGCCTGGGTAACTTTCTGGTATTTTTAGTAGAGACAGGGTTTCGGCCTCCCGAGTAGCTGGGATTACAGGCACCTGCCACCAGGCCTGGGTAACTTTCTGGTATTTTTAGTAGAGACAGGGTTTCGGCCTCCCGAGTAGCTGGGATTACAGGCACCTGCCACCAGGCCTGGGTAACTTTCTGGTATTTTTAGTAGAGACAGGGTTTCGGCCTCCTGAGTAGCTGGGATTACAGGCACCTGCCACCAGGCCTGGGTAACTTTCTGGTATTTTTAGTAGAGACAGGGTTTCAGCCTCCCGAGTAGCTGGGATTACAGGCACCTGCCACCAGGCCTGGGTAACTTTCTGGTATTTTTAGTACAGACAGGGTTTCGGCCTCCTGAGTAGCTGGGATTACAGGCACCTGCCACCAGGCCTGGGTAACTTTCTGGTAGTTTTAGTAGAGACAGGGTTTCAGCCTCCCGAGTAGCTGGGATTACAGGCACCTGCCACCAGGCCTGGGTAATTTTTTTGCATTTTTGGTAGAGACAGGTTTTTGCTGTGTTGGCCCGGCTGGTCTCAAACTCCTGACCTCAGGTTGACCTGCCCGCTTTGTCCCTCGCAAAGTGCTGGGATTACAGGCGTGAGCCACCGCACCTGGCCTGAATCTGAACTTTTAAAAGGGAGTTACTGACTCTCAACTGTGCGGGGACGGTTTCAGTTTGATTTAATATGGAAAGAGGGCCAAGTGTCATCCTCACAAATGGGTCCCCGAAGCAGATCAAACGCAGAGAACTGTGAGGGTGGGACACGAGTGTCTGTGGACACTGGCTGCCTTTGGCTTTTCTCCTGCGAGAGAAGTTGGGTGACTTTCTGTAGGTGGATGAGTGATCCCTGAATGAGTGTGGGGTACGTGTATGCTAGCTGCTTCTTTCTCCCTGAAACTCTCGGATGGAAGGAAGTAAGAAATTCAGCTTGGGCTGTGACCAGTTCTCACCACCAACGCCCTCTTCTCTCTCCCTTCTCCTTCCTTCCTTCCTTCCTTTCTTTCTTTTTCTTTCTTTCTCTCTTTCTTTCTTTTCTTTCTTTCTGTTTCTTTCCTTTTTATCTTTCTCTCTTTTTCTTTCTCTTTTCCTTTTTTGTTTCTTTCTTTCTTTTTCTTTCTTTCTTTTTCTTTCTTCTTTCTTTCTTCGATGAAGTCTCACTCTGTCACCCAGGCTGGAGTGCAGTGGTGCAATCCCAGCTCACTGCATCCTCTACCTCCTGGCTTCAAGAAATTCTCCTGCCTCAGCCTCCCAAGTAGCTGGGATGACAGGCACCCACCACCATTCCCGGATAATTTTTGTATTTTTTAGTAGAGACCGGGTTTCGCCATGTTGGCCAGGCTGGTCTTGAACTCCTGACCTCACATGATCCACCCGCCTCAGCCTCCCAGAGTGCTGGGATTACGGGGTGAGGCACCGCGCCCGGCCTCCTCTCTCTTTTTCTGAGATGTTTAGGAAGGACTGGGCTGATGGGGACCCTCTGTATGTGATGTGCGTGGGTTTGGTTTCCCGGAAGGCCCTCCAGAGACACGTTTGCGTGAACATTCAGCATGGAAACAACATACGTCTCTCCACAGGAGGTGAGAAATTGAATTTATGGGGTGGGTGTACGCTGGCGATTCTTGGTGCTTTTTGCTCAAAACAAGGTTCTTTTGAAAGTCACGTTCCTGCTTTCCCTGTGGCTTCCCGGTGAGCTCGCTCGCAGAGCAAGGAATACCACCCAGAGAGCAACGTGGGCTGTGTTCCGATGTAACGCCGTTGCAGAGAGAGGATTTGGTGTGTGAGATCCGTACCAGCTCCAGCACACTGATAGGAACACGTTGCTGGCCGAACTGAACGATGCTGGGTTGGGTCCTGATTGATACGTATTTTCTTCCCTCCTCTCCCCAAAACTTGGCCAAATAGTCCGTGGAGGGTTGTCAGTCGCCGCAGTTGAGCAAAAAACACTTCTTCCTTTGAGTGGCTGTTCTGGTGAAATCTGTTTCTGACATATCCACTTTTCTCTCTCTTTTCTCTCTCTCTGACTGCGAAGCACCCACAGGGAGAAGGAATTGGATGTATCGGATGTTGCTATTAGATTTTCTTTCTCCGTTCGAGTCTCTGACTGGTGCATACTTTGCAAAGGTGTGTTCCTGGCAATTGCCAAGAGTTAGAAAAATGCACCTTCTCTGGTGGCCGTTGGGGTGTTGTTTCACAGGCAGTGGTGACAGGGCCCCTTGGCTGTGGCTGTCTTCTCCAGCGCCGTGGATAAAGAGATGGGACAGATTCTGTGCCTCTGTACGATTTAGAGCGTAACTGACCGCGTCCAACACCCGTTTTTCCACTTACAAAGCTGGTGGTGCGACGGGCTTGGTGTCTCCCGTACGGGAAGGAGGCCTTTGGGCCGCTCCAAAGACGCCCTGTCGTAGGAATGGCCTCTCCATCCCGCCAAAGTCCAGCCAGGCCCCCGAAATGGTCCCATTTCCTTGGAAGCCTGAGTTTCTGTTCTGGTCTTGCTGCTGTCCTTGGCCACGTCAGCACGTGGGAGCATCTGTGGATACCGCAGAGTCTGGGGACAGCTGGGCGTTTAACCGAAATGAAGCCGAGACGGGTTTCAGGTTTTGGTGCCAAGCTCTGGTCAGGATGAAAGGGAAATACCAGAGTCCTCTGTCCTCGCCTCTGGGTTTCATGCTGACCTTTCTAACATTTGTTTTCCCCTAAGAACAAGCAGAAGCCTCCAGCTCCCTTTAGCTCCACAGTTTTCCCGGGGACATAGCGAGGATGGCACACGGCAGCCACTCCCACGACACACATTTCGGAGGCACTTTGCTGGAAGCCGCTTGTCTCCTCCAGCTTTGGGAGGTCTGGGGAGGAGAGAGGCTTTCGGTGGACACGTTTGACATTAAAAAAAAAAAAAAAAAAAAAAAAAAACTGGTGCCTAATTTATTAAAGAGAATTAGCTTAGCGAGTATATGCTGATATTCTTCGACACACGTGGGTAAGTTGATGCCATTTATAAATGTTTTATTGAAATTTGATATTTAATGAGAAGCCGGTTAAGGAATGTAGACAATATCCCGTTTCAAAGCTATGAAATGTGCTATTTATTGAAAGGGGATGTGGCTTCACGAGTTCAGCCCATTGTACGTGCAGGTCCCGTGGGAAGGAGGCAAAAGCCCCTGCTTCTTACTTTGTGATGTATGTGCATTTGTTATTTATTTTTTTTTCCTTGGTCGGACGTTCATAAATATGTACTATTTTAATTATGTCGAGTGTAAATTTGACATCGCGTTGCATTTATTTTTATATTTCTGAAAACTGTTGCTTTTTCTTTTTCCCTCCCCCATTGACGACATAGCGGCCCCCGCGTCCGGGTTACAAATACATCTACAGATATTTTCAGGGATTGCTTCAGATGAAAACAAATCACACACCGTTTCCCAAACCAACAGTCTTCACATTTCTATCCCTCTGTTATTGTCGGCAGGCGGTGAGGGGTAGAAAAAAAACAAACAAACAAACAGAAAAAAAAACCAAAAAAAACCACCCTGAGTTTCTCTGGTGACGCCCTCATTCTCCTAACGTTCAATAATCTCAATGTTGAGTTGCAGCAACAGACTGTATTTTTGTGACGCCCCGTAGTATGAATGTACATCTTGTAAAACTGAGATATAAATAAACTTATAAATATTTGTATTCAAGTGTTAAAAAAAAAAAAATTCTCAACCTCTCCCCTGAGGACAGGCTTATTGGAAAAAAAAAAAAAAAAAAAAAATCCTGAGTCGGCCGTGGCTGAACACAGAGTGTTGTTCTGCTCCGTGCATTTCCAGGGTGGGTACCCAGTGTTGCCCCCCAGCCTTAGATCGGGAGGTACCATTGACTTTTGCTTGTATCCCATCCCCTTCCTTTACTGAAACCTACCTCCCCGCTTCTCAGCCAACGTCCCCCCAGAAGGTGGCAAAAAAAACAGAGGAAAAAGCCCTGATTTGAATCAAGTCAGAGCTGCTAATTCTCCACTTTCTTTAATTAATTAATTTATTTTTTTTTTTGAGACTGAGTCTCGCTCTGTCGCCCAGGCCGGAGGAGTGCAGGGGCGCGATCTCGGCTCACCGCGACCTCCGCCTCCCGGGTTCAAGCGACTCTCCTGCCTCAGCCTCCCGAGTAGCTGGGATGACAGTCACCTGCACCACCGCGCCCGGCTCATTTTTGTATTTTTAGTAGCAATGGGG
Source organism: Homo sapiens (assembly GCF_000001405.40). NCBI lineage: Eukaryota > Metazoa > Chordata > Mammalia > Primates > Hominidae > Homo > Homo sapiens. The sequence continues at coordinate 652,118 of NC_000024.10, forward strand.
TTTCACCGTGTTGGTCAGGCTGGTCTCGAACTCCTGACCTCGTGATCCACCCGCGTCTGGGCCCGGCCGGTGATGTGTGTGCTTTTAACTTTTATTTTGTTCCAGTTTTCGACAGTGGCACGGATTTTCCAGCACGGTCTTGCAAGGATGATTGAGTCATTTTTGAGACAAAAAATATAATAATAATAAATGGAAAAAGAAATCGACTTTTAAAAATGACAAATTTTTTTTTTTTTTTTTGCATAGATTTTTCTCTCTTTATGTAAAGGAAAGTTCATGATTGGATTTGGCCGGCCTGACTGCTTCCCGGCTGTGATAAAAAACACATGTGAGCTGGGAGGGAAGTGGGGGAGGGACACAGCTGCCCACACAGGGTTCCCACCGCGGTTACAGGGTGGGCAGTGCTGGGGGAGCTTTCTCTGTGGGGGGCTCAGAGCCTGAGGACAGGTGAGCCTCTCCGACACCTCCCCAGTTGCCTGGAGTCTAAACCGTCCGTTGTCTGTACCGTCCGTTCTTCCTGCTGACTCCTGGTAGTTCCTGAAAGCTTCTCTTGGCCAGAGAAGGGGTTTCAGAGGCCGTGTGTCCAGGCCATTCTGCAAAGTGCAACTTGACCGTTCCTTTCCTTTTCTGGCCTGCGTGGTCTGAAGCTCAGAGCCCTCTCTTCACCCAGCCTGTGTGTGTCTTGCCGGACAGAAGAAAAATGGTGCTTTTTGCGTGTTAGCAGAGGTGCTTTTCATGGCTGACCTCAACGCGTCCATCTCCAGCCTGTTTTTTAGGGGCAAACGCAGGCAAGTTCTGAATGCACACAGTTATTTCATGGTTAAACTATTCAGCTTTGGCCGGGCGCAGTGTGGCTCTCACGCCTGTCATCCCAGCACTTTGGGAGGCCGAGGCGGGTGGATCACCTGAGGTCAGGAGTTCGAGACCAGCCTGGCCAACACGGTGAAACTCTATCTCTACTAAAAATACAAAAATTAGCCGGGCGTGGTGGTGTGTATCTGTAATCCCAGCTACTCAGGAAGCTGAGGCAGGAGAATCGCTTGGACCCAGGAGGCGGAGGTTGCACTGAGCCGAGATCGCGCCATTGCACTCCAGCCTGGGCGACAGAGCCAGACGCTGTCTCAAAAAAATGAATAATAAAATAAAATAACAGGAACTAAATAAAATAAAACGTTCAGCTTTGTTCTGCAAATCCACTCCTATTGTTTTACGTGGTTTGAGAGACTCTGTCCCTTAGAAATAGATGTTTGTTGCCAATTGTAATGAATCTGTTTCAAAAATGAACAGAATATTCAAATGGTTTGAGAGATCTTTTCCCTTAGAAATAGCTTGTTGCCAATCACAAAGAATGTTTTTCAAAAATGAATGGAATCTTCCTGGATATCGCTTCCAGATCTTCATTTTTTTTGCATAGTTCAACCTGAAAAGTAAGTGTCTCAGCCCTGAATTTCTTTCTGATTTTTCCATGGGTTGTCTTGCAGACTTCTCTGGACTTGACCACATTTAAAAAAAAAAAAATTAACTTTTTCACACGGACACGGTTTCAATAGGAATGAGATCTTTGAGTTTTTATGTAACAGATTCTTACCATCAGTTCTCAGATTCCCAAATTACACACAAAAAGCCACGGACTTCGCCTCCTGCTAACATGTCCTTCTGTTTCTGAGGCTTCTGTTGGTGTTAGACTTTCATGTTTAATAGCAGACAATGTAGGGATTTAAAGAAAAATGCAGAGAAAGCAAAAACACTGACCAAACACACGGAGATAAGCTTTCTAAAGCCTTTGTTCTTGGAGTTGTCGTTAAAAAAAAAAAGTTGTTTTAAACTTTGCAAGCATGCCTATATTGAACTCATAAGCAAGAGAGCCAAGAAAAATAGTGTCGGTCGTCTACTCTACACGTTTTCCCAAAACAGACGTATTTTAATTTCTTTTGTTTGAACTCACAGATGCTGAGAGTTAAAAGTTAAATTTTTGTCATGAACAATAGTGGCCAAAACCACAGTTACTTTTGCACTATAGCATAATAAGAAAAATACAGGCTGGGCTCGGTGGCTCACACCTGTAATCAAAGCACTTTTGGAGGCGAAACAGCCAGATCCCTTGAGCCCAGGAGATTGAGACCAGCCTGGGCAACATAGCGAGACCCTCATCTCTACAAAAAAGGTTTGTTACATATGTAACAAACCTGCACATTGTGCACATGTACCCTAAAACTTAAAGTATAATAATAAAAAAATTAAAAAAAAATTCACCAATCAACTGCCTGCTGGTGCCTTCAAGAGACTCACCTAACACATAAGGACTTGCATAAACTTATAAAACAATTCAATGGAAGAATCCTTGAAAGTATTCTGAGAAGACAGTATAATAAACTGATTTCTAAAAAGGCTATAAAAAATTGAATAAATCATTGTTGGGCATCCTGTGCTGAAATATAATGCAGCCAATAAAAATTACAAAATGAATAAACATTTTATAACAATTAAAAAAAGTCAAATAATTAGGCAGGCATGGTGGTGCTCTCCTACGGTTGAAGCTATTCAGCAGGCAAGAGGATACTTTGTTTTTGTTTTTTAATTTTTTTTGAGACAGAGTCTCGCTCTGTTGCCAGGCTGGAGTGCAGTGGCGTGATCTCAGCTCACTGTAATTTCTGCCTCCCGGGTTCAAGCGATTTTCCTGCCCCAGCCTCCCGAGTAGCTGGGATTACAGGTGCCCGCCACCACACCTGGCTAATTTCTTTTGTATTTTTAGTAGAGACGAGGTTTCCCCATGTTGGCCAGGCTGGTTTTGAGCTCCCGACCTCGGGTGATCCACCCGCCTCAGCCTCCCAAAGTGCTGGGATGACAGGCGTGAGCCACCGCGCCTGGCCCAGGAGGATTATTTGATCCCAGGAGGTGGAGGCTGCAGGAAGCCATGATTGCACCACTGCACTCCAGCCTGGCTGACAGAGTGAGACCACATCTCTAAATAAATGAATAAATACAGGCAGAAACTTTTTTTGTTTTGTTTTGATGGAGTCTTGCTCTGTCACCAGGCAGGAGTGCAGTGGTGCCATCTCAGCTCACTGCAACCTCCACCTCCTGGGTTCAAGCAATCCTCCTGCCTCAGCCTCCCGAGTAGCTGGGATTACAGGTGCCCGCCACCACGCCCGGCTAATTTTTTGTATGTTTAGTAGAGACGGGATTTCACCGTGTTAGCCAGGATGGTCTTGATCTCTTGACTTTGTGATCTGCCTGCCTCAGCCTCCCAAAGTGCTGGGATTACAGGCATGAGCCCAGGAGTTCAAGACCAGCCTCAGCAACAAAGTGAGACCTTTTCTCTCCAAAAAATCAAAAATTTAGCCAGCTGTGGTGGCTCCTGCCCGTGATCCCAGTACTGTGGGAGGCTGAGGCAGAATTGCTTGAGCCCAGGAGTTCGAGACCAACCTCAGCAAAAAGGACTCTCTCTCTGTCTCTCTCTCTCTCTCTCTCTCTCTCTCTCTCTCTCTCTCTCTCTCTATATATATATATATATATATATATATATATATATATATATATGAGTTTCAAAAATTGCTGGGTGACCAGCTCATCTACTGGTTTTCCCCTTGGGAAAGTGAAATTGTCATGTATTGAAGATTTCCAAGGAAGTTGTATTGAATGAGAAACAAACTCAATCTGTTCGTGTTTAAAGAGCTGCAGTGCGTTTGCCGTGTTTCCCATAAAACTGCACTTCCAAAAGACACGCTGAGAAAGGAGACCAGGATTTGTAATTCAGAAATTGGAAAGCAAGTTAGGCTGGACGTGGTAGCTCACGCTTGTTGTAATCTCAGCACTCTGGGAGGCTGAGGCAGGAGGATCACTTGAGCCCAGGAGTTCAAGACCAGCCCGTGCCACATGGTGAAACCCTGTCTCTCCAAAAAATAAAACATTTAGCCAGATGTGGTGACTCATGCCTGTAATCCCGGTATTCTGGGAGGCTGAGGCAGAGTTGCTTGAGCCCAGGAGTTCAAGACCAGCCTCGGCAACAAAGTGAGACCCTGTCTCTCCAAAAAATAAAACATTTAGCCAGCTGTGGTGACTCATGCCTGTAATCTCAGTACTCTGGGAGGCTGGGGCAGAATGGCTTGAGCCCAGGAGTTCGAGACCAACCTCAGCAACAAAGTGAGATCTTGTTTCTCCAAAAAATCAAAAATTTAGCCAGCTGTGCTGGCTCATGCCTGTAATCCCGGTACTCTGGGAGGCTGAGGCAGAATCGTTTGAGCCCAGGAGTTCGAGACCAACCTCAGCAACAAAGTGAGATCTTGTTTCTCCAAAAAAATCAAAAATTTAGCCAGCTGTGCTGGCTGATGCCTGTAATCCCGGTACTCTGGGAGGCTGAGGCGGAATTGCTTGAGCCCAGGAGTTCAAGACCAGCCTCAGCAACAAAGTGAGATCTTGTTTCTCCAAAAAATAAAACATTTAGTCAGCTGTGGTGGCTCAAGCCTGTGATCCCAGCATTTTGGGAGGCCGAGGCGGGCGGATCACGAGGTCATGAGATCGAGACCATCCTGGCTAACACGGTGAAACCCCGTCTCTACTAAAAATACAAAGAAAATTAGCCGGGCGTGGTGGCGGGCGCCTGTAGTCCCAGCTACTCAGGAGGCTGAGGCAGGAGAATGCCGTGAGCCTGGGAGGCGGACCATGCAGTGAGTCGAGATCGCGCCACTGCCCTCCAGCCTGGGCCACAGAGCAAGACTCCGTCTCAAAAAAAAAAAAAAAAAACTGCTGCCCAAGCTGTGTTTGCACCACTGCCCTCCAGCCTGGGCAACAGAGCAAGACTCCGTCTCAAAAAAAAAAAAAAAATGCTGCCCAAGCTGTGTTTGCACCACTGCCCTCCAGCCTGGGCAACAGAGCAAGACTCTGTCTCAAAAAAAAAAAAAATGCTGCCCAAGCTGTGTTTGCACCACTGCCCTCCAGCCTGGGCAACAGAGCAAGACTCCGTCTCAAAAAAAAAAAAAATGCTGCCCAAGCTGTGTTTGCACCACTGCCCTCCAGCCTGGGCAACAGAGCAAGCCTCAGCTTTCTGCCATCTCCACAACCAAGAAAGCAATTCACACAGAAATCAGTGCATCGTGCAGTGACCTCTTCAGAAAACCAATGAGTTTTCCACCTGAGGAACTGTTTCTGAGCCCCATTCAGAAGAACACATCCCTGTAACTGCAGGGCAGATTTACTCACTGATGCCTGTTTAAATAAAGCTTCCAGCCTCTGCATGGGGTCTGTCTGGAAGCTCCTGTATCTGTCCCACATTCTTGGAATCACAATGCACCCTTGGGAGGAAGATATGTATTTAAAGGGAGTGGATGTTATGGTGAGAAAATGCTGCCCATCCTTCTAGAAGACAAAAGCCACACAAAATACATCACAAGAACCAGTTTTTTTCAGAGAAGAACCTGCACAAAGAACCTGCTCCCCCCACACCCCCACACACAGGTGAATTAACAGGATGTATGTTTTATCATAAAAGCACAGGTTTGTTTCCTATGCACTCTCTGAGGATTTGGCCATATGCAAAGATGTACAAAAACCTTCTCTTTCCCCAGGGAACCGTAACCCGTCTGAAAAGATGCCCTTCTCAGAAGCGAGTTGAACGATTGTTGGAAAAGATAAAATACGACGTGCACACACAGAGTAGAGAAATGTCACCCATGCAAATTATGTGTTTGAATGGAACACATTCAGGAAGCTAAATGGGGTATGACCACACATTTGGGTTGATTTATTTGACGAGTGGAAGGGGCAGATGGAAATGAATACTGCTGTTTTCCTTTGGAAGGCCATATATGGGAATACCAAGAGGATTACTTTGGAAGTTTAGCTTCTCCAGGTGGTCTCTCTCTCTCTCTCTTTTTTTGAGACAGAGTCTCACTCTGTCACCCAGGCTGCAGTGCAATGGCGTGATCTCGGCTCACTGCAACCTCAGCCTCCCAGGTACAAGCGATTCTCCTGCCTCAGCCTCCCGAGTAGCTGGGATCACAGGTGTGCACCACCACGCCTGGCTAATGTTTGTATTTTCAGTAGAGATGAGGTTTTACCATGTTGGCCAGGCTGGTCTTGAACTCCTGACCTCAGGTGATCCGCCTGCCTCGGCCTCCCAAAGTGCTGGGATGACAGACATGAGCCAGCACGCCCGGCCCCAGGTGGTCTTTTTAGCGGGTATTAAAGCAGCTTTCTCTCTGAGCCTTAAACCATGAAGATAGACAGACTCAGTGTATGGGTTTTAGAGTTGTAATTTTATAAAAATAAGAAAAAGTCGACCTATCATTGATGGTTAGTATTTTTTGTAGCAGTTGCATGCAATATTAGGATAAGGCATGTTCTCAAAAAGAACTCTTTTTTTTTTTTTTTTTGAGACGGAGTCTCGCTCTGTCACCCAGGCTGGAGTGCAGTGGCACGATCTCCGCTCACTGCAAGCTCCTCTTCCCGGGTTCACGCCATTCTCCTGCCTCAGCCTCCCCAGTAGCTGGGACTACAGGCGCCCGCCACCGCGCCCGGCTAATTTTTTGTATTTTTAGTAGAGACGGGGTTTCACCGTGTTAGCCAGGAAGGTCTCGATCTCCTGACCTCATGATCCGTCCGCCTCAGCCTCCCAAAGTGCTGGGACTACAGGCGTGAGCCACTGCACTTGGCCTTTTTTTTTTTTTAGATGGAGTTTTGCTCTTGTCGCCCGGGCTGGAGTATAATGGCATGATCTCGACTCACTGCAACCTCCGCCTCCCGAGTTCAAGCGATTCTCCTGCCTCAGCCTCCCGAGTAGCTGGGATTACAGGTGCCCACCACCATGTCAAGATAATGTTTGTATTTTCAGTAGAGATGGGGTTTGACCATGTTGGCCAGGCTGGTCTCGAACTCCTGACCTCAGGTGATCCACCCGCCTTAGCCTCCCAAAGTGCTGGGATGACAGGCGTGAGCCCCTGCGCCCGGCCTTTGTAACTTTATTTTTAATTTTTTTTTTTTTTTTAAGAAAGACAGAGTCTTGCTCTGTCACCCAGGCTGGAGCACACTGGTGCGATCATAGCTCACTGCAGCCTCAAACTCCTGGGCTCAAGCAATCCTCCCACCTCAGCCTCCTGAGTAGCTGGGACTACAGGCACCCACCACCACACCCAGCTAATTTTTTTGATTTTTACTAGAGACGGGATCTTGCTTTGCTGCTGAGGCTGGTCTTGAGCTCCTGAGCTCCAAAGATCCTCTCACCTCCACCTCCCAAAGTGTTAGAATTACAAGCATGAACCACTGCCCGTGGTCTCCAAAAAAAGGACTGTTACGTGGATGTTCTAGCTTCCTGTTCTCGTCTTTTCTTTGTTAATTGTACAGTTTGAGGGTGTGTGTGCGTGTGCGCGCGTGTGTGTGTGCAGTCTCCTGATTTCATGTATTTAATTGTTATTACCACCACCTCCATCTCTCATTCCTTCTTACCCTCACTGTGTAAAGATACATGTTGTTTTTAAATTTTATTTATTTATATTTATTTATTTGTATTTTTGAGGCAGAGTCTCACTCTGTTGCCCAGGCTAGTGGCATGATCTCAGCTCACAGCAACCTTTGCCTCCTGGGTTCAAGCGATTCTCCTGCCTCAGCCTCCCGAGTAGCTGAGATTACAGGCACACACCACCACACCCGGCTAGTTTTGTTTTGAGACGGAGTCTCGCTCTGTTGCAGGCTGCAGTGCAGTGGCGTGATCCTGGCTCACTGCAACCTCTGCCTCCTGGATTCAAGCGATTCTCCTGCCTCAGCCTCCCAAGTAGCTGGGATTACAGGCGCCCACCGCCACACCTGGCTAATTTTTTATTGGTAGTAGAGACGGGGTTTCTCCATGTTGACCAGACTGGTCTTGAACTCCCAACCTCGGGTGATCCACCCACCTGGGCCTCCCAAAGTGCTGGGATGACAGGCGAGGGCCACCGCGTCCAGCCTTCTTCTTCTTCTTCTTTTTTTTTTTTTTAAGATGGAGTTTCACTCTGTTGCCCAGGCTGGAGTGCAGTGGTGCAATCTCGGCTCCCTGCAACCTCCACCTCCCAGGTTCAAGAAATTCTTTTGCCTCAGCCTCCCGAGTAGCTGGGACTACAGGTGCCCGCCACCACACCCACCTAATGTTTGTATTTTTTTGGTAGAGACGGGGCTTCACCACATTGGCCAGGCTGGTCTTGAACTCCTGACTTCAGATGATCCTCCTGCCTCAGCCTCCCAGAGTGTTGGGATTACAGGCGTGAGCCACGGTGCCCGGCCAGACGTCATGTCTTAGGAAATCAGAAAGTGGGTAGTTTCCGCACTCTGAGGAGAAAAAGAGACGTCCAGCGAAGAGAAAGGAGAGTGAAAGGATGTCTCCTCTTGTCTGTAGCCTGTTCTCAATCGTGAGTGAGCCAATTGCCAGAAACTGAGGGTGCTTCATTTGGCCAGGCAAGCTTCTCAACAGAATGTCTAAGTACTTGTTAATGCTGAGAAGCTCTCCAAGCTACTGCACTCCAGCCTGGGTGACAGAGCACGACCTTGTCTGAAAACAATTAATTAATCAATTAATTAATATAATGAAATCATACTGAACTCAGGAGACCATTGGGGTGGGCAGGGCTGGGGTTGGAAGGGAACATAAAATACGGTGCAGTGGACTTTGCTCCAGTCTCCCTCCCCATCTCTTCTCGCCAAGAGTCTCTGGAGGGAGCATGGGGAAGATGCTTTGGGAATCTGTAACTTCTTGTCTTGTAAACAGAATATCTAAGTAATTGTTAATGCTGAGAAGTTATAGATTTCCAAAGCCTTTCTCCAGGCTACGGACAAGGGTCATGGGTTACTCAGTGTTACAGAAAGAATGACATGGAGATGTTTGTTACATCTTAAGGAACCATGAGGGGCCAGAGTATTTTACTCTAAGTGTAGATGGTACATTGGCCACGCCTGTCCCAACACCACCAATGGTGGCACCTAACTTTTGTGTTTGTGCCCCACATTTCTTCTTCTTTTCTGACGTAAATGCAAGTGATATTCCTTGGAAACCATGCTGCAGCAAGAGGCCATCTGACTACTAGTGATACCCTGTAGCTCACCTACAGCAGCTCACTTGAAGCAGCTCACCCATAGCTCAGGTATAGCTCACCTGCAGCGGCTCACCTGTAGCTCACGTGTAGCTCACTTGTAGCAGCTCACTGGTAGCTCACCTGCAGCAGCTCACCTGTACCTCACCTGTACCTCACCTGCAGCAGCTCACCTGTAGCTCACCTGTACGTGAGCCACCGTACCCGGCCAGCAAGACCCCATTTCTAAAATAAATACACAAAAATTAGCCGGACGCGGTGGCGCATGTCTGTAGTTGTAGCTACTCAGGAGGCTGAGGTGGGAGGATTGCTGGAGGCTGGGAGGTAGAGGCTGCAGTGAACCGTGATCCAGCCACTGTACTCTAGCCTGGATGACATAGCAAAACCTTGTCTCAAAAAACAAAAACAAAAAACAAAACAAAGAAACAAACAAAAAACCCACACACACCGGAAAACAAAACAAAAAGCAAAAAGGAAAGAAAAGAGAGCCAGGTCCCAAATATATATTTCCTTGGAGAACCATTTGCAAAGAGCACACTTAAGGCCGGGCGCGGTGGCTCACGCCTGTCATCCCGGCACTTTGGGAGGCCGAGGTGGGTGGATCACGAGGTTGGGAGATCGAGACCATCCTGGCCAACATGGTGAAACCCCATCTCTACTAAAAATACAAAAAATCAGCCAGGTGCTGTGGCAGGTGCCTGTAGTCCCAGCCACTCAGGAGGCTGAGGCAGGAGAATGGCATGAACCTGGGAGGTGGAGGTTGCAGTGAGCCGAGATCGCGCCCCTGCACTCCAGCCTGGGCGACAGAGCGAGACTCCTTCTCAAATAAATAAATAAATAAATAACAAAGAGCAAACTTAAAATTGTCTCAGAAATCCCACGGGATATTGGATCTCCCTCATGCCTATCTGATGACACTTTGAGTGTCTGGGACCCCGTGCCTATTTTCTGGGGTTCCCAGAAGCTGCCGTTCTGAAAGTGTGGCTCTCGGGGACGTGGCACAGGTGTGGATGTCTGTTTTAAATGTCAGGCGTTTGGACGTTGAGGAACGTGAGGCTGAAGGTCGCCTTCGCCGACCCCCTGAGTTTAGGGTCCTGCCTTTTAAAATCTTCCCAGCACTCTGTTGTTCACGCAAGCGTCCCATCTGTTTGGGTGGCCGTGCCGTCTGCATCTGTCTCGAACCTTCACAGCTTTGCAGAATATCCTGTTTCTCAATACGGATGGAGAAACACGAGACGCGTTTTCTGGGTTATTTTAGCCGTCACGGAGAACCCCAGACTCATGTGTGCTAATGACCTCATTAATGATACTCTGAGGCAGACAGCCCTGCCTGATCTTAACAACATTTTTTAAATTTCTTTTTTTGTTGTTGTTGTTACAGCATCATTCATATAACGTAGGAAACCGTGATCAGTAGCTTTTAGGATATTTGCAACAGGGTGTAACCATCTGTTAGACTCCAGAGCGTTTTTATCACGCTGAAAAGAAACCGCAAGCCCATTCCGCCATCAGTCTCAGGTTTCTCCATTTAGCCTGGGCAACCATTAACCTGCTTCCCATCTCTCTACACCTCTCCTACTCTGAATATGTATATATACGTGTGTATATATATGTGCATCTATGTGTGTGTGTACATGTAAATATATGTGTGTATATGTGTATATATGTGGGTATATATAGTGTGTATATATCTGTATATACGTGTGTATACATATGTGAATCTATGTGTGTGTGTACATGTAAATATATGTGTATATGTATATATGTGTATATGTGTGTATATATAGTGTGTATATATGTGCATCTATGTGTGTGTGTACATGTAAATATATGTGTATATATGTATATATGTGTATATGTGTGTATATATAGTGTATATATGTGCATCTATGTGTGTGTGTACGTGTAAATATATGTGTATATGTATATATGTGTATATGTGTGTATATATAGTGTGTATATATGTGCATCTATGTGTGTGTACATGTAAATATATGTGTATATATGTATATATGCATATATATAGTGTATATATGTCTGCTTATATGTATATATGTGTGGACATATGTATATATTTGTGTGTATGTGTATATAGTGTGTATATATGTGTATATATGTATATATGTGTATATATGTATATATATCAGTGTATGTATGTGTGTATATATGTATATATGTGTATATATGTATATATATCAGTGTATGTATGTGTGTATATATGTATATATGTGTATATATGTATATATATCAGTGTATGTATGTGTGTATATATGTATATATGTGTATATATGTTTATATATCAGTGTATATCTGTGTATATATGTATATCTGTGTATATATGTGTGTATATATGTATATATGTGTATATATGTATATATATCAGTGTATATATGTGTATATATGTATATCTGTGTATATATGTATATCTGTGTATATATGTGTGTATATATGTATATATAGTGTATATATGTGTGTATATATATGTACATATGTATGTATATGCACATATGTATATATATGCACTTTTTTTTCCCATTCAGCCTATAAGTACGAGGCAGGCCATGTTCATTTATATTAAGAAATATGTAGACTGCGAAATGAGGCAATCATATTTCTGAAGCCAGCCAATGCAAACCCTCCTTCTTTCAGAAGGGACGTCTCCCCAGGCAAAAAGAAAAAAAAAAAAAAAGTCAGCTTTGCAAGATCTCTTACCGTGAGCGGAAAATGCAGTTAAGAGAGCCGGCCAGCCAGGCTCCCGATGGCGGTGTGACGGGTGGCGTGGATGACGCTGGGAGAACCACGGGGAAGATGGGTGATACGATGCTCCTTCTAATTGACACCTCTAGGTCCAGGGCAAGTTAATGATGAGCTTGGACCGCGTTGCCACCGGTTCGAATGGCCTTTGCCAGTTTTCTCTGCACGGAGCAGCGTTCGGCTTCACATTTTTGCCTCTTAACTTCATCCACTTGGTCTGTTTCTGAAAAGCACCTTCTCCTCTGGCATGGAGCTTAGAATGTTGTGGCGGGTCATGGGGTCTGTCATTTTCTCTTATTTTAATTATTATTCATTTATTTATTTTTGAGACAGTGTCTCACTCTGTCACCCAGGCTGGAGTGCAGTGGTGCAATCTCAGCTCACTGCAACCTCCACCTCCCGGGTTCAAGCGATTCTCCTGCCTCAGCCTCCTGAGTAGCTGGTACTACAGGCATCCGCCACCACGCCCGGCTAATTTTTGTATTTTTAGTAGAGATGGGGTTTCACCATGTTAGCCAGAAAGGTCTCGATCTCTTGACCTCGTGATCCACCTGCCTCGGCCTCCCAAAGTGCTGGGATTACAGGCACCCGCCACCGCACCTGGCTAATTTTTTTTTTTGTATTTTTAGTAGAGACGGGGTTTCACCATGTTGGTCAGGCTGGTCTCGAACTCCTGACCTCAAATAATCCTCCCAAAGAGCTGGGATTACAGGTGTGTCATTTTTAAATTTTCATAGAGATGGGGTCCTGTTATATTGCTGAGGCTGATCTGGATCTCCCAGCCTCAAGCAATTATCTTGCCTCAGCCTCCCAAAGTGCTGGGATTACAAGTGTGAGCCACTGCGCCTGGGTCAGGCTCACGGAGTTTTTTATTTTTATTTTTTTTATTTTTTTTTGAGATGGCGTCTCACTCTGTCGCCCAGGCTGGAGTGCAATGGCACGATCTTGGCTCACTGCAACCTCTGCCTCCCAGGCTCAAGTGATTCTCCTGCCTCAGCCTCCCGAGTAGCTGGGATTACAGGCGCCCGTCACCTGCCTAATTTTTTCCTTTGTTTTTGAGACCAAGTCTTGCTCTGTCCCCCAGGCTGGAGTGCAATGGATCCATCTTGGCTCACTGCAACCTGTGCCTCCTGGGTTCACGCCATTCTTCTGCCTCAGCCTCCTGAGTAGCTGGGACTACAGGCGCCCGCCACCACGCCCGGCTAATTTTTTGTATTTTTAGTAGAGACGGGGTTTCACCATGTTAGCCGGGATGGTCTCGATCTCCTGACCTTGTGATCCGCCTGCCTCGGCCTCCCAAAGTGCTGGGATTACAGGCGTGAACCACTACACCTGGCTAATTTTTGTATCTTTAGTACAGATGGGGTTTCACCATGTTGGCCAGGCTGGTCTCGAACTCCTGACCTTGTGATCCACCCACCTGAGCCTCCCAAAGTGCTAGGATTACAAATGTGAGCCACTGCACCCAGCCCAGGCTCATGGAGTTTTTAGTAAGAGCTCATGCTCACAGCCTGTCTTAAGGGAGACCTTCTCCAGATCCTGGGTGGTGCCGTTTCATGGACAACAAATTCATTCTCAAAAAGCGTAGCCCCAGTGGAAGACCTTGGGTCCTTCCACTCGGAGTGTGTCAGTTCATCACCATAACCGTTTGTTGAGGTGTGTTCAAAACATCTATAGCCAAATTCCACAGGAGGAATGGGATGAGGACTCTAAGCTTCTGGACTTGATGTAGAAACCGGGTCTTTGCAGATGTCTTTAAGGGAAGGATCTGAAATGAGGTCATCCTGGATTAGGGTGGGTCTTAAATCCAATAACAGGTGTCCTTGTAAGGGACAGAAGAGGACCATAAATCTAATGACTACGGTCCTCCTAAGAGATGGAAGAGGAGACATAGACACAGGCACAGACACAGAGGAGAAGGCCACGTGGAGACGGAGGCAGCGACTGGAGTGATCCGGCCACAAGCCCAGGGACGCCTGGAGCCCCCAGGAGCTGGGAGAGGCAGGAAGGATCCTCCCCTAGAGCCTCCAGAGGGAACTTCTTATGGTTGAAGTGGATTGAACTATGGTACCCCCCAAAAATATGTTCATATTCTAACCCAAGAACCTGTGAAAGGAGGTAGAGACTGGAGTGATGGGGCCACAAGCCCAGGGATACCTGGAGCACCCAGAAGCTGGGAGAGGCAGGAAGGATCCTCCCCTAGAGCCTCCAGAAGGAACTGGATACAACTGAAGTGAAGTGAACCGTGGCCCCTCAAAAGACCTGTCCATGTATTGATCATCTGGAATCTGTGAATGGGACATTATTTGGAAATACGGTCTCTGCAGATGTGATTAAGTGGAAGATCTGGAGATGAGATCATCCTAGATTAGGGTGGACCATAAATCTAATGACAGGTGTCCTTCTAAGAGACAGAAGAGGAGACACAGACACAGAGGAGGAGGCCACGTGGAGACAGAGGCAGAGACTGGAGTGATGCAGCCACAAGCCCAGGGATGCCTGGAGCCCCCAGGAGCTGGGAGAGGCAGGAAGGATCCTCCCTTAGAGTCTCCAGAGGGAGCACAGCCCTGAGACTCCTTGACCTCAGACTCCTGGTCTCCAGGACTGGGAGAGGCAGGAAGGACCCTCCCTTAGAGCCTCTGGAGGGAGCATGGCCCTGAGACACGTTGACCTCAGACTCCTGGTCTCCAGGACTGGGAGAGGCAGGAAGGACCCTCCCTTAGAGCCTCTGGAGGGAGCATGGCCCTGAGACACCTGGACCTCAGACTTCTGGTCTCTATGGCTGGGAGAGGCAGGAAGTCTCCTCCTCAAGAGCCTCTGGAGGGAGCATGGCCCTGAGACTCCTTGACCTCAGACTCCTGGTCTCCAGGCCTGGGAGAGGCAGGAAGGACCCTCCCTTAGAGCCTCTGGAGGGAACATGGTCCTGAGACTCCTTGACCTCAGACTCTTGGTCTCCAGGACTTGACGGGGATGAATTCCTGCGGCATGCATCGTCATTCCTGGTCCTTTGTTACGGCTGACTCAGGAATCTAAGAAACTGACCTGCGGGGTTTTGCCCATCAGGATGGTGGCTTCTCCGGCTGTGGATTTGTTGCTTTTCCATCTTCTCTGCGGCTGACACTCTTACGGGGAGTAATGGTGCAGAGAATTTCGGTTGCCTCCCAGAGCTGCAGCCGGAAGACGCAAGGACCAACGAAAACATTTGCATCGTGGCTCTCTGTGAGGAAGAGTCCTGCTGTGAAAGCATTTTTATTCCGAAAGAGGATCATCTTTGGGAGCAGAACCATGGAAAAGTCTCTTTCGGCAGCCCACGGAATGATGGGCCGGCCACATTTTGGATACATCTCATGCTTCTTACTGTTTTCAAATGGTTTTGGCTTGAATGGAATTCCAAGCCCATTTTTTTTTTCCTCTTTCCCAAGTACTTTTTGTTCTTGAGTCTTGCAATCCTATGAATTCCAAGGGAAGCTGAATGTCTATCTTTTTGATACGTGGACACTGTCATCCTGCAAACAAAACCGTAGACGTCTTTGGGGGGGTCGTGAACTTGGCAGTGAAGTTCGAAGGTCTCCAGTGCTTCTCACATCCGAAGTCAGAGCCCACATTTCTCCGTCAGTTTGTAACCCTGGCAAAAGAAGGTCTTCGGCTTGCTTGTTTTCCTGAAAAACAGGAAGTTTTATTTTGCCAAGAATGAATGGAATGGGAAGCCAAAGCGTTTGATATGCACAAGGGAAAATGCAGGATTTTTTTGTGTGCAAAGTTTACGTGGGGCTACACACCCTATTTCCTCTTTCCTCACAATGATGCCACGAAATTGATTTTATTCCCTGCGGCTACTACATTTACCGTTCAAGTGCTGAATTCCTCCCCTCCCCTGCCCTCCCCACTCCCCTCCCCTGACCTCCCCCCTCCCCTCCCCTGCCCTCCCCATCCCCTCCCCCTCCCCCTCTACTCCCCCTCCTCCCATCCCATCTCCTTTCCCCCTCCCCCATCCCATCCCTCCCGTCCTCCCCTCCCCTCCCCTCTTCCCCTCCCCTCTCCTTCACCCCCTCACATCCCCTCCCCTCCCCTCCTACCCTCCCCTCCTCCCCTCTCCTTCCCCTTCCCCCCTCCCCTCCTCCCCTTCCCTCTGTTCCTCCCCTCCTCCCCTCCCCTCCTCCCCTCCCCTCCTCCCCTCCCCTCTCCTTTCCCACTCCCCCCTCCCATCCCCTCCTCCACTCCCCTCCTCCCCTACTCTCCTCCCCTCCTCCCGTCCCCTCCTCCCCTCCCCTCTTCTCTTCCCCTCCCCTCCCCTCCTCCCTCTCCTCCCCTTTCCCCCTCCCCCTTCCCATCCCCTCCCATCCTCCCCTCCCTCCCATCTTCCCCTCCCCTCCCCTCCTCTCTTCCCCTCCCCTCCCCTCCCCCACTTCTCACTCTCCTCCCCCCTCCCATCCCCTCCCCTCCTCTTCTCTTCTCTTCTTTTCTCTTCTTTTCTTTTTTTTCTTCTTCTTTTTTTTTTTTCTAATGGTCTTCCTCTGTCACCCAGGCTGGAGTGCAGTGGTGCGATCTTGGCTCACTGCAGCCTCCACCTCTCTGGCTCAAGAGATCCTTCCACCTCATCCTTCTGATTCTGTTACTTATTTTTATTTTTTTAATTAATTAATTAATCTTTTTTTTGAGATGGAGTCTGGCTCTGTTGCCCAGTCTGGAGTGCAGTGGCGCTACCTCGGCTCACTGCAAGCTCCACCTCCTGGGTTCACGCCATTCTCCTGCCTCAGCCTCCCGGGTAACTGGGACTACAGGCACCCGTCACCACACCCGACTAATTTTTGTATTTTTAGTAGAGACGGGATTTCACCGTGTTAGCCAGGATGATCTCGGTCTCCTGACCTCATGATCTGCCCTCCTCAGCCTCCCAAAATGCTGGTATGACAGGCATGAGCCACCGCGCCCAGCCTAATTAATTTTTTACATTTTACTTTAACTTCTGAGATACATGTGCTAATTAATTAATTTTTTAAATTTTACTTTAAAAAAGTCATACTTTACTTAAGTAAAAGTAAGTAAATGTGTGTTAACTAAACACATTCTGGGGTACATGTGCACAAAGCGCAGGTTAGTTACATATGTATACATGTGCCATGGTGGTTTGCTGCTCCTATCAACCCATTATCTAAGTTTTAAGCCCCACATGCACTAGGTATTTGTCCTAATGCTCTCCATCCTCTTGCCTTCTATCCCCCCACAGGCCCTGGTGTGTGATGTTCCCCTCCCTGTGTCCATGTGTTCTCACTGTTCAACTCCCACTTACGAGTGAGAACATGCAGTGTTTGGTTTTCTGAGGATGCGGAAAAATAGGAAAGCTTTTACTCTCGATGGTGGGAGGTGAATAAGTTCAACCATTGTGGAAGGCAGTGTGATGATTCCTTGAGGATCTAGAACAAGAAGTAACATTGGACCCAGCCATCCCATTACTGGGTATATACCGAAAGGATTGTAAATCATGCTGCTATAAAGACACATGCACACGTATGTTTATTGAGGCACTATTCACAATAGCAAAGACTTGGAACCAACCCAAATGTCCATCAACAATAGACTGGATAAAGAAAATGTGGCACACAGACACCATGGAATACTATGCAGCCATGAAAAAGGATGAGTTCATGTCCTTTGCAGGGACATGGATGAAGCTGGAAACCATCATTCTCAGCAAACTCACACAGGAACAGAAAACCAAACGCCACGTGTTCTCACTCATAAGTGGGAGTCAAACAATGACAACACATGGACACAGGGAGGGGAACATCACACACTGGGGGCCTGTTGGGGGGTGAGGGGCTAGGGGATGGAGGGCATTAGGACAAATACCTAATGTAGATGATGGGTTGATGGGTGCAGCAAACCACCATGACACATGCATACCTATGTAACAAACCTGCACGTTCTGCACTTGTACCCCAGAACTTAAAGTAAAATTTAAAAACAAACAAACAAACAAAAAAACAAAGGCCAGGCCTGGTGACTTACACCTATAATCCCAGCACTTTGGGAGGCCAAGGTTAGGAGTTTGAGACCAGCCTGGACAACATAGCAAAAGCCTGTCTCTACTAAAAATACAAAAAAAAATTAACAGGGAGTGGTGGTGGGCACCTGTAATCCCAGCTACTTGGGAGGCTGAGGCAGGAGAATCACTTGAACCCGGGAGGCCGAGGTTGCGGTGAGCCGAGATCGTGCCATTGCACTCCAGGCTGGGCGACAGAGTGAGACTCTGTCTCAAAAAATAAATAAATAAATAAATGTAAAAAAATAAAAATAGGTCGGGCACGGTGGCTCACGTCTGTAATCCCAGCACTTTGGAAGGCCGAGGTGGGTGGATGACAGGGTCAAGAGATTGAGACCATCCTGGCCAACATGGCAAAATGCCGTCTCTACTAAAAAATACAAAAATTAGGCGGGCGTGGTGGCGGGTGCCTGTAATCCCAGCTACTCGGGAGGCTGAGGCAGGAGAATCGGTTGAACCCGGGATGCGGAGGTTGCAGTGAGCGGAGATCACATCACTGCACTCCAGGCTGGGCAACAAGAGCGAAACTGCGTCTTACAATAAATAAATAGATAAATAAATAAACAAATAAACTTTACTTTAGAAACAAATCCCTGTCCGTGTTTGTCTTTTCACCTGTCCTGCAGGGAAAACAAAACATAAAATGTCAAGGCAAATAGTAGTGATTTCATTCCGGGAAAAAGAAAGTGGATGTTTGCCTTCACCCTTTCTCGTCCTTCCTCTGGTGCTCCTCAGGCCCAGGGAGAGGGTGGAAAGTCAGAGGAAGAAAGACGGGGCTGGGGGGGGGGGGGTCCGTGGGGACCCAGGCAGGCATGTTCCCATTTCCTGTCTTCACTTCAAAGAGGGGCCCCTCGCTCTGGAATGAGGCCTACGGTTTCCTTTCCCGAAGAGTTCCCCTTTGTGAGCTTACGGCTTCGGAGTGAACCTCGGTGCAACCTGTTATTAAAACACACAGAGGCTAATGCCAGCAAAAACACGCCCCCCGCTCCTGGTTTCAGAGGGAAGAAAAAAATTCATAAGCACGGCCATGCTTTTCTAATAAAAATTCATTAAATAATCGTTATAAGGGATGAAGCCGGGAGGGGAGAGGAGAGGAACACAATCAAGAGACTTTCTTTGAACTTTTTCTCCCTGCTTCAAATACAAAGCAATCTTCTGTGGGCCTGGGCCTGGGGGGTTTCCCCCTTTCTCTGCAGCCCATTGGGAGGAAGAAAATGCTTCCCTGAAGTTGCTGCAAAATTGTTTCTGTTTTTCTTCTCTTTTTCTTTTTTTTTTTTTTTTTTGAGACGGAGTCTCGCTCTGTCACCAGGCTGGAGTGCAATGGTATGATCTCAGCTCACTGCAACCTCCACGTTCCTGTTTCAAGTCATTCTCCTGCCTCAGCCTCCTGAGTAGCTGGGACTACAGGCGCCCGCCACCACGCCCGGCTAGTGTTTGTATTTTTAGAAAAGACAGGGTTTCCCCATGTTGGCCAGGCTGGTCTTGAACTCCTGTCCTCAAGTGATCTGCCTGCCTCGGCCTCCCAAAGTGCTGTGTTTCTGTTTTCCTTTCCCCCCTTTCTTAGGAGGCCGTCGGGAAGAATAAAATGCTTTCCTTGAAGTTGATGCAAAATTGTTTCTGTTTTTCTTTTCTCTTTTCTTTCTTTTTGAGATGGAGTCTCGCTCTTTCACCCAGGCTGGAGGGCAGTGGCGCGACCTCGGCTCACTGCAACCTCCGCCTCCCGGGTTCAAGCGATTCTCCTGCCTCAGCCTCCGGAGTAGCTGGGATTACAGGCACCTGCCACTATGCCTGGCTAATTTTATTATTTTTAGTAGAGACGGGGTTTCACCATGTTGGCCAGGCTGGTCTCAAACTCCTGACCTCAGGTGATCCGCCCGCCTCGCCTCCCAAAGTGATGGGATGACAGGCATGAGCCACCGTGCCCGGCCCTCTAACTCTTTACCAGACATAAAGTCTCCTTCCCCTTTCTAAATGTATATATTGTGTTTTTAAAAGTTAACAGCAGGGATCCCACCTCATTCCCCGCTCTCTCCCCAAGACCTGTCCTGCACGTTGCACACAGCAGGTGTGCCCTGGACATATCCCAAACCCACGCTGAAAGAAAGAGGGTCTCACTACACGTATGATATCTGTGATCCTTTAAACATCTCCGTGGCTTCCAGGCAACACAGCCATAAATAGGAATCTCATGTCTGACATGATACCGGGACCATGTATGGGAAATTCTGGGTGTGAAGTTCCAGCTACCCCCGCAGAGGCACCATTGCATACCCTCCAGAAACTCCCCTGCCGTTCAAGCCAAAGACACAACACAAACAGCTCCGAGAGAGGGTGTCATTGAAAATCAATACCATCATAAGAGCACACAGCACCGTCTTTCTCTTCTGCCCGTTGATACACAATTATGAGCAATTTGCTAACACTGACAACTCGTGGCAAGAACAGGTCGTGTTGATACGGTTGCCTCGTGAGGACCCATCTGTCTTCTGGGGTCTTGCCTGGAACGGAGATCGGAGTTCAGGGTGGCTAATAGAATCATTACTCACCTAGGGACACAGAATATGAGGGTTACCCCCAGTTAAGTGCATACAGTCAAACGGACGGCTGCTCTGGAAGGTACAGTGACGTGAACAGCTTTTATGAAATGCCTAGATCTGGACCTTCCATACCTGAGCCACCGTTCCAAAGCACTGGGCGTTTTTCAGATACTTTCATGAGAAATGTTGTCAACACCGCAAGTTTGCAGTACACAGTCTGAAAGATATTCTTGTATATGTAGATGTCTGTAGATGCCCTGAAGGTGTGTAGACTTTAGACACCCAGAAGGTGTGTAGATGTCTGTAGACACCTTCTATGTGTGTAGATGTCTGTAGACGCCCTGCAGGTGTGTAGATATATCTAGATGGTCTGCCTGTGTATGATACAGGCTAAAAAGACATTTGTGGTGGACACTAGTTGATTATTTAGGACTATGAGATGGGAAAGGAAGAGCAACCAGCAGTGAAAGGCATGTGGTGGGTGGGGGGTTGGCATTGCAGTGGGGTCCTCTGAGCAGGTGACACCCACTATAGGGCTGCCCTTGGATGGACGCTTTGTGAAGCTGTTTGATTTCACCACACCAAGCCTGGAGGCACGGACATTCCAGGATGGTGAGGAGTCTGCAAAGGAGGAGATTGGAGGAGGTGCAATATCCCTAGAGTACGAGAGATGAGATAGGAGAGCTGTATAAATAGCACTACCAGCCGGATGCGGTGGCTCACGCCTGTCATCCCAGCACTTTAGGAGGCTGAGGCAGGCGGATCACCTGAGGTCAGGAGTTCCAGAACAGCCTGGCCAACACAATGAAACCCCATCTCTACTAAAAATACAAGATTAGCTGGGCACGGTGTCTCACGCCTGTCATCCCTGCACTTTGGGAGGTCGAGGTGCGCAGATCATGAGGTCAGTCTGGCCAACGCGGCGAAACCCCGTCTCTACTAAAAATACAAAAAAGTAGCCGGGCGTGGTGATGGGCACCTGTAGTCCCAGCTACTAGGGAGGCTGAGGCAGGAGAATCGCTTGAACCCGGATGCGGACATTGCAGTGAGCCGAGATCACACCACTGCACTCCAGCCTGGGGGACAGAGCGAGACTCCATCTTAAAATAAAATAGAATAAAATGCCAGTGATATGACAATACGCTGAACCCCAGGATGGACCCGTGGGATAGTCAAGGAATGTGGAGGTTGGGAGAGCCGTGGATATCAGAGACAAAAGGAGGGAAGAGGGCCAGGCGCGGCGGCTCACCCCTGTCATCCCAGCACTTTGGGAGGCCGAGGCGGGCGGATCACGAGGTCAGGAGATTGAGACCATCCTGGCTAACACGGTGAAACCCCGTCTCTACTAAAAAATACAAAAATTAGCTGGGCATGGTGGCGGGCACCTGTAATCCCAGCTCCTCAGGAGGCTGAGGCAGGAGAATGGCTTGAACCTGGGAGGCGGAGGTTGCAGTGAGCCGAGATCACACCACTGCACTGCAGCCTGGGTGACAGAGCGAGAGTCTGTCTCAAAAAAAAAAAAAAAAAGGTGTTGCTGAGACCCCACTGCTGGTCAGGGAGGCACAGATGAGGCAGAGACCCCAAGGTTGGAACCTAGAGGGCTCCTCGTTGCAGTGTTGGAGTAAGGGTAAAAAATCAGATCCCAGTGAATAAAGGAGCCAGCTGGGGAAGGATCGCAAGTCACCGTCATTGAATTAGGGCCCACCCTCCTCCAGTACAACCTCATCTCAACCTCATTACATCTGCAAACACCCTATTTCTCAATAACACCCCATTCACAGGTAGTAAGGGTCCGCAGACATATCTCTTGGGGGGATAAAAAATTAACCCACTACCTGCTCTTAGACTATAGTACAGAGGAGACCATCCCTCTCCCAAGAACAGATCACAGGACAGATCTGGTCATAAGTGGCACGTCTTTCCCTTTTTGCCATGGCTGCCGGGAAGCCCAGAGCTGAGGTCACCCCTCCACGAAAGTCATTCTCTGAATGGACCTGCCTCAGTCTTGACCTCTGCTCCTATGGTAGTTAATGATTTCATTTTGTGTGTTTTTTTTTTGTTTTGTCTTGTTTTGTTTTTTGAGATAGACTTTAGCTCTGTTCCCCCTGCTGGAGTGCAATGACGCGATCTCACCTCTGTTACCCAGGCTGGAGTGCAGTGGCACCATCTTGGCTCACGACAACCTCCGCCTCCCAGGTTGAAGTGATTCTCCTGCCTCAGCCTCCCGAGTAGCTGGGATTACAGGTACCTGTCACCACAGCTGGCTAATTTTTTAATTTTTTATTTTTAGTATAGATGGGGTTTTGCCATGTTGGCCAGGCTTGTCTTGAACCCCTGACCTCAGGTGATCACCTTTTGCCTCGGCCTCCCAAAGTGCTGAGATGACAGACGTGAGCCACTGGGCCCTGCAATTTTATGTGTTTTGTTGTAAGCCTTCTCAGGATTTTGGAAAGATGATGATGAATGAATCAAGGAATGAAAGTTTAAAAGGTAGAAACAAAAAGAAAGTAAAGGCCAGGCATGCTGGCTCATGCCTGTCATCCCAGCACGTTGGGAGGCCAAGGCAGGAGGATCACTGGAGGCCAGAATTTAAACAGCAGCCTGGGCAACATAGCGACACCACGTCTTTACAAAGGCACAAAAATATTAGCCTGGCACGGTGCATGCATCTGTGGTCCCAGCTACTCAGAAGGCTGAGGTGGGAGGAGGGCGTGAGCCAGGGAGTCGGAGGCTGCTGTGAGCTCTGATGGCACCGGTGCACTCTAGCCTGAGTCACAGAGCAAGAGCCTAGTTCTTTAAAAAGAAAAAGAAAGAGGAAAAGAAAGAGAAAGAAAGTAAAAACAAAAAGAGAAAGAAAGAAAGAAAAACGAGAAAGAGAAAGAAAAAAATAAGAAGGAAGGAGTAAGGAAGGAAAAAAGAAAAAGAAAGCAAGAAAGGAACGGAGAGAGAGAGAAAGGAAAGAAAGAAAGAAAGGGAGGGAGGGAACGAAGGGAGGAAGAAAGAAAGAAAGACAAGAAAGAAAGAAGAAAAACAAAGAAAAAGAAAGAAGGAGAAAGAAAGGAAGGAAGGAGGAAGGAAGGAAGAAAGGAAGGAAGGAATGAAGGGACTGCTCAGGCCCTGGTGGCAAAAACTGTGTAAGTCCCAGTTCCCTGATCTTGATAAATTGAGCCACCATCAGGGCAAAACACGGGCTCCCCTGCGTCCCTGCCTTCCCCTCCCTCCTGGACCATTTCTGAGTGTGGCCCCATTTCCTGGCTGTGGATTCCTCCAGGGATATGCTGGGTCCATGTCCCAGCTCTGTAATAGGGCAGCAGCCCCAGGTTACCACGCCCAGCCCTTTCTTTTTCTTTTTCTTTTCTTTTCTTTTTTTTTTTTGAGAGAGAGCAAGAGCCCTGTTTCCTGAGAGCCCGTGACACATGTGGGGAGCTAATCTCCCTCCTGAAAGGAGAGCTGTGTTCCTGCAAGCCTGCCTTCCGAGGTATACCTGGGGAAGGCCATTTGTTATTGTCGGCCCGGTGAGATGATACCTTCCAAGGGTGGATTTAGAAGGAGAAGGGTGCCCCGGCACGCCTTCTCACAAGCTGCTTTGTTCTGGTGGAGACAGCAGGCGTGTGACCCCCGGGTAGGGCCCATCCAGCGTCTGGAGGCCTTTTGTCTCTTTATGACGACGTGTGCAGGGAGGGGGCTGGCTCTGCTGCTTCTTGGAGGAGCAGAGCCTGTGTTTCACGAATGAAGCTCACCATAAAAAACATCCAACGAGAGACGAGAATTCGATCCGGTGCTACCTGAGGGCCCCAGAGGTGTGATGACGGCCACTTTAGGGCCGGGGCCCAGTTCCTTGCTGGGAAACTGAACAGAGACGCAGATTTTTAAGGTCAGGGTGCAAGGTGGTTTTTATAAAAATGCCAGTGAGGGCCAGACGCAATGGCTCACGCCTGTCATCCCAGCACTTTGGGAGGCTGAGGCGGGCAGATCACGAGGTCAGGAGTTCAAGACCAGCCTGGCCAAGACGGTGAAACCCCGTCTCTACTAAAAATACAAAAATTAGCCGGGTGTGGTGGCGGGTGCCTGTAGTCCCAGCTACTCGGGAGGCTGAGGCAGGAGACTCGCTTGAACCCGGGAGGCGGAGGTTGCAGTGAGCGGAGATCACACCACTGCACTCCAGTCTGGGCGACAGAGCGAGACTGTCTCAAAATAAAATAAAATAAATAAAATAAAATAAAATAAAATAAAATAAAATAAAATAAAATAAAATAAAATGCCAGTGATAAGACAATACGCTGAACCCCGGGTTGCACCTGTGGGATAGTCAAGCAATGTGGACGTTGGGAGAACGTGGATATCAGAGACAAAAGGAGCGAAGAGTGCCAGGCATGGTGGCTCACGCCTGTCATCCCAGCCCTTTGGGAGGCCGAGGCGGGCAGATCACCAGGTCAGGAGGTCAAGACCAGCCTGGCCAAGATGGTGAAACCCCATCTCTACTAAAAATACAAAAATTAGCCGGGCGTGGTGGCTCACGCCTGTCATCCCAGCTCTT
The DNA here is from genome assembly GCF_000001405.40 of Homo sapiens. Taxonomy (NCBI): domain Eukaryota; kingdom Metazoa; phylum Chordata; class Mammalia; order Primates; family Hominidae; genus Homo; species Homo sapiens. Next base: position 677,042 of record NC_000024.10, read on the forward strand.
TGAGAGGCCGAGGCAGGTGGGTCACGAGGTCAGGAGATCGAGACCATCCTGGCTAACACGGTGAAACCCCATCTCTACTAAAAACACAAAAAAATTAGCCGGGCGTGGTGGCGGGCGCCTGTAGACCCAGCTGCTCGGGAGGCTGAGGCTGGAGAATTGCCTGAAGCTGGGAGGCAGAGGTTGCAGGGAGCAAAGATCATGCCACTGCACTCCAGCCTGGGCGACAGAGCAAGACTCCATCTCAAAATAAAATAAAATAAAATGCCAGTGATATGACAATATGCTGAACCCCGGGTTGGGATAGTGAAGGAACGTGGAGGCTGGGAGAGCCGTGGATATCAGAGACAAAAGGAGGGAAAAGGTGTCTTGTAACTGGACGAGAGCGTGTGGAGAGGCTGGGGTGGAGAGGAGGTTTATGCAAAGATTTGACACCCGGTCCTGGGGATGCCGAGTTCCAAGGGCAACCGGATTTCGGAGTTTGGAGAGCTTGGGACCCACGCGGCCAGCAGCCGGCCTCAGGGCTTGGTAGGAAGAGCCACAACTGTTCATCGTCTGGTCGTGGACATTGAGTCCCCAGGGCAGCCTCCCACTGCTGTGAGGGCCATGGGTTCAGAGAGACCCTCTGGCCACTTCTCCACAGGCAGGCCCGGTCTTGTCTGCACCAGAAAGATGGATTTCTCCCTGGAAGTCTGTGCCCATCTGCGTTCCCTCTGCAGGGACATGGGGTACCCAGGAAGAAAAGGACATTCAGGCAGCCCCCAACCGTAGAACTGCCAGCTCCTGGTTTCAACGTGGAAGGTGTCTGTGAGATGAATCCCTCCTTGTATTGAACCCCAAACCTCTCCTTTCTACCCCCCAACAGTAGAACTGCCAGCTTTTGGTTCTGATGTGGAGGGTGCCTGCAAGATGAATACCTCCTCGTCTCAAACCCCAAACCTTTCCTTTCTACCCGCCAGAGGCAGAACTCTCAGCATTTGGTTCCGATGTGGAGGATATCTATGAGATGTTTACCTCCTTGTCTCAAACCCCAAACCTCTCCTTCCTACCCTCCAAAGATAGAACTCTCAGCATTTGGTTCTGATGTGGAGAGTGTCTATGACATGTTTACCTCCTTGTCTCAAACCCCAAACCTCTCCTTTCTACTCCCCAAGAGTAGAACTACCAGCTTTTGGTCCTGACGTGGAGGGTGCCTGCAAGATGCATACCTCCTTGTCTGGAACCCCAAATCTTTCCTTTCTGCCCCCCAACAGTGGAACTTCTCCCAGCATTTTGTTCCCAGGTGGAGGGTGTCTGGGAGACGTTTACCTCCTTGTCTCAAACCCCAAACCTCTCCTTTCTACCCCCCAACAGTAGAACAACCAGCTTTTGGTCCTGATGTGGAGGGTGCTTGCAAGATGTATGCCTCCTTGTCTGGAACCCCAAATCTTTCCTTTCTGCCCCCCAACAGTGGAACTTCTCCCAGCATTTTGTTCCCAGGTGGAGGGTGTCTGGGAGACGTTTACCTCCTTGTCTCAAACCCCAAACCTCTCCTTTCTACTCCCCAAGAGTAGAACTACCAGCTTTTGGTCCTGACGTGGAGGGTGCCTGCAAGATGCATACCTCCTTGTCTGGAACCCCAAATCTTTCCTTTCTGCCCCCCAACAGTGGAACTTCTCCCAGCATTTTGTTCCCAGGTGGAGGGTGTCTGGGAGACGTTTACCTCCTTGTCTCAAACCCCAAACCTCTCCTTTCTACCCCCCAACAGTAGAACAACCAGCTTTTGGTCCTGATGTGGAGGGTGCTTGCAAGATGTATGCCTCCTTGTCTGGAACCCCAAATCTTTCCTTTCTGCCCCCCAACAATGGAACTTCTCCCAGCATTTTGTTCCCAGGTGGAGGGTGTCTGGGAGATGTATACCTCCTCATCTGAAACCCCAAACCTTCCCTTTCTACCCCCCAACAGTAGAATAACCAGCTTTTGGTCCTGACGTGGAGGGTGCCTGCAAGATGTATACCTCCTTGTCTGGAACCCCAAATCTTTCCTTTCTGCCCCCCAACTGTAGAACTTCTCCCAGCATTTTGTTCCGAGGTGGAGGGTGTCTGGGAGACGCATACCTCCTTGTCTTGAACCCCAAACCTTCCTTTTGTGCCATTTCTGGGACTCTTCCAAGGGGAAATAAGAAAGGCATCGGTAGAAGATTCTGAAGGCGTGTGTGCATTCACCAGGCTGCTCTGAGACACTCTCAGATTCACGCCGCCTGGCCAGGGGCCCGATTCCTAAAGGTGAAAGGCCAGGGCATTAGCTGGAACCCGCCACTTCAGAACCATAAACCGAGCGTCTGGCTGCAGAAGGAGCTGTCAAACATGATAAAGACGCCGTTCAACCGTTTTAAACAGCCGGCCCCCCTCTCCTTGGGTAGACGCCATTGTGGAAGACGGGACGTAAAACACACAACTGTCACTCTGCATTAGAGACTGGAAGGTTTTTGCTACGCAGTTTTCAAGATCAGCAATTACTGCCTGACAGGCACGCGATTGTTTCCAGTTAATATTTCCTGGTTGCTTTCAAAGCACGTGCCGTGGGCATGTGTGTGTGTACGCGTGCATGTGTGTGTGTGTCTGTGCCTGTGTGTGTGCACGCATGTGTGTCTCTGTGTGTGCACGTGTGTGTCTCTGTGTGTGCACACGTGTATGCCTCTGTGTGTGCACGTATGTGTGTGTCTCCGTGTGCGTACGTGTGTGTGCACGTGTTTTGTCTGTGTGTGCATGCGTGTGTCTGTGTGTGCACGTGTGCGTGTCTGTGTGTGTGCGTGTGTGTGCGCACGTCGGCATGCACGTGTGTGTCTGTGTGTGTGCACATGTATGTCTTCACGTGTGTCTGTGTGTGCACTTGTATATCTTCACGTGTGTGTCTGCATGTGTGCACGTGTGCGTCTGTGTGTGCACGTCTGCATGCATGTGTGTGCACTTGTATGTCTTCATGTGTGTGTCTGTGTCTGTGCACGTGTGTGTGTGTGTGCACAGGCTCTCCTGGTTCAACATTCCTGCAGGCACTGGTGTCTTCATGTTTTGCAAAGTGCGGAGGTGCCTGAGGTATGCGATTGTGTCCAGTTAATATTTCCTGCTTTTAAAGCACGTGCTTGTGGGCATATGTGTGTGTGCATGTGTGTGCGCACATGTGCGTCTGTGTGTGCACGTCTGCATGCACGTGTGTCTGTGTGTGTGCACATGTATGTCTTCACGTGTGTCTGTGTGTGCACTTGTATGTCTTCACGTGCATGTCTGCATGTGTGCATGTGTGCGTCTGTGTGTGCACGTCTGCATGCATGTGTCTGTGCACTTGTATGTCTTCGTGTGTGTCTGTGTGTGCACGTGTGTGTCTGTGTGTGCACGTGTGTGTGTGTGTGCAGGCTCTCCTGGTTCAACATTCCTGCAGGCACTGGTGTCTTCATGTCTTGCAAAGTGCGGAGGTGCCTGAGGTACCTGGAGTCTGCCCAGAACTCAAACACGCACGTACCCAGGGTGGCTTCCGTGGAGAAGCTTTGCAGGGACGGAAACAGCTTCCGGAGATGTCTGGCTTGGGCTGTGTCCATCAGTGAAGATGCGTTGGAGGCTTTTTTTTTTTTTTTGAGACGGAGTCTCACTCTGTTGCCCACGTTGGAGTGCAGTGGCGCGACCTCGGCTCACTGCAACCTCCGCCTCCCGGGTTCACGCCATTCTCCTGCCTCAGCCTCCTGAGTAGTGGGGATTTCAGGCATGCATCACCACGCCCGGCTAATTTTTGTATATTTAGTAGAGACGGGGTTTCACCGTGTTGGCCAGGCTGGTCTTGAACTCCTGACCTTATGATTCACCCGCCTCAGCCTCCCAAAGTGCTGGGATGACAGGCGTGAGCCACCGCGCCCGACCTACACTGAGAGACTTATAAACAACAGAAATTTGGTTTCACTGTTGTGGAGGCTGGAAATGCCAGATCAAGGCCTGGCAGGGTCAGCGCCTACTGAGAACCGACCTCCTGTGCTCTCATGTGGTGGAAGGGGCGAGGAAGCTCTCTGGGGTCCCTTTTATAAGGGCACTGATCCCATTCATGAGAGGGTCCCACCTCCTAACACCATCTCTCGGGGGTGAGGATTCAATGTGGGAATTTACGGGTCATGCAAACATTCAGTCCACTGCAGGCACGTTTCTTCCCATGCCGGTGGATGGCAGAGCCGGCTGCACAGTTTGTGGGGTGCAGAACAGAAGAAGGACCTTTTGTTCTAAAAGTGACTCAGGGTTTTAAGATGGCAACCTCTTAGCATTCAACGAAGCACAGGGCCCGTCCTGGTGCGATTTCTGTCCAATCATACAGCTTGCACGTCCACGAAGCCAGCCCTGGGTGGGGGAGACACATATGTGTCTGGATGAAATGTCTCCAATTCATGCCTTCTAGGTAAATTCCAGAGGGCTGATGTAGGTACACCAGGCAGAGAGAGAGACTTAGAGAGAGAGAGAGAAAGGGAGAGAGAAAGAGACAGAGAGACAGAGAGAGAAGGAGAGAGAGAGTGAGAGAGAGACAGAGAGAGAAAGAGGCAGACACAGAAAGAGCAGGAGAGAGAGAAAGGGAAAGAAAGAGAGAAAGAAAGGAAGAGAGAAAAAGAGGGAGAGAAGAGACAGAGAGAAAGACACAGAGAAAGAGAGTGAGAGAGAGACAGAGAGAGAGATGGAAAGAGAGAGAAAGAGACAGAGAGAATCAGAGACAAAAAGAGAGAGAGGGAGAGAGAGACAGAAAGAGAGAAAGAAAGAGAGCGGTGATCATGCCACTTATAATAATAAGAAAGAGAGAGAAAGAGCAAGAGAGGTAGAAGGAGAAAGGAAGAGAGAAAGAGGAGAGAAAAGAGAGAGACAGAGAAAGAGGGAGAGAGAAAGAGAGGGAGAAAGAGAGACAGAGAGTAAGACAGAAAGAGAGAGAGAAAGGGAGAGACAGAGAAAGGGAAAGAGAGACAGACGCAGAGAGACAGAGACAGAGAGGGAGAAGGAGACAGAAAAAGGGAAAGAGAGAGAGAAAGAAAGAGAGAAGGAGAGAAGAGAGAGAGACAGAAAGACACACACACAGAAAGAGACAGAGAAAGCAAGAGAGAGAAAGAGAGAGAGAGACAGAGAGAGAGAAAGAGAGAGAGAGGAAGAGAGAGAGACAGAGAGACAAAACGAGAGAAAGAAAGAGAAAGAGAGTGGTGATCATGCCACTTATAATAATAAGAAAGAGAGAGAGAGACAAAGAGGGAGAGAGAGAAAGAGCGAGAGAGGTAGAAAGAGAAAGGAAGAGAGAGAAGGAGAGAAAAGAGAGAGAAAGAGGGGGAGAAAGAGAGAGAGAGAGAGTGAGAGAGAGAGAAAGAAAGAGAGAGATACGGCCTGGCGTGGTGGCTCACGCCTGTCATCCCAGCACTTTGGGAGGCTGAGGCGGGCAGATCACGAGGTCAGGAGATCGAGACCATCCTGACTAACACGGTGAAACCCCGTCTCTACTAAAAATACAAAAAAATTAGCCGGGCATGGTGGCGGGTGCCTGTAGTCCCAGGTACTCAGGAGGCTGAGGCAGGAGAATGGCGTGAACCTGGGAGGCGGAGGTTGCAGTGAGCCGAGATCGTGCCACTGCACTCTGGCCTGGGTGAAAGAGCAAGAGTCGTCTGTCTCAAAAAAAAAAAAAAAAAAAAAAAAGGGAGAGAGAGAGACAGAAACAGAGACAGAGAGAGAGAAAGAGAGAGAGATCTGGGGCAACTTCTGAGATGCAAGCAGGAATGGAGATGGAAACCTGTAGGATCCCGAGCAAAGAAGTGGATTAAAATCACCCACGGCTTACCAGTAGCATTGGATAGAGTCACAGCTCGTAGAGTGAGAACACGGAAAGAAAAAATTCCATTGAATGCATTGATGACCTGTCCATGACAAAATCCTTCCTGCATAGAACGTGCAAAGCCAAAGCATTCGACCAAACAGTCTTGGATTCTTGGTTCAACTGGAGCTGCTGATTGGAGCCTTCAAAAAAAAATTGCCTTTTAATTGTATGAAGGGTAAAGTGCATCCCACATGTGGCCCAAGACAACGCACGTGATCTGTTTGGTTACAACATAGGTCCGTGGACGTCTAGCCGACTATCTGGCAGACTCAGGCAAGAGCCACCTCCAATGATGGGCTTTTCATCATGGGTACACCTGTGCTGTGATTGTCTCAGAATCATGACTGTCTCAGAATCATTATGGCTGCTCTAGAAGAAACTCTGTCACCCAGGCTGGAGTGCAGTGGTGTCATCACGGCTCACTGCAACCTCAACCCCTCGGGGCTGCAGCAATCCTCCTACCTCAGCTTGCCAAGTAGCTGCGACTCCTGACGTGTGACATGTACCCGGGTGATTTTTGTATTTTTTTTTTTAGACATGGGGTCTTGCTATGTTGCCCAGGCTGGTCTCAAACTTCTGAGCTCATGGCATTTGCCCGCCTCAGCCTCCCAAAGTGCTGGGATTACAGGTGTGAGCCACTGCATCTCCCACCAGAATTATATTTTGGAAATATATTTGGAAAACCATTCAGGCTCCAGTGTGGAGACTGGATTGCAGGGGAGGGCTGGTTTAATAGGAGGAAGAGATATCCAGAGGCAAGAGTTGTTTCCTCCGGGGAGGAGGTGGTAACCGTCAGAACAGCGCTGGCCCGTGGAAGGCAGAGAAACAGATGCATTTCAATGCGGCTGTATCGAGAGGCCGGAATGGCTGATTGTACTGTCTTTTGGTTCACAGGTGTGGGCCATTGTGATGAAATCACCAAGGCGTTCAGAGCCAACTTCATTGTTCAGAGGCAGGCATTGCATGAGGCTGCTAGCAGGGGTGGGAATAGAACACAGATCCTCCAACATGCTTCCTGCTACCAGGTGTCATGAAGCCAAATGTCCACTGAGATGGACTGCAACCATCCCACACACCCCTGTTTGAAATGCTTGTTCCCCTGTGCCATCAAGAAACAGCACTTGAACATAATTTTAATTTATTTAGTAAGGCCATTTTTATACTTTCTGCAGAAAGGGTACACTCACCAGCAGTTCTGCCATGAGAGTACAGCGAACAAAGGGGACAGGGTCGTTTATAACCTGACGCGTCCACCCTACTGCCGTGTCCGGTTTCCATTGGCTGGAACGGGACCTCACATTCTGTATTTGTCCCGACTGGCCAGCAACTTAGAACTTTTAAAAAGAAGCAAAGGTAGAGGAGAACAAAGGAAGGAGGAAGTAATTTGTGGAATGCTGAGAAAGGTAAAAGCACTTTTAAATAAAGAAGAGGAACAGGCTATGACGTAATGCTTGCTTGGACCAGTATAAGCATGCCAGGACAAATATTTAGGCTAAATTGTGGGAGCTAAGAACATAAAGTACATTGATTTCTTTATTACGGCCAGCAGATATTTAAGAACGTTAGCACAGTTCTTTGCATAAATTTTGCTTCTAAGAGAAGTTACTATTTATTCCTAATTAGACGGGGAGGGAAGTCTTTGAAGAGGAACCTCTATTTTACTTTTTACACCCCAAATTCAAGCTCTCAGTGCTTTAACCCAAGACAAAAAAAAAAGCACCAACCACCTTCATTTTTTTTTAGAATGACCCAGGATAGAGATGACTGTGGTCTCAACTGTTGCAAAGTAGACCTCATTCTGTAAGGAGCTCCTGTAACCCTGATACTAAGAGAATGCAGAGGGTTTCCTTTCCTTTTCTTTCTTTTCTTTTCTTTTCTTTTTTTTTTTTTTTGACATACGTTGTAAATTTTTTTCTCCCCCTCTGGCTCTGTTCCACTCTGGATTTGATTAATTACCAAGGTGTTTGGAAAGGTTCTCTGTGCTGTGGGGACTAGGCAATTGATTTACAAAGTGTGTACACGGTCTTTCATTCAACAATTGTAAATTCCCATCAAAGGAAGTCATTTGCACGGGCGTTCCGGTTCACGGATTGTAGCCAAAGCCCTCATGTTGGGGACACAACCCATTTTTGTTAACATAAGTGTGTGGGTTTCAATATGATTGCAATTATTATATGCAATCATATAATAATTGTGTGGCCTCTAAGTTCACACTGCAGATAAACAATGACAAGCTGTGTTTTGCAGGTTTTTGGCTAAACCAACTGACAGGGTTTGGCTGTGTCCCCACCCAAATCTCATCTTGAATTGTAGCTGCCACAATTCCCACGTTTCATCGGAAGGACCCAGTGATAGGTAATTGAATCGTGGGGGGCGGGGCTTTCCCGTGCTGTTCTCGCGATAGAGAATAAGTCTCACGAGATCTCACGGTTTTATAAAGGGGGCGGCCCCTCCACAAGCTTCTTGCCGGCTGCCATGGAAGACGTGGCTTTGCTCCCTCTTTGCCTTCCACCGTGATTGTGAGGCCTCCCCAGCTATGCAGAACTGTGAGTTCATTAAAACTCTTTCCTTTATAAATTACCCAGTTTCAGATATGTCTTTTTCTTTTTCTTTCTTTCTTTCTTTCTTTCTCTTTCTTTCTTTTTCTTTTCTTTCTTTTCTTTCTTTCTTTCTTTCCTCCCTTCCTTCCTTTCCTCCTTTCTTTTCTTTTTCTTTCTTTCTTTCTTTCTTTCTTTCCTTCCTTCCTTCTTTCTTTCTTTCCTGCTTTCTTTTCTTTCTTTCTTTGTCTTTCTTTCTTTCCTTTCTTCTTTCTTTCTTTCCTCCTTTCCTTTCTTTCTTTCTTTCTTTCTTTCTTGGTCTTTCTTTCTCTTTCTCTTTCTTTCTTTCCTTCCTTCCTTCTTTCTTTCTTTTTCTTCCCTTCCTTCCTTTGTCTTTCTTTCCTCCTTTCTCTCTTTCTTTCTTTCCTCCTTTCTTTCTCTCTTTCTTTTCTCCTTTCCTTTCTTTCTTTCTTTCTTTCTTTCTCTTTCTTCCTTTCTTTCTCTCTATCTCTCTTTCCTTCCTTCCTTCTTCTTCTTTCTTTCTCTCTGTCTCTTTCTTTCTCTTTCTTTCTTTTTTTCTTTCTATTTATTTATTTTGAGACAGAGCCTTGCTCTGATGCCCAGGCTGGAGTGCAATGGCATGATCTCAACTCACAGCAACCTCCGCCTCCAGGGTTCAAGCTATTCCCCTGCCTCAGCCTCCCGAGTAGCTGTATTTATAGGCATGCACCACCTCGCCTGGCTAATTTTGTATTTTTAGTAAAGGCAGGGTTTCACCATATTGGTCAGGCTGGTCTTGAACTCCTGGCCTCAGGTGATCCGCCTGCCTCGGCCTCCCAAAGTGCTGGGATGGCAGGCATAAGCCACCATGCCTGGCCCCAGAAATGCCTTTATTAGCAGCATGAGAACAGACTAATCTACCCACTCAAGCAGACTTAAGATTCGTTAATGCTTTCTTTGCTGCAGCGGCATAGATGCTCTTGGAGGTGGTCAGCCTCGCCAAGCCATCTTTGAGATTTTGCTCACGTATTCCTCCAGTAACATGGCGAAGTTTCGCCTGACCGTTTTCCCCCGGACCCCGGACGTTCACATCTCGATGAGTTTGTGACGGCTTGGAGTGATGGGTTGAGTCACGAATGGATCTCCTCTCCCAACATAACCAGGTGCTCTAATGAAATGAGTTTTATTCAAAGTCTCTGTCTCCTAATGCTGCGGGAAAAAAAGATAAATGGAACAATTCTTCTAGCAAATGCATTGCACAAAACAGCAGCATATTGCTTATGAAGTTTAATTTCCTAATAGTTCATGAGGTGTAATTTACCTGCCTTCGCTTCTGGGGAAATGGATTCGGGCTCATGACAAGATGGAATGGCTACCCGTGATATTGCTTTTCTTGTTGAACTGCGGTCTGAATCCAGTGAAATTTGCATGCTGCTGGAAGTCCGTGGAATTACAGCATTTCCCTTTTAACTTTTTATTGTGATTCTTATTATTGCATAGCCCCCGAGTATTCCGTGAACATGCTTTTATTTAATCAGCATTTTATTTAATCAGCATCCTATTTATTTTTATATGATGCCAATATTGCCTGGACAAACGTAGATGTTTTGGTGCTTGAAGTATTTTGGTACGTGGATTATTTTTTTTTTTTTCAAAACTGAAATCACACAGAACTTCAAAGTTTGAGCTTTGCTTTGATAGGAGAATATGGCCAATTATGAGACGCGGATTAATGGCTGCCTGCTTTGTCTTGCATCTTCTATTTTAGAATGAACAAGTGTTGGCCAGGAGTGGTGGCTCATGCCTGTAATCCCAGCAATTTGGGAGGCCAAGGTGGGCAGATTGCCAGGTCAGGAGTTCGAGACCATCCTGGCCAACATGGTGAAACCCTGTCTCTACTAAAATCACAAAGATTAGCCAGGGGTGGTGGTGCACACCTGTAATCCCAGCTACTTGGGACGCTGATGTAGGAGAATTGCTTGAACCCGGGAGACAGAGGTTGCAGTGAGCCGAGATTGTGCCACTGCACTGCAGCCTGGGCGGCAGGGCGAGACTCTGTCTCAAAAAAAAAAAAGAATGAACAAGTGTTTATACTTACTTTAGCAACTAGCAAATTATGCATAAAGTACCACAAATCTCTAGTGATGAACAATAAGTAAAAGGGTGGTTTCACTGTTGCATTTTGTTTATGACAGTTAAAAATTGCCAGGTGTGGCTGGGTGTGGTGGCTCATGCCTGTCATCCCAGCACTTTGGGAGGCCAAGGCAGGCGGATCACAAGGTCAGGAGATCGAGACCATCCTGGCTAACACGGTGAAAGCCCATCTCTACCAAAAATACAAAAAATTAGCCGGGCGTGGTGGCGGGCGCCTGTAGTCCCAGCTACTCGGGAGGCTGAGGCAGGAGAATGGCGTGAACCCAGGAGGCGGAGCTTGCAGAGCGTAGAGATGGCGCCACTGCACTCTGGCCTGGGGGACAGAGAGAGACTCCGTCTCAAAAAAAAAAAAAAATTGCCAGGTGTGGCGTTCACGTCTGTAATCCAAGCACTTTGGGACGTCGAGGTGGATGGATCGCTTGAGCCTAGGAGTTTGAGATCAGCCTGGGCAACATAGTGAAACCCCCTCTCTACAAAACAAATACAAGAATTAGCCAGGCATGGTGATGTGCACCTGTGGTCCTAGTTACTTGGGGGAACTCAGGTGGGCAGGATCACTTGAGCCGGAGAAGTCGGGGTTACGGCAAGCAGTGATTACACCACTGCACTCCAGCCTGGGTGACAGGAATGAGACTTTGTCTCAAAATAAAAATTATTGCTAGAGCTATTGTAGGGTGTATGCATGGGAAATAAAGGGCTAAGGTTTCCACTGGAAACTTTGTTCCTGTAACACAGGAAGTTTATCATCCTGTAGGAGTGAAATGTGTGGTTACAGTGGAGCAGGGGCCGTAAGGATTCTGGAAATATTTTTAATGTATCTCCTGGGTCCAAGGTTTCAATGTATTCTTCTGTTGCTGGAAGAACTGTGGGCCAGAGTGGTGATTAGAAAACTGCAAATCTTGAGACCATCTTGGCTAACACGGTGAAACCCCGTCTCTACTAAAAATACAAAAAAATTAGCCGGGTGTGGTGGCGGGCACCTGTAGTCCCAGCTACTCAGAGGCTGAGGCAGGAGAATGGCATAAACCCGGGAGGCAGAGGTTGCAGTGAGCGGGGCTCGTGCCATTGCACTCCAACCTGGGCAACAGTGTGAGACTCCATCTCAAAAATAAAATATAAAATAAAATAAAACAAGGCTGGGCACGGTGGCTCACGCCTGTAATCCCAGCACTTTGGGAGGCCGAGGTGGGCGGATCACGAGGTCAGGAGATCGAGACCATCCTGGCTAACACAGTGAAACCCCGTCTCTACTAAAAATACAAAAAAATTAGCCGGGCGTGGTGGCGGGCACCTGTAGTCCCAGCTACTCAGAGGCTGAGGCAGGAGAATGGCGTGAACCCGGGAGGCGGAGGTTGCAGTGAGCAGGGCTCGTGCCATTGCACTCCAGCCTGGGCAACAGTGTGAGACTCCATCTCAAAAACAAAACGAAATAAAATAAAATAGCCCATGTGTGATCACCATGGCTGTCTGCCCAGCATCACTCCTCGGCTCCACCCATCAGAAATGCCTCTCAGATGTACAGACATAGGCTAGAAAGCTGGTAACCCGATTTCCCCACAGGTTGCTCACTCTCACCTTGGGTTGACCTTGGCTTTCTCATCCCAGAGTCTTCCCTGGGGACCTGTCACCCCGGAGCTTGTCCCCTGAGCTCAGCTGGTCTTCAGCATCCAGTTAGTGTTTAGTAGGTACTTATGTACTTAGTAGGTACTTACGTGCTTAGTAGGAGCTTATGTGCTTACTAAGAGCTCACATGCTTGGCAGGACCTTATGTGCTTAATAGCTGCTCACGTGCTTAGTAGGAGCTCATGTGCTTAGTAGACCCTTATGTGCTTAGTAGGAGCTCACGTGCTTAGTAGGAGCTCACGTGCATAGGTGCTTACATGCTTAGTAGGAGCTCATACAGTTAGTAGGAACTCACACGCTTAGCAGGAGCTTATGAGCTTAGTAGGTCCTTCTGTGCTTAGTAGGAGCTCATGTGGTCAGTGGGTGCTACGTGCTTAGTAGGAGCTGACGTGGTTAGTAGGAGCTTATATGCTTGGCAGGTCCTTATGTGCTTGCTTACTAGGAGCTTACGTGCTTAGCAGGAGTTCACGTGCTTAGTAGGTTTTTATGTGCTTCCTAGGAACTCACGTGGTTAGTAGGAGCTTATGAGCTTAGTAGGTCCTTACGTGCTTAGTTGGTGCTTATGTGCTTAGTAGGAGCTCACGTGCTTAGTAGGACCTTACATGCTTAGCACGAGCTCACGTGCTTCGTAGGGGCTCACATGCTTAGTAAGAACTCATGTGCTTAGTTAACAGCTCACATGCTTAGTAGGTGCTTATATGCTTAGTAGGAGCTTATGTGCTTAGTAGGAACTCACGTGCTTAGTAGGTGCTTACATGCTTAATAGGAGCTCGTGAGCTTAGTAGGGGCTTACGTGCTTAGTAGGTTTTAATGTGCTTACTAGGAGCTCACGTGCTTAGTAGGTGCTCATATGCTTAGTAGGAGCTTACGTGCTTAGCAGGAGCTCACGTGCTTAGTAGGTTTTTATGTGCTTAGTAGGAGCTCACGTGCTTAGTAGGAGCTTCTGAGCTTAGTAGGTCCTTCCGTGCTTAGTAGGCATTCATGTGCTTAGTGGGTGCTATGTGCTTAGTAGGAGCTCATGTGATTAGGAGCTTATGTGCGTAGCAGGTCCTTATGGCTTAGTAGGTGCTTCCATGCTTAGTTAGGCCCTCATGTGCTTAGTGGGTGCTATGTGCTTAGTAGGAGCTCAAGTGGTTAGTAGGAGCTTCTGTGCTTAGCAGGTCCTTATGTGCTTAGTAGGAGCTTACATACTTAGTAGGAGCTTGCACATGGATGGTCTGGGAGCCCTCAGAGGCTGCCCTCATGGGTATTTGTAATTAAAAGGTAAATTAGTCCTGGTGTGCCTGGGGTACAAATTAGGGTGCTTCGCGCCTGGAATCCCAGTGCTTGGGGCAGCTGAGGTGGGAGAAATGCTTAAGACCAGCAGTTTGAAACCAGCCTGGGGAACATAGCAAGACCCCATCTCTACAAAAAAAAAATTACCAGACTTGGTGGTGTGCACCTGTAATCCCAGCTACTCGGGAGGCTGAGGCAGGAGGATCGCTTGAGCCCAGGAGGTCGAGGCTGCAGTGAGCAGTGATTGCACCGCTGCACTCCAGCCTGGATGATAGAGCCAGATCCTGTCCCTAAAAGCAAAGGAAACCTGTTGTCCTGTTGAGTAATTAATCCCCACCAGTGAGGTCCCTGCACACCCACCCGTGTCCCGTCTGTATTTTCAGAAGGACAAGGAGGTGATATGAGGTTAACAACGATAGACTGGATGAAGAAAATGTGGCACATACACACCATGGAATACTATGCAGCCATAAAAAACGATGAGTTCATGTCCTTTGTAAGGATATGGATGAAGCTGGAAACCATCATTCTCAGCAAACTATCACAAGGACAAAAAACCAAACACTGCATGTTCTCACTCATAGGTGGGAATTGAACAATGAGAACACTTGGACACAGGAAGGGGAATATCACACACTGGGGCCTGTTGTGGGGTGGTGGGAGTGGGGAGGGATAGCATTGGGAGATATACCTAATATTAAATGACAAGTTAATGGGGGCAGCACACCAGCATGGCACATGTACACATATGTAACAAACCTGCACGTTGTGCACATGTACCCTAGAACTTAAAGTATAATAAAAAAAAAAAAAGAAAAGAAAAAGAAAATCATGTGAGTTGGGGGATAGGCGGGGACCAGGGCTGGGTGGGTGAGTGCTGTGACATTCTTTCCTCTATTCAAGTTCCTAACCAACCACCCCTCTGGAACTCACCCCAGAATCGCAGGGATTTCTAGAGACTTTTGAAAATCACAACTGAGAATAGAACTCGAGCCTCAGTTTCCACTTCATCCCAAGTGAAAATGAAGTAAAACATAGCACATGGCAGGCTCCCCGCAGAGCAGGGCTGAATCGGGATGGGAGCTGGGAAATGGGGCACACTGCCCCTTTGCTTGATGGGTCTTTCAGGAAACAGAGGCTGCAACATTCTAGTTTCTGTACAAAGCCGGGACGCACACATTGTATTCCTTTACTTAACAAACACCTGTCTATTGAGGAGTTATTCAATATAGGGTACCATCTTCAAGGTCCACAGTTTTACAGTTGGATTTCCCCCCGACCTTTTTTTTTTAGAAATGGAACCTCGCTCTGTCACCCAGGCTGTAGTGCAGTGGCATGATCTCGGCTCACTGAAACCTCCACCTACCGGGTTCAAGTGATTCTCCTGCCTCAGCCTCCTGAGTGGCTGGGATTGCACGCACCTGCCACCACGCTGGGCTAATTTTTTTTTGTGATGGAGTGTCAGTCTTCTTGCCCAGGCTGGGGTGCAATGGTGCGATCTCGGCTCACTGCAACCTCCACCTACCGGGTTCAAGTGATTCTCCTGCCTCAGCCTCCTGAGTGGCTGGGATTGCACGCACCTGCCACCATGCTGGGCTAATTATTTTTTGTGATGGAGTGTCAGTCTTCTTGCCCAGGCTGGGGTGCAATGGTGCGATCTCGGCTCACTGCAACCTCCACCTACTGGGTTCAAGTGATTCTCCTGCCTCAGCCTCCTGAGTGGCTGGGATTGCACGCACCTGCCACCATGCTGGGCTAATTATTTTTTGTGATGGAGTGTCAGTCTTCTTGCCCAGGCTGGGGTGCAATGGTGCGATCTCGGCTCACTGCAACCTCCACCTACCGGGTTCAAGTGATTCTCCTGCCTCAGCCTCCTGAGTGGCTGCGATTGCATGCACCTGCCACCAGGCCCGGCTAATTTTTTTTTTTTGAGATGGAGTTTTGCTCTTGTTGCCCAGGCTGGGGTGCAATGGTGCGATCTTGGCTCACCGCAACCTCCACCTCCCGGGTTCAAGCGATTCTCCTCCCTCAGCCTTCTGAGTAGCTGAGATACAGGCGTGCACCACCACAGCCAGCTAATTTTTGTATTTTTAGTAGAGACGGGGTTTCACCATGTTGGCCAGGCTGGTCTCGAACACCTGACCTCAGGGAATCTGCCCGCCTCGGCCTCCCGAAGTGCTGGGATTACAGGTGTGAGCCACTGTGCTAGGCTGAGAAACTTCTACCTATGACCTGGGTGAAGGTTCAGGAAACAAAACCCTCCATGTTAAGGGGCGTAAACCTGTGTGAGGGATCCTTCCTTTTACATAAACATCACTATTTTTCTTCCTGAGAACCATTAGCAGTTAATGAACTAGGAGAAAGTCAATAATTAATGATTTTGAGGTCAGGGGCGTTTGCAGGACGGAACACCCTAAACGGTGGCCTCCGACTACCCGACGCCAGCTCTTTCTTCTCTGTTTATTCCTGGGTGGTGTTTATTCTGGGTTCTTGGGACAGTCGGCTTCTGGTGGTCCTACCTGGCTTCGTGGCTTGTCCAGGGCTGTGATGTACAGAACGGACAATTTAACAACTTAGGGATATGCTATTACTCCATCCTTTTACTGTGACCTTCAAATACCCTAAAATAGTTGGTTTCATTCTGGGCACAGAAGGCTTTCCATCTGAAATGTCAGATTGCACGACCGAACTGTTCACTGTTATCCAGGGATAGAATGATGGGGTTTAGGTGGGGGTGCTGCGGAAGGAGGCTTTTTTTTTTTTTTTAAATTTTTGAGATGGAATCTCACTCTGTCGCCCAGGCTGGAGTGCAGTGGCGCGATCTTGGCTCACTGCAACCTCCGCCTCCTGGGTTCAAGTGATTCTCCTGCCTCAGCCTCCTGAGTAGCTGGGGTTACAGGCACCCATGACCACCCCTGGCTTTTTTTTTTTTTTTTGTATTTTTAGTAGAGATGGGGTTTCAGCACATTGGTCAGGCTGATCTCGGCTCACTGCAACCTCCGCCTCCTGGGTTCAAGTGATTCTCTTGCCTCAGCCTCCTGAGTAGCTGGGGCTACAGGCACCCGTGACCACGCCTGGCTAATTTTTTTTTTGTATTTTTAGTAGAGATGGGGTTTCACCATGTTGGTCAGGCTGATCTTGAACTCCTGACCTTGTGATCCCCCACCTTGGCCTCCCAAAGTGCTGGGATTACAGGCCTGAGCCACCGCGTGCAGCCTAAAATATATGTTTTGAAAGCAATTTTGAAATATACGATCCACCATTATGAACTATAGTCACCATGCTGTACAATACAGCACCAAAACTTATCATAACATCACCTTTTACTCCGTAAATATACAGTTATTATTTGTTAATTAAAAATTTATGGCCGGGCGCAGTGGCTCACGCCTGTAATCCCAGCACTTTGGGAGGCTGAGGCGGGTGGATCATGAGGTCAGGAGAGCGAGACCATCCTGGCTAACACAGTGAAACCCTGTCTGCACTAAAAATACAAAAAAAAAAAAAAATTATCTGGGCGTGGTGGCGGGCGCCTGTAGTCCCAGCTACTCAGGAGGCTGAGGCAGGAGAATGGCGTGTACTTGGGAGGTGGAGGTTGCAGTGAGCTGAGATTGCACCACTGCACTCCAGCCCGGGTGACAGAGAGAGACTTTGTCTCGAAAAATAAAAAAATAAATAGGCCGGGCGCGGTGGCTCACGCCTGTAATCTCAGCACTTTGGGCGGCCGAGGCGGGTGGATCATGAGGTCAGGAGATCGAGACCATCCTGGCTAACACAGTGAAACGCCGTCTCCACTAAAAATACAAAAAAGTTAGCCGGGCGTGGTGGCGGGTGCCTGTAGTCCCAGCTACTCGGGAGGCTGAGGCAGGAGAATGGCGTGAACCCGGGAGGCAGAGGTTGCAGTGAGCCGAGATCGTGCCACTGCACTCCAGCCTGGGCGACAGAGGGAGACTTTGTCTCAAAAAAATAAATAAATAAAAATAAAATAAAAATAAAAACACATCTCCCCTCATTCAGAAGGCACTCATCAGTGAAGAGTGTCCCCAGTGCCATGTCTGGTTGACCCACCGTTTCCATCATGATCATTCCCCTTATTTGAGCCTCTCACGCAAGAAGGATTTTCGTTACTCTCAGATAATTTCCACGTACATCTGCTGCTTGGTTTTACTTTTTTCTCACGATTGTTTTTTTTTTTTTCCTGGTGTTTTCTGGGGCCAAATTCAACTGCTTAGCACCATTTCTGGAGCTTTCCTCTTTGCACAAAGGACGTTCCCCTGGCATAAGACGCAGGTGCAGAGACAGAGAGACAGAGCTCCTCAATTACGGTTTGACAGATATTCCCAACCAGCCTTCTGGCCTCCCGGTACCTGGGGCATCTTAGTAGACACTCGCGCTGCAAAGATCTTGCTTGCATTCATTAAACACGACTGCTAATAACGTCGAGAGAATGCTTTGCAGCCTCGAACGGTGAGCGCCTGATCTCCCTTCAAGACCTCATTAATCTTCTGATGTCCTCACGGCTCCGCGCCAGGTTACCTTTAAAAGGACAGCATTTGATGAAGGCAGAGATAAATTCTGTAGGCTGTACGGACGCCAATGGTGCCCTGAGACAGGCGGAGAGAGGTGGTTTGTCTTCACTGTCCCTTTGATAAAGATAAAGTGGGATATGCGATTTATTGCCGTCCTGCAGCCACAGCCCACGCCATGGAAATCAAATGCTTTTTAGAAAGTGGTCTTTTAGTGATCTGATTATTCAGCCCTGTGGCCATAGCTAATGGTTGTCCACCCCAAAATCCATCCCTCCTCTTCCCACCGTGAACAGAAAGTTAGACTTTTCTGAGTTTTGGTTGGGATTGATTAAGTACTTGAGTTTCAGGAAACAGGAATGGCAGGTGCGCCTTTTGGATTTGAGCCTCAGAACAGAATCTCGCATGCTATCTCGTGCTGGCCAGCAGGGACCCTGGAAGATCCAGCTCTGAACAGGAAGAAAATGAGAAGGCCACAGGGGCCTCTGGAGCAGCCTGGGTCCCTGAGTGACTGTGTGGAGCAGAGCATCTGGTACTATGGAGAGCTCTCGTGGGGCTGTTGTGAGAAACAGAAGGAAATAAACTGATAATACAGGGGTCTTTTTTCATTTTGTTCATTTTTATTTATTTAGAGACAGGCTGTCACCCTGTCACCCAGGCTGGAATGCAGTGGTACCAGCATGGCTCACTGCAGCCTCCAACTCCTGGGCTCAAATGATCCTCCTGCCTCAGCCTCCCAAGTAGCTGGGACCGCAGGTGCATACCACCAGGCCCAGGTAATTTTTTAACTTTTTTTATTTTTGGAGAGCTGGAGCTTCACTATGTTACCCAGGCTGGCCTTGAACTCCTGGGCTCCAGCAATCCTCCCGCTTCAGCCTCCCAAAGTGCTGGGATTACAGGCATGAACCACGGCACCCGACAAGACTCTGGGTGTCTTTGTTACAGTTGTCCAGCATTGCTCTAACTGACAAGCCCCATTCTTGCGATCTATGGGAATGGAAACACAGGTCTTTTGACCCAAGGGCTTTCAGTATGTGAGGTAGAGAAATGTTTTATTTTTCTGCACCCACCAATATGGTGGAGTCTTGGCCAACTACGGAGGTAGGTGGGAAATGCCTGGCTGGAGTGCACCAGAGTTTGGCGAGAAGAAGCTTCTGGAAGTGTTTAACTCTGGCTGTATGGTGACCTCACTGTTCCCTGTGGGGCCCACTCTGGTGGAAGGGCACAGGGGTGAGTGGGGTGTCAGCCTCAAGACCTAAAGACCTGCGTGAGGCCAGCGAAAACCAAACATCGCATAAAATAAGGTGAAGCTGGCTAGGTCAAGTGGCTCGTGTCTGTAATCCCAGCACTTTGAGGGGCTGAGGCAGGAGGATATTGCTTGAGAGCAGGAGCTCTACACCACCGTGGACAACATAGTGAGACCCGGTCTTTTATTATTATTATTGTTTTTGAGATGGAGTCTCGCTCTATTGCCCAGGCTGGAGTGCAGTGGCGCGATCTCGGCTCACTGCAAGCTCTGCCTCCCGGGTTCACGCCATTCTCCTGCCTCAGCCTCCTGAGTAGCTGGGACTACAGGCGCCCGCCACCGCGCCCGGCTAATTTTTTGTATTTTTAGTAGAGACGGGGTTTCACCATGTTAGCTAGGATGGTCTCGATCTCCTGACCTCATGATCCACCCGCCTCGGCCTCCCAAAGTGCTGGGATTACAGGTGTGAGCCACTGCACCCGGCCTCTTTTTTTTTTTTTAGATGGAGTTTTGCTCTTGTCGCCCAGGCTGGAGTGCAATGGCGCGATCTTGGCTCACTGCAACCTCCGCCTCCCGAGTTCAAGTGATTCTCCTGCCTCAGCCTCCCGAGTAGCTGGGATTAAAGGCGTGAACCACCATGCCAAGATAATGTTTGTATTTTCAGTAGAGACAGGATTTCACCATGTTGACCAGGCTGGTCTCGAACTCCTGACCTCAGGTGATCCACCCACTTCGGCCTCCCAAAGTGCTGGGATTACAGGCATGAGCCACCGCTCCCGGCCTAAGGCTTTTTAATCACCTGGGTGCAGGGTCTGAAAAAGGAGTCAGCAAAGGGAGATAGAGGTGGGGCAGTTTTATAGGATTTGGGTAGGTAGTGGAAAATTACAGTCAAAGGGGGTTATTCTCTTCAGGCAGGGGCGGGGGTCACAAGGTGCTCGGTGGGGGAGGCCCAGAGACTTATTGTTAAGGAGAAGGAATGTCACAACGTCAATTGATCGGTTACGGTGTGGCAGAAACAAATCACAATGGGGGAATGTCATCAGTTAAGGCAGGAACCGGCCATTTTCACTTCTTTTCTGGTTCTTCAGTTGCTTCAGGCCATGTGGAGATATATGTGCAGGTCACAGGGGCTATGATGGCTTCGCTTGGGCTCAGAGGCCTGACACCTATTATCTTTCCAGGGCCTGAGACAGAGGACAGTTTTTCATCTTCACAGTCAGAGTGAATCCTGTTTCCTCATGACCTCTCATCCTCCATCCAGTCCATATCCCCATCTAGCAGCCGCCATGTTTCATTTGCCCATTAGGATATTTGACTGGTGGGTGGTGCAGGATTTTATTCAAACCCCCAAAAGGTGGGCTGGGTGTGGTGGTTCACACCTGTAATCCCAGCACTTTGGGAGGCCGAGGCAGGCGGATCACCTGAGGTCAGGAGTTTGAGACCAGCCTGTGCCACATATACATGGAATACTATGCAGCCATGAAAAAGAACGAGATCCTATCCTTTGCAGGAACATGAATGTAGCTGGAGGCCATTATCCTTAGCAAACCAATGCAGGAACCAAAAACTAAGTACCACATGTTTTTACTTAAAAGTGGGAGCTGGCCGGGTGCGGTGGCTCACACCTGTCATCCCAGCACTTTGGGAGACCGAGGCGGGTGGATCACGTGAGGTCAGGAGTTCGAGACCAGTGTGGGCAACATGCTGAAACCCTGTCTGTACTAAAAATACACAAATTAGCCAGGTGTAGTGGCCGGTGCCTGCAATCCCAGCTACTTGGGAGGCTGAAGCAGGGGAATGTCTTGAACCTGGGAAGCAGAGGTTGCAGTGAGCCAAGATTATGCCACTGCAATCCAGCCTGGGTGACAGAGTGAGACTCTGTCTCAAAAAAAAAAAAAAAAAGCAATAGGAAGGAAAAGTGTTTTAAAAAGTGTTAAAAGACTTGATAAATGGCGCTTGGACCGTTTTGCACGCGTTATACATTCTGAAAGTAGGATGCCCGTGGTAAATTCCAAACAGTGATCTTTGGTATAATGTCATTTTTAAGAAGCTCACTTGCCTCCGGACTGTGAATTATTGAGCTGTGAATATTGCAGGAGGGATTATTTCCCATAAATCGCGGACCGCTGCAAATGCTTCATAATCAGAATATGTCAAATGTTGCACAACCGGGAACCAAGTTGGTTTACAACTTCCTGCCAGAATGAAGAACAGGACGGGTTGGCGCGTGACGGCGAACGGAAAAATGTCCTGTTTCCCTGTCCCAACTCCATAAGCACCGGCCATAATCACGCTCATATAAACGAAGCCATTAGAGGCGGTTGACATTTTCATATTTTCATCTGTGACTGGAACGTCCGGCTCAACAATAATAAAAAAATTAAGGGAACTTACAGGAAGCTTTGCTTGCAACAGCTCAGATGCATGAAGCAGCCGTCACTCTCTGAAGGGTGGTGTTGCAGAAAAGGCAGACAAGTGAGGTGTTCCCCTGGCCGGCAGGTACACGGGAGCATTTTGAGGGCCAGAACATTCCATGCCCATCTCAGCACCTCTAGAGATTAGGCTGGGGGACTTGGGCAAGACTCTTGTCTGTAGAATGGAAGGGAGGGTACATTTTCTCCTGGCGTGCGGGGGTGTGAGAAGATATTATGGGAGAAACAGAGTAAAACACTATGAGGTCCTGACTATGGTATTTCTAAGTGGGGGCCCAGTGGTAAGAAGGACCCTTTTTTTTTTTTTTGAGACAGAGTCTCGCTCTGTCGCCCAGGCTGGAGTGCAGTGGCATGATCTCGGCTCACTGCAACCTCCGCCTCCCAGGTTCACACCATTCTCCTGCCTCAGCCTCCCGAGTAGCTGGGACGACAGGTGCCCGCCACCACCCCCGGCTAATTTTTTATATGTTTAGTAGAGACGGGGTTTCACCGTGTTAGCCAGGATGGTCTCGATCTCCTGACCTCGTGATCCGCCTGTCTCAGCCTCCCAAAGTGCTGGGATTACAGGCGGCCGCCACCACGCCTGGCTAGTTTTTTATATGTTTAGTAGAGATGGGGTTTCACCGTGTTAGCCACGATGGTTTCGATGTAAGAAGGACCCTTTTGAGAAGGCATTTCTCTAAGCGCCGAACCTGTGACTTTTGGGACCCTGGACCTCAACTTGCAGATGCCTTGTGTGCTGGTGGAAAAGTGTGTGTCAACCCGGCTGGGACACAGTACCTAGGTTATTTGGCCAAACACTGATGTAGATGTTGTTTGTTTTTATATAAACCCAAACTTTATGAGGGTATCATTAACAAATAAAAATTGTATCCGTTTACAGTGTACCATGTGATATTTTGATACATGTATGCCAAATGATTTTGTTGCAAAGCTAACATTTTTTCAATTTTTTTTTTGTTTTTTTGAGATGGAGTCTCGCTCTGTTGCCAGGCTGGAGTGCAGGGGTGTGATCTCGGTTCACTGCAACCTCCGCCTCCCGGGTTCAAGTGATTCTCCTGCCTCAGCCTCCTGAGTAGCTGGGACTACAGGCACCCGTCACCATGCCCAGCTAATTTTTTATTTTTAGTAGAGATGGGGTTTCACCATGTTGGCCAGGAGGGTCTCCATCTCTTGACCTCATGATCCTCCCACCTCAGCCTCCCAAAGTCTGGGATTACAGGTGTGAGCCACTGGGCCTGGCCCCGTTTTTTTGAATTTTAAAAAAATTTATAGATGGGATCTTGCTCTGCTGCCCAGGCTGGATTGCAGTGGCATAATCATAGCTCCCTGAAGCCTGAACCTCCCCGGCTTAAGCGATCCTCCCACCTCAGCCTCCTGAGTATGTGGGACTACAGGCACCTGCCACCACACGCAGCCAGTATTTTAAACATTTTTGTAGACATGGGGTCTTGCTTTGTTGCCCAGGCTGGTCTCTAACTCCTGACCTCAAAAGATCCCCCCGCCTCGGCCTCCCAAAGTGCTGGGATGACAGGCATGAGCTACTGTACCCATCCTGAAGTTACTTATTTTTTTATTTTTTTTGAGATGGAGTTTCTTTCTTGTTACCCAGGCCAGAGTGCAATGGTATAATCTCCACTCACTGCAACCTCCACCTCCTGGGTTCAAGCGATTCTCCTGCCTCAATCTTCCAAGTAGCCGGAATTACAGGTGCCCACCACCAAGTCTGGCTAATTTTTTGTATTTTTAGTAGAGACAGGGTTTCACCATCTTGGCCAGGCTGGTCTCGAACTCATGACCTCAGGTGATCCACCCGCCTTGGCCTCCCAAAGTGCTGGGATGACAGGCGTGAGCTTCTGCGCCCATCCTGAAGCTACTTTTATATATGAAGTAAGCATTTAAATCGGTAGATGCTGGTAAAATAATAATTAAAAAAACCTTCATAGTGTGTGGGCGTCGTCTAATCAGTTGAAGGTCTTAAGAGGAAAAAATAATGGGAGTCTCCTAAGGAACAAGGAATTCTGCCTCCAGATGCAACATTAGCCCTTTGCTGATCTGTGGGCACTGGGTCCAACCTGTAGCGTTTGAAGTTGCATCTCCACAATCCTGTAAAAGCCAATTCATTAAAATAAATCTCTCTCTCTGTCTCTGTCTCTCTCTCTCTCTTTTTCTGTGTCTCTCCCTTTCCATATTCCGTTGGTTCTGTTCCTCTAGATAACGCTGACATATACACTCTGTGTGTCTTCCCTTTCATCCTCATCGCCTTTGTGAAAGGAAAGGAAATCTCAGGACCCCCAAATTACTAAGCCAAAGAGAAAAGTCAAACTGGGAACTTTGTCCCACAGACCTGCCTTCCATTCTCTTTGTAAATAAGATGTTACCAAGATCAAAAAGCTACATACCTCCCTCACCATTGGCCCACAAGGAAATTCCTTGTGGAGGGAGGACAAGTGACGATCCCTGTAAATTATGCATTTAGCCAAAGGCTAATCAGAAACTCAAAAGAATGCAACCATTGGTCTCTTATCTGCCTGTAACCTGGAAGACTCCTCCTGGCTTCGAGTTATTCTGACTTTCCAGACTGAACCCACGCACGTCTCACACATATTGATTGATGTCTCACGTCTCCCTGAAATGTATAAAACCAAGCTGTGCCCTGACCATCTTGGGCACCTGTCATCAGGACCTCCTGAGGCTGTGTCACGGGCGCACGTCCTCAACCTTGGCAAAGTAAACTTGTCAAATGGGTTGGGACCTGTCTCAGATATTTTGGGCTCACCCCTTCCAAGCAGAAGGAAAGGAGGCTGCCTTTGGGTCATGTTGTTTCCCAAAATGTCCTGTCTGTGGCTGTTGTCCAGGGGAGGCAAGGTTGACTCTCTCGTTCAGCTCCCGATCTTCGATGTAGAGAGGGGACGGGGTGCAGTGTGGGTTCCCACCTGCAGCAGCTCTGAAGTATGTGACTGAGCTCCTGACCTCAGGGACAGTGACCCCTGCCCCCAACAGGTGGTGTTATAACCCCACCCCTCAGTGCCCCTGTGATCCTGCCCAGCCCTAGCCAAGGAAGGCGTGTCCCCCTACAAGGAGTGGGTGGTGGGGGCTGCTCAGATGGAAAGCAGGAAAGATGTTCCCCAGAACCTATGGAGGTGGAGGGCATACACAGCCCATGAGCGGTAGCTACCCGGCTCAACCATGGTGCAGACCCCATCAGAGCTACGTTCCTGCTATGAGAGGAGAACATCCCACTCTGTGGGTGAACAGAGCCTCGTGTACCTCCAAGTCCACTGATGGACATTGAGCTGCTTCCAGTCCATTGCTGCTGTGGATATGTGTGCACAAGTACATCTGCCCCAACACCCATTTCCCAGTCTTTTTTTTTTTTTTTCTTTTTTGGAGACAGAGTCTCACTCTGTTGCCCAGGCTGGAGTGCAGTGGTGCATTCACAGCTCATTGCAACCTCCACCTCCTAGGCTCAAGTGATCCTCCTATCTCAGCCTCCCAAGTAGCTGGGACTACAGGTGCACGTCACCACCACACTGGCTAATTTTTTTTTTTTTTAAATTTTTGCAAAAGCAACATATTCCTACATTGTCCAGGCTGGTCTCAAACTCCTGGGCTCAAGGAATCTGCCTGCCTTGTCCTCCCAAAGTGCTGGGGTTACAGGCATGAGCCACCATGCCAGGCCCATTTCCAATTCCTTTGGGTGCACGCCCAGGAATGGAACAGGCAGTGACTGCTGTTGAGATGGAGTTCAGGGTTCTCTGGGTGGTGATTAAAATGACCCAGAACCAGATGGAGGTGGTGGTTGTACAACGTAATGAAAGCACTCAGAGTTACTGAATTGTGTGCACTTTATCATGGTGAATGGTTAATTTTAGGTTACGTGCATTTCACTTCGATGGAAAACAAAACACACTCATCCACAGACCCTCCCTCCCAAACCATGGCACCCACGTGGCGTGGCACACTTTGGGGTCCCATGTCCATCAGGGTGATCACAGGCATCACAAAGCTCAGGCCCATGGGAAGATAAACCTTTCCAGATTCCTGCAGTCAGGCAGCGCTGGTTGTTCCTGAATGTCATAGAGTCAGGGACAAAATCAATGTCAGCGGAATCACGTGTGGGTCTTAGGGAGAGGGATGAATATCTAAATCCTCCTATAAATCCCCTTTTCCTTAGAGAATCTGCTCATTTCATCAGGAAGTCATTGTTAATTTTATTTTCTATTTTGTGTAATTCTTTTTATTTTTTTTAAACTATTTGCCACTCAGGGGACACGACGCACATCTCGTTTATCTTCAAGTCACTAACTTCATGCAATAAACCCTGCTTGCTGAAGGGATACTAATGATAGAAAAACCACGGGGAGTTTTTATGTGTGTTTGTGATGTCATTTTTTATTTTTTAGAGACAGGTTCTTGCTTGTCACCCAGGCTGGAGTGCAGTGGTACAATCATGGCTCACTGTAGCCTCGAACTCCTGGGCTCAAGTGATCTTCCCATCTCAGTCTCTCAAGTAGCTGGGACTACAGGTGACACCACCATGCCTGCCTAATTTTAAAAAACTTTTTGTAGAGATTGGGTCTTGTTGTGTTGCCCAGGATGGTCTCCAACTCCTGGGATCAAATGACCCTCCCAACTTGGCCTTCCAAAGGGCTGTGGACTGTAGGTGTGAGCCACCATGCCAGGCTGGAAACCAGTTTTGATAATCCTGTCAAACTTTCCTGTTTTGTTCTGCTGTGATTTACTACCAGGAACTGGGTAATTTATAAAGACAGACATTTATTTTCTCACAGTTCTGGAGGCTGGGAAGTCCAAGACCAAGGCACCATCATCTGGTGAGGAACTTCTTGCTGTGTCAGCCCATGGAGAAAGAGCAAAGAGCGGAGAAAGAGAGAGACAGAGACAGAGGCAGAGAGAGAGAAAGGAAGAGGGGGCCAAATTCCATCCTGGGTGATGAGTAAGAATCTGTCTCTAAAAAATAAAAGAAAAACAACATCACAAACTGGTTTCCAGGCTGGAAACCAGTTTTACAGCTCTGTTAAAAGAGATGAGAAATGCTGAGTGGTAGATGCAACCTGATTTCTGGGGTCATTGATGTTCAACTCCCTTGGGCGTCATTTCTAAGCCAAAATTATAGGACAGGATGCTCTGAGATTAGACCTCTTTATCTCTTCTCCTCACCTCAACCTCAAGCCTCCCAAATTCCAGAGCTCTATCAGAACACAATGAATATAAAAGTATCCTAGGAACTGAGAAGCGAGAAGAAGGGGAAAGATGATGACATCATGGGAGGAATGGAAGAAAAAGGGGTGAGTCATTCCCTTGAGTTTCTTGGGAAACAGTCAATGCAGGGAGAAATAACACTGAGTTGGAGGTGGCTGCTGGCTCAGGGAACTGCATGAAAGCCAGTGAGCATCATGTGGTTTATAAGTAAATGAGCAATTTCTGCCTCACCGTGCAGAACATAGAGAAACCCCTCCTGAGAATGTAAAGACAAAAACTCATATTATTTGCAATATGTCATGGACATGGAGCAATACAAATCTCTGATTGCACCATAGATGTTACGATTGACTTCCAGGGTTTGCAAGAGCTATGGTTTGCGTATTTCTCCCCTCTCAAATGCATGTTGAAATGTAATTGCTATTGCAACAGTGTTGAGAGGTGAGACGTTTAAGAGGCCATCAGTCCATGAGGGCTCTGCTGTCGTGAATGGTTTAATGCTGTTATGGAAAGAGTGAGTTCCCTGTGAGAGAATGAGTTTGAGCCCCTCTCACTCTCTTTCTCTCTTTCTAAAAGAATAAGTTTGGCCCCCTCTTGCTGTCTCTCTCTCTCCTCTCTTTGCTTTTTCTCCATGGGCTGACACAGCAAGAAGGTCCTCACCAGATGATGGTGCCTTGGTCTTGGACTTCCCAGACTCCAGAACAGTGAGAAAATAAATGTCTCTTCTTTATAAATTACCCAGTTCCTGGTAGTCTGTTATGGCAGCAAAAAACAGACTAAGACAGGAAGGGCTAGCAAGGGCTTGTGGTGTTTGAGAATATTTCATTTTGAAGAGGAGACACTTCAGCACACAGGAGACAGCACAAGCATGTAAGACCAGGTCTCCCCCAGCAGCCCCTGACCTCAAACTTGGAAAGTGGTGTGAGCAGACAAAAAGAAGGCAACATGATATTGGCCTCAGACAATTCCCAAAACAATTTAGGGCACAGGCTTGAATCTGCACCCTGAAAAGTGTCTATAGGAAAGTACTGATGGTGCATGGAAGACAGAAAATTTGAAAATATAAAGAATCAGAGGACAAGAAAGAGAATTGTGAGCAAAAATTTACAAAGAAAGATGGCAGATGAAAGTAAATGCAGGCATGGATTTCAGAGAGGGTTGGCTAGGTTGCCCCTGGAGTGACAGAGCCATTTGGAATAATATGGTAGCTTTCTCTATGCTTTTCTTTTTCCAAGAGAAAGTACAAACATAAAGTACTAGTGTTTAGGGAGAGGAAATAAATATATGAAAGAAAAAAAAATCAGAGGCAAAGACTTTAAGGAAAGAGAGTGATTCTAGAACAAACAGGGTCAAGCCTAATGTTTAGAGATAACCATTGCAAAGAACCATTGGAGTAAGCCATGGGTGGATCTCTCTCTCTCTCTTTAAACAACATTCATTTAATTAATTAGTTCACTCCATTGAGAAATAAAAAATTGTCTTTGTTGTGTGCAATGTGTTTTGAAATATGGATACATTGTGGAATGGCTCAATAGCACTAATTCACATATGAATGAGCTTGTATACTCATCCTATTTTTGTGGTGAGAACATTTAATATCTACTCTCTAGTAATTTTCAAAAGTAGACAATACATTGTTCTTAACTACAGTCACCATGCTGCATAATACACCTCCATTGGAGTAAGCCATGGGTGGATTTCTCTCTCTCTCTTTAAACAACATTCATTTAATTAATTAGTTCACTCCATTGAGAAATAAAAAATTGTCTTTGTTGTGTGCAATGTGTTTTGAAATATGGATACATTGTGGAATGGCTCAATGGCACTAATTCACATATGAATGAGCTCGTATACTCATCACATTTTTGTGGTGAGAACATTTAATATCTACTCTCTCATAATTTTCAAGAGTAGGCAATACATTATTATTAACTACAGTCACCATGCTGCATAATACACCTCCTGCACTTATTCTTCTCGTCTGATTAAAATCTTGCACCCTTTGACTAACATCTCTCCATCCACCACAGCCAGCCTCTGGTACCCACCATTCTGCTTTCTGATTGGTTGAGTTTGATGTTTTTAGATTTTGGATATGAGTGAGACCATGTAGTATTTGTCTTTCAATGTCTGGCTTATTTCACTTGACACCGTATCTTCCAGGCTCATTGGTGTTGCTGCAAATAGCAGGATTTCCTTTATTTTCATTTTTATTGTTTGAGACAAGGTTTCACTCTGTTACCCAGGCTGGAGTCCAGTGGTTCAATCTCAGCTCACTGCAGCCTGGAACTTCTGAGCTCAAGCAACCTTCCCACCTCAGCCTTCTGAGTAGCTGGGACCACAGGTGCCACCATGACCAGCTAGTTTTTAAAAAAAATTTTTGTAGACATGGGGTCTCACTATGTTGCTCAGGATGGTCTTGAACTTCTAGACTCAAGTGACCCTCCTGCCTCAGCCTCCCAAAGTGCTGAGATTATAAGCATAAGCCACCACACCCAGACTCTTTTTTTAAGGCCAAATACTATTCCATTGTGTACATATATTACATTTTCTGTTTTCATTCATGGATAGGCATTTGGGTTCACTGCATATCTTAGCTATTGCAAATAGTGCTGCAATGCACAGGAGAGTGAAGATAGCTCTATAAAGTGTTGATTTAATTTATCTTGGGTACATATTCAGCAGCGGGATTACTGCACTGGCTGACATTTTCTATGCAGCTTAGAATGGGTGAAAAATGGCCAGAAGAGAAACTCATTTCCCCAAGGAAAGGAAAAATGGGGGAGAGCTTAGACATTAAAAGTGGGTCGGCTGGATGTGGTGGCTCATGCCTGTAATCCCAGCACTTTGGGAGGCCAAGGGGGGCAGACCACGAGGTCAGGAGATCGAGGCCATCCTGGCTAACATGGTGAAACCCTGTCTCTCCTAAAAATACGAAAAATTAGCCAGGTGTGGTGGTGTACGCCTCTAGTCCCAGCTACTCAGGACGCTGAGGCAGGAGAATCACTTGAATCTGGGAGGCAGAGGTTGCAGTGAGCCCAGATTGTGCCACTGCACTCCAGTCTGGGCGACAGAGCGAGACTCCGTCTCAAAAAAAAAAAAAAAAAAATAGTGGGTGATGAGATGGCTCAATCTATCCTCAGAGAAAGAGAGAGGGGGGCATGAGTCAGGTGACCAAGTTCCTCTGCATGGGAGAACCTTTCCTAAGGAGGAATTGTCTGTCTTAGTCTGTTCTGTGCTGCTACAACTGACTACCAGGGACTGGGTAATTTATAAGGAACAGAAATGTATTTGCTCATAGTTCTGGAGGCTGGGAAGTCCAAGAACAAGACACACTTCCTGATGAGTGACAGGAAGGAGTGACCTGAGACCAAGGCTTGTCCTTCTGGTTGTCGGTGACAGCCAGCACCTGGTCCGTGTTGGGGCATCAACCATCAAGGAAAAGTTCTTGGTGCAGCTCCAACACCCCAGTTCTGATTTCCACGTTTCTTTTTACACAGCGGTGCAGAGGAATGAATTATTAGCGTGAGGTGTCTCAGAGAGAACATGTGGGAACGTTGTAAAAAGAAAACCCTCGTTCCTTTCTTTCTTGAGATATAAATGCAGTCAGATCCGAGGTGCTGGAAACCAGCATTCATTTGCAGCCGAATTCTCAGCATCGACTAATGATATTCCGCAAATGGCTGGAGACTTCCAGGAACATGTGTTTCGAATTGCAGAACCATGAAAGAGTTTTGTTGGCACTCATAAATAATGAATTTTTTTTTTCCTAGACCCTACTGACCAGGCCCACATGTTGGGTCAGGGCAGTCAGCGTGCGGGTGCCCCCGGGTGCTGTGACTGGTGGCATGGATCAGGGAGAAATGAGAAAGAAAACGGGGAATGAGGGAATGGGACTCTGTGTGTGCAGAAGAGTCTGTTCAATTGTCTTCAGCTAGTGGCAAAGCAAATGGCATTTATGGGCCTAATTTACGGAGCATACATGGCAGGAAAGGTGAGGTAAATCATCTTAATATTAAGATTTATGTCTTGTGTGCTAAGGACTAATTTCCATAAGGCATTTACAAAAGCCATCTTGTCCTTGGAGAATGTGGTAAATCGGTTCCTCAACAGGCCTCTGACCCAGCAGCCTACAAGTATTTTTTCCCTTATTTTCCCTCTTCTATTTTCTTTCTTTTTCTCTTTCCTCTTCCCTCTCCCCCTTCCCTTCCTTCCTCTCCCTCCCTTCCTTTCTTTGTTCCTTTCATCCTTCCTTTCCTTCCTTCGTTTTCTCCCTTCCTTTCTTACTTCCTCCCCTCCTTTATTCCATTTTCCTCCCTCAGTTCCTCCCTCCTTCCCTTCCCTTTTTCCTACCTTCATTCCTCCATTTTCCTTCCTTCCTCCCTCCCTCCTTCCTTTCTTTCTTTCTTTCTTTCTTTCTTTCTTTCTTTCTTTCTTTCTTTCTTTCTTCCTTCCTTTCTTCCTTCCTTTCTTTTCTTTCTTTCTTTCTTTGTTTGTTTGTTTTCTTTCTTTCTTTCTTTGTTTTCTTTCTTTCCTTCCTTTCTTTCTTTCTCTTTCTTGCTTTCTTTTTCTTTTTTCTTTCTTTCTTTCTGTCTGTCTCTCTCTCTCTCTCTCTCTTTCTCTCTTTCTGTAATCCAGCACTTTGGGAGGCCAAGGTGGGTGGATCACCTGAGGTCAGGAGTTCGAGACCAGCCTAGCCAACACGGTGAAACCCCATCTTTACTAAATATACAAAATTAGCTGGGCCTAGCGGCGCATGCCTGTAATCCCAGCTACTTGGGAGGCTGAGGCAGGAGAATCGCCTGAACCCAGAGGCGGAAGTTGCAGTGAGCCGAGATTACCCCAGTGTACTCCAGCCTGGGCTACAGAGTGAGACTCTGTCTAAAAAAAAAAAAATTAAAATAAAAAATTAAAAAGTGCACTTCTTATGAAGAGGTGAGATGCTGAAGATCATAAAATGGGATGGAGGACGCGTGGATGGGGACGGTTGTATTTTAATCACAGTTCCTTCTGAGTTACTTGAATAGTTTTGCAATGTGTTGCTTTGAAGAAAATATTACATATACATTTTAACGGATATATGTGCCAGGCACGGTGGCTCACGCCTGTAATCCTAAGACTTTAGGAAGCAGAGGCGGGTGGATCACCTGAGGTCAGAAGTTCAAGACCAGCCTGGCCAGCATGGTGAAACCCCGTCTCTATTAAAAATATAAAAACTAGCCAGGCGTGGTGGCGGATGCCTGTAATCCCAGCTACTTGGGAGGCCGAGGCAGGAGAATCGCTTAAACCCAGGAGGCGGAGGTTGCAGTGAGCAGAGATCGCGCCCCCGCACTTCAGCCTGGGTGACAGAGTGAAACTCCATCTCTAAAACAATAATTAATAAATAAATAAATAAGTAAATAAATAAATAAATAAATGGCCGGGTGCAGTGGCTTACGCCTATAATCCCAGCACTTTGGGAGGCTGAGGCGGGTGGATCATGAGGTCAGGAGATCGAGACCATCCTGGCTAACACAGTGAAACCACATCTCTACTAAAAATACAAAAAATTAGCCGGGCTTGGGGGCAGGCGCCTGTAGTCCCAGCTGCTAGGGAGGCTGAGGCAGGAGAATGGCATGAACCCGGGAGGCGGAGCTTGCAGTGAGCCGAGATCATGCCACTGCACTCCAGCCTTGGCGACAGAGTGGGACTCTATCTCAAAATATATATATATATATATATATAAAATAAAATTTAAAAATGTGCCATGTACGGCATCCTCTATCCCAAGTACCCCATGCTCGAATGGTAACAGGGTAGGAATTCCCACTGTGAACATATTCTGCTTCCTTGGAGGTCCAGGTAGCAAGATAGGAGCTGAGGAAATGAACCCTGTCTGTTCAGTGACTCACACGTGCTTAATGACAATTTTACCCTCTGCGTTTGCTTCTGCAGTTGTAACAAAGGACAACGTTAAAACAACAGGAATTTATTCTCTCCCAGTCCTGGAGACCAGGAGTTTGAGATCAAGGGGTCTCAGGACCATGCTTCCTCTGGAGGCTCTAGGGGAGGGTCCTTCCTGCCTCTCCCAGCTTCTGGGGGCTCCAGGCATCCCTGGGTTTGTGGCCGCCTCTCTGCAGTCTCTGCCTCCATCTCCACGTGGCCTCCTCTGTGTCTGTGTCTCCTCTTTGTCTCTTATGGGGTCACCCCTCATTGGATTTAGAGTCCAACTCCAATGCAAGACGATTTCATTTTGAGATCCTTCCCTTAATCACATCTGCAAAGACCCTATTTCCAAATGAGGTCCTATTCACGGATTCTAAGGTTTAGGACCTGGACATGTCTTTGGGGGATCCCCATTCAACCCACTGCAATTTGGTCTGGTTCCTTTTAGAAGCTCTAGGGGAGGATCCTTCCTGCCTCTTCGAGCTCCTGGGGGCTCCAGGTGTCCCTGTGTTTGTGGCCGCATCACTCCAGTCTCTGCTTCTGTCTCCACGAGGCCGTCTCCTCTGTGTCTGTGTCTTCCCTGCTGTCTCTTAGAAGGACACCTGTCACTGGGTTTACGGACTGCCCAAATATACCAGGATGATCTCTGCATCTGAAGATCTTTCATCTGCAAAGACTTTGCCATATAAGACGGAATTCACAGGTTGCCAGGGTTAGGAAGTGAACATTTTTGAAGAGGTGGGCCATGCCTTAGCCTACCACATCCACCTCTGGTTCATGGTGCCTGTTAGCTCTGTCCACCAGGGATTCCTGGGGAAACTCAGTCCCCATCTCCATAAATCTCCTGCAGGCTGCTTGTGCAGAAACCCCCTCAGCTCAGCAAGCTGATCAGGTCTGCACTAGGGACTTTTGTCCTACAGCTCTGAGGAGCTGCTTCAAACACATTCTCACCTCTCTTTGCCTCTTCTCCCTCTGAAGTCTGTATAGTTTTTGTTCCTCAGGTTCCATTCAGGAGAACTTGGAAGAAACCAAAAATATAAAGACACATAGAGACATGTTTCACCCAAAGGAGCTACACCTTCTCTTCTTTTTTTTAATTTTACTTTTAAAAAATTTTAATTGACAAATAATAACTGTATGTATTCATGGGGTACATTGCAAGGTTTTTGTATATGTATGACTTACAGAAAGATTAAATCATGCTAGTTAACATATCCATCGCCTCACCTATTAAATAAGATAAATATACTTATTTATCTATTTATTTATGTACAGACAGGGTCTGGCTCTGTTGTCCAGACTGGAGTGTACTGGTGTGATCGTAGCTCACTGCAGCCTCCAACTCCTGGACTCAACCAATCCTTCCACCTCAGCCTCCCAAGTAGCTGAGACTATGGGCACACACCACCATGCCCAGCTAATTTTTTTGTTATTTTTGTAGAGACAAGGTGTCACTCTGTTGCCCAGGGTGGAGGGCACTGGTGTGATCGTAGCTCACTGCAGCCTCCAACTCCTAGACTCAAGCCGTCCTTCCACCTCAGCTTCCTGAATAGCTGAGACTGCAGGCACATGCCACCATGCCCAGCTAATTTTTATGCATTTATTTATTCTGTGGAGACAAGGTGTCACTCTGTTGCTCTGGCTGTAGTGCACTGTTGCGATCATGGCTCACTGCAGCCTCAAACTCCTGAATTCAAGTGATCCTCCCATCTCAGCCTCCCATGTAGCTGGGGCTACATGTGTGTACCATCACACTGGGTTAATGTTTTTTGTTTTTTGTTTTTCTTGTGTTTTTTTGTTTTTGTAGAGACAGGGTCTCACTATGTTGCCCAAACTGGTCTCAAAATCCTGACCTCAAGTGATCCCCCCACCTCAGTCACTCAAAGTGCTGTGATTACAGGCATGAACTACCATGCCCGGCCATCACCTACTTATTTCTTTGTGGAGAGAATGTTTACAATCAACTCTTTTCACAATTTTGAGGTACAGAATGTGTTATTATTCATAATAGTCACCATGCTTTGCAATGCATCACTTAAGCGTATTTCTGCTGTTTGACAAAAACTTTGTACCCTTTGATCGACATCTGTCTTTTCCCCAACCACCTCCCAGAAGTCAACTTTTTTGTTGATTTACCCCCGATTTCTGACACAGCCTGAGGGAGGACTCTTGGATTTAAGGATGGTTAAATGGTTTTGCTTTTAATGTGTTCCTGGAGTCTTGGGGAACTGCTCTGCCCTGACATTCTAGGTCCTACCACACGCAGTTTTACACTTCAGTCTCTCTATCTCTGTTTGTGGACATATAATCTACTAATCATAACAGTTTTATTTCATCTCTGTCCAATCCATGTCTCTTCTAATTTTATTTTTATCCAGGTGTTAACAAACAGCACAGTGGTTCTTAGAAGTGGTACTAGCTAGGCACCACACCTTGTCATCAATCTACAATGAACAACCTTAAACTCTTCACCATTAAATAGAAAGTGGGCTATAGATTTTTGATATACACTCTTTATCAATTGAAGAAAAATTATTTTGTTCCTACTTCTGTAAGAGCTCTTTTTAATTGTGTTTGCATTTTATCAAATGTTTTCCGTGTTCATCTTTGATGTGGTGAAATGCATGAGAAAATTGGTGTTGAACTATCCTTGCATTCCTAACATAAACCCAACTTGGGTGTTTTCACCCTACGTATTTGTGGATGTGGTTTGCTCATATCTTATTGGGAGGATGTGCATTCATGTTTAGAAACCAAGGCTTCCTTGCACTTTGCTTTTCTTATGCTGTCCTTGTTGAGTTGTATGAGAATTACTTTTTATTTTCTATACTCTGAAGGAGGGTGTAAGAGTTTGATTATTTTTCTTATGCATTAAGTCATGAATGAAACCATTTGAGCTTGCTGATAAGCCCATCATGTTATCTACATCTTTATGCCTCGTGTGGTAACTTATTTGCTTCCCTAGCCTTACAAGGACATTGTGATTGGATATTAAATTTTCTTCTGTTTCTTTTTGGGTGGGAAAATGTAGCTAGGACAAAAGAGGCCTTGAATCACCTGTAAGATTCTCACAGATTTTGGTCAGGTGGTGTATCAGTTTTTGCTAGATATTTGATGTGTTTTAAAAGATTTTTTAAAACTACATTTTGGCTGGGTGTGGTG
Organism: Homo sapiens; assembly: GCF_000001405.40. Taxonomy (NCBI): domain Eukaryota; kingdom Metazoa; phylum Chordata; class Mammalia; order Primates; family Hominidae; genus Homo; species Homo sapiens. The sequence continues at coordinate 712,998 of NC_000024.10, forward strand.
GCTCATGACTGTAATCCCAGCACTTTGGGAGACTGAGGCAGGTGGATTACCTGAGGTCAGGAGTTTGAGATCAGCCTGGCCAGCATGGTGAAACCCTGTCTCTACTGAAAATACAAAAATTAGGCCAGGTGCAGTGGCTCACACCTGTAATCCCAGAACTTTGGGAGGCTGAGACAGGTGGATCACGAGGTCAGGAGATCGAGACCATCCTGGCTAACATGGTGAAACCCCGTCTCTACTAAAAATATAAAAAAAAATTAGCCGGGCGTGGTGGCGGGCACCTGTAGTCCCAGCTACTCGGGAGGCTGAGGCAGGAGAATGGCGTGAACCCAGGAGGCGGAGCTTGCGGTGAGCCAAGATTGCGCCACTGCACTCCAGCCTGAGTGACAGAGCAGGACTCCGTCTTAAAAAAAAAAAAAAAAAAAAAAAAAATTAGCTGTGCTTGGTGGCAGGTGACTGTAATCCCAGCTACTCAGGAGGCTGAGGCAGGAGAATCACTTGAACCCAGGAGGCGGAGGTTGCAGTGAGCCGAGATCACGTCATTGCACGCCAACCTGGGTGACAAGAGCAAGACTCTGTCTGAAAAACAAAAACAAACACACAAATAAAAATACTACTTACATTGTGTTTGTTTCTTTGAGTTTTGAATGGGGGGAGGGGCAGCAGATGGAAATTTACTGATAGACTCACTCTCTGTAGATGCCTGTTTTGTTCTTTGGCAAATGAGAGCCCTCCAGAGGAGCATACAGGAAAATTAGTTCATTCAAAATCTGAGAGTGGCTTTTGGAATCTTTTCTTGGCCATCCCCACATGAAAATCCAAATATGAGAATGAGGGACTGTGCCCAGCCTATGTGACGTTTGGGGAGTATTTTGTAGCACTGGCTGTCTCTCCTCTTTTTAGGGGGTACAAGCCTGGGCCACACCCAGAAAATTGGCCAAACGGAGTCCTGAGAAGAGATGCCACCGTCAGAATGAAGGTTATGTTAGAGGGGAAGCCAGCTTACATTTGGGGCACAGCCCTACCCTAATTGGTATATCCCTTCTACATGGTTGAGTTGGTAGAAAATGGTGCCCTAAATACAAATTTACTTTGCTTCTCTGGGATAAAGGAGGGGGTGAGAAAGGTCTAGTTTCCAGTAGTTGGCCAAAAAAAACCCATGAGCTTGAAAAAATAAAATTGTTCTGGACTTAAAAGAGGGCAGAGGGATCATTGGATGAGTGCGTGCAGCAGTGAAAGTGAGCATTCCCTGTTATCAGAGCCACGCTGATTCAATTAAGGAGCAAATCGAGCCTGCAAGAAGAAAGGATCATTTGTTATGCTGTTTACACATTACAGGGTACCCAGGGACTACTTATTTAGCAGGCATAAAACCAGCAGGCACTATGCATAAACTGTGATGATTGCAGTGTCTCCAAGCAGACAGGGATTAATTGATTTCTAACGGAATCTGCGTGGGACTCTTGAGTTTGGCTCTCTGAAGGGGCACCCGTCCCAAGTCCTGCACACATCAGCAAACTAAATCAAATACACCTTCCCTACAGCTCATTCAATGCTTTGAGTTTTAGAACAGGAATGATTGTTTTGGAAATCCCTGTTTGTTTGTTTGTTGTTTGTTTGTTTGTCGTTTGTGGGTTTTTTTTTTTTTTTTTTGAGTCACTTTGTCACCCAGGCTGGAGTGCAGTGGCGTGATCTCGGCTCACTGCAACCTCTGCCTCCTGGGTTCAAGCAATTCCCCTGCCTCAGCCTCCCGAGTAGCTGGGACTACAGGCATGCACCACCATGGCCAGCTAATTTTTTTTTGTATTTTTAGTAGAAACGGGGTTTCACCATGTTCGACAGGCTGGTCTCGAGCTCCTGACCTCAGGCAATCCACCCTCCTCAGTCTCCCAAAGCGCTTTGTGCTCTTATATTTAAAAACGTGCTCTGGGCCAGGCACGGTGGCTCATGCCTGTAATCCCGGCACCTTGGGAGGTTGAGTTGGTTGGACCACCTGAGGTCAGGAGTTCGAGACCAGCCTGGCCAATATGGTGAAACCCCATCTCTACTAAAAATACAAAAAAATTAGCTGGGCATTATGGTGGGTGCCTGTAGTCCAGATAGAGAGAGATAGAGGTAGAGCTAGATAGAGATAGAGCAAAAGCCCTCACAGAAACCTTCAGAATAACATGTCACCATGTATCTGGGTGCCGTGGCCCAGCCAAGTAGGCGCATAAAACAAACAATCCCACGAGGGTTCCTTCCCTCCTCCCTGGATGGGCTGAGAGCTCCTCCCTCATAAACCAAGGGATCCTCCCTCCTCCCTGGATGGGCTGAGAGCTCCTCCCTCATAAACCAAGGGATCCTTCCCTCCTCCCTGGATGGACTGAGAGCTCCTCCCTCATAAACCAAGGGATCCTCCCTCCTCCCTGAATGGGCTGAGAGCTCCTCCCTCATAAACCAAGGGATCCTCCCTCCTCCCTGGATGGGCTGAGAGCTCCTCCCTCATAAACCAACGGATCCTCCCTCCTCCCTGGATGGACTGAGAGCTCCTCCCTCATAAACCAAGGGATCCTCCCTCCTCCCTGGATGGGCTGAGAGCTCCTCCCTCATAAACCAAGGGATCCTCCATCCTCCCTGGATGGACTAAGAGCTCCTCTCTCATCAACCAAGGGATCCTCCCTCCTCCCTGGGAGGACCCAGAGCTCCTCCCTCATAAACCAAGGGATCCTCCCTCATGTCCAGAGGGCTCCTCCCTGGCGTGAATTCCATGCCACTGTTCTCTAGTAATGAAATTCTTCCCTTTGGGGCTCTCATGTCTCTATTTGTAATCCAAGAAAAAAGGTGTCCAAGAAACGTTCCTCCAATTCTGCTTTCTGGAAGAAACCCACCTCTGGCCTGACCCATCCCGGGCCCATCCTACCAGGCCCTGGACCCTGTGCAATGCCCGGCTATTGGCAGGAGCTCAGGTGGACAGGCAGAGATCCAGCAGTAACTGTGTATAGGAGTTGGTGCGTGCTCGCCTGATTTTAGGGACGAGTATGTTGCTCAATTGTTACGAGCTCTGGGTTCCCTACTTTTCTGTCATCCCTCTGTCTTTATGAACAAGGCTGCTTAGGTGAGGAAATGGTATTTGTGTTTTGTCTGATTTCATCTTCCCCTCCTGTGTGCCCGGAACAAGTCAGAGATAAAGCAAAGCTCTGTAGGAACACTGAAGTTGTTGTATGGTGAGTTCTCATTCCATTTCCCTGGCTGAATTTCCTTGCTATTTTTTTTTCTTTTCTGGTGAGTCACTGAATTATTTTGTGTTCAACTCCTTGCATCCTTCAGTTTAAAAAACGACTGACTTCTCCCACAAGGGTATTGATGTAGCTGGTTCCAGCTGATACCCAAATGAGTCAACCTGCCCACTTTCTTTGGAGTCAAGCAGAATAAAAATGCTTCTGACATGTGAATTGCATTTCCCTTGAAATACTCATGGGCTTAAAAATAAAGAAGAACACAATTTTTTTTTAAATTGGGCTTTGCCAAGACCCAAACGTTTGAAAAACCAGTTGAAGACGTTTTTTGCCAACCCCCAAACGTCACCCGACGTGACTGCTCCTCTCTGCGTGTTCTGTGTGATCCCGGCTGGAGACTGACCACATTTGAACGCGTCTGTTTAAACAGGCGCTGTGGCTCCATGTGTGAGGACCCGTCTCCCAGGTCAGTGGGAACGTAAAATACCCAAGCTTCAGCGTCTGCTCATTTTAAAATTTGCAGTTCTTTTGGGGCCAGATTCACCTGTTTTCGTATTTGTTCAACGTGTATATCATATGGGAATTTCCACTTATTCATCTCAAAGACTTCAAATTCCCTTTTGTTCTGAAAAATCAACTCCTTGCTGGCAGTTGTCGTTATGAGTGATCCTGGGGTCCACACAAGGCTTGTTTGCACAGAACATTACAGACGGTGAGCATTGGCTCATACCTGTAATCCCAGCATTTTAGGAGGCTCAGGTGGGAGGATTGTGGGAGCCCAGGAGTTTGACACTAGCCCGGGCAACATAGCGAGACCCAATTTCTATTAAAAAACAAACAAAAGGCCAGGCGCGGTGGCTCACGCCTGTAATCCCAGCACTTTGGGAGGCTGAGGCAGGTGGATCATGAGATCAGGAGTTTGAGACCAGCCTGCCCAGTATGGTGAAACCCCGTCTCTACTAAAAATACAAAAATTAGGCTGGGCACGGTGGCTCACACCTGTAATCCCAGCACTTTGGGAGGCCAAGGCGGGCGGATCACGAGTCCAGGACTTTGAGACCATCCTGGCTAACACAGTGAAACCCAGTCTCTACTAAAAAAATACAAAAAAATTAGCTGGGCGTGGTGGCAGGTCTCTGTAGTCCCAGCTACTCAGGAGGCTGAGGCAGGGGAATGGCGTGAACCTGGGAGGTGGAGCTTGCAGTGAGCCGCGATTGCACCACTGCACTCCAGCCTGGGTGACAAAGCGAGACTCTGTCTCAAAAAAAAAATTTTTTTTTGAAAAATTAGCCGGGCATGGTGGCAGGTGCCTGTAGTCCCAGCTACTCGGGAGGCTGAGGCAGAAGAATTGCTTGAACCTGGCAGGTGGGGGTTGCAGTGAGCTGAGATTGCACCACTGTACTCCAGCCTGGGCGACAGAGAAAGAATTTGTCTCAAAAACAAACAAACAAACAAACAAACAAACAAACACTTCAGAAAGGAGTCAAGGAGTTTGAGCAAGAGCAGGATTTGGATTTCCTAGGCTGTGTACTTGTTGGAGAGTTCAACAAGGTATGACCTCCCTGCGAGCTCAGTGTCCTCATCTGTCACATGGGTTGAGGAATGACAGTGCATCATATCTAGAGTCATTACATAAAATGAGATGGTGCCTGTGGAGTGTTCCCCACAGAGCCCAGTGAGCGCTCCAATTTTAAGAACGTGAGAGCTCCCTGCTTCCTTCCAGTTTCTCTTCAACAGGACGGTTGAGGCATGTTGACAGTCCAACAAAATAATGCCTCAAAACACATGGAATTACAACACTTTTTTTTTTTTTTAGCAACTGTCTTTAGAAATAGTTAATGGGTCAAATGAGGTATGCTGGTTTCAGCCATTGCAATAGTTAGCTATGCTGCGTAACAAATGACCCCAATCATAATGGCTTAAAATTGTCATGCTCTCAGAGGAAATTTAGTTCCTTATGACCCAGTGAAAGAAACCAGTCTGAAAAGGTGACTCCGTCTATGAGTCCAACTATAGGACACTGTGGAAAAAAGCAAAACGACAGAAACAGAGGAAGAATCAGGGGCTGCGGGGAGGGAGGGATGAATGGGAGGAGATCAGAGGATTTTTAGGGCAGTCAAATTACTCTGGGTAAAATGACAATGGTGGGTCCACGTCATTATACGTTTGTCCAAACGTGCAGAATATACCCCACCAGGAGGGGGCTGTAACGTGAACTGTGAACTGTTGTGATGATTACGTGTCCATGGAGGTTCACTGAGTGTAACAAATGCACCAGTCTGGTGGCATATTGATAATGGAGGAGGCTGTGCATGTGTGTGAGGTGGAGGGTAGATGGAAAAATCTCTCTGCCTTCTTTGTGATGAACCTAAAACTACTAAAAAAATTAAAATATTAGAAAATGACAACCTATTGGCACATCCTTCTCTTCCGGAGACATCAAGATGGTCTTCGTATGGTGGTGGCAAACTTCTGCCTGGGGTCTTCAGTTCCAGGCTAGGGTAGGGTATTGAGGGGCAGTAGTGAGTATCGGTTCTGAACCAAGCAGCTAGGATGCAATGAACGTCTGGGTAAGAAACTGGAATTGGGGCACCAGGAAGTGAGTTCTGCCAGGTCCGAATGCTTTCCTGGGTTCCCAAGGACTACTTCCTTCACCCTACGCTTTCTCCAAAGTTGGAGGATAAAGCAGGAAAGCAAGACACCTGGGTATTCTGGGAGCCTACAGGTCTACTATGGACTGAATATTGGGTGCCCCCCCAATTCTTTTCTTATTATACCTTTAAGTTCTGGAGTACATGTGCAGAACGGGCAGGTTTGTTACATAGGTATACATGTGCCATGGTGGTTTGCTGCACCCATCAACCTGTCATCTATATTAGGTGTTTCTCCTAATGCTCTCCCTCCCCCAGTTCCCCACCCCCCAACAGGCCCCGGTGTGTGATGTTCCCCTCCCTGGGTCCATGTGTTCTCATTGTTCAGCTCCCACTTAGGAGTGAGAACATGCGGTGTTTGGTTTTCTGTTCCTGTGTGAGTTTCCTGAGAATGATGGTTTCCAGCTTCACCCATGTCCCTGCAAAGGACATGAACTCATCCTTTTTTATGGCTGCATAGTATTCCATGGTGTCTATGTGCCACATTTTCTTTATCCAGTGTATCATTGATGGACATTTGGGTTGGTTCCAAGTCTTTGCTATTGTGAACAGTGCCACAATAAACATACGTGTGCATGTGTCTTTATAGTAGAATGATTTATAATCCTTGGGGTATATACCCAGTGATGGGATGGCTGGGTCAAATGGTATTTCTAGTTATAGATCCTTGAGGAATCACCATACTGTCTTCCACAATGGTTGAACTAATTTACACTCCCACCAGATAATTAATATTTTAATATGCCACACCTTCTTAGTATAATATGACAGATGGAACCTCATGTGATTAAATAAAGAAGTGGGTTATTTGATTCACTTGACACATTTGATTAACCGAGATTCCACTTACGAGTTTTACTGGCCACACTTTAGTTTTAAGAAGGCTAATTAAATTGGGGCATCTCTTATGGAGTCATTGCTATTTCACGTTTTTCTGTTCATTCCACCAATGTTTTTAAAAGAGTTGACTTCTTTGTTTGTTTGTTTGTTTGTTTTTTGTTTTTGAGATGGGGTCTTGCTCTGTGGCCCGGGATGGAATGCAATGGCACCATCTCAGCTCACTGCAACCTCCGCCTCCTGGGTTTAAGCAATTCTCCTGTCTCAGCCTCGGGAGTAGCTGGGATTACAGGTTCACACCACCACGGCCAGCTGAAGTTTCTATTTTTAGCAAAGATGGGGTTTCATCATGTTGGCCAGGTTGGTCTCAAACTCCTGACCTCAGGTGATCCACCTGCCTCAGCCTCCCAAAGTGCTGGGATGACAGGCGTCAGCCGGGATGACAGGCATGAGCCACCGCACCGGGTCAACAGTCGACTTCTTTTGACCAAGTGCACCCTACTGCTAAATATTTTGACTGAAATTTTGTTTTATTTGGAAAAGTGCCCAATGATAGCTTTTCTTTTTTTTTCCCCCTAGTGAGAGCAGAGAATGGCTAAAACATCCCCTTTTGGTAGTCTGGTTTGTTTTTTCTGCAGTTTTTTACATTTCAGGAGAAGTTCTTTTCTGCAAAGAGGTTGGCATACTTCCCTAACGTTGTCTTCTTAATATTACCTTCAAGCCTGCATGGTTTGTACTGAGTAGAGACACAGAACTTGCCCACCTGCCAAATTCATGCCGATGTCTCATGGAAGAACCATTTTACTTCATCTGCATCAAGTCCTCCCATAAACCGGATTCCAAAGTCGTGGAGAAACCCCGTCTCAATCCTAAGGGAGGAAGAAAAACAAATGGAACCAGATGAGGGGTCAGAAAAATACAATTGTGACCTCTGTTTCTTTCTGGGACATTTGGACCACGGCCATCAGTCAGATGGCTGAGAGGATTTAAGGGTCTAACCTAATCGCCTTCTTCCTCTCTTTTTCTGTCTTTGCAGCTATTAAGGATTTAGACTTCTTAACCATTTTATCAGAACAATAGCAGGGAAAGACCTGGATGTTTACCAAGCCTGCCATTAGGGGCCAAGTGGCCACTCCCCATCATCATAATTTGAACCACCATGTAACAGCCATTCCGCCAAGCAAATAAATTGCTGTAACATGACCTGATTATTTATTACAAGGTCAATATAAGTGAAACAGCCTCACAGTCATCCATCAGGGAGCAAGCGATCCTCATCACCTTTGCCATGAAGTGGAACTCTGGGTCGCAGAACATGTAACGTCTGTGTTGGCCATCTCCACAGAGAGAAATTTTCTTTTTAAATTGGAGGAAAGGAATTTTGATCATCGCGGGGCTGTCGCGATGGGGGTGTTTGGAAATGGTATAATTATTGCCTTTAAAAGCTTGGATCTCATTATCGTGTGTATGTATATGTGTGTGTGTGTGTGTGTGTGTGTGAGTGTAAAATCAACTTGTATTTTTTTTTCCCCTTTGCTGATGGTCTCTGCTGACATACATTGTAAAGGCGGATAAGAAGGATTTGGGAACAGCTTTTGGTCCAACTTGTGCTAAATGTCAGCTACTTGGGGAAAGAGTGGAGTTTGTGCAGAGAAAGAGTCGATTTGGGGAAGCCAGAAAGATCCCCAGCAGAACGGTTCATATTATCGTATGACCCTACTTGCTATGGCCGAGCCATCACTACCCGGGCTGGAGTGCATTGGTTCTGAATTGTGGGTCTCTGCCACAGCCGTGAGCTTTACCAGGTTCCTACGTGATCTGCCCGCGTCTCTTTTAGAAGGTGGCGGCAGTGATCGTAACCCACACAATGGAAGTGCCAGGGCAGCCTGGGGGTGACTCCCTGCCCCACACCTGATTATCAACAACAGGACTTGACTCAACCTATGACACTGTGAACGTCAGTTTTGGGAAAAGTTCCAACCTGGGGTCACCTGCGTGTGTGTGTGTGTGTGTGCGTGTGTGTGTGTGTGTGTCAGGCAAGTGGGTCCAGTGTCGTAGGTTAATCTGTTTATATCTCTTGTTATAAATTTGAGCAACTTATTTTTAGGCAAAGATATACACGGAGTTTGCTCAATGGGAAAAAAAAATCACCAAATGCCACTGAACTATATATAAGAAAATATATATATATTTTTATATATATGTATACACACACACTATGTAGTGATATATTTACATGTTATATATTATCTATACATATATAATGTATATATACAGTATATATGTATATATACCAGTATACTGTATATATACCAGTATACTGTATATATACAGTATATAATGTATATATACAGTATACTGGTATATATACATATATACTATATAGTTTCTATATATATTTCTATATATAGTTTCTTATACATAGTCGTTGAATATATATTATATACTATATTATTACATAGTATATTAATGTATCTATAATATATAACATGTAAATATATCACTACATAGTTTATTAATGTATATATAATATATACATGTATTATATAATACAAATATATATTATATTAATGTATATAATATATAATGTATATTAATGTATATAATATATAAATGTATTATATAATATATTGATGTATACAATATATAAATACATAATATATTATATAACATATATTATATTGTATATTAATGTATACAATATATTAATATAATACTTAATATATTAAGCTACATAATATATAATTATATATTGTATTATAATAATATAATATATTTAGGTATATAATATATAATATAATATATGTTATAATATATATCATATATTATACATTATATACCTTCAAATAATATACAATCTTTTATATCATATATTATAATATATTAACATATAATATATAATATATAAAGCTATACAATATATAATTGTATATGATATATTGTAATAATATTTTAAGCTATATATCATATAATTATATATTATACAGCTTTATATATTATATATAAATATATGTACATACTATATAATATATTGTATATACATTAATATACTATATATTATATACTATATAGTATAATAAATATATTATATATACATTAGTATACTATATATTATATACTATACATAATATAATATAAATATATTATATACATTAGTATACTATATATTATATACTATACATAGTATAATATAAATATATTATATACATTAGTATACTATATATTATATACTATACATAGTATAATATAAATATATTATATACATTAGTATACTATATATTATATACTATACATAGTATAATATAAATATATTATATATACATTAGTATACTATATATTATATACTATACATAGTATAATATAAATATATTATATATATTAGTATGCTATATATTATATACTATACATAGTATAATATAAATATATTATATATACATTAGTATACTATATATTATATACTATATATAGTATAATATAAATATATTATATATACATTAGTATACTATATATTATATACTATACATAGTATAATATAAATATATTATTTATACATTAGTATACTATATATTATATACTATATAGCATAATGGAAATATATTATATATACATTAGTATACTGTATATTATATACTATGCAGTATAATATAAATATATATACATTAGCATACTATATATTGTATACTATATATATAGTATAATATAAATATATTATATATATAATTTCTTATTCTTGCCTGCCTAAACATGCTCAGTGATTCTGTGTGGCACATTTAGCTTCCAATGGGTGGTAAGTATATAGCTCTCTCTCCCTTTAAAAAATTAAGATGACATTCACATAACATGAAATTTTATAGTGCTCAATTCAGGAGCATTGAGGACATTCAGAACATCATGCAATCCCCACCTCTATCTAGTACCACAACCTTCTCAGTACCCAAAAGGTGACCCTGTACCCTTTAAGCAGTCACTCCCATTCCCCTCCCCCTTTCCCGGGAAGCTCCAATGTGCTTTCTATTCTCTGTTTTTGACACCACATGGCATGATTCTGCACAATGTGCTTTCTGTCTCTCTGGATTTGCCTCTTCTGGACACGTTTATGTAATGGAATCCTCCAATATTTGTCCTTTGATGTCCGATTTCTGTCACTGAGCATGATGTCTTCAAGGTTCTTCCACACTTCAGCCAGTGTCAGAGCTTTGTTCTTTTTCATGGCTGTATAATATTCCACTGTCTGGATGGACCATATTCTGTTTACCCGTTCAACTGCCAATGGACTCCTGGGTTGTTTCCAGCTTTGGGTCATTGTGAGTCATGCTGCTATGAACATTTGTGTCTAGGTTTTTGTTTGAACATCCGTTTTCAGTTCTTTTTGGTACGTACCCAGGAGTTGAATGGCCGGCTTTAGGGTAGCTTCATGTTTAGCCTTTTGAGAAACCACCAAGCTGTTTAGAGACAAAAATGCTTTTGTCTTCCTCTGGTTCGAGGTTCCCTGTGATCCATAAAAATGGTTCAGCCTCCCTACTTGGTGTCTCTGTTTCAAAGGAATGTGCTCATGTAGAGAAGGATATTTTTTGGAGTCTGGATTTTTGGGTCTGGGAGAAGGTTGAGAAGAGAAAGGGTGGATATCGTTGATCTTTGTAGGGCAGAAAATTGCTGCAGCATCCACAATTGATTCTGCCATTGTGGGAAGTCAGCTAAGAGCTGCCTCTCTGCTCTTGAACCTGGTTGCAAAGGTGGATTGAGGGAGGTCGGCCTGGCCTGAGGCTGGGATCTGTCAGGACCAGTCAAAACCGTCAAATTCCTTCTTCCTTTTTGTACTGCGAGGTCACAGGACAGGTGCCAGCATCTACCTGTGATCCAGGAGCTGGGGCTAAGAAGTAGCCAGGTGGTACTGGAGTAACCTGTCCTGCACCCAAGTTCTGAACAACTGACCACCTGCAGGACCCTCCCCACCTGAGATCTGAACACCTCACCAACTGCAGTGACCGTCCCCACCTGAGATCTGACCACCTCACCACCTGCAGTGACCCTCCCCCACCTGAGATCTGACCACCTGACCACCTGCAGAGACCCTCCCCACCTGAGATCTAAACAACTGACCACCTGCAGTGACCCTCCCCACCTGAGATCTAAACACCTGACCACCTGCAGGGACCCTCCCCACCTGAGATCTAAACACCTGACCACCTGCAGAGACCCTCCCCACCTGAGATCTAAACAACTGACCACCTGCAGTGACCCTCCCCCACCTGAGATCTGAACACCTGACCACCTGCAGTGACCCTCCCCACCTGAGATCTAAACACCTGACCACCTGCAGGGACCCTCCCCACCTGAGATCTGAACACCTGACCACCTGCAGAGACCCTCCCCACCTGAGATCTAAACAACTGACCACCTGCAGGGACCCTCCCCACCTGAGATCTGAACACCTGACCACCTGCAGTGACCCTCCCCACCTGAGATCTGAACACCTGACCACCTGCAGGGACCCTCCCCACCTGAGATCTAAACAACTGACCACCTGCAGGGACCCTCCCCACCTGAGATCTAAACACCTGACCACCTGCAGGGACCCTCCCCACCTGAGATCTAAACACCTGACCACCTGCAGAGACCCTCCCCACCTGAGATCTAAACACCTGACCACCTGCAGAGACCCTCCCCACCCAAGATCTGACCACCTGACCACCTGCAGTGACCCTCCCCACCCGAGATCTGAACACCTCACCACCTACAGGTACCCTCCCCACCTGAGGTCTGAACACCTGATGGTACATAAGCAGGGTTTTATATACCATCTTAACAAAGGATGATGAATTCCTGGAGGATTACCTAGGCAAAGGGAAAAAAAATTATGGACTTCCAGGGGTGGTACATTGTGGGAAGCTACATATCTTTGGGAAAGAAATGGAAGATAAGGGTGATTTCATCAGCTTTGATGCCTTCTCCATGACACGTGTCATCTGAAATAATTAAGAGCCATGCTCGGCCAGGCGCAGTGGCTCGCGCCTGTAATCCCAGCACTTTGGGAGGCCAAGGGGGTGAATCACAAGGTCAGGAGATCGAGACCATCCTGGCTAACACAGTGAAACGCCGTCTCCACTAAAAATACAAAAAAGTTAGCCAGGCGTGGTGGCGGGCACCTGTCGTCCCAGCTACTCGGGAGGCTGAGGCAGGAGAATGGTGTGAACCTGGGAGGCGGAGCTTGCAGTGAGTCGAGATCACGCCACTGCACTCCAGCCTGGGTGACAGAGCCAGACTCCGTCTCAAAAAAAAAATAATAAAATAAAAGAGCCATGCTCCTCTTCCTGGTATGGGAGGGAGACACCTTTTGTGATGGGTAATACTGTGTGTCAACAGGATCAGATTGAAGGATGCAAAGTATCGATTCTGAGTGTCACCGTGAGCGTGTTGCCAAAGGAGATTAACATTTGAGTCACGGGGCCGGGAAAGGCAGACTCACCCTTAATCTGGGTGGGCACTATCTCATCAGCTGCCAGCAGGGCCAGAATATAAAGCAGGCAGAAACACGTGAAAAGGCTAGACTGGCTTAGCCTCCGAGCCTACATCTTTCTCCCATTGCTGGAGGCTTCCTGCCCTCGAACATCGGACTCCAAGTTCTTCCCCTTGGGGACTTGGACTGCTGCTCCTTACTCCTCAGCCTGCAGATGGCCCGTGGTGGAATCTTGTGACCATGTCAGTTAATGCTGCTTAATAAACTCTCCTTTAGATAGATAGATAGAAAGATAGATAGGTAGGTAGGTAGATAGATAGATAGATGATAGAAAGATAGAAAGATAGGTAGATAGATAGATAGAAAGATAGACAGATAGATGGAAAGATAGATAGAGAACTATATATATAGTTTTATATATAGAATGATACATAGTGTTATATATAGATATTTATATATAAACTATATATAACTACATAGTTTATATATAAAACTGTATAACTATATACAGTTTTACATATATAAAACTATATATGACTATATATAGTTATATTTATATATACATATATGTAAAACTATATATAAATATATATCTATAACATATAAAACTATGTGTAACATATATAGTTACATTTACATATCTATACATATATGTAAAAATATATAGTTATAGTTTTATATATGTAAAACTACATATATAGTTTTATGTAAAACTATATATAAAACTACACTATAAAACTATATATAAGACTATATAAAACTATATATAACTACATAGTAATATACATATAATGTTAAAACTATAACTGTATATAAACTACATAATATATAATATATATTTAAATATATATAGTTATATATAACTATATATAACTATATATAGTGTTAAATATAAATATATAACTATATATAGTGTTAAAACTATATATAATATATAATATATATTAAATATATATATTTATATATAACTATATATAAACTATATATAATATATAATATATATTAAATATATATATTTATATATAACTATATATAAACATATATAATATATAATATATATTTAAATATATATTTATATATAACTATATATAAACTATATATAATATATAATATATATTTAAATATATATATTTATATATAACTATATATAAACTATATATAATATATAATATATATTTAAATATATATTTATATATAACTATATATAGTGATATATATAATATATGTATAGTTATATATATAACTATGTATAGTGATATATATAATATATGTATAGTTATATATATAACTATATATAGTGATATATAATATATGTATAGTTATATATATAACTATATATAACTGCAGAATGTATATATACAGAATAGATATATACGTCTAATAGTGTATATATATATATAAATAAGAGTTCTGTCTCTCATAGTATATATATTTATGTCTCTCCTTTAGTTCTCTTCTCTAGAGAACCGTGACTAATACACCTGTACAAAAGGAAATGTATGTTCTGCCATTGTGCATTTGGGAGGGCGACCTCCAAGGCCTCCATCCCTTCCCTGGAGCTGATGGAGATGCGCTGCCCTTGGCTATTGCTATGAGGGGTACTGGGCTGGGGCAGGGATCCCCATGGGGACACCACACCTTTCCTTTTGAGTTCCCCAAGGTTGCAGTGTTTCTGATGACTGAGCATTGAGGACAGTGGGGACACCACCTGGAAGGCAGGGCCTGGTCCCATATAAAAGAGGCAACGAGAGAGCCAAGGCCAGCTCTCCTTGTTGTTCTGAGCCTGGCCAGCAGCCAAGGGAGATGATGGACACAGTCCAGGGTGATGTGGGCCCCTCCCTCTTGCGCTGCCCCTGGGCTGAGCTGGACGCTGCAAATTCGCGGGAAGACACGTTTTCGGCATCACCCCGTCCTGCAGGTAGAGGGAGCCCTGGAGAGATTGTCTTCTGAGTTCCTTTCTCTTTTATTTATTTAGATTTGTGGGGCAGCCCTACTTTGTTCTATGAGAAAAGCAGGAGGGACCAGGAGGAGGTTCTATGGATGATGACCACGACCGACGTAATCTCAGGCAAGCTTCAGAAGAGGAGACGTGAGCGTTCACTAAGGAAGATCAAACGCACCCGCAAAAAGATGAGCCCAGCTTTGCTAACGCCCTGGTGAGTGTCAGGTACAGATAGAGGATGAAAACCTTCAACACACAGGGAACGTGGGCTCCCAGCAGAGCTGACCACAGACAGGCCCAGGCCCTGCTAACACCCCAGTCACAGGTCCAGTGCAGACAGTGGACGCCGGTATTCAATGCACAGGGGACGTGTCTCCCTGCAAACCTCACCACAGATGGGCCCAGGCCCTGCTAACGCCCCGGTCACAGGTCAGGTGTAGACAGTGGATACTGGTATTCAATGCACAGGGGACATGTGCTCCCTGCAGAACTGACTCCAGACAGGCCCAGGCCCTGCTAATGCCCCGGTCACAGGTCAGGTGCAGACAGTGGACACTGGTATTTAATGCAGGGGGGATGTGGGCTCCCAGCAGAACTGACCCCAGACAGGCCCAGGCCCTGCTAACGCTCCGGTCACAGGTCAGGTGCAGACAGTGGACGCTGGTATTCAATGCACAGGGGATGTGGGCTCCCAGCAGAGCTCACCACAGACAGGCCCAGGCCCTGCTAACGCCCCGGTCACAGGTCAGGTGCAGACAGTAGACGCCGGTATTCAATGCACAGGGGACGTGACTCCATGCAAACCTCACCACAGACGGGCCCAGGCCCTGCTAACGCCCCGGTCACAGGTCAGGTGTAGACAGTGGATACTGGTATTCAATGCACAGGGGACATGTGCTCCCTGCAGAACTGACTCCAGACAGGCCCAGGCCCTGCTAATGCCCCGGTCACAGGTCAGGTGCAGACAGTGGACACTGGTATTTAATGCAGGGGGGATGTGGGCTCCCAGCAGAACTGACCCCAGACAGGCCCAGGCCCTGCTAACGCTCCGGTCACAGGTCAGGTGCAGACAGTGGACGCTGGTATTCAATGCACAGGGGACGTGACTCCATGCAAACCTCACCACAGACAGGTCCAGGCCCTGCTAACGCCCCAGTCGCAGGTCAGGTGCAGAGAGTGGACGCCGGTATTCAATGCACAGGGGACATGACTTCATGCAAACCTCACCACAGACAGGCCCAGGCCCTGCTAACATCCCAGTCACAGGTCAGGTGCAGACAGTGGACGCTGGTATTCAATGCACAGGGGATGTGACTCCATGCAAACCTCACCACAGACAGGTCCAGGTCCTGCTAACGCCCCGGTCGCAGGTCAGGTGCAGACAGTGGACGTCGGTATTCAATGCACAGGGGACGTGTCTTCCTGCAAACCTCACCACAGACAGGTCCAGGCCCTGCTAACGCCCCGGTCGCAGGTCAGGTGCAGAGAGTGGACGCCGGTATTCAATGCACAGGGGACGTGACTCCATGCAAACCTCACCACAGACAGGTCCAGGCCCTGCTAACATCCCACTCACAGGTCAGGTGCATTCAGTGGACGCCGGTATTCAATGCACAGGGGACGATGGCTCCCAGCAGAGCTCACCACAGACAAGCCCAGGTCCTGCTAACGCCCAGGTCAGACTGGGTCAGGTACAGATGGGACCAGGCCCTGCTAACACCCTGGTGAGTATCAGGTGCACACAGAAGATGGGAACAGGGGATGTGGGCTCCCTGCAGAACTGACCACAGACAGTCCTGGTCCTTGCTAACACCCAGGCCAGTTTAGCTGAGGTATAGACGGCAGACGGCGGCATTTAATGCACAGGGAATGCGGGTTCCCTGCAAAACTCACCACAGACATGTCCAGGCACTGCTAACATCCTGGGCACAGGTCAGGTACACACAGTGGACGTGAACATTCAATACTCATCCCAGATGGGACCAGACCCTGCTAACGCCCCAGTCAGAGGTCAGCTGGGCATTTAATACACGTGAGACATGGGGTCCTGCAGAACTCACAACAGACGGGCTGAGCCCCGCCAACGCCCAGGTCAGAAGTCAGGGCCAGAGTGTTGTGGCGTTTTTCCCGGGATTTTTGTGTCCAGCTAAATCTGTCCAGCTGCCGTCAGCTGTAACGCCTAGGAGCTGCAGCAGTCTCTGCTACCCTTTTATTCTTTCTCTCTTTCTTTTTCTTTTTCTTTCTTTCTTTCTTTCTTTGTCTTTCTTTCTTCCTTTCTTTCCTTTCTTTCTTTCCTTTCTTTCCTTCCTTTCTTTCTTTCCTTCTTTCTTTCTTTCTTTGTTTCTTTCTTTGTCTTTCTTCCTTTCTTCCTTTCTTTCCTTTCTTTCCTTCCTTTTTCTTTCTTTCTTTCTTTGTCTTTCTTTCTTCCTTTCTTCCTTTCTTTCCTTTCTTTCTTTCCTTTCTTTTTCTTTCTTTCTTTCTTTGTCTTTCTTTCTTCCTTTCTTCCTTTCTTCCTTTCTTTCTTTCCTTTCCTTCCTTTCTTTCTTTCCTTCTTTCTTTCTTTGTCTTTCTTTCTTCCTTTCTTCCTTTCTTTCCTTTCTTTCCTTCCTTTCTTTCTTTCCTTCTTTGTCTTTCTTTCTTTCTTCCTTTCTTTCTTCCTTCCTTTCTTTCTTTCTTTCTTTCTCTTTCTTTCTTTCTTCTTTCTTTCTTTCATCTTTCCTTTCCCTTCCTTCCTTCCTTTCTTTCTTTCTTTGTTTCTTTCTTTGTCTTTCTTTCTTTCTTCCTTTCTTCCTTTCTTTCCTTTCTTTCCTTTCTTTCCTTCCTTTCTTTCCTTCTTTCTTTGTCTTTCTTCCTTCCTTTCTTTCTTTCTTTCTTTCTTTCTTTCTTTCTTTCTTCTTTCTTTCTTTCCTTCTTTCTGTCTCTTTCTTTCTTTCTTTCTTTCAGCTTTCCCTCCCTTCCTTCCTTCCTTCCTTCCTTCCTTCCTTCCTTCCTTCCTTCCTTTCTTTCTTTCTTTCTTTCTTTCTTTCTTTCTTTCTTTCTTTCTTTCTTTCTTTCTTTTTCTTTCTTTCAATGGGGTCTTTCTCTGTCGTCCAGGCTGGAGTGCAGGGGTGCGATCTCGGCTCACTGCAACCTCCGCCTCCCGGGTTCAAGCGATTTTCCTGCCTCAGCCTCCTGAGTAGCTGGGATTACACGAGGTGTGTGCCACCACGCCCAGGTAATTTTTGTATTTTTAGTAGAGACGGGGTTTCACCATGTTGGCCAGGCTGGTCTCAAACTCCTGACCTTGTGATCCACACGCCTCGGCCTCCCAATGTGCTGGGATGACAGGTGTGAGCCACTGCGCCCAGTCTCTGCTCCCTTTTTCGAAGGTTGCTTCTTTGTGCCTGTTCAGTCTTTTCTGGAACCTCCCATCTCTCTCACGGAGACCTTAGGGGGTGTCCCTTCTAGAATGCTGCCCTGGAGCTGTGCCTGACCCCTCCTGGGACTTGAGCATTTTTCTGTCGAATGAATGCAGAGGGGTGGAGAAAAACTCCCGCTCTAAACTGGACTTTGCTTCCAACGACGGCTGTTTTTGAATTGTACCCATCGCCTCTTCATGGTATAAGGTAAGGGCTAAATATATATTATTCACTGGGCAGAATTTTAGTTTGATTTTATGGTAGTGAAATTTACATACCATACAAGTAACCAATTTACAGCGTCCAGTTCAGGAGCCGATAGTACATTCACAATGTTATAGAATTGTCACCTCTCTCTGGTCCGAGAACATTCTCGTCACCCCAAAAGGCAACCCTGAACCCCATTAAACAGTCACCCCCATTTCCACTTCTGAACCCCTGGTGACCTCGAATCTACTTTCTGTGTTTATAGATATTGTCTCAGGTAAGCAGGGGTAAAATAATTTACAAAGAGAATTGCAGATAAAGACGGACTTTTTTATTTTGAGATAGAGTTTCGCTCTGTCACCCATGCTGGAGTGCAGTGCTGTGATCTCGGCTCACTGCAACCTCCACCTCCTGGGTTCAAGCGATTCTCCTGCCTCAGCCTCCAAGTAGCTGGGACTACAGGTGCCCGCCACCATGCTTGGCTAATTTTTGTATTTATAGTAGAGACGGGGTTTCACCATGTTGGCCAGGCTGGTCTCGAACTCCTAACCTCAAGGCATCCACCCACTTCGGAGTCCCAAAGTACTGGGATTACAGGTGTGAGCCACTGTGCCCGGCCATTAAACTTATCTTAGCCTTATCTTTCCTTGGCATCGTCTTCATATCCAAAAAAATCCCTCTGGCCAAGTTTTCCTTGTGATGCTTTTTCCAAAAAAAATTGCAGGGACTCTTTAGAAAATTCCAATCTCCCTGGCAGTTTATGCTTGACTAGTTGGAGTGGCCATTTGGCCTTTAAGAACCTGGAGCAGGCTGGGCACAGTGGCTCACACCTGTAATCCCAGCCCTTTGAGAGGCCGAAGCGGGAGGATTACGAGGTCAAGAGTTCAAGACCAGCCTGACCAACATGGTGAAACCCCGTCTCTACTAAAAATACAAAATTTAGCTGGGTGTGGTGGCAGACACCTGTAATCCCAGCTACGTGGGAAGCTGAGGCAGGAGAATCATTTGAATCTGGGAGACGGAAGTTGCAGTGAGCCAAGATTGTGCCACTGCACTCTAGCCTGGGCAACAGGGCAAGACTCTGTCTCAAAAAAAAAGAAAAAAAAAAAAAGAACCTGGGAAATGCCAGGCACAGTGGCTCCTGCCTGCAATTCCAGCACTTTGGGAGGCTCAGGTGGGAGGATCGCTGGAGCCCAGGGCTTTGAGACCAGCCTAGGCCACCTGGTGAGACCGTGTCTCTACAAAAAGGACAAAAATTCACCAGGTGTGGTGGTGTGTGCCTGTAATCCCACCTACTTGGGAGGCTGAGGTGGGAGGGTCGCTTGAGCCCAGGAGGCAGAGGTTGCAGTGAGTTGAGATCGTGCCCCTGCAGTCCAGCCTGGGCAACATAGTGAGACCCCACCTCCATAAATAGTAATAATAATAATAATAAAAAGAACTATGAATAACATCTCAGATATACATTCAAAATATTATTTTCAATAAATGTCTTCTCAGGCGTCCAAATAGACAAGCGATTCTCCAGCCTCAGCCTCCTGAGTAGCTGAGACTACAGGCACCCGCCACCAAGCCCGGCTAATTTTTGTATTTATAGTAGAGACAGGGTTTCACCATGTTGGCCAGCCTGGTCTCGAACTCCGAACCTCAAGTCATCCACCCACTTTGGCACCCCAAAGTACTGGGATTACAGGCGTGAGCCACCACGCCCGGACATTAAACTTCTCTTAACCTTATATTTTCTTGTCACCCGCAGAGTGCCACCTGTCCAGGCATCGTGCTGGCACAGAACGGCCAATGGGCATGGAATTCCCAGCACTGTTTGTCTGATGCATTAGATGACATAAAGATGGTGTCCTAAGGTTCCACACAAACCTCTTCGCCCACCACTCGGATGATCTGAAAAGCACAAACATAGTTTGTGTCTCGTTGGGGTGTCTACAAACTGTTTTTTGGAACCATGGTCCTTCTCTGCACAGGACTCACTTAGCCAAATGCAACTCTTCTCCTGACCTCCTAATTAATAAGATGAAGGCATTCGATCTGTGCGTCTGCAGCCCCGAGACCCCTTCTGCATATTAAAACCCACCTCGCCGGGCAGGCAGAACACTTGTTTGTGTGTATGGGAGCCCCCAGCAGCCCTTGGTCTATACTAGGCAAATAACAAAGAGGAGGAAAAAAAAAAACTTAACAAATTACAGCTGAAACAAATCACCATTGCCCCGTTTTCAAATTATTATATTTCTGGGGAATTTCAGCCCGTTACATGAAAAGGAAGACAGCCGATCCAGAGGGCTTTTGATCGTCAGGTTATGTTAATAACCGGCGCTCATGTAAAATGCATAAGATGTACCTTACTGTGGAAGAGGATGGCTGATAATTACTCCGTATGCACAGAGGGTACCTCATTCCAAACGGATGCATAAAGACCCCCTTTTACATGGCAGCCTAATTACTTATAGACAGTTGAGCAGAAAATTACTTTCATCTGCTTCAACATGTGGCAGCAAAGAGATTTGAGCTGTACTTTTCAAAACAGCTGGCTGGCATACTGCAAGAGAAGGCCGGTGTTGTGTGGGACTGATTGCAAAGTGCATTTTCTGATAATTAGATCTATTAGAGAGAGGCAAGGACCAGCCTGCATTGGAAGCGGAAAAAAAAAATTAACTGCAATGAACAGCAAGCAGGCAGTTCCTAGATGCTCCCAAAAGCCTGAACGGGGGCTGGGACGGTCACAGAGCGGCCCGGCCCCCATGAGCTCAATCTCTGATCACAGCAGGGTCCCCAGAGAGAGTGGGGGGGCCCTCCTGATGGCATGGCCAGGACCCCCGAGGCCGCCACCGGAGACTCTGCCTTTGATCTCGCCCTGGTCTGCTCACTCTGCGTGAGGACGACTCTGCCATCCTAATGATGGTTTTGCATCTGCCTGAGGTTTTGCTTTGCAGGGCTGCGGAAAGTGTCTAGCACGGCCAGCACCGGCCAGAGATACGGGGACCTGGGGGATGAGAATCCGCAGGTGCAGGTGGAGAAGAAACTTCTTTCTTGGAGGCTGCGGCGGCTCGTGGGGGAGCTGCCCCGGGTGGGAAGCATTTTGGGGCATCTACAGAGTATCTTGGGGAGGGGAATAAGACCTGCAGATTCTTCCTACATAGCTTATTTTGGTGTAGATAAAACGAGTGTTGTGGGACACTGTTTTCACAGCCTGGCGTTAGCTTCTGGTCTTCGGGATCTTCAAGAGAGGCTTTTAATTTTCTTTTTCTATTTATTTTTAAATAAAACTTCATTGCATTGCATTTTTGTTTTTGCTTTTGTTTTTTGAGATGGAGTCTCGCTCTGTCGCCCAGGCTGGAGTGCAATGGTGCAATCTCAGCTCCCTGCAACCTCCGCCTCCTGGGTTCACTCCATTCTCCTGCCTCAGCCTCCCGAGTAGCTGGGACTACAGGTGCCTGCCACCACGCCCAGCTAATTTTTTGTATTTTTAGTAGAGATGGGGTTTCACCATGTTGACCAGGATGGTCTCTAACTCCTGACCTCGTGATCCACCCACCTCGGCCTCCCAAAGTGCTGGGATTACAGGCTTCATTGCATTGCATTTTAAGAGACAGGGTCCTTGCTCTGTTGCCCAGGTTGGAGTGCAGTGATGCAATCTCAGCTCACTGCAGCCTCAACCTCCCAGGCTCATGTGATCTTTCCACCTCAGCTTCCAGAGTAGCTGGGACTACAGGTGTGCACCACTGCACCTGGCTAGTTTGTTTGTTTGTTTATTCATTTAGCAGAGATGAGGTCTCACTGTGTTTCTCAAGCTGATCTTGAGCTCCTAGACTCAAGCGATCCTCCCATCTCAGCCTCCTCAGTAGCTGGAACTACAGCCATGCACCACCACACCTGGCTAATTTTAATTTTTGTTTTTTTTGTAGAGACACAGTTTCAATTGGTGCCCTAGTCTGGTCTCCAATTCCTGGACTCCGATGATCCTCCCACGTCAGCCTCCCGAGAACTTGGGATTACAAGCATGCACCAGCACCCCTGGTTAATTTTGAAATTCTTTTGTGGAGACAGGATCTCCCTTTGTTGCCCAGGCTGGTCTCCGACTCTTGGCCTCAACCGATCCTCCCACCTTGGCCTCTCAAAATGCTAGCGCTGGGATTACAGGTGTGAGCCACGACACCCAGCCTCATTAACGTTTTAACTGACAACTGAAAGTTGTACATATTTAGGTTGTGTGCCATGAGGTTTTGACACTGTAGAATTCGTGGCATTAAGCTGATTAGCCAATGCCCTATCTCTGAGACTTACTATTGATTTGTGGTGAGAAAGAGTAACATCAACTCAGCCATTTTTAAGTCAACAATACGTATATTATTATCAACAATGTTATCTTGTTGCACTGTAAATGGATACAATGTTACCAGTCACCATGCCATATATTGGAGCTCTTGAACTTTTTCCTCCTGACAAATTGACGCTCTGTGTCCTTCAACCAACATTTCCGCAACCCCCAATTAGAAGGGAAGGCCTTCAAACAGGTCTCTGCCACCAGCTTTTAACACCATTTGAATGTCATACCAACCCCCTCCTTGGCCCCTGAGTCCCTTCCGACGTCCCACACAGAGCCCCTCCTCCAGCCACTCACATCCTTGTGGACATCTGGTTGCTGGACTTCAGCCCCGGCCCTTGCTCAGTAATTCCTACAACACCCGTCCGTGACACCTGGGCTAAGACCTGAGACCAACCTTGTCCAAAAGACCCCGAAAATTCCTGACTCTTTGAGACCTTCTCCTCTCCTCCTGCCCCCATCTCCTCATCCCCACTCTCCCTCCCTGGAGTTTCTGCTGCTCTGAGCACCTCAAACTCACCCTCACCCCCAGGTCCTGGTGATGTCCAAGCCGACTGCTGGGATGATGCAGTTCCCACAGACCTCCCCTGGCCACCCACCAGCATTCCAGCCTTTGCTTGGAGACTCCTCCTTCACCTTTCTCAAGAGGCAGTTCCCTTGGGGGTTTTCTCCATGGCACTTGATCACACAACTTCAGTTTCTGAAGGTCTTGATTTGTGGACGTGCCCCCCATGGCCCTGTTCGTGGCATTCAATGAGTATCAGGGGATTGTGGCGTTCGGTGTGTATCAGTGTGTAGTGGCATTGATGGTATATCCGTGCGTTGAGGCATTTAGAGTGTATTGAGTGTGTACAAGTGTATCATGGTATTGATTGCATATAAGTGCATTGTGGGATTGAGTGTGTATCAGTTCATTATGAGATTGAGTGTGTATCAGTGCATTGTGGGATTGAGTGTGTATCAGTGCATTGTGGGATTGAGTGCATTGTGGGATTAAGTGCGTATGAGTGCATTGTGGGATTGACTATATATCAGTGCATTGTGGGATTGAGTGTGTATCAGCGCATTATGGGATTGAGTGTGTATCAGTGCATTGTGGCATTGAGTGCATATGAGTGCATTGTGGGATTGAGTGTGTATGAGTGCATTGTGGGATTGAGTGTGTATCAGTGCATTGTGGGATTGCATGTGTATCAGTGCATTCTGGGATTGAGGGCATATGAGTGCATTGTGGGATGGTGTATCAGTGCATTGTGGGATTGAGTGTGTATCAGTGCATTGTGGGATTGAGTGCATTGTGGGATTGAGTGCGTATGAGTGCATTGTGGGATTGACTATATATCAGTGCATTGTGGGATTGAGTGTGTATCAGTGCATTATGGGATTGAGTGCATATGAGTGCATTGTGGGATTGAGTGTGTATCAGTGCATTGTGCGATTGAGTGCGTATCAGTGCATTGTGGCATTGAGTGCATATGAGTGCATTGTGGGATTGAGTGTCTATCAGTGCATTATGTGATTGAGTATATATCAGTGCATTGTGGGATTGAGTGTCTTTCAGTGCATTGTGGGATTGAGTGCATGTGAGTGCATTGTGGGATTGAGTGTGTATTAGTGCATTGTGGGATTGAGTGCATATGAGTGCATTGTGGGATTGAGTGTCTATCAGTGCATTATGTGATTGAGTATATATCAGTGCATTGTGGGATTGAGTGTCTTTCAGTGCATTGTGGGATTGAGTGCATGTGAGTGCATTGTGGGATTGAGTGTGTATTAGTGCATTGTGGGATTGAGTGCATATGAGTGCATTGTGGGATTGAGTGTGTTTGAGTGCATTGTGGGATTGAGTGTGTATCAGTGCATTATGGGATTGAGTGCATATGAGTGCATTGTGGGATTGAGTGTGTATCAGTGCATTATGTGATTGAGTGCGTATCAGTGCATTGTGGCATTGAGTGCATATGAGTGCATTGTGGGATTGAGTGTCTGTCAGTGCATTATGTGATTGAGTATATATCAGTGCATTGTGGGATTGAGTGTCTTTCAGTGCATTGTGGGATTGAGTGCATATGAGTGCATTGTGGGATTGTGTATCAGTGCATTGTGGGATTGAGTGCATATCAGTGCATTGTGGCATTCAGCGTGTATCAGCGCATTGTGGCACTTAGTGTATATTGAGTGTGTACAAGTGCCTTGTGGCATTGAGTGCATATGAATGCCTAGAAGCATTAAGTGCATATCAGTGCCTTGTGGCATTTAATGTATATCAGTGCATTGTGGCATTTAATATATATTGGTGCATTGTAGCATTGAGTGCATTGTGGCATTGAGTGTGTATTGAGTGTGTACAAATGCATTGTGGCATTGAGTGCATATGAGAGCATCATGGAATTCAGTGCACATTAGTAAATCATAGCATTTAATCTATGTCACTGAATTGTGGCATTGAGTGCATACAAGTACATTGTGGCATTGAGTGTGTATCAGAGAATCATGGCATTTGATGTATATCAGGGCATTGTGGCATTGAGCGCCTATGAGTGCATTGCAGCGTTGACTGCCTATCAGTGCATGGTGGCATTCAGCACGTATCAGTGCATCGTAATGTTGAGTGCGTATCAGTGCATTGTGGCATTGAGTGTGTATCAGTGCATTGTGGCATTCAGCATGTATCAGTGCATCATAATATTGAGTGCATATCAGTGCATTGTGGCACTTAGTGTGTATTGAGTGTGTACAAGTGCACGGTGGCATTGAGTGCGTATCAGTGCATTGTGGAATTCAGTGCATATCAGTGAATTGTGGCATTTAATCTATATCAGTGAATTGTGGCATTGAGTGCATATGAGTGCATTGTGGCATAGAGTGTGTATCAGTGCATTGTGACATTCAGCATGTATCAGTGCATTGAAACGTTGAGTGCATATCAGTGCATTGTGGCATTGAGGGTGTATCAGTGCATTGTGGCATTGAGTGCATATGAGTGCACTGTGGAATTCAGTGCATATCAGTGAATTGTAGCATTTAATGTATATCAATGCATTGTGGCATTGTGTGCATTGTGGCATTGAGAGTGTATCAGTGCCTCTCGGTATTGCGTGTGTATTCGTGAACAGGTGCTTCACCTGCTCCTCTCATGGTCAGCCCAGGAATCTCATATTTACTGTCCAGAGTCACGAAGGACCCTCCCCAGAGAGACTTCCCATTGAGAGACCCCTCCCCACTGAGTCAGACCCCTCGTCCCTCTCAAAGGCCACCTCTGAGACTGTCACACTTTGTCATGGGAATCCGGGGGCCCCTGGCATACTCTGTCCATGTTTGCCCAGCAAACACCATAGCGTAATAAAGGCAGAAGGAGATTCAGGGGCACGATGGGCTTACGGGAGGCCACCAGCCACGGGGAATCTGGCATTCATAAGGAGCATGCAGTGAAATCTAGATCCCTCACATGCACGGTTCACAGTAGGGTTTGTGCTCCTATGAGCATCAAATGCGTCTGCTGCTGATCTAACAGGAGGTGGGGCTCAAGCCGTAATGGGAGAGATGGGGAGTGGCTGTGAACACAGATGAAGTTTTGCTTGCTTGCCCACCGCTCACCTCTTGCTGTGGGACCTGGTTCCTTAGAAGCCACTGACTAGCACCAGCAGCTGCAGTGTGTGGAGGCCTCCAGGAGCCAAACCCAGGATTTTTCCCATGGAATTGGACTCCATTCCAAACATGCATCCCGGGGCCACTCTGCTGACTGGGTCGCCTTCCTGTGTGGCTTGAAGTAAATGCAAGATTCGCTGTCCTGAAGCAAATGAATCTGAAGTTCAAGTCAGAGCAGACGTGGAGGGACGGGTGGCCGATCTGTCTACACGTTAGGCATTCTTCGTCACTACCAGGGGCACCATTGACTGCTCTTGATTTAATCCGTGTAACAGACTGGAGAAGCCCATTATCCAAGAGTCAAGGTACAATCAATATATTTTGCAAAATAAAGAGTCTATTGGGTGCACACTAATAAAGAAAAAGAAAGCAAACCCTGTAGGTTTAATTTAGAGCTCACCCCCACCTCTTCCCACCTCAGCCCTGAAGTCGCCAAGACTCGTCATAAAACCGTTTCCTTGTTAATCCTCGCCGAGGTGTTTTTCTGTGCCCAGAGCCTGGCTTGGGAAATGAATGACGGGGTGATGGTTAGAAAACCAGGACACAATGTGGGGGCCACAGAAACATATATGGGGATGCCTAAGGCACTTGGAGGTGATGGCTGAGGGCTCCACGCCTGGGGTACGTGGTAGGGAGGAAGATTGGATTAAGTGAAATGCTGTTGACTTAATCCCAATGGGTTTTAACAAGAAATCAAACCCAGAGGTGTCTGTTCTCAGGGAAGAGCTGCAGGAAGGGGGAAGATGGAACGTTGTACCCAGCCAGGCGTGGTGGCTCACACCTGTCATCCTAGCACTTTGGGAGGCCAAGGCAGGCGGATCACCTGAGGTCAGGAGTTCTAGAACAGCCTGACCAATATGGTGAAATCCCACCTCTACTAAAAATAATAATTTTAAAAAATGGTTGGGCATGGTGGCGGGCACCTGCAATCCCAGCTACTTGGGAGGCTGAGGCAGGAGAATCGCTTGAACCAGGGAGGCTGAGTTTGCAGTGAGCCGAGATAGTGCCACTGCACACCAGCCCTGGTGACAGAGCAAGACTTCGTCTCAAAAAAAAAAAAAAATGTACAGTTACATATAAGGAATCAGTCCTGGCTGGGCACGGTGGCTCATGCCTGTCATCCCAGCACTTTGGGAGGCCAAGGTGGGCAGATCACCTGAGGTCAGGAGTTCGAGACCAGCCTGACCAATATAGTGAAACCCCATCTCTACTAAAAATAATAATAATAAAAAAATTAGTTGGGAGTGGTGGCAGGCACCTGCAATCCCAGCTACTCAGGAGGCTGAGGCAGGAGAATTGCTTGAACCACGGAGGCAGAGGTTGTAGTGTGCCAAGATTGTGTCACTGCACACCAGCCCTGGTGACAGAGCAAGACTTTGTCTCAAAAAAAAAAAAAAATGAAAAAAGAATGCTGCACCCGGAAGAAGCACATTGCAGCCATCCCTGACAATTGCTTGGATGCTACAATGGTGAATTTTATAAGTCAGTCTGATCAGGTCTTGCAATGAACACGTTAAACATGATTTCTGGATGTATCTGTGAGGATGTTTCTAGAGGAGACTAGCATTTGAGTTCATGGGCTCACGAAAAGAAACATCATCCGCTTTAAAACTGGTAAGGATAGGCCTTCTGTTGAGGGTGTGCAACAGGATTTGCTCCATTTCTCCTGCAACACTACTTGAGCTGGGACATCTCATTCCATCATCTGTCTTCAGACTGGCTCTTACAGCCTCGGTTCTTCTGGGTCTCAGGCCTTCAGCTAAGTTAGGGTCTTCACGCTATCAACTCTACTGCATTTCAGACCTTCAAACTCAGACTAGAACTCCCACCCTCAGCTCTCCTGGGTCTCTGGACTTCAGACTCACACTGGAACTCACACCCTCAGCTCTCCTGGGTCTCAGGACTTCACACTCAGACTAGAACCCACACCCTCAGCTCTCCTGGGTCTCTGGACTTCAGACTCACACTGGAACTCACACCCTCAGTTCTCCTAGGTCTCAGACCTTCAGACTCAGACTAGAACTCACACCCTCGGCTCTCCTGGGCCTCAGGCATTCAGACTCAGACTAGAACTCACACTCTCAGCTCTTCCAGGTCTCGGGCCTTCAGACTCACACGGGAACTCACACCGTCAGTTCTCCTAGGTCTCAGACCTTCACACTCAGACTGGAACTAGGGACCCTTGGCTCTCCTGGGTCTCAGACCTTCAGACTCAGACTAGAACTCACACCCTCGGCTCTCCTGGGTCTCAGGCCTTCAGACTCAGACTGAAACTCACACCCTTAGCTCTCCTGGGTCTCAGGACTTCTGACTCACACTGGAACTCACACCCTCAGCTCTCCTAGGTCTCAGATCTTCAGACTCAGACTGGAACTCACACCCTCAGCTCTCCTGGGTCTCAGGACTTCAGACTCTGTCTGAAACTAGGGACCCTTGGCTCTCCTGGGTCTCAGGACTTCAGACTCAGACTGGAACTCACACCCTCAGCTCTCCTGGATCTCAGGCCTTCAGACTCAGACCGGAACTCACACCCTCAGCTCTCCTGGGTCTCAGGACTTCTGACTCACACTGGAACTCACACCCTCAGTTCTCCTAGGTCTCAGACCTTCAGACTCAGACTAGAACTCACACCCTCAGCTCTCCTAGGTCTCAGACCTTCAGACTCAGACTAGAACTCACACCCTCGGCTCTCCTGGGTCTCAGGCCTTCAGACTCAGACTGAAACTCACACCCTTAGCTCTCCTGGGTCTCAGGACTTCTGACTCACACTGGAACTCACACCCTCAGTTCTCCTACGTCTCAGACCTTCAGACTCAGACTAGAACTCACACCCTCGGCTCTCCTGGGTCTCAGGCATTCAGACTCAGACTAGAACTCACACTCTCAGCTCTTCCAGGTCTCGGGCCTTCAGACTCACACGAAAACTCACACCGTCAGTTCTCCTAGGTCTCAGGACTTCACACTCAGACTAGAACTCACACCCTCAGCTCTCCTGGATCTCAGGACTTCACACTCAGACTGGAACTCACACCCTCAGCTCTCCTGGGTCTCAGGACTTCAGACTCAGTCTGAAACTAGGGACCCTTGGCTTTCCTGGGTCTCAGGACTTCAGACTCATACTGGAACTCACACCCTCAGCTCTCCTGGGTCTCAGGACTTCTGACTCACACTGGAACTCACACCCTCAGTTCTCCTACGTCTCAGACCTTCAGACTCAGACTAGAACTCACACCCTCAGCTCTCCTGGGTCTCAGGCCTTCAGACTCAGACTGAAACTCACACCCTCAGCTCTCCTGGGTCTCAGGACTTCTGACTTACACTGGAACTCACACCCTCAGCTCTCCTGGGTCTCTGGACTTCAGACTCACACTGGAACTCACACCCTCAGCTCTCCTGGGTCTCAGGACTTCACACTCAGACTAGAACTCACACCCTCAGCTCTCCTGGATCTCAGGACTTCACACTCAGACTGGAACTCACACCCTCAGCTCTCCTGGGTCTCAGGACTTCAGACTCAGTCTGAAACTAGGGACCCTTGGCTTTCCTGGGTCTCAGGACTTCAGACTCATACTGGAACTCACACCCTCAGCTCTCCTGGATCTCAGGCCTTCAGACTCAGACCGGAACTCACACCCTCAGCTCTCCTGGGTCTCAGGACTTCTGACTCACACTGGAACTCACACCCTCAGTTCTCCTAGGTCTCAGACCTTCAGACTCAGACTAGAACTCACACCCTCAGCTCTCCTGGGTCTCTGGACTTCAGACTCACACTGGAACTCACACCCTCAGCTCTCCTGGGTCTCTGGACTTCAGACTCACACTGGAACTCACACCCTCAGCTCTCCTGGGTCTCAGGACTTCACACTCAGACTAGAACTCACACCCTCAGCTCTCCTGGATCTCAGGACTTCACACTCAGACTGGAACTCACACCCTCAGCTCTCCTGGGTCTCAGGACTTCAGACTCAGTCTGAAACTAGGGACCCTTGGCTTTCCTGGGTCTCAGGACTTCAGACTCATACTGGAACTCACACCCTCAGCTCTCCTGGATCTCAGGCCTTCAGACTCAGACCGGAACTCACACCCTCAGTTCTCCTACGTCTCAGACCTTCAGACTCAGACTAGAACTCACACCCTCAGCTCTCCTGGGTCTCAGGACTTCTGACTCACACTGGAACTCACACCCTCAGTTCTCCTAGGTCTCAGACCTTCAGACTCAGACTAGAACTCACACCCTCAGCTCTCCTAAGTCTCAGACCTTCAGACTCAGACTAGAACTCACACCCTCGTCTCTCCTGGGTCTCAGGACTTCACACTCAGACTGGAACTCACAACCTCCGCTCTCCTGGGTCTCAGGCCTTCAGACTCAGACTGGAACTAGGGACCCTTGGCTCTCCTGGATCTCTGTCTTTCTAGCAGTAGATTAAGGAACTTCTCAGCTTCCATATTTAACTGACCTATTTTCTCATAATAAATCTAGCATCTATCTATCTATCATCTATCTATCTATCTATCTATCTATCTATCTATCATCATCTATTATATTATATTATCTACCTATCTGTTTATTATCTGTTTATCATTTGTTATTATCCCTACTATCATCTGAAAATCATGTTTTTATCATATATCTATTTATTATTCATCTACTTATCCCCTGTCTCTGTAGCTTCTACATAGCTATCTATCATTTATCTATCTCTTCTCTGTTTTTTTTTTTTTCTGTTTTTAGATGGAGTTTCACTCTTGTTGTCCAGGCTAGAGAGCAATGGCGTGATCTTGGCTCATTACAACTCTGCCTCCCAGGTGCAAATGATTCTCCTGCCTCAGCCTCCCGAGTAGCTGGGGTTACAGGCATCTGCCACCATGCCCAGCTAATGTTTTGTATTTTTAGTAGAGACAGGGTTTCACCATGTTGGCCAGGCTGGTCTCGAACTCCTGACCTCGTGATCCACCCGCCTCATCCTCCCAAAGTGCTGGGAATACAGGCGTGAGCCACCATGCTTGGCCTATCTTTCCCCTGTTGAATCTGTTTCTCTGGAATGCTTGAGGAATATAGACATCTCTACTTTGTCATGGTTTCATTCACTCATTACAATGTCACCTCACTATATACCTGGTGCTTAAGAAAGGTCCGATAGACAATGTTGGGTAATGGGATGTATTTCTTGCTGATAACAGAATACCTGAAACTGAGTAAATGATAAGAAATCAAATTTATTCTTACAGTTCTGGAGGCTCAATAATTCTAGGTCAAGGGGCGGCATCTGGTGAGGGCCTCCTTGCTATTGGGGACTCACTGCTGAGTCCCAAGGTGACACAGGTATCACATGGTGATGGGGCCGAGAGTGCTAACTCAGGTCTCTCTTCCACTTCTTATAAAGCCACTAGTCCCACTCCCTTGATAAACCATTAATCCATTAATTTATGATTGGATTAATCCATCTCTAAGAGCAGAGCCTTCACGGCCCAATCACCTCTTAAATAACTCACCTCTCAATGCTGCCATGTAGGGGATAAAGTCTCCCCAGGAGTTTTGGAGGGAACAAATATTCACACCTTAGCATGGGGCTTGGATGACCTCCTAGTGTCCTCACTGTGGTGGTCTCCGGGCATGCATCTCTGTTCATGGCTCAGCCATCCACATGGTCCCAGAAGAGCCACCACAATCTACGTGGATGAAGTTCAGGGTTTTCAGACTCAAGATTTCTGGGATCCATCAACTGATGGCAGATGTCCTCAGCAAACACCACCAGAGTTACTTGAATCAACAACACCTCAAGTTGCTCGAAACTCGGACAAATTTGGAACCAAGCGTATCACCATTGGAGAGAAGAGACCCATCGCTTTTTTCTTTGGGAGTGTTCGTGGAGGTGGATGGATAAGAGTGTAAGGAAGGTTGAGAGGTTAGTAGAGACAAGCTTTCACCATGTTGGCCAGGCTGGTCTCTAACTCCTGACCTCGTGATCCACCCTCCTCATCCTCATCCAGAGCAAGACTGGCTATTTCCCATTCTTAAATTGAGTAAAACTATCAGCCCTTTGCAAAACAGAACTCAAGGGGTGAGGGGTACTGTCTTCTGCATCGTCCACCTCCATTGCTGGTGGCAGTTATCCCCTGAAACCACCTTCGCCTGGAGCCATCCCAGCTTCTGCCCACATGATGGTTCCCCTTTCCTCATCTTCCTTTTTCCTCCTCCCACTTGTCCCACTTGTATCTTGAGGTTTTGCTGTACTACAAACAGAATCTGATAAAATAATCTTGACTAAGCCAATGAGTAAAAAAACCCTTGAGTATAGTCTTCCTCGCTCTTCCTGATTTGGACAAGAAGCTTGCAAATATGCTGGTATCTTCAGAAGAATGACTGCTATGGGGTTATGGGTGAGAAGTCAGTTTTCTCCTCTGGTTTTTCATGGGTATTTTAAAATTACAGCCAGGGGTAGCAGCAGTTCTCCCTCCCTAGCAGCTATGAGTCTATGGAAGGGTTTGTGTCCATGCTTTCTGAAATAATTACCAGAGCTAACCACATTCTATGTTTGGCTGTTTTTTCTTCTCCAAATGCATCTGGAGACCCACTTGGCAGCAGGAAGGTTGCTGGGTGCTCAGAGCATCTTACTCCAGGGAAGATTGGTGATAGGATAGATAGACAGACAGACAGATAGAAAAATCAATAGATAGATATCTAGATAGATAGATGACGGATAGATAGGCAGGCAGAGATAGATGATAGATAGATAGATAGATAGATAGATAGATAGATAGATAGATAGATGATAGATAATAGACACATAGATGATAGACAGATAGATAGATGATAGATAGATAGATAGATAGATAGATAGATAGATAGATAGATAGATGTAATGTGTTTGAATCATCCCAAAGTCACCTCCCCAACCCCCATTTCATGGAAAACTAGTCTTCCAGGAAACTGGTCCCTGGTACCAAAAAGGTTGGGGGGCCGCTGATATAGGGGTATTTGTGTCCTTATGAGAAGGGGAAGAGACCCCAGAACTCTCTCTGTCTCTCTCTCTCTTTCTCTCTCTGTCTCCACTGTGTGAGGACACAGCAAGAAGGCAGCCGTTTGCAGACCAGAAAGAGAGCCCTCACCAGACACTGAGTCTGCCCTGTCCACACCTTGATCTCAGACTTCCAGCCTCCAGAACCACGAGAAAATAAATGTCTGCTGTTTAACCCAGCGGTCCCCAGCCTTTTTGGCACCAAGGACCACTTTCACGGAAGACAATTGTTCCACGAACTGGGGAGGGGGTCTGGTTTGGGGATGATTCACGTGCATTACATTGATTGTGTACTTTATTTCTATTATCATTGCATTGTAATATATAATGAAATAATTATCCATCTCAGCATAATGTAGCATCGGTGGGTGCCCTGAGCTTGTTTACCTGCAACTAGATTGTCCCCTGTGGGGGTGATGGGAGACACAGTAGAGCATCAGGTATTGATTCTCATCAGGAGCATGCAGTGAAATCTAGATCCCTCACATGCACGGTTCACAGTAGGGTTTGTGCTCCTATGAGCATCAAATGCCTCTGCTGCTGATCTGACAGGAGGTGGGGCTCAAGCTGTAATGGGAGAGATGGGGAGTGGCTGGGAACACAGATGAAGCTTTGCTTGCTTGTCCACTGCTCACCTCCTGCTGTGGCACCTGGTTCTTCAGAAGCCACTGACTAGTAGCAATCTGTGGCGCAAGGGTTGGGAGACCCTGGTTTAACCCACCCAGTCTGTAGTCCCCTGTCATGGGCAGCCTAAACAAAACTAATGCAAGCACCTGCCCCTGCAGGCAGTGAGCATAGGCTGTTTCCAAGCCCACCAAAGAGGCCACCTCTCTTGTAATTATAGTTGTATTTCTCATTGATGACAGATATAAAAATCCTTAATGCCACATTGTTTGGGGGACCTCAGAAAAGGCAGGGATAGGCCAGGCACCATGGCTCATGCCTGTAATCCCAGCACTTTGGGAGGCCGAGGCAGGTGGATCACCTGAGGTCAGGTGTTCAAGACCAGCCTCACCAACATGGTGAACCCCTGTCTCTACCAAAAAAATACAAAATTAGCCGGGTGTTGTGGCAGGTGCCTGTAATCCCAGCTACTCGGAAGGCTGAGGCAGGAGAATCGCTTGAACCCGGGAGGCGGAGGTTCAGAGAGCCGAGATCCCGCCATTGCCCTCTAATCTGGGCAGCAAGAGCGAAACTCCATCTCAAAAAAAAAAAAAGTGAATGTCCAGTCAGGCACACATGGCTCATGCTTGTAATCCCACCACTTTGGGAGGCCGAGGCAGGTGGATCACCTGAGGTCAGGTGTTCGAGATCAGCCTCACCAACATGGTGAACCCCTGTCTCTACTAAAAAAATACAAAATTAGCCAGGTGTTGTGGCAGGTGCCTGTAATCCCAGCTACTCAGAAGGCTGAGGCAGGAGAATCACTTGAACCTGGAAGGTGGAGGTTCAGAGAGCCGAGATCCCACCATTGCACTCTAACCTGGGCAACAAGAGTGAAACTCCATCTCAAAAAAAAAAAAAAAATAGTGAATGTCCAGTCGGGCACACGTGGCTCATGCCTGTAATCCCAGCACTTTGGGAGGCCGAGGCAGGTGGATCGCAAGTTCAGGAGTTCAAGACTAGCCTGGCCAATATGGTGAAACCCCGTCTCTACTAAAAAAAATACAAACATAAGCCAAGTGTGGTGGTGGGCGCCTGTCATCCCAGCTACTTGGGAGGCTGAAGCATGAGAATCGCTTGAACCTGGGAGGTGGAGGTTGCAGTGAGCCGAGATGACTCCAGTGCACTCCAGCCTAGGTGAGAGAGTGAGACTCTGTCTCAAAAACAAACAAACAAACAAACTATCCAAAAACAACAACAACAAAAAGAAAAGGCAGGGATACCAGATGAGAAGGCAGACATTTCCAGAAAGAATAGGTGTGTGGATGATATTTTCTAGCCATAAGTTTTTTTTTCTTTTTTTTTTTTTACATAATGACTGTATCAAAATAGCACATGGCACCTGCTAGAAGGATGCTGGCTAACTGGTACCAATTGCCTACATCCTATGACTCATCATGTCCCAGGTACGAGTGCCCACGTAGGTGGTGGTCGTAGCTTCTGTTCTCATCAGCTTGATTTTTCAGAAAATTGTATCCTGGAATAGCCACTTATTGGCATTAGAGAGAGAAAGATGCTGATTATAATAACTCCTGTGGCTTGAAGTATTGGGTCCAAGCTGCTACTAAGTTAACTGGAACATGTTCTATTCATTTGTTAGTGCCTAAAATTAACCAGGCTCCTTGAGGCCCTGAACACATTGTTCCGGAAATACATCAGTATTGATCACTGCTGCATTTCCTCATTAAATAGGGCAGCTGGGGTATTTTTAGCACAAAACACTGAAACAGAACAAAATGTGATTATCTATGTCGTTATGGTAATACAGAAGTCCCAGATTTGACTTCTTTCAAAAAAAGAGGTCTTTATATTCATAAAAAAGAGACAGACAGAAAGATGGAAAAAAGAAAGAGAAAGAAAGAAAGAAGGAAAGAAAGAGAAAAAAGAGAGAAAAAATAAAGAGAAAGAAGAAATAAAGAAAAAGAAGAAAGAGACACAGAGAGAAAGAAAGAAAGAAAGAAAGAAAGAAAGAAAGAAAGAAAGAAAGAAAAAGAAAAGCAAGCAAGCAAGCAAGCAGGAAAGAGAAAGGAAGAAAAAGAAAGAAAGAAAGAAAGAAAGAAAGAAAGAAAGAAAGAAAGAAAGAAAGAAAGAAAGAAAGAAAAAGAAAGAAAGAAAGAAAGACAAACAAAGGGAGAGAAAGAAAAAAGAAAGGAAGGAAGGAAGGGACTGGGCGTGGTGGCTCACGCCTGTAATCCCAGCACTTTGGGAGGCCGAGGCAGGTGGATCACGAGGTCAAGAGATTGAGACCATCCTGGCCAACATGGTGAAACCCCATCTCTAATAAAAATACAAAAATTAGCCGGGCATGATGGCTGGTGCCTGTAGTCCCAGCTATTCGGGAGACTGAGGCAGGAGAATCGCTTAAACCCTGGAGGCAGAGGTTGCAGTGAGCTGAGATCACGCCACTGCACTCCAGCCTGGTGACAGAGCAAGACTCTGTCTCAAAAAAAAGAAAGAAAAATAAAGAAACAGAAAGGAAGAAAGAAAAAAGAAAGAAGGAAAGAAAGATAGACAGATGAATTTGTTCAGCGGGAAACAGGCGTATCAAGTTATTTTATTTTATTTTATATTTTATTTTATTTTATTTTATGAGACAAGGTCTTACTCTGTCACCCAGGCTGGAGTGCACTGGTGCAATCATGGCTCACTGTAGCCT
Organism: Homo sapiens; assembly: GCF_000001405.40. NCBI lineage: Eukaryota > Metazoa > Chordata > Mammalia > Primates > Hominidae > Homo > Homo sapiens. The sequence continues at coordinate 750,027 of NC_000024.10, forward strand.
CGACCTCCTGGGCTCAAGCGATCCTCCCACCTCAGCCTCCAAAGCAGCTGAGACCACAGGCACACACCACCATGCCTGGCTAATTTTTAATTTTTTTTCTGTGCAGATGGGGTCTTGCTATATATTGCCCAGGCTGGCCTCAAACTCCTGGCCTTAAGCAATCCTCCTGCTTTGGTTTACCAAAGTGCTGGGATTACAGGCATGAACCACCACAATTGGCTGATTCTTTAAACAAAATTAATAAATATCTGGCAGAATCTTAACAGTGAGAAGATACTGTATTCATTGCCAAGGGCTGGGGCAGTGCAGAGGTGAAAGAGATACATTGAGGATCAGATGCAGAATGTTGGAGTGGTTCACAGTTTAGTATAACCCAGCATATTGGGGGTGTTGCAAACGAAGCCAATCCGGCCCCCTGCACGTTACTGTCAATAAAGTTTTATTGAAACATGGTCACACACACATTCTTGTGCACACCGTCTGTGGCTGCTTTCCTGCCACAAGGGCAGAGCTAAATCCTTGCATGGCAGACTGTGTGGTCCACAAAACTGAAAATATTGACTATCTGGCTCTTCACTTAAAAGATTTGCCCACCTCTGGTCTAACTGGTGTTGGAGGAATGCTTCGTAGTGACTCAGCCACTCCTGGTTTCTTTTTTCTTTTTTCTTTCTTTTCTTTTCTTTTTTTTTTTCTTTTTTTTTTTTTTTTGTTTTTTTTTTTGAGACTGTGTCTTACTCTGTCACCCAGGCTGAAGTGCAGTGGCTTTATCTCAGCTCACTGAACCTCCGCCTCCCGGTTCAAGCGATTCTCCTGCATCAGCGTCCTGAGTAGCTGGGATTACAGGCTCTTGCCGCCATGCCCTGCTAATTTTTGTATTTTTAGTAGAGACAGGATTTCGCCATGTTGGCCAGGCTGGTCTCGAACTTCTGACCTCATGATCCACCCACCTCGGCCTCCCAAAGTGCTGGAATCTTACAGGTTTGAGCCACCACGCCCAGCCCAAATAATTTTTATTTAATATATTTAATATAAATATTAAATAAATAAATTTACTAAATATAAATGTTAAACAAATGTTTATTCATTAATATAAATATTACACAAATATTTATTTAATATTTATCTTAATGAATTAATTTACATAAATTTATTCATTTATATCTTACACAAATATTTAATATTTTTATTAAGGAATTAAATTTATTAATTATATATTACACAAATATTTAATATTTATATGAAGGGATAAATTTAAATAAATTTATTCATTTATATATTACACAAATATTTAATATTTATATGAAGAATAAATTTAAATAAATTTATTCGTTAATATATATTACACAAATATTTAATATTTATATGAAGGAATAAATTTAAATAAATTTATTCATTAATATATATTACACTAATATTTAATATTTATATGAAGGAATAACTTTATTTAAATAAATTTATTCCTTCATATAAATATTAAATAAAAGTATACAATAAATAAATTTATATTAAAATATATTTTTTAAAATCCTGTTACCAAATATATGTATTTGGATATAGCAGAAGCACGTGAAAGAGGAAAATGACCATCACAGCAGCATTCTTGGAATTATCTACTAAGGTAAAGGAGCCCCTTGGGGCAGGTGGTGATCGCTAATCGAGGATCCCCTTGGAGAGCTGGTTGGTTTTGACTTGGTGGTCCTCTCTCCTGTTGGTTTCCGGGGAGTGGTCAACACATGGGCAGACAAGGTATATAGCTCTTTTTGGGGTCTATGGAGAATCAGAGCCCCTCCATGAACCCAGCTAAAGAGGCAACACATGCTTAATTCCATTCCACACTCAGGGAAGTCAACTCTAACAACGCAGAAGAAAGATGAGAAGGACAAAAATGTCCATTCGGTTTGAGAGATGAACTCCCACATCTGTGGGCAGAAGGCCAAAGTTAGCCCCAAAGGCACACCCCGTCCACTCCAGGTGCTGTGTGTGTGTGGGCGTTAGCCTTCCAGGGACTTCACGGCCAAGAAGACAATTGCCCCACGGAGCTGGGACGACCCTCTTTTCTGAGCCATTTCAGAATGCCAGCCAGGGAATTCCTATTGAGCAGGTGCAAAAGTACGGAGGACAGATAGAATAGAATTTAGACCCAGGCTGGGTGCAGGGGTTCATGTCTGCAGTCCCAGCACTTTGGAAGGGTGAGGCAGGTGCATTGCTTGCATCCAGCCTGAGTGATACACAAAGACCCCAACTCTACACTTGTATAGACATTTACAATCTACAGTTGGGAGTATAGACATTTAGTACAGACAGAATGTCTGTCCAGGCCTAAATTCTATTCTTTTTTCCTCTTTTTTTTTTTTGAGGCAGGGCCTCACTGTGTCACTCTGGCTGGACTGCTGTGTTACAACCTCGGCTCACTGCAACCTCTGCCTCCTGGGCTCAGGCGATCCTCTTGCCTCAGCCTCCCAAGTAGCAGGGATTACAGGTGCGTGAACCACCATGCCCGGCTAAGTTTTGTATTTTTGGGAGAGTTCGATCTGTCTCGTTTTCGTCTCTTCCTTATCACTTGTGGATCATCAAGGCGTTCAGAGTCCTTCACGGGACACCAAGAGGCCAAGTTCTTGTTTTGACTTTACCATGTCAGTACATTAATTTCTTCTTATTGATTTATTTACGTATTTATTTTGAGACAGATTCTTGCTCTGTCGCCCAGGCTGGAGGGCAGTGGTGCCATCTCGGCTCACTGCAACCTCTGCCTCCAGGGTTCAAGCGATTCTCCTGCCTCAGCCTCCCAAGTAGCTGGGATTACAGGCACCCGCCACCATGCCCAGGTAATGTCTGTATTTTTAGTAGAGACGGGGTTTCTCCATGTTGGCCAGGATGGTCTCGAACTCCTGAGCTCAGGAGATCCACCCACCTGGGCCTCCCAAACTGCTGGGATGACAGACGTGAGCCACCATGCTTGGCCTATCTTTCCCCTGTTGAATCTGTTTCTCTGGAAGGGAAGTTTGCAAAAAAGAAAAAAACCTTAACGTATGAATAAATGATGTCTACAAAAAGCAAATCCTACAGTCACGGGTGCAGGTACATTTTTCTTTGCAATTCTAGCAAATTCTCCCCTTGGGAATACAAAATACGCCATTCTTTTTTTTAATTCTTGTTTTAAGGATGGCCACTGTCACAGAACATGAGTGAGGGACGGTATCTGCGTACGTTGAAAATGCTCACGGTTTCTGGTGCAGAGATTTCTCTGGAGTAATGGCATTTTTCTGTGTGGCAGTTAGCATTTAGAGTGAATAGAGTTTTTCTCTCTCTCTTTTTTTTTTTTTTTTGCAGTGTTATGCACTCGAAAATGTCATCTTTTTTCTATTCCTTTTAAAATCAAATTACAACCTGACATTCAATAAAATATCTTTTGCGCAACTAATAAAAACAAGACCCTCGCTGCCTTGACAATTAAGGCACGGGGTCCGACACGCCGCCTCCGATACAGTTTACGGCTTCCCTTTGATGTCAGGGTTTCCTATATTAAAAAAAAAAAAGAGCCCCATTATTTATTAATAGCCTTCTGTGTTTTAAACGTTTCTTTTTCTTGTGTGGAGAGAAAAAAAAATCATTTGCCTTTTAATGGGGTGTCAGATTTGCTTTCGAAACCTTCTAAAAGGTTATCGTTGTTGAATACGAACAAGTTTCTTTCTGCGGAATCAATGAAGACTCTGTTTCCCGGGCTGCTCCGTGGAAAACTTAATTTCACCATTTTGCAAAGTGCAGGGCTGGGACGTTTCACTGCGGTTAACTATTTTCACATGGAAGGTAAAGAAAAATGCAAAGTCCTCACACGTACTAAATAACCTGCAGGCTGCCTTATGTCCGGGACGTCTTGCAACGGCCTGGCGGTTAGAGCTCACGGAGATGTCCAGTTCAATTAGATGCTTCGTAAACCTGCTAGCAATTAACTCAGCCAGGAGCTGAGACCGAACACCAGGACTAAGAGGGGGTTACATCCCGGTCCAGGAGCTGAGACTTAACTGCCAGCTCCTGAACTACCTCGAGGCCGAGCTAGCAGTATCTACCAGCTTGACTAGCTGCCCTGGAGAAAATGACCCACCTCCAAATTCTATATTTTTATTATTATTATTATTTTTTGAGGCAGAGTCTCACTCTCTGTCCCCCAGGCTGGAGTGCAGTGGTGCGATCTCGGCTCACTGCAACCTCCGCCTCCCGGGTTCAAGCAATTCTCCTGCCTCAGCCTCCCGAGTACCTGGGACTACAGGCGCCCACCACCAGGCCCGGCTAATTTTTGGTATTTTTAGTAGAGACGGGTTTTCGCCATGTTGACCAGGCTGATCTTGAACTTCCGACCTCAAGTGATCCGCCCGCCTCGGCCTCCCAAAGTGCTGGGATGACAGGCGTGAGCCACCACGCCCGGCCTCCAAGTTCTATTGTAACCCATCTCTAACTTTGATTGTAACTGTAGGGAGGACAGATAGAATAGAATTTAGACCCAGGCTGGGTGCAGTGGTTCATGCCTGCAGTCCCAGCACTTTGGGAGGCTGAGGCAGGTGCATTGCTTGAATCCAGGCTGAGTGGTACAAAAAGTACCCTCAACTCTACAGTTGGAAGAGTAGACATTTAGACCTGGACAGAGTGTCTGTCCAGGCCTAAATTCTATTCTTTTTTCCTTTTTTTTTTCTTTTTGAGGCAGGGCCTCGCTCTATCACTCTGGCTGGACTGCCGTGGTACAGCCTCGGCTCATTGCAACCTCTGCCCCCTGGGCTCCTGCCTCAGCCTCCTGAGTAGCTGGGATCACAGGTGCCCGCCACCACGCCTGGCTAAGTTTTGTATTTTTGGTAGAGTTGGGTGTTTTTGTGTGTGTCATTCAGGCTGGGTTCAAGCAATCCACCTGTCTCGGGCTCTCAAAGTGCTGGGACTAACAGGCGTGAACCACTGCACCCAGCCTGGGTCTAAATTATATTCTACCTGTAGGCAGGACAGATAGAATAGAATTTAGAGATGGGTTAGAATAGCATTTAGAGATGGATTATTTTTTGTTTGTTTGATTTTGCTATAGGGCAGGGTGCTCAAAAGCAGCTGTGAGTCTGTTTAGATAACAGTGGACAGGCCGGGTGGGGTGGCTGATGCCTGTAATCCGGCACTTTGGGAGGCCGAGGCGGGCGGATCACGAGGTCAGGAGATTGGGACCATCCTGGCTAACACGGTGAAACCCCATCTCTACTAATACAAAAAATTAGCTGGGCGTGGTGGCGGGCACCTGTAGTCCCAGCTACTCAGGAGGTTAAGGCAGGAGAATGGTGTGAACCTGGGAGTGGAGCTTGCAGTGAGCCAAGATCGCACCACTGCACTCTAGCCTGTGGGACTGAGTGAGACTCTGTCTCAAAAAAAAAAAAAACAAAACAAAAAAATGTCATACGCAGGAGTGGCAAGTGGCAATTCTTTTTTTTTTTTTTTTTTTTTTTTTTTTTTTTTTTTGAGACGGAGTCTAGCTCTGTTGCCCAGGCAGGAGTGCAGTGGCACGATCTTGGCTCACTGCAACCTCCATCTCCCGGGTTCACGCCATTCTCCTGCCTCAGCCTCCCAAGTAGCTGGGATTACAGGTGTGCACCATTATGTCGAGCTAACTTTTGTATTTTTAGTAGAGATGGGGTTTCACCATGTTGGCCAGGCTGGTCTCGAACTCCTGACCTCAAATGATCCACCCACCTCGGCCTCCCAAAATGCTGGGATTACAGGCGTGAGCCGCTGCACCCAGCCTACTTTTACAGTGTCCAGGACAATGTCATTTTCACTGAAATATAATTAATTCCATTCTTCTTCAAGGTATTACATGTAAGAAGTTGAAAGGTCACCTTGTTTGTGTATGGATTATTGGTGGCTGAACTGCCTCTGAAATTCCTCTGTCATTGAGAAGAGCAGGGGTAGGTGTTCTGAGGGTGTAGAGAGGTGAAAGGAACAACCCGTAGTGGAGTTAATCCCAGGACCGTAGGTGACCCAGGGTTGATAAAGTCATCTGTGAGAAGTAAATGATATAAACAGGGTCAGGTCAACCTGTACAGGACTATGAACTTAATACACTTTACCTTAATAGACTGCTTCCTTGCTGTGATGAGTTCATGAAGTAGAAAGGGTGTCACCAGCCCACAGCCTGCACAGGACCAGGACTTCAATGCACTTGACCTCTCATTCCCTGAGTGAGGAACCCATGAAATGAGGGGGAGTCTCACCAGCTCAGAACCTGCACAGGACTAGGACCTCAACACACTTGACCGTTCTTTCCCTGTGTGAGGAATATATGAAGTGAGGAGGAATCTCACCAGCCCAGAGCCTGCACAGGATGAGGACCTCAATACACTTGTCCACTCTTTCCCTGTGTGAGGAATATATGAAGTGACAAGTGTGTCTCCAGCCCAGAGCCTACACATGACTAGGACCTCAATACACTTGACTTCTCCCTCCTCATGTGAGGAATAGATGAAGTGACGAGGGTCTCATCAGCCCACAACCTCCACAGGACCAGGACCTCAATACACTTGACTTCTCCTTCCCCATGTGAGGAATAGATGAAGTCACGAGGGTGTCACCAGCCCACAGTCTGCACAGGATGAGGACCTCAATACACTTTAACACTCTTTCCCTGTGTGAGGAATATATGAAGTCACGAGGGTGTCATCAGCCCAGAGCCTGCACATGACTAGGACTTCAATACACTTGACTTCTCCTTCCCCATCTGGGGAATAGATGAAGTCATGAGGGTGTCACCACTCCAGAGCCTGCCCAGGACCAGGACCTCAATACACTTGACCACTCTTTCCCTGTGTGAAGAATACATGAAGTGAGGAGGGTGTCACCACCCCAGAGCCTGCCCAGGACCAGGACCTCAATACACTTGACCACTCTTTCCCTGTGTGAGGAATACATGAAGTGATGAGGGTGTCACCAGCACAGAACCTACACATGACTAGGACCTCGATACACTTGACTTCTCCCTCCTCATGTGAGGAATAGATGAAGACACGAGGGTGTCACCAGCCCAGAGCCTGCACAGGACCAGGACCTCAATACACTTGGCCCCTCCTTCCCTGTGTGAGGAAGATATGAAGTGAGAGGTTCTCATTAGCCCAGAGCCTGCACCAGACAAGGACCTCAATATGCTTGGCCTCTCCTTCCTCATGTGAGGAATATATGAAATGAGAAAGGTCTCACCAGCCCAGAGCCTCCACAGGATCAGGACCTCAATACACTTGACCTGTCCTTCCCTGTGTGAGGAATAGATGAAGTGAAAATGGTCTCATCAGCCCAGAGCCTGCATTTTCATTCCACTCTTCCAATTTGGCCACAACACTGTAGAGTTGGACAGTCCCAGAGCCCCCCAAAATAGTCACTGAAGCCAAAATATCAGGAAGAGAAGAACTAGCTGTCTTTTCTATGCCATATTTTATCAGTGCAGACAGCTTTGAGGCTGATGTTCAAAGAATCCAAAAAAGGTAAGCATTTAATTATTTGTCCTTAATTGTAATACTCATTAAGGATTCCACCTTTATCATTAGCATATCATAAGATATCTTTCTTATGCAGATGAAAGTTGTGGAGATTCACTCTCTAGACAGCATTTAGTGAGATTAGGGTACTCAACCTACATCCATATCAAGGTAGCAGAAACGCATCTGAGAAAATTTAACCACTTATTTTGCCATGGTTCATGGAGATGACCTTAAGTGTGTCTGTCACCAAAAGGGACTTTGTAGGGTGAGAGTGATATAGTACATTGTCAAGGGAAGTTTGCTGATATCTAAGGCTGTTTTCTGGAATCTCCCTGTTGTGAGGAATCTATAAGGTGAGGAGGGCGTCATCAGCCCAGATCCTACACAGGACTAGGGACTCAATACACTTGACCTGTCCTCCTCTGCATGAGATCTGATGTCTCCATATCTTTTCCTGGTATGGCTCACAACCGAAACTTCACCTGAGTACAACAAAAACCCAGCCATGTTTTGCTGGGGCCACATCACATCCTTCCCATGATGGATTCTTTGGCCCAGTTTCCAGGGAGTATTCTTGGGTTTATCATATGTAGATACAGTCCTTGTTACCTCGACCTTAAAGCATCTTTGGCTGGGTGCAGTGGCTCATACCTTGATCCCAGCACTTTGGGAGGCCGAGGTGGGTGGATCACTTGAGGCTAGGAGATCAAGACCAGCCTGGACAACATGGTGAAACCCTGTCTCTACTAAAAATACAAAAAAAAATGAGCTGGGATTGGTGGTGTGCACCTGCAGTCCCAGCTACTGGGGAGGTTGAGGCAAGAGAATTGCTTGAACCCAGGAGGTGGAGGTTTCAGTGAGCTGAGATCATGTCAGTGTACTCCAGCCTGAGCAACAGAGTGAGATTCAGTTTTGTTTTTTTGTTTTTGTTTTTGTTTTTGTTTTTTTGAGACAGAATCTCACTCTGTCCCCCAGCTGGAGTGCAGTGGCGCGATCTCGGCTCACTGCAACCTCCACCTCCCGGGTTCACGCCATTCTCCTGCCTCAGCCTCCCAAGTAGCTGGGACTAAAGGTGCCCACCACCAAGCCCGGCTAATTTTTTGTACTTTTAGTAGAGATGGGGTTTTACCGTGTCAGCTAGGATGGTCTTGATCTCCTGACCTTGTGATCTGCCCACCTGTGCCTCCCAAAGTGCTGGGATGACAGGCGTGAGCCACTGCGCCTGGTGAGATTCAGTCTTAAAAACAAAAAAACGAAAAGAAAAAGAAAAAAGAAAGCATCCAGGTGATCTTCCCTATGGGTCATAGATGTCTTCACCCAGGGTGAATGTAGAACCGTGCACACCCAGACAATGCTGAGAATGAAGTGTGTAGGACTCAGATACAGATGATCTCAGGTAGAGGCTGCAGCTAGAAGCATTATTAAAGGTCCACATTAGCTTTCCCTCCCCTTCTCCCTGGGATGCTGCTACCCTCATTGAAGCTTCAGCCACCACATGCTCTCTACCGAGACGGCAGCTTCCCAAAGTGCTCCTCAACTCCCATCCTTGACTTCTTCCAGTCATTCTCCACGTAGCAGCTAATATTCTTTGAAGTCAAATTACGTCATTCTCATGCCTCTAAGGTAGGAAGCAGGACATGACCGCAGAGGCAGGGCTAAGACACTGGACCAGGTTGAGGACTAGCTAAAGCAGGTCTAGGGCAGAAGCAGCTCTCCATTAGTGATGTGGTTTGGCTGTGTCCCTACCCAAATCTCATCTCGAATTGTAGCTCCCATAATTCCCATGTGTTGTGGAAGATAATTTCATCATGGAGGCAGTTCCCCCATACTGTTCTTGTGGAAGTGAATAAGTCTCATGAGATCTGATGGTTTTAGAAGGGTAAATCTGTTTCATGTGGTTCTCATTCTCTTCTTGCCTGCCGCCATGTAAGAAGTCCCTTGCTCTTGCGCGATGATCGTGAGGTTTCCCCAGCCAAGTGGAAGTGTAAGTCCATTAAACCTCTTTCCTGTATAAATTATGCAGTCTTGGATATGTCTTTATTGGCAGCATGAGAACAGACAAATACGAAAGGACACACCCACCAGTACCATGTCATGCTACAAATACAATAAGACACACCCACCTGGTCCCATTTCCATGACAACACCCAGATGTTACTGCTCCTTTCCATGGCAATGACCCAATGACCCAGAAGGGGGTATATTTTTTTTCTAGAAATTACTGCAAAACCTGCCCCTTAATTTGCATGTAATTGGAAGCATTGATAAATATGATTGTGGAACTGCCTCTGAGCTGCTACTCTGGACTCAGTGCCCATGGGTAAGCCTGCTCTGCAAAGACCAGCACCTCTGCTGCTGCTGTGAACTGCCACTTCATAACAGTTGGTGGGACTGTCAATTAGTTCAACCACCGTGGAAGACAGCGTGGCAATTCCTCAAGGATCTAGAACCAGAAATAGCATTTGACCCAGCAATCCCATGACTGGGTACACACCCAAAGGATTATAAATCATTCCACTATAAACACGCATGCATGCGTGTCTTTATTGCGGCACTGTTCACAATAGCAAAGACTTGGAACCAACCTAAATGCCCATCAATGATAGACTGGATGAAGAAAATGTGGCACATAGACACCATGGAATACTATGTGGCCATCAAAAAGAATGAGTTCATGTCCTTTACAGGGACATGGATGAAGCTGGAAACCATCATTCTCAGCAAACTAACATAGGAACAGAAACCAAACACTGCATGTTCTCACTCATAAGTGGGAGTTGAACAATGAGAACACATGGACACAGGGAAGGGAACATCACACACTGGGGCCTGTCAGGGGATGGGGGGTTAGGGGAGGGATATCATTAGAAGAAATACCTAATGTAGATCATGGGTTGGTGGGTGCAGCAAGCCGCCATGTCATGTGTATACTTATGTAACAAAACTGCACTTTCTGCCCATGTACCCCAGAACTTAAAGTATAATAATAATAAAAAAAAGTTGGTGTCTAACACCACCAGCTCACTCTTGAGTTATTTTCTAGATGAGACCAAAAACCCTTCCAGGCTAAGCCCCAATTTGGGGCTCACCTGCCCAGCGCCATCTCCAACCTTCACCTTCAATTTCTTCTGTTTCTTCCCCGGGACATGGAATAAATCCACCCTGGACTTTGAGCCCCAGATATGGGGATGTAGCAAACTTCTCAGGCTCCCACCCACAGTGTGCCCACTCTGCAGCTCCTTTTTCCATGTCCCTAACACTCTTAGCTCTTTCCAGCCTCCAGGTGCTGGACGTGGTGGGTGCCTCTCCCTGTAGTTCCCTCTCCAGCTCATATGTGGCTCTTTCTCTCTCTTCTTCTTCTTCTTCTTCTCCTCCTTCTCCTTCTCCTCCTCCTCCTCCTCTTCCTCCTTTTCCTCCTTTTCCTCCTTCTCCTTGTCCTTCCCTCCTCCTCCTTCTCCTCCTTCTCCTCCTCCTCCTCTTCTTTCTCCTCCTCTTCCTTCTCCTCCTCCTTCTCCTCGTCCTTCTCCTTCTCCTCCTCCTTCTCCTTCTCCTCGTCCTTCCCTCCTCCTCCTCCTCTTCTTTCTCCTCCTCTTCCTTCTCCTCATCCTTCTCCTCCTCCTCCTTCTCCTCCTCCTCATCCTTCTCCTCCTCCTTCTCATCCTTCTCCTCCTCCTCCTCGTCCTTCTCCTTCTCCTCCTTCTCCTCCTCCTCCTTCTCCTCCTCCTCATCCTTCTCCTCCTCCTTCTCATCCTTCTCCTCCTCCTCCTTGTCCTTCTCCTTCTCCTCCTTCTCCTCCTCCTCCTACTCCTCCTCCTCCTTCTCCCCGTACTTCTCCTTCTCCTCCTCCTCCTTCTCCTCCTCCTTTTCCTTCTCCTTCTTCTTGTTTTTTTGTTCTTCTTCCTCTCTCCACCCCACCCCTCATCCTTCCACAGTCTGGGGAGCTTAAACAACAAATATTTATATTCTCTGTTCTGGAGATCAGAAGTTTGAGATGAAGGTGTCTCAGGATTGCACTTCCTCTGCAGGCTTTAGGGGAGGATGCTTCCTGCCACTCCCAGCTCCTGGGGGGTCCAGGCGTCCCTGGGCTTGTGGCCTCATCACTCCAGTCTCTGCCTCCATCTCCATGTGACCTTCTCCTCTGTGTCTGTGTCTCCTCTTCTGTCTCTTAGAAGGACACCTGTCATTGCATTTAGGGCCCAGCCTAATCCAGGATAACCTCATCTCAAACTCCTTCAGTTCACTGTATCTGCAAAGACCCTATTTTCAAATAAGTTCTCGTTCACAGATACTGGGAGCTTAAAACTACAGAAATTTATTCTCTCTCTGTCCTGGAGACCATGACTCTGAGATGAAGATATCTCAGGGCCGTGCTCCCTCCACAGTCTCTAGGGGAGGGTCCTTCCTGCCTCTCCCAGCTCCTGGGTGCTCCAGGCATCCCTGGCTTGTGGCCGCCTCACTCCAGTCTCTGCCTCCGTCTCCACGTGGCCTTCTCCTCTGTGTCTGTGTCTCCTCTTCTGTCTCTTAGAAGGACATTTACCATTGCATTTAGGGCCCATCCTAATCCAGGATTATCTCATCTCCAGATCCTTAATTACATCTACAAATAACCTTTTTCCAAATGAGGTCCCATTCCCAGGTTCCTGGGCTTAGGACATGGACATATCTTTTGGACGTCACCACCCAACCCATTGCAGTTGTGTTTTGTTCTTCCTGGAGGCTCTAGGGGAGGGTCCTTCCTGCCTCTCCCAGCTCCTGGGGGCTCCAGGCATCCCTGGGCTTGAGGCCCCATCACTCCAGTCTCTGCCTCTGTCTCCACGTGGCCTTCTCCTCTGTGTCTGTGTCTCCTCTTCTGTCTCTTAGAAGGACACCTGTCATTGCATTTAGGATCCACCCTAATCCAGAATGATGTCATTCTAACTTAACTGCATTGGTAAAGACTGTCTTTCCAAATAAGACGACGTTGCCTAGTTGTAGGGCTTTGGAGTTCAACATTTTTTTTTTTTTGGAGAGCCCCCTATTCAACCTGTAACATTAAATATTATATATTATTCCCCTCTTCAACCCATAACATCATATATTATATATTATAAATGGTTGTTCTTTCTACATTATCAACATATCATTATCTATTTATATTTTATAAGTGCTTTAGAAAGAAAGAAAATGAATGGGGTTATATGATGAATGAGTCAGCTGTGTTCATCCCTCCTGATGGAAAATGAAGGTGGCCAAAATGCTAAATTGAGAATTCATTTGTCCCCTAAAGATATAGCCTTAGTAGGCCAGCATGAGGCCATTTTCTTGTCTTCCTTTTCCGTTCATACGATGATCTATATTCTATTCTCCTTATACACTAACTCTGTGTGATCTTTGCCTAGATAAACTTTCATCAAACGACTAATGAACAGAAAGTTTAAAAAATAGATTAATCACCAAATAATTGCGTTCGGAGTGTGTCCAAGTATAGAAAAATCAGGGCATTCGCAGATAAGAACAGATTTCAATATTTATGAAGTACTTTTTCTATAATTAAGAAGAATTCTGCAAAAGATTTTTATTGTCATTATTCTTTTGAATCTTAATCCATAAATGGTTATCAAATCATTAAAAGAAAAATGTATAACCCCAACATGAATTATCTTTCCTTTGATGAGCCTGGCAGAATATCAGTCGTTTTAGGTGTTTGGATCACTTTTGAGGATACATAAATGGCATTAGAAGTTTTCAGTCTAATTATAAGTCTGAAAACAGGGGCAGAAAAGAAGAGACACAAACAAAAGAGGAAGACAAAAAGTGGAGTGAGAGACATTGTGACATCCAGATGATGGAGGGGAATGAGGCATTTGTGCATTATTACCTTGGAAGTTCTCTAAAGATGGAATATATTCTGTGTCATCGTGTAAGCCAAAAATGAAATCTTAAGGGTTTGAACCCATTGAACCTTTTTTTTTTTGAGATAGAGTCTTGCTCTGTCACCCAGGCTGGAGTGCAGTGGCACAATCTCGGCTCGCTGCAAGCTCCGCCTCCCGGGTTCAAGGGATTCTCCTGCCTCAGCCTCCCCAGTAGCTGGGACTACTGGCACATGCCACCACGCTCAGCTAATTTTTGTATTTTTGGTAGAGATGGGGTTTCACCATGTTGGTCAGGCTGGTCTTGGACTCTTGACCTCATGATCCGCCCGCCTCGGCCTCCCAAAGTGCTGGGATTACAGGTCTGAGTCACCACGCCTGGCCTGAACTGACCCTCTCTTAACCAAGGAGACTCCAGAGAAAAACTAGATTCCTGGCTGGGATGGTGAATATTGAGTGTCAACTTGATTGGATTGAAGAATGCAAAGTATTCATTGAGGCTGTGTCTGTGAGGTTCTTGCCAAAGGATATTCACACTGGAGCCAGTGGACTGAGAGAGGCAGACCCACCTTCTCTCTGGGTGGGCACCATCCCATCAGCTGCCAGCTGGGCTAGGATAGAAGCAGGCAGAGGTTGGTGGGAGGACTAGACTGGCTGAGTCTTCCGGCCTCCATCTTTCTCCCACGCTGGATGCTTCCTGCCTTTGACCATAGACTCCATCACGCTCCATCAGTTTTTAGACTATTGGATGTGCACCACTGGTTTGCCAGGGACTCTTGTCACCCAGGCTGGAGTGCAGTGGCACGATCTCGGCTCACTGCAAGCTCCGCCTCCCAGGTTCAAGTGATTCTCCTGCCTCAGCCTCCTGAGTACCTGGGACTACAGGCACCCGCCACCAAGCACGGCTAATTTTTTGTATTTTTAGTAGAGACGGGGTTTCAGCGTGTTAGCCAGGATGGTCTCGAAGTCTGCCCTGTTGGCCTCCCTGCTTTTGATGTTTTGGGATGTGGACGGGATTCACCACTGGCTTTCTGGCTTCTCAACTTGCAGATGGCCTGTTGTGGGATTTTCACCTTGTGATGGGGTGAGTCAATTCTCCTAATAAAATCCCCTTTATTTTATTTTGAGACGGAGTCTCACTCTGTTGCCAGGCTTGAGTGCAGTGGTGCAATCTCGGCTCACTGCAAGCTCTGCCTCTTGGGTTCAAGCGATTCTCCTGCCTCAGCCTCTGGAGTACCTGGGATTACAGGCGCCTGCCACCACGCCCAGCTAATTTTTTGTATTTTTAGTAGAGATGGGGTTTCACCATGTTGGTCAGGCTGGTCTCGAACTCCTGACCTTGTGATCCACCCGCCTCAGCCTCCCAAAGTGCAGGGATTACAGGCATGTGCCACCGCGCCCACCTAATTTTTTTGTATTTATAGTAGAGACGGGGTTTCTCCATGTTGGTCAGGTTGGTCTCGAACTCCTGACTTCAGGTGATCCACCTGTCTCAGCCTCCCAAAGTGCAGGGATGACAGGCGTGAGCCATTGCACCTGGCCAATAAACTCGCTTTTATATATTAATCAATCCTATTAGTTCTGTCCCTCTAGCCAACCCTGATTAATATGCTGGCCATGATGAAAATGGAGATCAGATAGCACTTGTTATACCTGGCACCCTTGGAGTTTAGGCCCAGCTGACCATTAATGTTGAAAAAAGGTAAATAAAGGTTAAAAAAGGGGGTCATAAGACACAAGAACATACTCTTGGCAGCAATAAGATACCAAATTCCTGCCTGACTCTGGTGTACCCTTATGTGACACAGAGCAGGACCTGGAGGAAATCTAAATATTTTACCCTAAAATGTATTTTTTTGGCCGGGTGCAGTGGCTCACGGCTGTAATCCCAGCACTTTGGGAGGCTGAGGTGGGTGGGTCACAGGGTCAGGAGTTTGAGACCAGCCTGACCAACATGGTGAAACTCCGTGTCTACTAAAAATACAAAAATTAGCCAGGTGTGGTGGCAGGCACCTGTCATGCCAGGTGGGTTTTACTCAGTCACCATTAATAAGACAAACCAACACAGGGAGGGGTCCATTGTGAAGCTGTAACTCAATTTTATAAACAAAATAATAAAAATAATACAAAAACATGAGACATTTGCTGCTGGAGAGAGGAAGAGAGAAAGAAAGGGGCAGACAGAAGACACACAAAATAAAAAACTTTGGAGGTTGGGTATGGTGGCTCCCGCTTGTCATCCCAACACTTTGGGAGACCGAGGCGGGAGGATCACTTGATTCCAGGAGTTTGACACCAGCCTGGGCAACACAGGGAGACTCCATCTCTACAATATATATATATATATATATATATATATATATATATATATATATTTTATTTTTTGACACTGAGTCTCGCTCTGTCGCCCAGGCTGGAGTGCAATGGCACAATCTCGGCTCACTGCAAGCTCCGCCTCCCGGGTTCACGCCTTTCTCCTGCCTCAGCCTCCCGAGTAGCTGGGACTACAGGTGCCCGCCACCACGCCCGGCTAATTTTTTTGTATTTTTAGTAGAGACGGGGTTTCACTGTGTTAGCCAGGATGGTCTCCATCTCCTGACCTCGTGATCCACCCACCTCGGCCTCCCAAAGTGCTGGGATTACAGGCGTGAGCCACGACACCCGGCCACAAAATATTTTTTAAAATGAGCAGGGCATGGTGGTGAGTGTCTATGGTTCCAGCTATAAGGAAAGTTGAGGTGGGAGGATCTCTTGAGCCCAGGAGTTTGAGACCAGCCTAGACAACATAGCAAGACCCCATCGCTATAAAAAAAATTACCCAGGCATGGTGGCATGCACTTGTAGTCCCAGCTACTCAGGCAGTTAAGGCGGGAGGATTGCTTTAGCCCAGGAGTTCCAGACAAGCCTGGGAAACATCACAAGACCTCATGTCTATAAAAAAATTTTAAAAATTATCCAGGCATGGTAGCACAAACCTGTAGTCCCAGCTACTCAGGCAGTTAAGGCAGGAGGATTGCTTTAGCCCAGGAGTTCCAGACAAGCCTGGGAAACATCACAAGACCTAATGTCTATAAAAAAATTTTAAAAATTATCCAGGCATGGTAGCACAAACCTGTAGTTCCAGCTGCTCAGGCAGTTAAGGCAGAAAAAATGCTTGAGCCTTGGAGTGTGAGAGCAGCCTGGAAAACATAGCAAGATCCCATGTCTATAATTTTTTTTTTTTTTTTTTTTTTTTGAGACGGAGTACCGCTCTGTCACTCAGGCTGGATTGCAGTGGCGCGATCTTGGCTCACTGCAAGCTCCACCTCCCGGGTTCACGCCATTCTCCTGCCTCAGCCTCCTGAGTAGCTGGGACTACAGGCGCCCACCACCATGCCTGGCTAATTTTTTTTTTTTTGTATAAAAATTTTTTAAAAAACATCCGGGCATGGTGGCATGCACCTGTAGTTCCAGCTTCTTACTCAGTTGAGGCAGAAGGATGACTTAAGCCCAGGAGTTGGAGGCTGCAGTGAGGCAGCCAGGATCATTTCCCTGCAGTCCAGCCTGGGTGACAGAGCAAGACCCTGAGAAAGAAGAAGGAAAGAAAAAAAGAAAGAAAGAAGGAAAAAAGAAAGAAAGAAAGAAAGAAAGAAAGAAAGAAAGAAAGAAAGAAAGAAAGAAAGAAAGAAAGAAAGAAAGAGAAAGAAAGAAAGAAAAGAGAAAGAAAGAAAAGGAAGGAAGGAGAGAAAGAAGAGAAAGAAAAGAAACAAAGAAGAAAGGAGAAAAGAAAAAAGGAATTATGGAAAAGAAAGCAGGGGGAGACGTTGGGAAGACAGCCAGAAAAGGCCCTGTCCTTTCCCCGGGCCCTGGCTGACCGTGTAATGGCAAATTGATATAGGGCTGCAGCCCTGTCCTTCATGGAAAGTGACTGAGAGATCTGTCAGGACCCGTGTGCGCATTTTGATCTGCAGAAAGATTGAATTAGGCAGGGGATTAGAGTGAGGAACATTGCGATGCTTGCCGTTGTGAAAACAAATGTCAGGTAGGCGTTCATTAGGCGGGCTGGGAGCAAGCCAGCTCTGTAGAAAGCACATTTATAGCCCACGAGGACACAGCATTTGACCTTGTCCCGTTGGAAGAAGCGGGGAGGGGGGTGGCGGATCCCAGGAGTTGATTTGTACGGCAGTGGCAATGAGTGGGTTGGGGGCTATTTGTTGAACGTCTCTGTGGGCTGTGGGCTTCTGTCTGCAGGGTTCTTTTGTTCCTGGTGTGTGTGCCATCTCATGCGTGCATAAGAACATACATGAATGCACACACACACGTACACACAGTGTGGTTACACATGCGTGCCTGGGAGGTGGCATATTCAGGTTTTGTCTTTGCTAGATTGTTACTCCAGCCATGCACAAGCTTTCACATGTGTGCAGTCATGCAAACATGCACACACATGCACACACACACATGCACACACAGTGTGGATACACATGCATGCCTGGGAGAAGGCATACGCAGATTTCTTCTTTGCTAGCTTCTTGCTGTGGCCATGCACAAACTCTCACATGTGTGCACTCATACAAACATGCACATACATGCATGCACACACAGTGTGCATACACATGCATGCCTGGGAGGAGGCATATGCAGATTTATTCTTTGCTAGCTTCTTGCAGTGGCCATGCACAAACTCTCACGTGTGTGTGCACTCATGCACACATGCACACTCACACACATATGCACACATGTGCATGCAAAGTGTGATTACACATGCAGTCTTAGGAAGAGGCATATACAGATTTCTTGTCTGCTAGATTCTTGCTCCAGGCATGCACAAGCTCTCACAAGTGTGCAGTCATGCAAACATACACACACACACATGCACACACAGTGTGCATACACATGCATGCCTGAGAGGAGGCATATGCAGATTTTTCTTTGCTAGATTCTTGCTGTGGCCATGCACAAGCTCTCACGTGTGTGTGCACTCATGCACACATGCGCACACACACACATCCACACACGTGCATGCACGCACAGTGTGGTTACATATGTGTGCCTGGGAGGTGGCATATGCAGATTTTGTCTTTGCTAGATTGTTACTCCAGCCATGCACAAGCTTTCACATGTGTGCAGTCATGCAAACATGCATATACATGCATGCACACACATGCACACACAGTGTGGATACACATGCGTGCCTGGGAGAAGGCATATGCAGATTTATTCTTTGCTAGCTTCTTGCTGTGGCCATGCAGAAGCACTCATGTCTATGTGCACACATGTACACGCACACACATCCACACATGTGCACGCACACACAGTGTGGTTAAACTTTTATGCCTGGGAGTTGGCACAGGCTAATTTTCTCTTTGCTAGATTCTTGCTCTGGCCACGCACAAGCTCTCACGTGTCTGTGCAGTCATGCAAACACACACACACGCAGTGCACAAGCTCTCACATGTGTGTGCAGCCATGCAAACACACACACACACATGCAGTGTCTATATGCACGACTGGCTGGGAAGAAATCCAGGTGAAATGCCTCTTTGCTTTGTGGTTCCCCTAAGCTCCATCTTGACCAGACACCTGACCTCAGTCAAATCCAGGAAAACAGTAAATCGGGTCAATTCTCAAGGGGGATCTTGTTTTTATCCAACTGACAACTACCAGATATGTATTTACTTGTTTGCAAGCGTGTTTTAATTAATTTATTTATTTATTTTTGAGACACAGTTTCATTCTATCTCTGCAGTGCCATGGCATGATCTCAGCTCACTGCAGTCTCTGCCTCCCAGGTTCAAGCAATTCTCCTGCCTCAGCCTCTGGAGTAGCTGAGATGACAAGCATGCACCACCACGCCCAGCTAATTTTTGTATTTTTGGTAGAGACTGGGCTGGTCTTGATCTCCTGACCTCAGGTGATCCACCTGCCTCGGCCTCCCAAAGTGCTGGGATTACAGGCATGAGCCACTGTGCCCGATCTATTTTGAAATTTTTATAGATTTTAGGGGTTTAAGTGCAATTTTGTTGCATGTGTAGATTGCAGAATGGTGAACTCAGAGATTTTAGTGTATCCATCACCCAAATAGTGTATATTGTACCCATTAAATAACTTCTCATCCGTCTGCTTCAGCCTCCCGAGTAGCAGGGATTACAAGTGTGTGCCAGCAAGCCCGTCTACTTTTTGTATTTTTTTTTTAAGAAGAAACAGGGTTTCACCATGTTGGCCAGGCTGGTCTCGGTCTCGAACGCCTGACCTCAGGTGATCTGCCCGCCTCGGCCTCCCAAAGTGCTGGGACGACAGGCATGAGCCCGCGTGCCCTGCTGCAGGTGTCTTTTTGATAGAATGACTTCTTTTCCTTTGGATAGATAACCAGGAGTGGAATTGTTCCATGGAAGGGTCGTTCTGTTTTCGGTTCT
Organism: Homo sapiens; assembly: GCF_000001405.40. NCBI lineage: Eukaryota > Metazoa > Chordata > Mammalia > Primates > Hominidae > Homo > Homo sapiens. The sequence continues at coordinate 769,764 of NC_000024.10, forward strand.
TTGAGAAATTTCCAGGTGTGTAAAACAAAAACCTCTGCCATTGCTTCCAGCCTGAGGTTTGGAATGTTTGGGGTGGGCAGCGGGAGAAAAATGGTGGAGAGGCCTCACATTGGCCCCAGCCAGCCTGAGGATATCCTACTGCACCTGCCAGGGGCCCTGTGGGACCTCCCTGCTGCTAACAAGCATGCCTCATTTACCATGCAAATGTTCCTTGGGGAGTCAGGCCTATCCATCACTCACCCTTCTTCCAGGACCTACCCCTCCCTTCCCTCCCCTCCCCCCACAATGGTCTCCAGTCACAGGAGGTCTTAACACACATCAGCTGTGCTGGGCTGGCAGTGCGGATGTCAGTTTGGTGGGGCCCAAAGTGAAGTGTATCTTAAGGGTTTTCTTTAAGGAAAACAACAACAACAAGAAAACGTGAAATCTCTCACAAGATCCATTCTGGTACATTGGACATTGCTGCTCTGTGGGGTCCTGAACTGGTTCATGGAGGAGGGAGGAAAGAAGGAAGGAAGGAAGGAAGGAAGGAAGGAAGGAAGGAAGAAAGGAGAGAGGGAAAAGATAAAAGGGAGGGAGGGAGGAAGAGAGGAAGAAAGGGAGGAAAAGAAGGAAGGAGGACAGGAGGAGGGACAAGTAAGAAAGGAAAGAAAGGAGGAAAAGAAGAAAGAAGAAAGGAGGGAGAGAAGGACAGAAAGAGGGCGAGAGAGAAAGAAAGAAAAAAACACTATCTATCCTATGAATGTATGATGTATTAATCATCTCCCTGTCATCTACTTGTCATACATCTACCTATCTCATTTATCTATCATCAATCATCTACATATCTGTCTTATCTATCTATTCATCTTATCTATGTATCTATTACCATCATGTATCTATATATCTATCTACCTAAGTATGTATCTGTTACCATCATCTATTTATCTATCTATCTACCTATCTATTACCATCATCTATCTATCTATCTATCTATCTTCTATCTACCTTCTATCTACCTATGTATGTATCTATTACCATCATCTATCTATCATCTATCTATCTATCTATCTATCTATCTATCTATCTATCTATTACCATCATCTGTCTATCTATCTATCTATCTTCTATCTATCTTCTATCTACCTTCTATCTACCTATGTATGTATCTATTACCATCATCTATCTATCATCTATCTATCTATCTATCTATCTATCTATCTATCTATGTATCTATTACCATCATCTATCTATCTATCTATCTATCTATCTATCTATCTATCTATCTTCTATCTATCTTCTATCTACCTTCTATCTACCTATGTATGTATCTATTACCATCATCTATCTATCATCTATCTATCTATCTATCTATCTATCTATCTATCTAAGTATCTATTACCATCATCTATCTATTTGTCTATCTATCTATCTACCTACCTATCATCTTCTATCTACCTAAGTATGTATCTATTACCATCATCTGTCTATCATCTATCTATCTATCTATCATCTATCTATCTATCTATCTATCATCTATCTACCTAAGTATCTATTACCATCACCTATCTTCTATCTATCTATGTATCTCTCTATCTTCTATCTATCTATCTATCTATCTATCTATCTATCTATCTATCTATCAAGTATCACCATCATCTATGTATCTCTCATCTATTTTATCTATACATCTATCTATCATCTATCATCCATCTATATGTCTCTTTTGTATTATGGCACAATACACATAACATAAGATTTACCTTTTAACAACTTTAAAATGCAAAGTTCAGTGCCACGAAGTCCATTCCCAATGTTGGGCCACCATCACCACTGTCTCATTTCAAAACATTGTCATCAGATTGCACTGAATGGAGACACCAGGTGATGCCTGCTTAGTCAGAGAGCAGACGTTTGCTCAGCAAGGGGCTGGGGCCAGGAGAATGGCGGACAGAGCATGGCCGAGAAGGCTGTCTTCAGCCTCCAGCCCCAGCCCGTCTCTGCCATCTGCATCCCTGAACTATTGGAAGAGGGGTTGACTGATGGTTGGTTGCCTGTCATCTCTCCTCTTTGATCACAGCCCTGCTTCTTGTTCAATCTCCCCCTCTCCCCCACCCCCTGCCAACCATCCAGCCACTGCTCTCTCTCTCTCTCTCTCTCTGATCCCCACAGTGGATGGAAGACCCCACCCCGCATTTCCAAACACACAGAATATAGTCTCACTCTTCAAAGCAACCACGAATCTCTATGACTATTTCAAAATCGTCAGGAGAGGGAATCTGGGTGAGGTTGACTCAGGGATCTGGGATCACAGGGCGGGGGTCAGACGAAGCCGGCTTCTGTAGCTGAGGAGGGACGGAGAGCTGACAGAGGCCCTGGGGGCCACACAGCGTGAAGTTTCCATTGCAGGAGTGATGACCGCACCAAGAACCTTTCACAGCACGGGTCAACCCAAGGCCATCTCAGAGACGCTTGAATATGCAGCGAGGTTGAGAGCTGTTTCAGGGCAATGTTCAGATGCAAATCTTCTGCTTCGTTCATAAAATAGAATGAACTAAGATTTTTTTATTTTTTTCTTTTTGAGATGGAGTCTTGCTCTGTCGCCCAGGCTGGAGTGCAATGGCACGATCTCGACTCACTGCAACTTCCACTTCCCCGGTTCAAGTGATTCTCCTGCCTCAGCCTCCCAAATAGCTGGGATTACAGGCGCCCGCCACCACACCCAGCTAATTTTTGTAGTTTTAGTAGAGACGGGGTTTCATCGTGTTGGTCAGGCTGGTCTCGAACTCCTGACCTCGTGATCCGCCCACCTCGGCCTCCCAAAGTGCTGGGATTACAGGCGTGAGCCACTGTGCCCAGATGGCTTTGCTATTCCTATCTGTGCCTGAATAAGCCGCCTCTTTGAGGTCTTCAATGAATGGTTGTTGAATGAAGGAGTGAGTACGTGGCTTGTTCGGCACATTTCAGCCAAGGATGTTCCACGAAGTGTCAACCATTCTTTCAACAATCCATTCATGATCGAGTGAATAAGATGAAATGACATCATGGAATCCATAAGATGAAAAAGCTCAAGAGGAAATAATGAAAGCACAATCATTGTCAGGAAAACAAGGGCATTGGCCGGGCGCGGTGGCTCACGCCTGTCATCCCAGCACTTTGGGAGGCCGAGGCGGGTGGATCACCTGACCTCAGGAGTTTGAGACCAGCCTGACCAACATGATGAAACCCCATCTCTACTAAAAATACAGAAATTGGCCGGGCATGGCAAGATCATGCCCCTGCACTCCAGCCTGGGTGGCAGAGTGAGACTCCATCTGAAAAAAAAAAAAAGGAAAGAAAGAAAGAGGAAAGAAAAAGAAAGAAAGAAGTAAGAAAGAGAAAAAAGAAAGAGAAAGAAAGAAAGAGGAAAGAAGAAAGAAAGAAAGAAAGAAAGAAAGAAAGAAGAAGGAAAGAAAGAAAGAAAGAAAGAAAGAAAGAAAGAAGAAAGAAAGAAAGAAGGAAAGAAAGAAAGAGAAGAAAGAAAGAAAAAAGAAAGAGAGAGGGAGGGAGGGAGGAAAGAAGGAAGGAAAGAAAGAAAAAGAAAGAAAGAAACAAAGAAAGAAGGAAAGAAGGAAAGGAGAGAGGGAAGTGGAAGGGAGGCAAGGGGGAGGGAGGGAGTGAAGGAGGGAGGGAAGGAAAGAAGGAAGGAAGGAAGGACAAAAGAAAGAGAGAGAGAAAGAAAAGAAGAAAGAAAGAAGAAAAGAAAGAAGAAAGAAAGGAAAGAAGAAAGAAAAGAAAGAGAAAAAGAAAGAAAGAAGGAAGGGAGAGAGGAAGGAAGGAAGGAAGAAAGGCCATTAAGATTCCCTAAGCTATGGAGAACATTGATCTATTATGGGTTTCTCATGCTGGTGACGGGGAGAAAGTGGCAGATGATTGGTGGACGGATGGATACCTGATTTCTCAGAGTCTTGTTATCTTCTGAGTGCCAGGCTATCATTTTATAGAGGAAGCTAATAGAAACGGTCTGGCAATGGGCCTGGGGTCATCCGCTGGTGAGTAGCCGAGCCTGGTTCTGACGATGCACGTACCTGGCCCACAGGTGGAGGCTGTTAGGGGATGTCATAGGTAAGCAACAGGCCTTGAGCAGTGCTACCTGGCACTCCACAGCGTGCTAACCACCCCAAATTTTGCAGAAATCCTATAACATAGAAACGTTAAGAAACCTCAGAGGCAACAGGACTTTCATCCAGAAAGGGCAGGTGCATGGTGAGTCCCCCTGTCTCATCAGCTGGGTAAGAACTGGGTGATATTTCTATTTCTACACACAGGCTGACTTAGAGGCTTGAAGGTCCATAGCTAAGATCAGGGTGGGTATGGCAGGTGCATGTTCTCCATGTGATTCCATCTCCTGACTGTGCTTTTTGGTACCTGGAAAGATCGTCTGTCTCTGAAACGACGGTGTGTGTGCTGCGTTGAAGGTGAACACAGCCCACGGTCATCTCTGCTCTTTTGGAAAAGTCACCACACATGTCCACAGATCCTTCCCGGCCAACTCTTTGGCAACTCCAGCAGCTGGGAGTCCATTTTCCTAATTTCTGCTTCTCACCGTAGTTCATAAATCAGAATGCAGATGAGAGACTCATGGTTAATTTTCCGCAGCGAGCCCAGAACGTCGGAGCCCATAAACTGCAGGAAGTCTCGGGCTGTGAATTTCTTGATGCTGACAAGTCAAACAGCTTAGAAATCATAATTATAAGTTACAAGTGGCTTAGGGGTTGTTCTCCGGACATAAAACTAATTTCATGTTTTTATTCATACTGTGTGAGAGAAAAGAGGGGAACGGGCTGGCGTTGGAGGGTGCTCCTGCAGATATCACAAGCTCCCTCTCTCAGCCTTAATGAGATCAGACGGCTTGCTTCCTTCTTTGTTACTGTCTGACTTGCCTTGAGGGGCTTTTGACGACTGTGTGGATGCTGCCCCTGCTTTTTTTCCGAGAGCGTACCTGTGAGGACGTGGCCAACCCAGGGGGTCTTCACCAATAGGACACCGCATTTGCCCCCAGCACTGTGGCCTCAACATATATCTCTGTAAGAGTCCCCTGGGCCTACCATAAAAAAAGGACCCCAAACTGGGGGACTTGAAGCAGCAGAAATAAGATTCTCTGCTTGTTGAGGAGGCCAGAAGGCTGGAAGGAAGGGGTCCCTGGGGTTGATTGCTTCTGGAAACTATGATGGCATATTCATTTCATGCCTTTCTCTTTTTTTTTTTTTTTTTGGGGAGGGGGGACAGAGTCTCTCTCTGTCGCCCTGGCTGGAGTGCAGTGGCACGATCTCGGCTCACTGCAAGCTCTGTCTCCTGGGTTCACGCCATTCTCCTGCCTCAGCCTCTCGAGTAGCTGGGACTACAGGCACCTGCTACCGTGCCCAGCTAACTTTTTGTATTTTTAGTAGAGACAGGGTTTCACCATGCTAGCCAGGATGGTCTCGATCTCCCGACCTCGTGATCCGCCCGCCTGGGCCTCCCAAAGTGCTGGGATGACAGGCGTGAGCCACTGCACCTGGCCTCATGCCTTTCTCTTATGTTCTGGTGATCCCAGCCATCTTTGGTTTGCAGACGCGTCTTTCCAATCTCTGCCGTCACCTTCATGGTCTTGATAGCTGTGTGTGTTTTTACGAACTCTCTCGTCTTGTTTATGAGAAGTCTAGTCATTAAATTGAAGGTTCACCCTAACCCAGTATGACCTCCTAGTCATTTACATCTTAACCCACTTATTCCCAAGGTTGCAAGTTTTTTGAATTTTTGCAATCAGAGCTTGGTGATGACCTTCAGCCATAGGATATCAATAACTTCCACAAGCCTAGTGTTCCATTATTGGAACACTAGGCATAAATGAGTGTTTACATCTGCAAAGATCCTATTCCCAAGTAAAGTCCCCTTCACAGATACCGCGGTTAGAAATTGAGCATATTGGCTGGGCCCGGTGGCTTGCCCCTGTCATCCCAGCACTTTGTGAGGCCGAGGCAGGCAGATCACGAGGTCAGGAGATCGAGACCATCCTGGCTAACACGGTGAAACCCCATCTCTACCAAAAATACAAAAAGTTAGCTGGGCATGGTGGCGGGCGCCTGTAGTCTCAGCTACTCGGGAGGCTGAGGCAGGAGAATCACTTGAACCCGGGAGGTGGAGGTTGCAGTGAGCCGAGATCTCGCCCCTGCATTCCAGCCTGGGTGACAGAGTGAGAGTCTGTCTCAAAAAAAAAAAAAAAAATCTACGTTGTAATTTGTGTGATACACTATATCAAGCCGTTTTCCAATCTCTAGGAAAAAAACAACAGCACACACAGATATACATTTATCCCTTTTGGAAGAAGTAGCGTCTGCAGCTCTTTGAAAGACCAGAGAATTTTTACATTGTGAAGCTATTTAGGTACCTACTACGTGCGGTGCTCTGCCATATGAAACATCAAACAGAAAATGACAAAGCAACCAAGAAAAGGCTTAACTTTCGGCTGAGAGGACGGACGGTTGCCGTCACTGATTCGGCTTTTGTGTCTATAGCTGAACAGCCGAGGTGGTGTCACCACACTCTAGAGAGAAACCTGTCTAACCAGCAAGAGAAAGCAACTAGCTTGGTGTGCTGCAGAGACTTTAAGACTGGGGAGAAAGTTCAAGCAACATTCTGTAGCTTGCAAAACCAATCCAAGAAAATGAAATGAAAAACAAAAAACAAAAACAAACAAAAAAAGGTAACCTATTGTCTTCTTGGATCTCCAGCCCTATAGTGGGAATGTGTTTCTCCAAAAATCATCTGTTTATCCGAAAAGGAAAAAAAAATAAAACGATAAAACAACAGCAAACCTCAATACAGAATCTCGTTCTTCTAAGACACAGACTTCACTGTGCTGATATCGCTTTTAAAGGAGGAAATTCAGAATATATCCACGTCTGCCTTTCCTTTAAAGACTGTTCATTGCAGAGGAACGTGGCCCTGCCAGTTTGACCTGCCTAGCAGGACTCCAATCAGAAAAGATAAGAGCATGTTTAATTGATTAGTCAGAGTCTGTCCAGCGCTTTGAAGGTGAGGACTGAGATATTATTGTAATGATGAAGAGGGAGCTGTGATCTTTGGAGAATTTCTTCTCTCATGTAAGCCTCTTTCTCAATTTGATCTATGCTGCTCAAGTCTACTGCTGGGGTGTACAAATTACTGATCCCGATCAGTAGGAAGCACCTTACATATTCAGGCGTGGGTTGCTGAACCTCGAGGCATGAAACCAAAGACGGGCTACTGAGAGACGGGAGCTGTCTCCAGCTATCCTTCTGGGAAGACAGTCTCAAGATGGCACCCGCCATGCTGGAGGTTGCCCAGGCATCATTCTTTTCTCTGAGATGTGTTGGCTGATTTCTCTTCACGGAACACATGCCACCTCCCCAGGGCAGCTCTTGAGGGAAATTCTTCCTGACACCTGTTGGAGCTTGAGCTATCTCCATGGTTTCTCTGAACCTTGACTGTTGCCATCAAACAGGTGTTAAATTATGGCATATTGTCATTGCTTTATCCTCAGATTCCGCAACAGATCATAGGTCCTCTAAGGGGGATGACTATATGCTGTTTAATGCATAGATTTGTTTTTTCAGAGCAGTTTTGGTTTCAGAGAAAGGGAGGGCAGAAAATAAAGAATTCCCCTATATCCCCTTCATTTTTCTCCCAGCAGTTTCTGCTATTATTAACATCTTGAATTCAGGGAGGACATGCGTTGCAATTGATAAACCCATATTGATTATTATTCACTAAAGGTGATAGTTGACACTGAGGTCACTCTTGGCATTGTACGTAGTTTACACTGAGGTCAGTCTTGGCGTTCTACATCCTATGGGTTTGGACATACACAGAAGCTTCACGGCCCTAAAAATCATCTGAGAGCCACTTATTTACCTACACCAACTGTATAGTTTTCTTCTCTGCATCACCAGTAGCACTGTGCCATAATCAATCATGAATCAATCAATCAGTCCTTGATCAATCAGCTTAACATGCTGCTCAGTGTCTGGGGCTCCTCCAGAGCCAGGGTCACCTTAGTCCTGCTCTGTGGCTGCAGGCTGACTTATAGGGTAAGGGTGTGTGGGACTCCTGTGTCCCTGGATTTGGTCTATAGGAAGCCCCAGGAAGATGGCAGGAACAGAGATGCCACCTTCAGTCTGACAGTTGGCTTCTCAGGATGACTCCCTACAGGGATGGCAGGAGCTGGCCTCACCCGGCTCTTGAAGGCCATAGTCCTGACAGGTGGCCACATCTCCACCCCTAGACTGCTCTCTCTCCAGCTACTGGAAACCCACTCCTCACAGCATAGTCACAAGTCTCCCCCACACTCTGCTCCCACGGATAAGATACTCTAGCCACTGGCCGGGCGCGGTGGCTCAGGCCTGTAATCCCCACACTTTGGGAGGCCGAGGTGGGTGGATCACGAGGTCAGGAGATGGAGACCATCCTGGCTAACACGGTGAAACCCCGTCTCTACTAAAAATACAAAAAAAAATTAGGCGGGCGCGGTGGCGGGCGCCTGTAATCCCAGCTACTCCGGAAGCTGAGGCAGGAGAATGGCCTGAACCCGGGAGGTGGAGCTTGCAGTGAGTCAAGATCGCACCACTGCACTCCAGCCTGGGCGACAGAGCGAGACTCAGTCTCAAAAAAACAAAAACAAACAAACAAAAAGATACTCTAGACAAATTGACCTCCTTAGCAAGGGGACGAGGGACCATTTCTGCTCATCCCTGAGTAGTGGTTTCAGTTCCCTGCCAACCTATGGAATTGTCCAGAAAAGCCCATCACCTTCTTCTGCAGGAACCAGGAGCCACCTCACCCACTTGTTCCTACAAAGCCTGCCTTTCATGGCTTCTGATGGTTCATTGTACTAGAATGCAACTTCACATGCATGCTGTAAAGGGTCCTCTTCCCCCATCTGTGCATAGACGTGAGCAATCAATGTGGTTGTAGCTGTCATGCCTCCAGTGCTACATGCCATGGTCAGCCATCCCTAGCATCCTAGCACAAGAAACCCTTTCTTACCAAAGCAATGGATAGGAGGCTGTCCATCCATTGCTTCCCAAAACCACCTGCTCCTTGTAGTAAATTGTGAGGATAAACAGGGCAGTGTTCCATTTTGGACTGCCTCTATATATTTAAATTATCTTTGACTTGGGACCCACAAGATTATGGAAGAAGAACATGGGAAGCTTCCAGGAAACCTGGATGTATTAGTCAGGGTTCTCTAGAGAGACAGAACTGATAAGACGGATGGATGGATAGATAGATAGATAGATAGATGATAGACAGATGATGGTAATAGATACATAGGTAGATAGAAGACGATAGATAGATAGATAGATAGATAGATAGATAGATTCATAGATACATAGATACATAGATACATAGATAGATGATGGTAATAGATACATACTTAGGTAGATAGAAGATAGATAGATGATAGATAGATGATGGTAATAGATACATACTTAGGTAGATAGAGGGAGATAGATAGATAGATAGATAGATAGATAGATAGATAGATAGATACATAGATAGATAGATAGATAGATGATGGTAATAGACACATACTTAGGTAGATAGAATATCATAGATAGATAGATAATGGTAGTAGATACATACTTAGGTAGATAGAATATCATAGATAGATAGATAGATAATGGTAGTAGATACATACTTAGGTAGATAGAGGATGAGAGATAGATAGATAGATAGATAGATAGACAGATAACGGTAATAGATACATACTTAGGTAGATAGAGGATGAGAGATGGATAGATAGACAGATAATCGTAATAGGTACATACTTAGGTAGATAGAGGATGAGAGATAGATAGACAGATAGATAGACCGATAGATAATGGTAATAGATACATACTTAGGTAGATAGAGGATGAGAGACAGATAGATAGATAGATAGATAGACCGATAGATAATGGTAATAGATACATACTTAGGTAGATAGAAGATGATAGATAGATAGACAGACAGACAGATAATGGTAATAGATACATACTTAGGTAGATAGAGGATGAGAGATAGATAGATAGATAGATAGATAGATAGATAGATAGATAGATGATGGTAATAGATACATAGGTAGATAGAGGATGAGAGATAGATAGATAGATAGATAGATAGATAGATGATGGTAATAGATACATACTTAGGTAGATAGAATATCATAGATAGATAGATAATGGTAGTAGATACATACTTAGGTAGATAGAGGATGAGAGATAGATAGATAGATAGATAGATAGATAGATAGATAGACCGACAGATAATGGTAATAGATACATACTTAGGTAGATAGAAGATGATAGATAGATAGACAGACAGACAGATAATGGTAATAGATACATACTTAGGTAGATAGAGGATGAGAGATAGATAGATAGATAGATAGATAGATAGATAGATAGATAGATGATGGTAATAGATACATACTTAGGTAGATAGAATATCATAGATAGATAGATAATGGTAGTAGATACATACTTAGGTAGATAGAATATCATAGATAGATAGATAGATAGATAATGGTAGTAGATACATACTTAGGTAGATAGAGGATGAGAGATAGATAGATAGATAGATAGATAGATAGATAGATAGATAGACAGATAATGGTAATAGATACATACTTAGGTAGATAGAGGATGAGAGATAGATAGATAGATAGACCGATAGATAATGGTAATAGATACATACTTAGGTAGATAGAAGATGATAGATAGATAGACAGACAGACAGATAATGGTAATAGATACATACTTAGGTAGATAGAGGATGAGAGATAGATAGATAGATAGATAGATAGATAGATAGATAGATAGATGATGGTAATAGATACATACTTAGGTAGACAGAGGATGAGAGATAGATAGATAGATAGATAGATAGATAGACCGATAGATAATGGTAATAGATACATACTTAGGTAGATAGAAGATGATAGATAGACAGACAGACAGACAGATAATGGTAATAGATAGATACTTAGGTAGATAGAGGATGAGAGATAGATAGATGATAGATAGATAGATAGATAGATAGATAGATAGATAGACAGATAATGGTAATAGATACATACTTAGGTAGATAGAGGATGAGAGATGGATAGATAGACAGATAATGGTAATAGATACATACTTAGGTAGATAGAGGATGAGAGATAGATAGATAGATAGATAGACCGATAGATAATGGTAATAGTTACATACTTAGGTAGATAGAAGATGATAGATAGATAGACAGACAGACAGACAGATAATGGTAATAGATACATACTTAGGTAGATAGAGGATGAGAGATAGATAGATAGATAGATAGATAGATAGATAGATAGATAGATAGATGATGGTAATAGATACATACTTAGGTAGATAGAAGATAGACAGATACTGGATAGATAGACGATGTAAAATCACTAGCAGCACTTTTGGGAAAAGGTGTTGTATAAACTGGATCAAAGACTAACTCTGAGCTACACACATATGAAATCTCACCCAGAGGAGACCCCACTGCTCACAAAGACCTCAGTCAGGAGCGGGCGAGCTGTATTTTTATGCTAAAATTTACACAAAGGGACGGCCCCAGGCTCTCCCTCCTTTACAAGCTGTGGTCAGTCACGCCGTCTGGCCGAGGAATCCGGCTTTCACAGGGGGAAGCAAATAATAGGACGGGGAAACCGCAGGGTCCTTGGGCACTCAGAGCTGTCACTCATCACAAATCCATAAAACAATTCGTGTGGAAGTAATGATATTGTTTAACCACTGTATTTTTGATTAATGTATAAATAATTTAACTGAGTATTTCTTGAGTTTTCAGCGTGTCTGCCATTATTTACCGGCCCTGTCATGACGGCTGCTGGTGCTCTGCCATATAAAACATCCTCAAGTCCGTCCGAGGAGGCTGGTGGGTTGTTAATGGTCTTAGGGGGAAACGGCATTGCAGCTATTAACAAGCCGATTAGCATAATCCATTGTGATATATCATCATCCAGAAGTTCATCTGTGCAACTCGATGGGACTGGGGAATGGCTTTGAAGATCTTATGATACAATAACTATCTATTTGATAAGCAATTAAAAAGATATTTTGAGACACGAGGAGTGAAGATAATGGAACGGAGAGGAGGAGGGAGGCATGAGGGTGCCACGCTTCAGGGGAACGCGTTTGCTGATGACGGATGGAGCTTGATTCAGCCTGAGCTGTGGATGTCAGTGGCATGTTTGGCTCCCGGAGCAGCGTGGGGTGGTGACCTAGAAGCTATGGTATTCACGCAGGACTCTCCGCATGACATCAGGAGGCAGGACAAAGCACCTGTCATTATGCCACAACATCCTACTGCACTCACAGCTGCAAATCAAAGTATCTCAAAACCATTCTTGTTTCCATAGTCTTTGCCTTACACTATTCTGTGATACTGGGGGCAACTGTCAGGATCTGGGTGTGGGGACTGATAAGTGTGGATCACAGACTTCTTTTTTTCTTTGAGACGGAGTCTCACTCTTGTCGCCCAGGCTGGAGTGCAATGGAGCGATCTGGGATCACTGCAACCTCCGCCTCCCGGGTTCAAGCGATTCTCCTGCCTCAGCCTCCCGAGTAGCTGGGACTACAGGCACCTGCCACCACACGCGGCTAATTTTGTAATTTTAGTAGAGACGGGGTTTCACCATGCTGGTCAGGCTGGACTCGAATTCCTGACCTTGTGATCCGCCTGCCTCGGCCTCCCAAAGTGCTGGGATTACAGGTGTGAGCCGACGTGCCCGGCCTTTTTTTTTTTTTTTTTTTTTTTTTTAGATGGAGTCTTGCTCTGTCACCCAGGCTGGAGTGCAGTGGTGTGATCTTGGCTCACTGCAACGTCCGCCTCCTGGGTTCAAGCGATTCTCCTGCCTCAGCCTCCCGAGTAGCTGGGACTACAGGCACCCGCCACCACGCCCGGCTAATTTTGTGTTTTTAGTAGAGACGGGGTTTCATGATACTGGCCAGGCTGGACTTGAACTCCTGACCTCAAGGGATCCAGCCATCTTGACCTCCCAAAGTGCTGGGATGACAGGTATGACCCACTGCACCCGGCCACAGACTTCTTTCAAAATTGTGGCAAACTGTATAGAACCTAAACATGGCCACTTGACCATTTCAAGGTGAACAATTAAAGTTGCATAAAATATGTTCACAGCTCACACCTGTCATCCCAGCACTTTGGGAGGCCGAGGCGGGTGGATCACCTGAGGTCAGGATTTCAAGACCAGCCCGGCCAACATGGTGAAACCCCGTCTCTACTAAAAATACAAAAATTAGCCAGGTGTGGTGGCGCGCACCTGTAGTCCCAGCTACTCGGGAGGCTGAGGCAGGAGAATTGCTTGAATCTGGGAGGCGGAGGTGGCAGTGAGCCGAGATCACACCACTGGACTCCGACCTGGGTGACAGAGCGAGACTCCGTCTCCAAAAGAAAATAAAAAATGAAATAAAATAAAATACATTCACAGTGTTGTGGCATCATCCCCACTGTCTAAAGCCAAAGTTTTTCTTTTTCACCTAAACAGGAACTCTCTATGTATTAAACTATCATTCCTCATACTCCCCGTCCCCCAGCCCCTGGAAATGTCTAATTTTACTTCCTGTCTCTCTGGATCTGCCTATTCAAGTTTGTTTCTACAAATGGAACCCTACGTTATGTGGTTTTTTGTGTGGCTGGCTTATTTCACGGAGAGTCTTTTTCTTTTTCTTTATTTTTTTTTTTATTTGTTTATTTTTTTGAGACGAAGTTTCACTCTTGTCGCCCAGGCTGGAGTGCAGTGGCGTGATCTCGGCTCACCACAACCTCCGCCTCCCAGGTTCAAGTGATTCTCCTGCCTCAGCCTCCCGAGTAGCTGGGATTACAGGCGTGCACCACCACGCCAAGATAATTTTGTATTTTTAGTAGAGATGGGGTTTCACCATGTTGATCAGGCTGGTCTCGAACTCCTGACCTCCAGTGATCTGCCCGCCTCAGCCTCCCAAAGTGCTGGGATTGTAGGTGTGAGCCACCGCATCCAACCAAGCCTTCTTTTTCATGGCTAAATAATATTTCATAGTACAAATGGAATACAATCTATTTGTTGATTCTTCTGTTGATGGATATTTGGGTTTTTTTTTTTTAAGCTATTGTGAATAATGCTGTTAGGAAGTTTGTGGACAAGTACCTGTTTGAGTCATTTTCCAATTCTTTTTTTTTTTTTTTTTTTTTGAGACAGAGTCTCACTCTATTGCCCAGGCTGGAGTGCAGTGGTGTGATCTCAGCTCACTGCAACATCCTCCTCTGAGGCTCAATTGATTCTCCTGCCTCAGCCTCCCGAGTAGTTGGGATTACAGGCACCTGCCATCATGCCTGGCTAACTATTATTATTATTATTATTTTTGAGACGGAGTCTCTCTGTGTCTCCCAGACTGGAATGCAGTGGCGTGATCTCGGCTCACTGCAACCTCCACCTCCCGGGTTCAAGCGATTCTCCTGCCTCAGCCTCCCGAGTAGCTGGGATTACAGGCACCTGCCATCATGCCTGGCTAACTATTATTATTATTATTATTATTATTATTAAGACAGTGTATCTCTGTGTCTCCCAGGCTGGAATGCAGTGGCATGATCTCAGCTCACCGCAACCTCCTCCCCTGAGGTTCAATTGATTCTCCTGCCTCAGCCTCCCGAGTAGCTGGGATTACAGGTGCACGCAACCAAGCCCAGCTAATTTTTGTATTTTTAGTAGAGACGGGTTTTCACCATGTTGTCCAGGCTGGTCTTGAACTCCTGACCTCAGATGATCCACCCACCTCGGCCTCCCAAAGTGCTGGCATGACAGGTGTGAGCCAGCAAACCCTGCCCTTCTCTTCCTTTCTTTGCTTCAGGACTTATTGACAAATACAGCCACAGGGATCAAACACACGGGGAAAAGCATCCTTATTTTTTTCTTCTTTCCCCAACGGATAAAGGTACTGATCCTCTCAGATCTGGATCTGAGAGCAGTTAAGCCTCCTCGTTAGTTCTCTTAAGTTGAACTTGCTCTCCTTCTAATGAGGAACAAGGAGGGGTGAAAACGGTGGACATTCCCCTTGTCGGGGAGACCTGACCCATTCAGCTTCCTCTGAGCAGGCCGGTTGTCCCAAAGACAGACCCCCAGAGGGTCTAACCCACGTTCTCTGAGAGTCAGGTCATTCCTGGGGGCACTTGCAGGGGCCGTCAAGAGGAACCAGGAGCACTCATCGGGGAGGACTCCCGGAGTGCAAGCACGAAGAAGGAGTTTCCCCGCTTATTCCAGCAGACACCGCCCTGCGCAGCCTAACGCAAGATCACCATGTTACCTGTAGGCACCCATCTCCATGCCTGTCCTTGCAATGCGATCTTTCTCTCTCTTTCTCTTTCTTTCTTTCTTTTTCTTTCTTCCTTCCTTCCCTCCCTCCCCTCCCTTCCTCCCTCCCTTTCTCTCTTTCCTTTCTGTCTTCCTTTCCTTCTTTCTTTGTTATTTTCTTTCTTTCTTCCTTTCTTTCTTTGTTGCTCTCTTTCTTTTCTTTCTTTCTTTCTTTCTTTCTTTCTTTCTTTCTTTCTTCCTTCCTTCCTCTTTCTTTCTCTTTCTTTCTTTCTTTCTCTCAGATGGAGTCTTGCTCTGTCGCCCAGGCTGGAGTGCAGTGGCGCGATCTCAGCTCACTGCAAGCTCCGCCTCCCGGGTTCACGCCATTCTCCTTCCTCCGTCTCCCGAGTAGCTGGGATTACGGGCACCCGCCACCTCGCCCGGCTAACTTTTTTGTATGTTTAGTAGAGACGGGGTTTCACCATGTTAGCCGGGATGGTCTCGAACTCCTGACCTCAGGTGATCCACCCGCCTCAGGCCTCCCAAAGTGCTGGGAGGACAGGCGTGAGCCACCGCGCCAGGCCAACAATGGGAGTTTTCTTTACTTCACTTCTTTTTTGCATGGAGAGGCTTATAATTGGATACACTTGGGGCTTATAACTGGATACACTTGCAGCTTATAACTCCATACACTTGCGGCTTATCACTCGATATAGTTATCTTCCAGCACATGGACTCCGCATCACACAGGGATATGGCTGCAACACAGCAGCTACACATACTCATGTAGGTGAGAGGGATTCCGCAAAACCTCAACATTTGGAAAAGAAAAAAAAAAAAAAACAAAAAAAAGCCAGGCGCCGTGGCTCACACCTGTCATCCCAGCATTTTGGGAGGCCAAGGAAGGTGGATCACCTGAGGTCAGGAGTTTGAGACCAGCCTGGACAACATGGCGAAACCCCATCTCTACTAAAAATACAAAAATTAGCTGGGTGTGCTGGCGTGCGCGTGTAATCCCAGCTATTCGGGAGGCTGAGGCAGGGGAATTGCTTGAGCCCGGGAGGCGGAGATTGCAGTGAGCTGAGATTGTGCTACTGCACTCCAACCTGGGCGACATGGTGAGACTCTGTCTCAAAAAAAAAAAGACAAAATGAACAAAACAAAGAAACAAACAAAAAAACACATGCAATTGTTTACAACGCCATTGGGGTCTGGAAATTGTCTGTTTCTTGCTGAAGCTGACACTGTTGAGATCACTAAGGCAGCAAGCAAAGAACAGAGCCTCAGATGCACTTCACAAGCTATGCCATTTCCACAGTGAAAACAGGGAGGGGTCTGGAGTGCTGAAAACTTCCATGCCTTCCTTCAGTGCTAGGTGGTCCGGCTGCCCTAACATCACCCAGCTAGCAAGGTGTGGTGCCTGCTTTCAGCTCAAGTCTGCAAGCCACACCAGGCCTGTGCATTTGTGAGTGAACACAAGACATTAGCTTAGTTCACCCCTGAATACGGTGCAAGCACCTGCTCGTACAAACGCAGTATAGTACTGATGGCTTCAAATGATCTATTATCTATTAGACTTATCTACTGATGGTTATCTATCCACTGAGACTGGCGTTTCAGGAATATCCACTCAACCAGCTGTAGCCAAGGGGCCCACGGTGACTGCTCACTGCCTGCATTGACTGTGACCCAAGCCTGCTCTCCAACATTCCTGGGACTCACTTTCCCCAACTGTGGAGGAGAAGAGGATTTAACCTGCAGGGTGGTTATGAGAATGTAACACTTTTAAAAAGCACCTGCCCAAGGGTGGTGGCTCACGCCTGTGATCCCAGCACTTTGGGAGGCCGAGGCGGGTGGATCACTTGAGGTCAGGAGTTCGAGACCAGCGTGGCCAACATGGTGAAACCCCGTCTCTACTAAAAGTACAAAATTATCTGGGCATGGTGGCGGGCACCTGTAATCCCAGCTACTTGGGAGGCTGAGGCAGGAGAATCGCTTGAACCCAGGAGGCAGAAGTTGCAGTGAGCTGAGATCGAGCCACTGCACTCCAGCCTGGGCAATAGAGTGAAACTCCATCTCAAAAAAAAAAAAAAAAAAACTAACTGCCTGGTCCATCACCTGCCCATGTGTGTTTGGGGCTATTGGGAACCCCTTCTTAGTGATTGGAAAGACATTTTCATGATTTCTCCAAGCAAAATCAGGAGGATTAAGGCCAATAGCGTCAGAGGCGTTCGAACGAAAGCGACTTCATCTTGAGTGAGGGCTCGGAAAATGAGGCTGAGGCTTGCTGGCTGCATTCCCAGAAAGTTAAACATTCCTAGCCTCTATGTATTTATGGTTAAGAGAACAAATTAGGCCAGGCACAGTGGCTCACGCCTGTAATCCCAGCACTTTGGGAGGTTGAGGCGGGTGGATAATAAAGTCAAGAGTTCAAGACCATCCTGGCTAACACGGTGAAACCCCCTCTCTACTAAAAATAGAAAAATTAGCCAGTCGCGGTGGCTGGTGCCTGTAATTCCAGCTACTAGGGAGACTGAGGCAGGAGACTCGCTTGAACCCAGGAGGCAGAGGTTGCAGTGAGCCGAGATCGCTCCACTGCGCTCCAGCCTGGGTGATAGAGTAAGACTCTGTCTCAAAAAACAAAACAAAAGAGTAAAAAAAAAAAAAAGGAATAAATTAATAATGTTTACTAAATAGACCCCGACTTGGGACTATCCAGCTATCTCAATATCTGAAGAATGAAGGTATTCCTGATTTTGCTTTAAAGATAATGATATTGATTCTTGCAACATATAGTAATTAAGAACATTAATCCTTTATCACAAACCCTCCTAGCAGAGCATACGTCCCCAAGATATTTTTTTATCCTATATATAAACAACTATTGCATCTGCGGTGGAAGCTTCCCCCTCTCAGTTTCAGAAATGCCCTACTCTGTCTATGGAGGAGCTGTTCTTTTACCAATTTAGTTTCCTTTTTTTTTTTTTTTTTTTTTTTTGAGAGAGAGTCTCGCTCTGTCACCCAGGCTGGAGTGCAGTGGTGCAATCTCAGCTCACTGCAACCTCCACCTCCCAGGTTCAAGCGATTCTCCTGCCTCAGCCTCCCGAGTAGCTGGGACTACAGGCACCAGCCACCACGCCCGGCTAATTTTCCTATTTTTAATAGAGACCAGGTTTCACCATGTTGGCCATGCTGGTCTCGAACCCCTGGCCTCAGGTGATCCACCCGCCTGGGCCTCCCAAAGAGCTGGGATTACAGGCGTGAGCCACCGCCCCCGGCCTTTTTTTTTTTTTTTTTTTTGAGACAGAGTCTCACTGTGTCGCCCAGGCTGGAGTGCAATGGTGCAATCTCAGCTCACTGCAACCTCCGCCTCCCTGGTTCAAGCGATTCTCCTGCCTCAGCCTCCTGAGTAGCTATTGATTACAGATGCCCACCACCATGCCCAGCTAATTTTTCTATTTTTAATAGAGACCAAGTTTGACCATGTTGGCCAGGCTGGTCTCGAACTCCTGGCCTCAGGTGATCTGCCCGCCTCGGCCTCCCAGAGTGCTGGGATTACAGGCGTGAGCCACCGTGTCTGGCCCCAATTTACTTTCTTAATAAAGTTCCTTTAATTTGCATTACGGGCTTTCCCTGAAGTCTTTCTTGCACAAGATCCAAGAACCTTCTCTTGCCGTCTGGATCGGGACGCTTTTCCTGTAACAATAGGGCCGAACACGCTAAGAGGGGAAAGGTGGAGAGATGAGGCTTCCGTATGGGCACTGAGATGGGTCTTCAGCGTCGGGGAGCGGAGAACGGTTGGGGTCTGAACTACAGTGTCTGCCCACCTCCCCATGAGGAGCTCCAAAGACAAGCTGAACCCCTAAGCTAGTACCAGCCCCAAACTCTGAAGGCCGTTCGTATATTCCCTTTATCCACCGGAGGTCCAGGTGGAAGCAGAAAACAGAAAATATTGTCCTTTGTGGCCCGAAGGGAAGATGCCGAGGCCCCGTGACTCTGCTGAGCAGGGGAACCCCTCACCAGGACTCATCCCCACAGCCGTTTACAAGTCCTCGTTCCCCCAGACCCCCCAGTCCCTCCTGCAACTCAACCTGACCCGCACTCACTCAATGCTGCGGATCAAGCCTTCTGGGCCTTTTGTTTGCTTTTCCACACACAGTCTGAGCTGCTCAATTAAAGCATAAAAACCATTAGTGAGCCGGGGAGGCCCCTGGGGAGGCTCAGCCAGTGAACTCCCTGGCCTGTTTCCCCAAGGCAAGCCGAGTGGGCCTCCATCTGTCAGCACTGAGAGGTGGCCGCCACACCTCCAAAACCTCCAAACGGCTTCCCGGGGGACTGAGGGAGGAGATAAATTGAGATTAAAAAAAAAAAACAAAACAAAACATGGCACTATTTTTTTTGAGACAGAGTCTCGCTCTGTGGCCCAGGCTGGAGTGCAACGGCGTGATCTCGGCTCACTGCAACGTCCGCCTCTCGGGTTCAAGCGATTCTCCTGTCTCGGTTCCCAGAGTACCTGGGATGACAGGCACCCGCCACCACGCACGGCTAATTTTTGTATTTTTAGTAGAGACGGGGTTTCAGCGTGTTGGCCAGGCTGGTCTCAAACGCCTGACCGCAGGTGATCCACCCACCTCAGCCTCCCAAAGTGCTGGGATGACAGGCACCTGCCACCACGCACGGCTAATTTTTGTATTTTTAGTAGAGACGGGGTTTCAGCATGTTGGCCAGGCTGGTCTCGAACGCCTGACCCCAAGTGATCCGCCAGCCTCGGCCTCCCAAAGTGCTGGGATGACAGGCGTGAGCCCACAAGCCCGGCCAAGATTTAAAAAAAAAAAAAAAAAAAAAAAAAAAGTCACTGTTGAAATACTGGCACGTAGAATGCCAGAGATGAGGAGGATTCTAGGTAGGACAACAGCAACCTTCGCTCCCGGACAACAGGTAGCAACATCGTCCTCATATCCCTGGCCCTCTTATCGTCACCTTCCCTTCCACGCCTCCCTCGGGAGCGATTGTATCTATTGTCTCCCAGCCCCGATGATGGATGCTCAGGGCACTCATCTCTCTGAGTGATCAGTATTTTCCGTGTTCTTCTCAGAGTCTCTGACACTGTGGGCCGGGCCCTGGCTACAGCTGACGAGTGTGTGTGTGTGTGTGTGTGTGTGTCTGTGTGTGTGTGTGGGGGGGGGGGTTCATTTACATTTCAATCTTCACCTCATGAATGTAAAAGCTCAGCCGGCAAATTAATAACAGGGTGATGAGGACGCCTCCCTGCACTGGGAAGGGGGGCACCACCTCCCCTCGTTTCCAACCCCTAGAAGCCGACAGCCCCTTCCTGGCCATTGTGTTCGGCAGCCGTCTCATTTACCGGCCCGCGGTGAATGACATTACAGAGAAAGGCATATCCAGAGTGACACAAATGTATTTCTGTCCCAAGCAAGGCAGTCTATTTTCATAGAATCAAGGGGCTATTTGTCTGGGGACGATTTAGTTTCCATGAAAAATTAAAATGGTTTTCTGTGCTGCTATAGGGTGGCGAAATTTAATTTGTCACTCGTTTACTAAAGCAGGTATAAAAAGGAGAAGAATTGGATGTCTGATGGGCTGAAATTGGCGACGTCCCTCGGTTTGGTCTCCCAAGGCCTGGGGACGCAGAGGCCTGTCCCGGCCACCCCCAACGCCCCCCTCTCCCCACCCTCGGAGGACCTGGTCATCTTAAACCAACTTACAGAAAACCTTTGGGGAGGCTGTGCCAATCACCCGGAAAACCACGTTCCTATCGATCCCCTGTCTGCGTGATTTATGGCTTCATTTTACGGTAATTGAGAATTAGTGAGGAGATGAGCAGGACTGCACGTGGTGACACGGGGTCCACATCTCATTGAATTGCGGGATGACGTGGAAATTAATGTGACACACGGGAGATGTGGAACAGGGGGCCGTGTGTCTCCAGCATCACACGGGCGTCCCCGGTCACCAGCACCCCCTCCCCGGTCTGCCTTCGAAGGCAGGATGAGGATGATTGATCCGAATCGGTTTCAATCCGTCTCAACTGCAGCCCGGCCGATGGACGGGACACTCACAATTGGATTGAGCCTCCTACGAACAAAGTTCATCGACAGCCACCCGCAGGTCAATGGCTGCAGCTCACCAGCGTGGCACACGTATACGTATGTAACTAACCTGCACAATGTGCACATGTACCCTAAAACTTAAAGTATAATCATAATAAAATAAAATAAAGGAAAAAAAATAGGAGGTCTCGTGTCATCCGACCGCCTCAAAATGAAGTTTTGAAAATCTACGTCTTGCAGCCGACATGCCAAATCTCTAAAGCCAACCAACAGTGGCAAAGTCGAATTACAGATGGACTCTGCTGGGCTGTTTACAGGATAATCGGCTGCTCTGATCGTGAATAAAGGTGCTAACTACTCCCCACTGTGCAGAGAGAAAAAGGTTCTAACTACCCCCACCCTACAGAGAGAAATGTCTGCGTCCCGTAAGGGCAGGAGGGGTGACAGAGGAGATCTGGGAAGCTCTAGGGGTGAAAAGAGGCTTATGTCTGGCCTCAGCCATCTCTCCAAAGCCTTACAGAGGCCTCCTCTGCAGATTTGCACACCTAAAGCTCGGCGGGGTTTCAAGACCGTTAAGAATCTCTTTTGCATTTGAACAGGGACGTAGGTGTGAACGTAGAGTGTCCAGCAGAAAAAAAAACAAACAAACAAAAAAAAAAAAAAACGGAGCTGTGGAAAGTTCCGGAGAAGCTCACAGTGTAACAGTGGGAAATTCTTCACCTTCTGGTGCTCGGCAAATTGTTTGACAACATCTGGGTAGAAAATGGAGAGCAGAGTCTGTGAACGCTCCCCTCAAGAAAACCCGCTCATGTGTGTTTGGAAAATGCAATGGGGTTGGGATCATGGCTTTTTCTTATAAAAACACTGGGTGGCCCGGCGTGGTGGCTCATGTCTGTCATCCCAGCACTTTGGGAGGCCGAGGTGGGTGGATCACCTGAGGTCAGGGGTTCGAGACCAGCCTGGCCAACATGGTGAAACCCCGTCTCTATTAAAAATACAAAAATCAGCTGGGTGTGGTCACTGGCTCCTGTAATCCCAACTACTAGGGAGACTGAGGCAGGAGTATCGCAGGAGACTAGAGACATGGTGAAACCCTGTCTCTATTAAAAATACAAAAAATTAGCTGGGTTTGTGGCCTGTAATCCCAGCTGCTCTGGAAGCTGAGGCAGGAGAATCGCTTGAACCTGGGAGGTGGAGGTTGCAGTGAGCTGAGATCGCGCCACTGCACTCCAGCCTGGGTGACAGAGGGAGACTACGTCTCAAAAAAAAAAAAAAAAAAAAGCTAACAAAAAACTAAAAACAGGACTCTAACTTTCCCTGTTTTCCTCTCACCAACAGTATTAAAGCATTCCTATTTCCCCACATCCTCGCCAGCATCTGTTGTTTCCTGACTTTTTATTTTTTTATTTTTATCTTTTATTTTTTTGAGACGGAGTTTTGCTCTTGTTGCCCAGGCTGGAGTGCAGTGGCACGATCTCAGCTCACCGCAACCTCTGCCTCGCGGGTTCAAGCGATTCTCCTGCCTCAGCCTCCCCAGTAGCTGGGATTACAGGTGCCCACCACCATGTCCGGCTAGTTTTTTGTATTTTTAGTAGAGTTGGGGTTTCTCCATGTTGGCCACGCTGGTCTCGAACTCCTGACCTTGTGATCCGTCTGCCTCAGCCTCCTGAAGTGCTGGGATGACAGGCGTGAGCCATGGCGCCCGTCCTACACACTTCTTATGATAGGAGCTGAGTAAGGGCTTCCAAGGTGTTTTCCTGTACTAAGCACTTTGTGTTTTTGAGGCAGAGTCTCACTCTGTCATCCAGGCTGGAGTCCAGAGGTGCAATCTCGGCTCACTGCAAACTCTGCCTCCTGGGTTCAAGCGACTCTCCTGCCTCAGCCTCCCGAGTAGCTGGGACTACTGGCACCCGCCATCACGCCCGGCTAACTTTTGTATTTTTAGTAGAGGTGAGGTTTCACCATGTTGGCCAGGCTGGTCTCGAACTCCTGACCTTGTGATCCACCCACCTCAGCCTCTCAAAGTGCAGAGATGACAGGCGTGAGCCATGGCGCCCGTCCTACACACTTCTTATGATGGGAGCTGATGTGTACAAGGGCTTCCAAGGTGTTTTCCTGTGTTTTTTTGAGGCACAGTCTCACTCTGTCATCCAGGCTGGAACCCAGTGGTGCCAACCAGGCATGACTGAGGCATTAAACAGAAGGAAAACCTGTCCCTTGCACCAGTAACGTGATTTGCAAAATCCGATCAGCTATGTGCCTATCGCATACGTGGGTCTCTTATCACATTGGCGGGGACCACAAGCCCTAATGCAATGCAGGAGGTGCGCTAACGAGACAGGGGAGTCGCTAACGCAATGATCCCGCAGTCAGGGCGAGGCGAGGGGCTGCCCGTCGTGGCCAGAGGTTCCCGGAATAAATTAGCCAAGCGGAGTTGCTGAGTGCGGGAGGAGGATGAATTAGAAGTCCGACGCTGTGTGGGGAAAATAGGCTCCACCTCCCCGAGCTCAAGCCTTCCCGGGCGCTGGGACTACAGGTTTGCACCAACACACCTGGCTAATTTTTTTAAATTGTTTCTGTTTTGTAGAAACAAGGTCTCAGTATGTTGCTCAGGCTGGTCTCAAACTCCTGGCCTCAACTGATCCTCCCACCTCAGCCTCCCAAAGTGTTGGGATCACAGGTGTGAGCCACGGTGCCCAGCCCAGGAATGAGGTTTAATTCTTCACAACGCGTTATTCCAGGTCAAAGGTAGTCCCACCCCCAGCTAAATCTCCATGGGTAGAAACTGAAATGTCTTCCTTTGGAAAAAGCAGCTAAGCCAGCAGAACTCTGATCATTGGCTGTGGTGGTAGCTTGACTATGTCCCCCGAAAGAGACAGGATCATAAGGTCAGGAGTTCGAGACCAGCCTGGCCAACATGGTGAAACCCCGTCTCTACTAAAAATATAAAAAATTAGCCGGACACGGGCTGTTTTAACCTGTGCTACCTATGAGTGGGACTTTATTTGGAAATAAGGTTTCTGCAGTTGGAATTAAGTGGGGGAATTTGAGATGAGATCATCCTGCATTAGGGGGACCCTAAACCCAATGAGGAATGTCCTTCTAAGAGACAGAAGAGGAAACACAGACACAGAGGAGAAGGCCACGTAGAGACGGAGGCAGAGACTGCAGTGAGGCGGCCACAAGCCCAGGGATGCCTGGAGCCCCCAGGAGCTGGGAGAGTTAGGAAGGACCCTCCCCTACAGCCTCCAGAGGGAACACGGCCCTGAGACACCTTCTTCTCAGACTGCTGGATGCCAGGACTGGGACAGGAAAAATTCTTGTTGTAAAAGCTTCTGGGTTTGGGGTCATTTGTGTGGCAGACGTAGGATGTCAGTCACCAGGAGATCACGGATCAAAGCCGAGAAACACTGGGATGAGGGCCCTAGGTTATCCACAGGGGCCTCGATGAATGAGTTGGATGTTTCCTCATGTGTAGCAGTGCACAGAAGGGCAGGAGGAACTGGGTACCAGGCTGACTTTACCTTTCGCGTAAAAGCCCGTCCAAGAGTCACACCGAATGTGTTTCTGGTTGTTTTTTTTTTTTTTTTTTTTGGAGATGGAGTCTCGCTCTGTCGCCCAGGCTGGAGTCCAGTGGTGCCATCTCAGCTCACTGCAACCTCCGCCTCCCGGGTTCAAGCGATTCTCCTGCCTCAGCCTCCCGAGTAGCTGGGACTACATGCACCTGCCACCACAGCTGGCTAATTTTCATATTTGTAGTAGAGACGGGGTTTCGCCATGTTGGCCAGGCTGGTCTTGAACTCCTGACCTCAGGTGATCTGCCTGCCTCGGCCTCCCAAAGTGCTGGGATGTTGCAGGCGTGAGCCAACGTGCCCAGTGTGTTTCTGTTAAGACACGCGAAGCCGTGGTTCTCCCCTGGGCTCCGTCCTCTTGCTTTTGCTTTTTGAGTTCTCCAGTAATACGAGTACCCTTTACTTTTTGTATCCCATTTTTTATCTATTTTTTTCTCTCTTTTGGGTGTCTGCAACAACCTGGCTGGCTCGGCTCTCGGCTCTGCAAGACAAATGTTCAGCTTCCTCGCCAGAAAAGAAAAAAGAAAAAAAAAATTCTGGACGGCGTTTCTTGCCTTAAATAAAAAACCGCTTATTCACCTCAATGTGGGAGAAAGCTATGATTATCACACCTATATTTCGGGCCCAGGGTAAGCCGAGAATGTCTCTCTAGAATCCCATAAATCCAACCCTGAAAGGATGAATTCCTCAAACATGAAATTGGGTCCTCACCTGCTTTTCATTATAGGTTTTCAAGAAGTAAATGGTGTTTCCGTTTGTTATTTATATGCTCGTGGAGTGTAATGGTTGTAATGATTAATACTGAATTTCTGAAATTATTCTAAAAAGACACTTCATAAATATTGAACAGAGCTATTATCCGCATGTATCTCCATTTATTTTATTAAAATGGAAATTCAGCAATCATCAATAAAAGCATACTGTGTATTTTGAGAGGGCCCTGGGGAATGGAGTAGAATACAGAATTTTTTTTTTTTTAAACTTCACTACCCTCTCTTCTCTTTCACAGCTGCATTTGAACCCAGTACAATAACTCTGATGATTTCAGGGGAATGTCCCCTTTGGTGGTTTTAGGGGACTGTCCCCAAGGGTTATGTCGACGAATCCGGGAAAAATTTGATCAATAACTGGATGTGAACAGGGATATTCAGAACGAGCCCTGTTTGGACTTGAATTTTCCAACAGGGCAGAAGCATTTGCAAATATTGATAACATACGTTTCCAATCAGACCTGAATTTTGGATATTTTACTTGGAAGACTTCTCTGGAAGTTTGGAGGTCTTCAAAGACAAAATCTTGCTAATCCTCTCACTGGGGCTGAGACAGAGGACAGGATTTCTTTCAGCTTTTTTTTTTTTCTTTTTTTGAGATGGAGTCTTGCTCTGTCGCCCAGGCTGGAGTGCAGTGAGTGGTGCGATCTCAGCTCACTGCAAGCTCCACCTTCCGGGATCAAGTGATTCTCCTGCCTCAGCCTCCCGAGTAGCTGGCACTACAGGCACCTGCCACCATGCCCGGCTAATATTTGTAGTTTTAGTAGAGACTGGGTTTCGCCATGTTACCCAGGCTGATCTCAAAATCCTAGTCTCAAGTGATCCATTCACCCTGGCCGCCCAGAATGCTGGGATGACAGCTCCTTTTACCTATTTTTTTTTTTTTTTTGAGACAGAGTCTCGCTCTGTCACCCAGGCTGGAGTGCAGTGGTGCGATCTCGGCTCACTGCAAGCTCCACCTTCCGGGATCAAGGGATTCTCCTGCCTCAGCCTCCAAAATAGCTGGCAATACAGCCACCGGCCACCATGCCTGGCTAATTTTTTTTAATCTTTTTTTTATTATTATTATACTTTTAAGTTCCAGGGTACATGTGCACAACGTGCAGGTTTGTTACATATGTATTACTAGAGACGGGGTTTCTCCACGTTGTCCAGGCTGGTCTCAAACTCCTGACCTCGGGAGGTCCCCCTACCTCGGCCTCCCGAAGTGCTGGGATGACAAGAATGAGCCACCGCGCCCGGCCAGAATGCCCCAAATTTTAAACCAATAAACCATGATGGGAGTCCCTGGGAATCCAGAGTTCTGATCTAGAATAACTCAGGGACCCCACTCCCCAGTTTGTAAAGTAGGGAGTTACAGGGCAGTCTTGGGGTGAATGAGGTTCAAATGCCTTGTGTAAATTAAAAGGTTAGAGGCGGAGATAACGTTGGCCTCTGGAAACCCTAGCGGGGACAGAGGTGCACCTGGGCTGGACCAACAGACACAGAAATTGTTGCAAAGATGGAAACCATTGCCAATGCTGGTTTGATGGGATTAGGGAAAGCCTCATATATCTGACATCTTTCCTTCTTCAGTTTTCACACAGAAAATCAGAGAAAGGGAAATGCCTGCACACACAAAAAGGGAAATTACTGCACCAAAAAAAAAAATTCTGTACACACACACACACACACAAACACACACACACACACACACACACACACAATTCCCTGGAGAATTTCAGGAATAAAGCCAATCACCATTTATGGGGACAATGGAGAGACACCAGAAAGAAAACTATATACCTTTAAAAGTAATTTTTTTTCCAGGTACAACAGGACTTAAAACAAGTAATGACAATTTTTTTATTTTTATTTTTATTTTTTTGAGAGGGAGTTTCACTCTTGTCACCCAGGCTGGAGTACAGTGGCGCAATCTTGGCTCACGGCAACCTCTGCCTCCTGGGTTCAAGCGATTCTCCTGCCTCAGCCACCTGAGGAGCTGGGATTACAGGCATGCACCACCACGCCCGGCTAATTTTGTATTTTTAGTAGAGACGGGGTTTCACCACGTTGGTCAGGCTGGTCTCCAACTCTTGACCTCAGGTGATCCACCCATCTCGGTCTCCCAAAGTGCTGGGATTACAGGCATGGGCCACCATGCGTGGCCACAACTACCAACACTTTTAAGGTTAAACAGTAAAAGCTATTCTGTCTCTCTCTCCATATATATATATATATATATATATATACACACACACACACACACACACACACAGACACACACATACATACATATATATACATATATACAAATATACATATATACATATATACATATATACACATATACACATATATACACATATATACACATATATACATATATACACATATATACACATATATACGTATATACACATATATACGTATATACACGTATATACATATATACATATATACATATATACACGTATATACATATATACATATATACACGTATATACATATATACATATATACACGTATATACATATATACGTATATACTCATATATACATATATACGTATATATACATATATACACATATATATACATATATACGTATACATACACATATACATACATATGTATACATATATACGTATACTGGGGGAAGGGGAGAATTGGGCATAGCCCCAGACCAGAGGGTTTTATTGAGTCTGAAAATCAATAAATACAGTGTATGGGCTGCAGACAGGATGAGTTATTAGAATATCATGGAGATCACCTGTAAAGATTCTCCGGCAAGCTGGAAATGAGATTACAGGAACTGGGACAGACCCTGGATGCAGAGGTCTCATTAGCAATCCATGCGTACATTAATTAAGGTAAGCAGTGCCTTTGCTTCCTGAAAACCTGCCTTCCTTGATATTTTCCTCGAAGACGCTACAAGTTTTGGAGGGCACTAACCTCTCCTCTTATATGTCGATTGCTTTTTTTTTTCTTTTTTTTTTTTTTGAGACCACGTCCTTCTCTGTCACCCAGGCTGGAATGCACTGGCGCAAGCTCAGGTCACGACAACATCCTCCTCCAGGGTTCAAGTGATTCTCCTGCTTCAGCCTCCCAAGTAGCTGGGATTATAGGCACCTGCCAACACGCTTGGCTGACTTTTGTACTTTTAGTAGAGACGGGGTTTCACCATGTTGGTCAGGCTGGTCTTGAACTCCTGACTTGAAGTGATCTACCTGCCCTCCATCTTTCAAAGTGTTGGGATTACAGACATGAGCCACCGCACCCAGTCCCAACTGCTTTTTAAAAATTGAAAAAATTGAATGTTTATTGACATGCCAATTTTTTTCAATCTGTTTTAAAAATAATATATCCTAAATGGACAGGTGCAGCGGCTCACGCCTGTAATCCCAACACTTTGGGAGGCTGAGGCGGGTGGATCACTTGAGGTCAGGAGTTCGAGACCATCTGGCCAACATGGTGAAAACCCGTCTCTACTAAAAATACAAAATTAGCCAGGCGTGGTGGCGGGCGCCTGCAATCCCAGCTACTCGGGAGGCTGAGGCAGGAGAATAGCTCAAACCCGGGAGGCGGAGGTTGCAGTGAGCCGAGATCACACCACTGCATTCTAGTCAGAACGTTCTCATCACCCCAAATGGAGACCCTGTACCCGCAAAGCAGTGACTCCCCGTGCCCCATCCCCCAGCCCCTGTGGCAACCACGAATCCACTTTCTGTCTTTGTCGGTTTACCTTTTGTACACATTTCATGTAAATGGACTCATATAATGGGTGAGGTAAATATTTGTTGTTGTTTTTGTTGTTTTTGAGACAGAATCTCGCTCTGTTTCCCAGGCTGGAGTGCAGTGGCGCAATCTCGGCTCACTGCAAGCTCCACCTCCTGGGTTCAAGCGATTCTCCTGCCTCAGCCTCCCGAGTAGCTGGGACTACAGGCACCCGCCACCACGCCTGCCTAAGTTTTTGTATTTTTAGTAGAGACGGGGGTTTCACCATGTTGGCCAGGCTGGTCTTGAACTCTTGACCTCAGGTGATCCACCCGCCTCGGCCTCCCAAAGTGCTGGGATGGGATTATAGGCGTGAGCCACCATGCCAGGCCAGTAAAATATTTTTTGTTGTTGTTTGTTTCTGTTTTTGTTTGAGACAGAGTCTTGCTCTGTCTCTCAGGCTGGAGTGCAGTGGTGCGATCTCGGCTCACTGTAACCTCCACCCACCAGGTTCAAGCCATTCTCCTGCCTCAGCCTCCTGAGTAGCTGGGATCACAGGTGCACACCACCACGCCTGGCTAATTTTTGTAGTTTTAGTAGAGACGGGGTTTCACCATGTTGGTCAGGCTGGTCTCGAACTCCTGACCTCAGGTGATCCATCCACCCTGACCTCCCAAAGTGCTAGGATTACAGGCATGAACCACTGCACCCGGTGAGATAAAATATTTTGTATCTGGCTTTTTTTCACTGACCATGATCTCTTCAAGGTTCATCCATGCTGTAGCCTGTGTCAGAGCCTCATTCCTTTTCATGGCTGTATAATATTCCACAGTGTGGTTGGAGCACATTCTGTTTCTCTGTTTGTCAGCTGAGGACCATGGCTATTTCCACCTTTTGGCTATTGTGAGTAACACTGCTGTGAACATGTATGTACATGTTTTGGTTAAATATCTCTGTTTTCATTCCTTTTGGGTAGCTGTTGAGAAGTAGAATGGCTGGGCTGTATGGGAATTTGACGTTTGACTTTTTTCATTCTTTGATGAACCAATAGCTAGAGTTTTGCTTGCTGCACTGACAAGACAAGCAAGATATACAACTCATATTGGTCTATACTTCATCCACGCATTCCCAGGCCATTTCCCTGAAAGTGGTGTCCAGAACTGGGGGCAGGAAGAGCTGACCAAGTGAGCAAATGACCAGAAAGGGCTGGAGGGCAAGGATGGTGACCAGGGCCGCTGTCGCAGCAGGTGCAGTGAGTTTACCAAGCATCTAGTCCAGCTTCTCATTTCATAGACGGGGAAGCCGAGGGACTCTGAAAAAGGATAGAGCCTCACTAGGAATGGCTGGCCGAGGACTTCCCTGGATATAGACTTCAGAATGGCTGGCCTGGGAAGTCCTGGGATATGCACCTTTGTCATGCAGCTGGAAAAGATGTGCGGGGATGGAATGTTAGTGTAAACACTGAGGGATGATGGGAGTATGGGCATGAAGGTCGAAGCTCAGATACATTGATAATATATAGGTCAATGATAGTTACATGATAGATGAAAGATATATAGATGATGGATATATAATCAATAGATAAGTCAGGTGCGGTGGCTCACGCCTGTAATCCCAGCACTTTGGGAGGCCAAGGCGGGCGGATCGCCTGGGGTCAGGTGTTTGAGACCAGCCTGGCCAATATGGTGAAACCTCGTCTCTACCAAAAATACAAAAATTAGCCAGGCGGGGTGGTGGGCGCCTGTAATCCCAGCTACTCAGGGAGCTGAGGCAGGAGAATTGCTTGAACCTGGGTGGTAGAGGTTGCAGTGAACTGAGATCACGCCACTGCACTCCAGCTTGGGTGACAGAGTAAGACTCTGTCTCAAAAAAAAAAAAAAAATCAGGCCGGGTGCAGTGGCTCATGCCTGTCATCCCACCACTTTGGGAGGTGAAGTGGGTGGATCACATGAGGTCAGGAGTTCGAGACCAGCGTGGCCAACATGGTGAAACTCTGTCTCTACTAAAAATACAAAAATTAGCCAGGTGCCGTGGTGTGCACTTGTAATCCCAGCTACTGAGGAAGCTGAGGCAGGAGAATTGCTTGAACCTGGGTGGCGGACGTTGCAGTGAGCCGAGATCACACCACTGTACTCCAGCCTTGGTGACAGAGTAAGACTCCGTCTCAAAAAAAAAAAAAAAAAAAAATTCAATAGATAGATAACAGATAACATTAATAGCTAGGTAAATAATACATGATTGAGAGATGATAGATAATTGATAAGTAAATAGACGATAGATGAAAGATATTATGTAGGTGATAGCTAGCTAGATGATTGATGAATTTGTACATAGATAGATGATTGACTGATACGGTTTGACTCTGTGTCCCCACTCATCTCTCACATTGAATCATAATGATCCCCATGGGTCAAGGGGGGGACCAGGTGGAGGTAATTGAATTACGGGTGCAGTTTCCCCACACTGGCCTCGTGATAATGAGTGAGTCTCATGAGATCTGAAGGTTTTATAAGCATCTGCCATTTCCCCAGCTGGCACTCCTTCTCTCTCCTGCCGCCCTGTGAAGAGGTGCCTTCCGCCACGATTGTGAGTTTCCTGAGGTCTCCCCAGCCATGTGGAACTGTGAATCCATTGAATCTCTTTGCTTTATAAATTAGGCAGTCTTGGATATGTCTTTATTAGCAGCATGGGAAGAGTCTAATGCTAGAAAATTAGCCAGGTGTGGTGGCTTGAGCCTGTAATCCCAGCTACTTGGGAGGCTGAAGTCGGAGAATCACTTGAACCTGGAAGTTGGAGGTTGCAGTGAGCTGAGATTGAGCCACTGCACCCAGACCTGGGTGAAAGAGCAAGACTTTGTCTTAAAAGGAAAAGAAAAAAACCTCAAAAACAAACAAACAAAACGAACAAAATATTCCATCCCATACCAAGGTTATCCAAACTTGACTTCTGGCAAATTGAGTGTTTTCTGTTACTTACCTAGTATCAACATTTCTTTCTTTCCTCCTTTCTTTCTTTCTTTCCTCTCTTTCTTTCTTCATTTCTCTCTCTTCTTTCTCTTTCTTCATTTCTCTCTCTTCTTTCTCTCTCTCTTTCTTTCTTTCTTTCTTTCCCTTTCTTTCTTTCTTTTTTCTTTTTTTTTGAGATGGAGTTTTGCTCTTGTTGCCCAGGCTGGAGTGCAGTGGTGCCATCTTAGCTCACTGCAACCTCCACCTCCCAGGTCAAGCGATTCTCCTGCCTCCCAGGTAGCTGGGATTACAGGCGCCCACCACCATGCCCGGCTGTTTTTTTGTATTTTTAGTTGGGACTGGGTTTCACCAAGTTGGCCAGGCTGGTCTCAAACTCCTGACCTCAGGTGATCCACCCACCTCGGCCTCCCAAAGTGCTGGGATGACAGGAGTGAGTCAAAATATTTTTTCGTGTTGTGTGTTTTTGTTTGTGTTTTTGAGACAGAGTCTCGTTCTGTCACCTAGGCTGGAGCGATCTCAGCTCAGGGCAACCTCCATCTCCTGGGTTCAAACCATTCTTCTGCCTCAGCCTCCAGAATAGCTGGGATTACAGGCGCCCACCATCACGCCTGGCTAATTTTTGTATTTTTAGTAGAGACAGGGTTTCACGATGTTGGCCAGGCTGGCCTCGAACTCCTGACCTCAGGTGATCCACCCACCTCAGCCTCCCAAAGTGCTGGGATTGTAGACATGAGCCACCACGGCCGGCCACACCATTACTTAAATGACATTGAAAAGCACTTCCCTGGAAGCCAGATCCAGGCTGTTTCACAGTTATGGCAGTGGAGGACTTCCCAGAGCTGCTGGGCAGTTGTCCAAAAACCAATCTCTAAGTGGTGCTTTTTGGCAGCTCTAAAGGTGCAAACTTCATGGGCCTACACAAAATTGCACACGGGCTTAGCGTGCGTGGGGTCCCTTGGAACGTAGGCATCTTTGCACTTCTAGGTGGCCTTCCTTCTGAGCAGGGGGTATCTGGCTGCCTGTGGCTTTTCTCCAGCAGGAAGGGGGGTATGTGCATTGGCAGACATCAATGAGCATGAGAGATATGAATAGGGCTGAGAACGGCAGACTCTGCCCTGGATGGTGGGAGATACTCGCCAGAGGTGGCATTTCTTCTTCTGAGTTGGTCAGCACGACATGCACCCGTGGCAGCCTCTGGGACAGTTTTCTGATCCATAACAAACTTAATGGACTTGGGTGGTCTCTAGGTTCTCTGGCTTCTGACGCTACATGAACTGATGTATTAGTCAGTTCTTCCATTGCTACAGACAAATACCTGAGACTGAGTAATTTATAAAGAAGAGAGGTTGGCCAGGCACGGTAGCTCAAGCCTGTAATCCCAGCACTTTGGGAGGCTGAGGTGGGTGGATCACCTGAGGTCAAGGGTTCAAGACCAGCCTGGCCAACATGGTGAAACCCCATCTCTAGTAAACATACAAATAATTAGTTGGGCGTGATGGTGTGGGCCTGAAATCCCAGCTACTCAGGAGGGTGAGGCAGGAGAGTCACTTGAACCCAGGAGGTGGAAGTTACAGTCAGCTGACATAGCACCACTGCACTCCAGCATGGACAACAGAGTGAGACTCCATCTAGGAAGAAAGCAAGAAGGCAAGAAAGCAAGAAAGCAAGCAAGCAAGCAGGAAAGAAAGAAAGGAAGAAAAAAAGAAAGAAAGGAAGAAAGCAAGCAAATAAGAAAGCAAGAAAGCAAGCAAGCAAGAAAGAAAGAAAAAGAAATTAAGAAAGCAAGCAAGTAAGAAAGAAAGCAAGCAAGAAAGAAAGAAAGTAAGAAAGCAAGCAAGTAATAAAGCAAGAAAGAAAGAAGGAAAAGAAAGAAAGTAAGAAAGCAAGCAAGCAAGCAAGACAGAAAGTTAGAAATTAAGAAAGCAAACAAGTAAGAAAGAAAGAAGGAAAGAAAGAAGAAAAGAAAGAAAACAAGTAAGAAAGCAAGCAAGTGAGAAAGAAAGAAAGAAAGAAAGAAAGAAAGAAAGAAAGAAAGAAAGAAAGAAAGAAAAGAAAAGAAAAGAAAGACAGACTTTCCATCTGATGCTACGCTCACTATTTAAGGGATGTGTTCCATGGAAGCTCAAGCCTCCGCTTCAGACAATATATCCATATAACAATCCTGCACACGTGCCCCCGAATCTAAAATAAAAATGAAAAAAGAAACCACTTTCCACGAGCTATTTCTTTTTTTTTTTTTTTTTTTTTTTGGATTTTTTAGTAGAGACGGGGTTTGGCCCTGTTGGCCAGGCTGGTCTCGAACTCCTGACTTCCGATGATCCACCCACCTCAGCCTCCCAAAGTGCTGGGATTACAGGTGTGAGCCACCGGGCCTGGCCTTTTGTTTGTTTTGTGTTTTTTGAGATGGAGTCTCTTCTCTCACCCAGGCTGGAGGGCAGTGGCATGATCTTGGCTCACAGCAACCTCTGTCTCCTGGGTTCACGCGATTCTCCTGCCTCAGCCTCCCGAGTAGCTGTAAACTTTCACAACTGCGAATTTTTTCTCCTTCTCACTGTCCCCAGGGACAGTGTCCCAGGGAAGGGACAGCCCTTCCCAATTCGATCTCCCTTGTCAAGCCTGTTAGTGCCTCAACTTCCACTTTGAAAAGTCACGTCAACGCTGCCTGAATGTGCGGTTGTCCTTAAAAGACCGTTTGAATGAATTGTATTGTGTTTAGTGCAAGGACAAGGAGGATTGGGGTGGAAATGTGGAAGGGAAACCTCATCCCTGTGTGTGTGTGTGTGTGTGTGTGTGTGTGTGTGTGTGTGTGTGTGTGTGACATTAACGTGCTGCCACTCAAATGCACCTGTTTCCTCTCAAGGAAAGTCACTTTCAAGAAAGATGCGGTGGAAAGTCGTTTGTTTGTGATCACCGGCGTGTTGGAACACCGGGCTGGTGAAAGCAAATAATGCTGTTACCTCGTCGTCATACTGTCACTGGATACGTTTTCCTGGGGTGCAGGGAAGCTCCTTCTGATATAATACAGGGTGAAGAGATTCCCCCAAGAAGCCGTTGTTTCGGAGTCGAAACAAAGAAAAGCTTTTGCAAAACCCCCTGTCTCTAATTTCGTTTTAGAAAATTAGATACTCAGAATTTTGCCTAAGATAACTGTATTACCGGGATGCAATTTGCTGTAGGTTGCTAGCTTTCCTGCGCGGGATCCCTTAATAAAAAGTGTCAGTTAAAATGAAAATACAGCTTGGGTAATTAAATTTAATTGGATCTTGTCACTTTACATCCGCTTCGTTTTGGAGGGTTTCTACGGAATTGCAGCTACCCGGTTTGCTAATTTCTTGACGGCAAGCTGCTGAGGAGAAGCTGACCCTCCTCTAATCAACTGACACCCTGTTTTTGCCAGGACTCTGAACCCTGCTAGTGACGATAAACAAAGAAAAGGGAAGGAAGGGCTTAGGGTAGGAAAAGAGGGGGATGGAGTTATCTGTGGGTGATTAACTTGTTCTCCCAGCGAGTGAGCTGCTATTGTTACCATTTGCAGGGGAGGAATCCCAGCTCTGAGAAAAGGCAGTGATTTTTCCTACCAGGACGGATTTCCATCCCTGCGATATAATATCCGCAGATGTTTCTTCTAAACACTGTGAGCACCTACAGGGCAGCCACCCTTTACTCAGAGAGAGCCAATGCTCTTAATGCATGATGGTTCTGGAGGCCACGTCTCCCAAATCAGCCTCTCTGCGCTACCGTGAACGGGTGTGCAGGACTGAGTTCCTTCTGCAGGTTCCAGGAGACAATCTGTACTTTGGTGTTTTCTGGGTCCTACAGGAAACCCACAACCCTTGGCTCCTGGCTACGCGTCTCCTCTCCTTCTTCCTCTTCTGTCTCCTAATCTCCGCCTGTCTTCATCACACAAGGACCCTTGGGATTCCATCGGCCCACGTGGATAATCCCAGGTCACCTGTCCATCTGCCCGTAACTGAATCACATCTGGAAGCACCTGTTGCTATGAGTGCTCACATGCTCGTAGCTTCTAAAGATTGGGACCTGGGTATCGTTGGAGGTCCTCATTGAGCTGATCATGGGGAATAGAGAGTGTCAGGCCTCTGAGCCCGAGCTAAGCCATCATATCCCCTGTGACCTGCACGCATACATCCGGATGGCCTGAAGCAACTGAACATCCACAAAAGAAGTGAAAATGGCCAGTTCCTGCCTTCACTGTTGACATTCCACCATTGTGATTTGTTTCTGCCCAACCGTAACTGACCAATGTTGTTTATAATCTCCCCTACCCTCAAGAGGGTTCTTTGTAATCTCCCTAACCCTTAAGAAGGTTCTTTGCGATTCTCCCCACCTTTCAGAATGTACTTTCTGAGATCCATCCCCTGTCCCCAAAGCATTGCTCCTATAACTCCACCGCCTGTCCCCAAACCTATAAGAACTAATGATAATCCCACCACCCTTTGCTGACTCTCTTTTTGGAAACAGCCCGCCTGCACCCAGGTGATTAAAAAGCTGTATTGCTCACACAAAGCCTGTTTGGTGGTCTCTTCACACGGACGCGTGAGACAGAGATATTCCAGCAAATATCGGTCAGTGAGGGCTTGAGAAAGGGGGGAGGCCAAAGACTGGTCTACACCGGCTGACCCCGCCTGCCGGCTCACAGGGCATTTTCTCCTGGGGCCAGAGTTCCATCTCCCACCACAGCTCTGCAGACACAGCATCCAAAAATCAAGAATGCTGGATGCATGGAGAGAGTGGGCTTATCCTGAAGTCTGAGGAAAGAAGGAAGGAAGGAAATAAGGAAGGAAAGAAAGTAGGGAGGAAAGAAAGAAGGAGGGAAGGAATGGAGGAAGGAAGATTGGCTCAAGTTATCCTCCCACCTCATCCTCCCGGTAGCTGCACTGTAAGTCTGGATTGTAAAAGTTAAAGGAAACGGGGCCGAGCGCAGTGCCTCACGCCTGTCATCCCAGCACTTTGGGAGGCCAAGGTGGGTGGATCACTTGAAGTCAGGAGTTCGAGACCAGCCTGGCCAACATGCTGAAGCCCCGTCTCTACTAAAAATACAAACATTAGCCACGCCTGGTGGCGGGTGCCTGTAATCCCAGATACTCGGGAGGCTGAGGCAGGAGAATTGCTTGAACCTGGGAGGTGGACGTTGCAGTGAGCCGAGATCATACTCCTGCACGCCAGCCTGGGCAACAGAGCGAAACTCCATCTGAAACGAAACAAAGCATTTAAGGAAAGGATTGCCGATGCCCTCGGATAATTCTCCTTAGAGACAGTTGCCCAGATTTCAAGTTTTTTTCTATTTGAACAAATAGGTGGATATACATGGTGGGTGTAGACTGTCAAATACATAAACCTCAAAATCTACAAAGTCTTCACAGAGGTGTGGGCTGCACTCTGAAAAAAAAAAAAAAAAAAACTTTGGGAGGTGGAGGCAGGAGGATCACTTGAGCCCAGGAGTTCAATACCAGCCGGGACAACACAGTGAGACCCTGTCTCTACCAAAAACAATAAACAAATATTAACCAGAATAGTGGCACACACCTGTAGTCCAGCTACCTGGGAGGATGAGGTGGGAGGATAACTTGAGCCAATCTTCCTTCCTTCCTTGCTTCCTTCCTTCCCCTCTTTCTCTTTCCTTCCATACTTCCCTCTTTCCTTTCTTCTCTTCCCTTTTCCTTTCCTTCTTCCTTTCTTACAAATAAATAATGAGTATAATAAAAAATAAATAAATAATAAATAAATAATGAAATTAAAAATAAAATAAATCAATTAGTAAAATAAAAACAGAAAAGGTTTTTACTTTATAATAATACTATTAATATTAATAGTATTATTATTATTTGAGATGGAGTCTCTCTCTGTCGCCCAGGCTGGAGTGCAGTGGTGTGATCTCGGCTCCCTGCAACCTCCACCTCCCGGGTTCAAGTGATTCTCCTGCCTCAGTCTCCCAAGTAGCTGGGATTACAGGCATGTGCCACCATGCCTGGCTAATTTTTGTATTTTTAGTAGACATGGGGTTTCACCACTTTGGCCCCTTGCTGGGTGAGAGGGTCTCCTGCCACACATCCCAGCCTCTCTGGGAGCCTCCATCTGCAGAAGGATGCACTGACTGTCTGTCTCTAGTTGTGCTGACCCACCCTCCCTGCACCTCTTTGTCTGTAGATTCAAAGCTGTGTAGGAAGTAGCTTTTGACAGCCTGGCATATCATGTCTTATGTAAAACCTTCTAATTTATAGAGGGCCTCAGGTTTAATCTTACACATTCTCCCGCCGTATCCTAAATTATCAATCATTTTAATGACATGTAAAAAAAAATAACAAGCAAATCTTAGAGGACATCCTTATCGCCTATTTTAATACAATTTCCTAAATCAAACATCATAGGGAAGCTCATATAAAAAACTTACGCCTAGCAAGAAATTAAAGAAATATGTACTTAGGGCAATCAACGTTACACGGATAGACTTACCAGATCTTTAATTTTATACAAACGAGCTTCTCTTCGTATTAAAAGACGCATCTGGCTTTTTGAATGACAGACTCACCGGGTCCACATATGCAGAGACGTCTTTGGAATCATAAATACTAGCTAGCAACAGTCCTACATTAAACTTCAGGTCTTAATCAGGTCTTACACCACGTGCATTCTTTGTTGTTGTTGTTTTGTTTTTTTGAGATGGAGTCTCGCTTCTGTCACCCAGGCTGGAGTGCAGTGGCGTGATCTCTGCTCACTGCAACCTCTGCCTCCCAGGCTCAAGCGATTCTCCTGCCTCAGCCTCCTGAGTATGTGGGATTAATAGGTGCCTGCCACCACGCCTGGCTAATTTTTTGTGTTTTTAGTAGAG
Organism: Homo sapiens; assembly: GCF_000001405.40. NCBI lineage: Eukaryota > Metazoa > Chordata > Mammalia > Primates > Hominidae > Homo > Homo sapiens. The sequence continues at coordinate 809,018 of NC_000024.10, forward strand.
ATGGGTTTTCACCATGTTGGCCAGGCTGGTCTCGAACTCCTGACCTCCTGATCCGCCCGCCTCGGCCTCCCAAAGTGCTGGGATAACAGGGGTAAGCCACCACGCCCGGCCATATTCCTGCTGTTTTAAACCCATCTGTGCATTGGACTTTGCTACCGCAGCCCTACGATGCTGATGAGGATGGTGATTTTTGTTTGCTAAATCATAGGTTTCTGCCTGTTTAGAAGGCAATTTAAGCGCGAATGAAATGAATCTGCTATCTGTGCAGGGCCCTCGCCAGCCATCTAACCAGCCATCTTCGACGTGGCCACTACCCCTTATTAGCAGCAGTTCCTGGCACCCACAGCCTCCCACACCCAGAAAGCAAACTTACAGTTTGACCACCAAAATTTAAAAGTATGTGGCTGTACGGATGACCCCGCTTGTTTGAACTCCCAAGGAACAGAGGAGCTCTTGTTTTACAAGTTTATTGCACGATGATATACTTTAATTTTATACAAACGAGCTTCTCTTCGTATTAAAAGATGGTATACAGTGGAGAGAGTATGTTTGGATGTTGGAAAAAAATCTCGGAAAGAGAGAGTCTTTTGTAACTGGGTATACACAGGTGCCAGCCTCTTGCTGTCCATTTGGGAGAGTGCTTTTTTAGAAATTTTTGAAACAGGGTCTGGCTAGGCTGCCCAGGCAACAGTGCAATGGTGCAATTATAACTCACTGCAGCCTCAATCTCCTGGGCTCAAGCAGTCCTCCTGCCTCAGCCTCCTGGGTAGCTGGGACTACAGGAGTGTGCCACCAAAGTCAGCTAATTTTTTATTTTTTACTTTTTGTAGAGGTGGGGTCTTGCTACATTGCCCAGTCTGGTCTCAAACTCACAGGCTCAAGCAGTCCTCCTGCCTCAGCCTCCTGGGTAGCTGGGACTACAGGCTTGTGCCACCACAGTCAGCTAATTTTTTATTTTTTACTTTTTGTAGAGGTGGGGTCTTGCTACATTGCCCAGTCTGGTCTCACACTCAGAGGATCTCCTGCTTCAGCCTCCCAAAGTGCTGGGATGACAGGCATGCACCACCACATCCTGCCAGTTTGAGCCAGTTCTATTCCCATGTCCCAGAGCTTCATTGGACCAATGACCGGGCATTTCATTCCCTCTTCCCCAAGAACTGAAGCGGATGAGCTTTCTCTTGGATGTTGTATGTTAGTGCTGGGATCTGTCAGTAGAGAAGGGTGCATGCCTGCCTTTTTGGAGCACACACATATAGACACACAGACACTCTCTCAGTGGCTCTTGACCTCTAACCATCAAGGCTGGGTGCGTGCATGGCCCCAGGATCCCAAGCATCCCTCAGGGGCTGACACTGATTGTTCGGTCTTCTGGTCAACCACTCAGTAAGTTCTTCCTCAGGCTCCTTGCTCACCTTGGCCACCATCCCCACTCTAAACGTTCCGGGGGCTCTCCTGTCCTGGCTGCAATGATGCCCCAGGATTCTTGGGGACAGGGGATTCTATGGGGACTCACCGAAGAATGAGAAGGGTAGCAAGATAGTTAGATCATAGCTAAATAGATAATAGGTAGATGATAAATAGATAGATGAAAGAGAGTAGATAGATGGTAGCTATAGGTGATAGATAGACAGATAATAGGTAGATGATAGGAAGGTAGTAGATAGATGTAGATTAGATAGACAGATAGGCAGATGATGGAATGTGAGTAGATGAATAGATAGATGATAGATAGATACATACATACGTACATATATACATACATAAATACATGATAGGATGTAATGGATAAAAGATAGAGGCACAGATGATAGAATGTGCGTGGATGAATAGATAAAAGATAGATAAAAGGATGTGAATGTATGAATAGACAGATAACAGATGGATGGATGGATAGATAATAGGATATGAGTGGATGAATAGATAGATAAACAGATGATAGGATGTTAGTGGATGAATAGATAGATGGATAGATAGATGTGATGGTGGGTGGATAGGTGGATGAACAGATAGATAGATATATGGATAGGTGAATAGATAGATACTAGACAGATGTGATGGGTGGATGGATAGATGGATGGATGAATAGATTGATAGATTGATCAATAGATAGAGAGATGATATATGGATTTCTTTTAATAGATATGACAGATAGTAGACAGATGATAGATGAATAGATGGATAGTTATTAATAGATAGATAGACAGAAAGATGATAGAATGTGAGTGGATGAATTGATAGATGATAGATAGATAGATAATATATAGATAAGATAGATACATAAATAGATACATAGATAATAGGATGTAATGGATAAAAGATAGATATACAGATGATAGAATGTGAGTGGATGAATAGATAAATGATAGATGATAGAATGTTAGTGAATGAATAGACAAATGATAGATAATAGGATGTGAATGTATGAATACGTAGATAATAGATGGGTGGATGGCTACATAGGTAGATAGATAGACACATAGATTGATAGATAGGTAGATAGATAGATAGATGATAGATAATAGGATATGAGTGGATGAATAGACAGATAGATGATAGATAGATAATAGGATATGAGTGGATGAATAGATAGATACATAGATGTGATGGTGGATGAACAGATAGATACATGGATAGATGAACAGATAGATACTAGATAGACATGATGGATGGATGGATGGATGGATGGATGGATGGATGGATGGATAGATCGATCAATAGATAGATGATAGATAGATAGATAGATAGATAGATAGATAGATAGATAGATAGACAGATAGATAGACCTTCATGAAAAAATTCCCTACATTTAGTAGAATGCACTAGGACCTTACCCCTGGGGATGCTGAAACTTAAGTTGAGATTTGGGTCAACAACACAATGATTGTTTTCCAGGACGTGGCATCTGCTGATTCTGGGGACCAGCCTGAGGGAAGGCACGAATTTTGTCCTCCTTCTTCCAGAAGGAGGCCTCTTTGCAAATGGTTCTTGGGGAGAAAGTTTGCCTCTGGCTCTTTGGTATATTTCTGCATCTCAAGGGACATTTCTATCTCAACCTAATACTGAATTCCTCTTGGATGAGTCTCAAAATCATGGTGTTTCTCTTCAGTTTCATGACTGGAGGGGGTGAGAGTCGGTGGGGTGGACACACCCATCCTCAGGACAGAGTCAGCAAGGAAATAAATATACTCCTGGTTCTCTAGTGGAGAGTTTAGCAATTTAACCTGAGAGGTTGGAGACTACCTACTCTATTTTCACGAGCAGTCTTGGATTTGGGGCCTCACTAAAGAAACTCATAAAATGCAAAGCACAGATGTAGAAAATGACCAAGAAAGAAAACAACTCGAAAATCAGTTTTAGGATGAGCCCAGGTTAAAAACGCAGCATACAAGCTGGGTGACGTGGCTCATGCCTGTCATCCCAGCACTTTGGAGGCTGAGGTGGGAGGATCACCTGAGGTCAGGAGTTTGAGACCAGCCTCACCAACATGGTGAAACCCCGTCTCTACTAAAAGTACAAAAATTAGCTGAGTGTGCTGGTGCGCACCTGTAATCTCAGGTACCCGGGAGGCTGAGGCAGGAGAATCGCTTGAACCTGGGAGGCGGAGGTTGCAGTGAGCTGAGATCATGCCACTGCACTCCAGCCTGGGGGACAGTGTGAGAGTTTGTCTCAACAAGCAAAACAAACAAACAAACAAACAAAAACCCCACAACATAATTCATTCGAACCCATTCTTAGTCATCTTTGTGAGATTAAAAAACCACAAATTCTGATTCACTGGGATAGGGTTGAGACAGAAATCCATGCGAGTTTGAAAAGCATGTAAATTAGCTCAGACATTTTCAAGCACACACGGGGATTAAAACTCAGCCAACAGCTCTTCACTGTTGGGCCGCTCTATTACCAGGACTTTGATAAAAAGATGAAAGTGCACTGAAATGGTGGTCTTCAGTAGGTGAACTCTTCTGCTCAGAGGTTTTCCTATAGCTGAGATATTCTCCTGTGTCTTGTCCCTGCCTTTACTTTCACATATTAGTAGAGAATGAAAAGTTGAAGAATTTGACTTCACTTTGGGTGTTCGTTGGTGCAATGGATATGGTTGTCTGTTGAAGGGAGTGAACCTCTGAAAACGAAGCCATGGGCTGGCTCTCAGAGCTAAGATAAAATATAAGATGTCATGAAGACCAAAGAGAGGAGAACCAGTGAAACTGGAATACAGAGTCCCAGACAATACCCTGGCTGGGTGGAGAAGATGCATGGATTTCATTGATAAGAGACTGCAGGATTGTAAGACAGATGTACAAAATGGCTCAGAGAGAAAACTTGGGGTCTTTCTCTAGCCTGCTCCCAACATCTGATTTCTTTTTTCTTTCTTTCTTTTTTTTTTTTTTTGAGATGGAGTCTTGCTCTTTCACCCAAGCTGGAGTGCAATGGTGTGATCTCAGCTCACTGCAACCTCTGCCTCCGGGTTCATGCAATTTTCCTGCTTCAGCTTCTTGAGTAGTGGGGATTACAGGCGCCTGCCACCATGCCTGGCTAATTTTTGTATTTTTATTAGAGATGGGGTTTTGCCATGTTGACCAGGCTGGTCTCGAACTCCTGACCTCAGGTGATTCACCTGCCTCGACCTCCCGAAGTGCTTTTTAAAAAATTTTCTTAGTATTTTTTTTTTCAAGGAGTCTTCAACAGCAGGAACCACATCTGAATTCTAAACCTCTCTTTTCCAGCTGATGACAACGTTGCCTTCTCTGAGTGTTTGACCCATCAAAGCCAAACTCTTTCTTCCACCATCTCCTGAAGGCACCATCTTGGTTGGCCACTGAAGTAGGCTGAATGTTGATGACCTGGAGAAATAGATCCTTGTCCTAATCCCTAAGAAGCAGAGAATGTTCACTTACGTGGTAAAAAGCGTCTTTGCAGACATGATGAATGAAGAATCTTGAGATGAAGAATTATCCTGGATTATCTGGGTGGACTCTACATCCAATGGCAGGTGTCCTTCTGGGAGACAGAAGAAGAGACACAGACACAGAGGAGAAGGCCACGTGGAGACGGAGGCAGAGACTGGAGTGATGCGGCCACAAGCCCAGGGACGCCTGGAGCCCCCAGGAGCTGGGAAAGGCAGAAAGGATCCTCCACTAGAGCCTCCAGAAGGAACTAGACAGAGTTGTAATGGATTGAACAGTGGCCATGAGATAGACACGTTCATGTCCTAACCCCCAGAACCTGGAATGAGATCGCATTTGGAAATAGGGTCTTTGCACATATAATTAGTTAAGGATCTTGAGAGGAAATCGTCTTGGATTAGGGTGGGCTCTAATTCCAATAACAAGCATCCCTGTAGGAGACAGAGGAGGAGACACAGACACAGAGGAGAAGGCCACAAGGAGACGGAGGCAGAGACTGGAGTGATGCGTCCACAAGCCGAGGGATGCCTGGAGCCCCCAGGAGCTGGGAGAGGCAGGAAGGACCCTCCCCTGGGGCCTCCAGAAGGAACTGGATACAATTGTAATGGATTGAACAGTGGCTGTCGGAAAGACGTATTCATGTCCTAACTCCCAGGACCTGGAATGAGATCGCATTTGGAAATAGGGTCTTTGCACATATAATTAGTTAAGGATCTTGAGAGGAAATCGTCTTGGATTAGGGTGGGCTCTAATTCCAATAACAAGCATCCCTGTAGGAGACAGAGGAGGAGACACAGACACAGAGGAGAAGGCCACAAGGAGACGGAGGCAGAGACTGGAGTGATGCGGCCACAAGCCGAGGGATGCCTGGAGCCCCCAGGAGCTGGGAGAGGCAGGAAGGACCCTCCCCTGGGGCCTCCAGAAGGAACTGGATACAATTGTAATGGATTGAACAGTGGCTGTCGGAAAGACGTATTCATGTCCTAACTCCCAGGACCTGGAATGAGATCGCATTTGGAAATAGGGTCTTTGCACATATAATTAGTTAAGGATCTTGAGAGGAAATCGTCTTGGATTAGGGTGGGCTCTAATTCCAATAACAAGCATCCCTGTAGGAGACAGAGGAGGAGACACAGACACAGAGGAGGAGGCCACATAGAAATGACGGCAGAGTCCATCTAATTCAGGACACTCTCAACTTGAAATCCTGAATTTAACGTGTCTGTAAACACCTTATTTTTAATTAAGGTTACAAATAGTGTCCTGGCAACGGTGTGTTTTAGGGGACACTTTAAGCTAATACAGAGAGTGACAGCTGATTCTTGTAATTATCACAGAAAGGGAATTTTCATTTGCTGGAAGAGAGAAGAAAGCAGAAATTAAACAGGCAGTTTCTTCCACGTTGCTTTGGGCTCTGTTTGATTGCATTTACTCCAACCTCTGATGCCCTGAAGTGAAGGGTTTGGACTACAAACCTCAAATGGGCTTCCAGCTCCAGGAATTTATGAACTTGCATTTTTTTTTTTTTGTTTTTGGTCTTTTGACAGAGGCCCTGAAGCGGCTACAGTAGAAGAAAAACAAATCTTCTACGAACAGAGAATTACTCTGGAAGGTCAAAAGCTAAGCTTAAAAGGATCTATTAAAACTCAACAGCAAGGCTGGGCGCTGTGGCTCACTCCTATAATCCCAGCACTTTTGGAGGCTGAGGCGGGAGGATCACCTGAGGTCAGGAGTTCGAGACCAGCCTGGCCAGCATGGTGAAATCCCGACTCTACTAAAAATACAATAATTAGCCAGGCATGGTGGCGGGCGCCTGTAATCCGAGCTACTCGGGAGGCTGAGGCAGGAAAACCACTTGAACCTGGGAGGCGGAGGTTGCAGTGAGTGGAGATCGCACCACTGCACTCCAGCCTGGGCGATGGAGCGAGACTCCATCTCAAAGAAAACAAACAAAGAAACAAAAACAAACAAACAAAACCCCTCAACATCAAAAGGACAAACAACCCAATTAAAAAGTAGGCAAAGAACTAAAATAGACATTTCTCCAAAAGAAGATAAAGAAATGGCCAAGAAGGGCATGCAGAGATGCCCAGCATCACTTACCATTACTGACGTCAAAACCGCGTTGAGAGACGGCCTCACACCCACGAGGATGGCAAGAAGGATAGTTGAGGCAATATTAGCAAGCGTTGATGAGAATGTGGAGAAACTGGAAGTCCTGTCTACTGCTGGAGGGTAAAATGGCACAGCCGCTGTGGGAAATGGCATGCACCTCACCAAAAAATGAAACATAGACTTATCCTACGATCGCATGATCTCACTCCTGGCTGTGTGCACCCAAAATAACTAAAAACAGACTCAAAGAAATACCAGAGCACAAAGAGCGGTGGTGCATGTGCCTGTCATCCCAGCTACTCGGGAGGCTGAGGCAGGAGAATTGCTTGAACCCAGGAGGAGGAGGCTGTGGTGAGCCAAGGTTGCGCCACTGCACTCCAGCCTGGGCGACAGAGCGAGTCTCCATCTCAAATAAATAAATAAATAAACACCACACCTGTAATCCCAGCACTTTTGGGAGGCTGAGGCGGGCAGATCCCGAGGTCAGGAGTTCGAGACCAGTCTGGCCAACGTAGTGAAACCCCCGTCTCTACTAAAAAATACAAAACAATTAGCCGGGTGTGGCCGTGCACGCCTGTAATCCCAGCTGCTTGGGAGGCTGAGGCGGAAAAATGGCTTGAACCCGGGAGGCGGGGAGGTTGCAGTGAGCCGAGGTTGTGCCATTGCACTGCAGCCTGGGAGACAGTGAGAGACTCCATCTCAAAATAAAAAATAACATAAAATAAATAAATAATAAATAAATAGAATCTCCAGTCCTTGGGCTCAGGGCTATTTGTACACACAACTACAGGGAGACTTTGGGTTTCCCGGTTCGGTTTTCCTTTAATCCGAAAGCTCTTCTGGAAAGAAAGTGATATTTCACCTGTTAAAGCTGCTGAATTATTCTCAAGCGGGTTCCGCGTATCTTGCACCTGTATTGGCCGATGAGCGTGAGAGACGCTCCCATCTCGTTACTGGGAGAGGTGGGACTGGGGGGCTTCATCGCCAGAGGGATGAGGGGCTCGAGGTACTTACCTTTGTGGTGGGGACATTAACTACAGCATAGCCTGAATCTTGTGATGTTGAACCGTGCACGGCGGCACTGCCTCGGGGTCTCCCCAAGAGGCTGTTGATGTCTGTTTTACTTTTTTTATATTTATTTATTTATTTGAGATGGAGTCTCGTGCTGTCACCCAGGCTGGAGTGCAATGGCACGATCGTGACTCACTGCAATCTCTGTCTCCCGGGTTCAAACGATTCTCCTGCCTCAGCCTCCAGAGTAGCTGGGATGACAGGCACCCGGCACCACGCCCAGCTAATTTTTGTGTTTTTAGTAGAGACAGGGTTTCACCATGTAGGCCAGGCTGGTTTTGAACTCCCAACCTGCTGATCTGCCTGCCTTGGCCTCCCAAATTGCTGAGATTACAGGCATGAGCCACCACGTCCAGCCTTTATTTTTATTTTTGTTTATTTATTTGAGATGAGTCTCGCTCTGTCTCCCAGGCTGCAGTGTGATGGTGTGATCTTGGCTCACTGCAACCTCCGCCTCCCAGGTTCAAGTGATTCTCCTGCCTCAGCCTCCCGAGTAGCTGGAATTACAGGCACCCGCCACCACGCCCGGCTAATTTTTCTATTTTTAGTAGAGATGGGGTTTCACCATGTTGGCCAGGCTGGTCTCGAACTCCCGACCTCAAGTGATCCACCCGCCTCGGCCTCCCAAAGTGCTGGGATGACAGCCATGAGCCACCACGCCCGGTGGATGATGCCTATTTTATAAATCAACGCCTAGAAAGTTTAGCATGTCCAGAATCTTTCGGAACAGGTGCTACCAGCCACCCACCTGGGCTGGTTCTTTTATTTCATTTCATTTATTTATTTCATATTTTATTTTATTAACATTTTATTTAATGTATTATTTTATTTATTTATTTTATCTTTGATTGTATTAGTATTTTATTTCATTATTTAATTTTATTTTTATTTCATTCTATTTTGTTTGAGACAAGGTCTTACTCTGTCCCCCGGGCTGGAGTGCAGTGGCTCGATCACGGCTCATTGCAGCCTCAAATTCCTGGGGTGAAGCAATCCTCCCATCTCAGCCTCCTGAGTAGCTGGGATTACAGGCACGCACCACTCCTGGCTAATTGAAACTGGGAGACACAGGTTGCAGTGACCCGAGATTTTATAATAATTTTATAATTATTATAATTATAATTTAGCATAATGTTATAATCATAATTATTATTATTATAATTATAATAATGTTATAATTATAATTATAATTATAATAATGTTATAATTATAATTATAATTATAATTATAATAATGTTATAATTATAATTATAATTATAATTATAATAATGTTATAATTATAATTATAATTATAATTATAATAATGTTATAATTATAATTATAATTATAATAATGTTATAATTATAATAATGTTATAATTATAATTATAATTATAATAATGTTATAATTATAATAATGTTATAATTATAATTATAATAATGTTATAATTATAATTATAATAATGTTATAATTATAATTATAATAATGTTATAATTATAATCATAATGTTATAATTATAGTTATAATAATGTTATAATTATAGTTATAATAATGTTATAATTATAATTCTAATTATAATAATGTTATAATTATAATTATATTTATAATTTTATTATAATTATAATTTATAATAATATTTATAATTTTATTATAATTATAATTATAATTTATAATAATATTTATAATTTTATTATAATTATAATTATAATTTATAATAATTTTATAATTATATTTATAAATTATATATTTTATATAATAAAATTATATTATAATTATAATTATAAATTATAATTTATACCACTCCTGGCTAATTTTATAATAATTTTAACATTGAGGTTTCAGTATGGTACCCAGGCTGGTCTCGAACTCCCTGGCTCAAGCAATCCTCCTGCCTCAGGCCTCCCAAAGTGCTGGGATTACAGGTGTGATGTTTATTTATTTATTTATTTGAGACGGAGTCTTGCTCTGTCGCCCAGGCTGGAGTGCAGTGGCACAACCTTGACTCACTGCAGCCTCCACCTCCTGGGTTCAAGCAATTCTCCTGCCTCAGCCTCCTGAGTAGCTGGGATTACAGGCATGCACCACTCCTGGCTAATTGAAACAGGGAGACAGAGGTTGCATTGAGCCGAGATTTTATAATAATTTTATAATCATTATAATTATAATTAATAATAATGTTATAATTATAATTATTATTGTTATAATTATAATAATGTTATAATTATAATTTATAATAATTTTACAATTATAATCATTATAATAATTTGATAATAATTATAATTATAATTATAATAATTTTATAATTATATTTATAAATTATATTATATATTTTATATAATAAAATTATATTATAATTATAATAATAAATTATAATTATAATTTATACCACTCCTGGCTAATTTTATGATAATTTTAACATTGAGGTTTCACTATGGTACCCAGGTTGGTCTCGAACTCCCGGGCTCAAGCAATCCTCCTGCCTCAGGCCTCCCAAAGTGCTGGGATTACAGGTGTCAGCCACTGTGCCTGGCTAATTTTTTTTTTCTTTCAGGTAGAGACGGGGTCTCACTGTGTTGCCCAGGCTTCGGTTTGTCCTTTTAAATAGCCGATCGGGATATTTAGCGTTACGGTTATGCCTGGTTCCATAGCAGGGGTATTGAATGGTATGGAATCAAAATCGGGATATGACATTGTTACTGTAAGATGCTGTGAAACCTGCTCTCCACACTCCCTTGTAAACGGAGACAGGGGGGTTTGCCCCTTGTCCATCTGCGTCTACACATCATCCTGGTAGGGACTGTACCTTTTGCCCGTCTTTCAAGGCAAAAGAATCCTCCTGGTCCCCGGGTGGATATATAGGCTCCTGTTTCCAACGCTGGAGGCTGCAGCTCACCCCGCTGCACCCCACTTACCCACCGCTTCTGATCTGAACTCCGGGCTGATGTGGATTCAGCCAAACTGCCTGCTGTACCCCATTCCCATTCAATCCATTACGCGGCTCCCTCCACCGACTCCTCATCTCCCTGACTTCTAATTTGACAATGACAAAGAGCTCCGCGGTGATTTTAAATTTCATAATTTTAATCTGTCAAGCCTGACATTTAATTACTGCCCTCCTCACCTTGCAGCCACGTACGAGGGGGCTGCTGTGCGTCTTCCTTTAGAATGTATTTTTTCCCCCTTCCGTGGAGGAGTAGACTAATAAATAAGTATATGCATAACTGCCAGGTACAAGACAATGTGCCAGGGATGGTCTATTAGCCCCAAATCTAGACAGATGAGGTTAATCATATTTCCAAGTGCCACTTTATCGTATTAGGAGTGATTAAAGCACAGCCTCGGCCCCCGGATGAGACGTCCGTTGGAAACATGAAACAGGAGACCTGGTCTGTGCAGTTTCATGTGAGCCGTTAGAGAGGCACACAGGGAGGTTGTGGGAGCCTTATGGGAACCCCGATTTGCTGCGCTGCTGGTTGTGGGGTTTGCAAACAAAGCAAGGCAAGCAGGGATTGCTAAGAGATGGCTCTGGGCAGCTGGGGTACGAAGGTTGTTTGGGACACCTGGGGCCGTTCCTTGGGTGTCTGTGGGAGGAAAAGTCTCTCTCCACACGCTGCTGTAATAGCAGGTGTAACAGACTCATCATAACTGGGTTACCTGTGTTGAGACCGTCCACCTTGACTTAGGTCCAAGCTGACTTCTTTTGCTTTTGAGACGGACTCTCATTCTGTCGCCCAGGCTGGAGTGCAGTGGCACGATCTTGGCTCCCTGCAACCTCCACCTCCCTGGTTCAAGCGATTCTCCTGCCTCAGCCTCCCGAGTAGCTGGGATTACAGGCGCCCGCCACCACACCCGGCCAATTTTTGTGTTTTTAGTAGGGACGGGGTTTCACCATGTTGGCCAGGCTGGTCTCGAACTCCTGACCTCAGGTGATCCGCCCGCCTCGGCCTCCCAAAGTGCTGGGATGACAGGCATAAGCCACTGCGCCCAGCCCTTATCCCATAATCTTTCAATTTTTTAAAAATATTTGAAGGCATGCATCATCACATTCTGAGATCTCATGGATGAAGCTGGAAACCATCATTCTCAGCAAACCATCGCAAGGACAGAAAATCAAGTCTACCATGAGAAAGACCCATTCTAATATGCCAAAGCAAAGCATGATGCACCTGGGGAGCCCAATTTCAGGTCAATATGGAAGAAGAGATGTCTCAATGCCAGAGTTGTGTGAGGGTGAAATGGCTTTTAATGACCAGGGTGAAATGTATTTTAGTAGAGACAGGGTTTAATGAGAAGGCGAGTTTCCTTCCGTTGGACATACCCCAGAGACCCCTGTGTCCCACCCAGAGAAAACCAAAGGCAGGTTCCAAGCAAGGGTCAGACGTTGGACTTCACAGCCCTGCACGTCCCTGCTAAGTCTTGGAGTCCATAAGACGTCAGGGGGCTGCCGCCTGTGTCAGCTTCCTCTCTGCAAGTCCAGGGATGGCAAATGGATCACTTCAACATTGAAAATGCATTTTTGTATCAGTGTGGGCTGCAGAATGTCTCCAATGCAAAGAAAAACCTCATCATCCCAGGCAGAGACTTGGCAAATACCTCCTATCTGGAATGTTTGTACAACATGGTCTTAGCCTCCATTCCCATGTTATACATAATTCGTCCCCAGTGGACATAAAACAGTTCGTAACAATGCAAAAAATGCTTATCCTCGTAGTCCAATTGCAGTAAAAACAAAAAACAAAAAAGATCCTGAAAGATTGAATTTTCTTTTCTTATGATACATTCAGAATTGCGGTCCAGAATAATCAAGCCATATTATTTTCCATAAATGTCTGCATTTTTTTCTGGGAAACCCCAAGGGCCCTCTATGCAGAATGAAAAGCTTGGTCTAGCTTGAGATTTGGCAAGAAGCTGTTTAACACGGAGAAGGGCCAGGCAACAGCGGTTCCTCAGGTCATTTCCCACCATAAATAGCTCAGTGCAATTTAGAGAATGAGAGGGAAGTATTTTGTAATTTCACTAAAAGATTAAGAAAATATAATAGTAATTGCCAGGTGGGAAAAAAATCCTTTTTTTTCTGTTTCAAAAATCAGTCAAGAGGAGTTTAGAAAGGAGATCAGATTGGAAGGGGGAGGGTTATTTATTTAATTTTTGTTTTGTTTTATTTTTAAGAGAGAGTCTCGCTGTGTCACCCACGCTGGAGTGCAGTGGTGCAATCTTGGCTCACTGCAACCTCTGCCTCCCAGGCTCAGGTGATTCTCCCGCCTCAGCCTCCCAAGGAGCTGGGATTACAGGCACCCGCCACCACGCCCAGCTAATTTTTGTATTTTTAGTAGAGACGGGGTTTCACCATGTTGGCCAGGCTGGTCTCAAACTCCTGACCTCAAGTGATCCATGTGCCTTGACCTCCCAAAGTGCTGGGATTATCGGCCTGAGCCACCATGCCTGGCCTTACTTAATTTTTTAAATCATTTTATCCTGAGCTTCTAACACACTGGTCATTGGGAGCACATGGTAATCACAAGGAAGAATTTTTAAAGTTTTTTTTAAAAAATGTATCAATGATAATGGGTACATAATAGTTGTATATATTTATGCCGTGCATGTGCTGTTTTGATACAAGCATACAATGTATCGTGATCAAACCAGGGTGACTGGGGTATTTACCACCTCAAGCATTTATCATTTCATTTTATTTATCATTTATCATTTTATTTCATGATGTCAAATCCACTGTTTTAGTTATTTTAAAATATACAATAAGTTATTGTTAAGTATAGTCACCTTACAGTGCTACCAAATAAGAGATCCTTTTCATTCTACCTCACTCCATTTTTAACTTTTTTCAATTATACTTTAAGTTCTAGGATACATGTGCAGAACGTGCAGGTTTGTTGCATAGGTATTCACGTGCCATGGTGGTTTGCTGCACCCATCAACCCCTCATCTACATTAGGTATTTCTCTTAATGCAATCCCACCCCTTGGCCCCCCAGACCCTGACAGGCCCCAGTGTGTGACATTCCCCTCCCTGTGTCCATGTGATCTCATTGTTCAACTCCCACTTATGAGAGAGAACATGCAGTGTTTGGTTTTCTGTTCCTGTGTGAGTTTGCTGAGAATGATGGTTTCCAGCTTCATCCATGTCCCTGCAAAGGACATGAACTCATCCTTTTTCATGGCTGCATAGTATTCCATGGTGTATATATGCCACATTTTCTTTCTCCAGTCCATCATAGCAGTGTATATAGTTATGGGGTATAAGGATATTTTTGTACCCATTACCATCTCTACCATTTCCTTCCTTCCTGCTACTTTTCTCAGCCTTCGGTCACCATCATCCTCCTCTCCATGTCCTTGAGTTTAGTGTTTTTTGTGTAATTTTTAGCTCCCACACATGTGTGAGAACATGTGAAATGTGTCTCTCTGTGCCAGCTTGTTTCACTGAACATAGTGACCTCCTCTTCCATCCATGTTTTTGCAAATGACAGGATCTCTTTTTTTTTTTTTTTTTTTTTTTTTTTTTTTTTTTTTGAGACAGAGTTTTGCTGTTGTTGCCCAGGCTGGAATGCAATGGCTCAATCTGAACACACTGCAACTTCCACCTCCCGGGTTCAAGCAATTCTCCTGCTTGAGCCTCCTGAGTAACTGGGATTACTGGCACCCACCACCATGCCTGACTAATTTTGTCTTTTTTTTTTTTTTTTTTAGTAGAGACAGGGTTTCTCCATGTTGGCCAGGCTGGTCTCGAACTCCCAATCTCAGGTGATCCACCTGCCTCAACTTCCCAAAGTGCTGGGATTACAGGTGTGAGCCACCACACCCGGCCAGGACCTCATTGTTTTTTGTTTTTTTTTCCAGCTGAATACTATTTCCTTGTGATTGACAAATAATAATTATATACATTTCTAGAGCACCATGCAATGTTTTGATACGTGCATAGGATGTGGAATGGTTAGATCAAGCTCATTAACAAATGCATCACCTCACATACGTCTCATCTTTAGGAGGTAAGAGCATTTAAAATCGACTCTTTCAGCAATTTTGAAACATACAATACGTTATTATTAACTATGAGAATGAGAAAGAAGAGGACAAGGAGCTCTCAGAGAAGCAGCAAACATAGGTCCAAGGTCCTCACAACATTGACTTAAGCACCAACTGACTGCCTCTTAATTAGGTGCTTCCAAGTAAATATAACTATCATCTATCAGATATAATACCAGAGACACCATACAATATATACGGTAAGGCCTCACCCAACATCATTAATAGGTTATCAGAAATTACAACTTTCGCTAGGCATCCTGGCTCACACCTGTAATCCCAGCACTTTGGGAGGCTGAGGTGGGTGGATCACCTGAGGTCAAGAGTTCAAGACCAGCCTGGCCAACATAGTGAAACCCCATCTCTACTAAAAAATACAAAAATTAGCTGGGCATGATGGTGCATGCCTATAGTCCCAGCTACTCAGGAGGCTGAGGCAGGACAATCCTTTGAAGCCAGGAGGTGGAGGTTGCAGTGAGCCAAGATCACACCACTGCACTCCAGCCTGAGCAACAGAGTGAGACTCTGTCTCAAAAAGAGAAACTGCAGACCGGGCACAGTGGCTCATGCCTGTAATCCCAGCATTTTGGGAGGCCGAGGCAGGTGCATCATGAAGTCAGGAGATCGAGACCATCCTGGCTAACATGGTGAAACCCCATCTCTACTAAAAACACAAAAAATTAGCCTGGCGTGGTGGCGGGCGCCTGTAGTCCCAGCTACTCGGGAGGCTGAGGCAGGAGAATGGCGTGAACCCGGGAGGCGGAGCTTGCAGTGAGCAGAGATTGCACCACTGCATTCCAGCCTGGGCAACAGAGCGAGACTCCATCTCAAAAAAACAAACTGCAACTTTAAGCAAAATGACTTACGTATAACCTATTTTACCATAGGCCAATTGATATAAACAAGAGTTAAATTCCTAGAGCATACAATAGGTCCTTTTGCTTAAAGTTGCTGCTTTCAAGAACCTATTTGTGATATCAAGTGAGAAGTTACTGTATATGGAAATTATATATTTATTACACCTTTTGTATACATATTGTATATTGCGTATATCTATATGTCTTTACATAAATATGTTCATGTATCTATGTCCATTATATGTATTTTATACATATGTATATATGTATAAAATCTATTTATATATACATATGTATCTGTATACATATGTATATATTTATATGTATCTATTTATATATACATATGCATACATACGTATCTATTTATATATACATATGCATACATACGTATCTATTTATATATACATATGCATACATACGTATCTATTTATATATACATATGCATACATACGTATCTATTTATATATACATATGCATACATACGTATCTATTTATATATACATATGCATACATACGTATCTATTTATATATACATATGCATACATACGTATCTATTTATATATACATATGCATACATACGTATCTATTTATATATACATATGTCTCCACTAGCTTGGTGCAAAAGTTAATGGCAAAAACTGAAATTACTTTTGCATCGACCTGGTATTTATATATATTTTAAGTTTAGGTTTTAATTCTATTGATACAGATTCATTTATATAGATCATTGATACAGATGTCCTGTATTTATGGAAATTGCCCCCACATGTGTCTTTTATATTCATCTATGTATATTATAGACATATGTATGTTTTTATATCTACATGTATATCTTTTTACACACATCACTGGAAATAGACTGTTTAAAATTAACTGAACAGATGATGAAAAAAAAAAACTGTTTAACAAGAAAGTTAAGCCACCTTTTTTTTTTTCTGCCTTCTGAGTTGGACTACATGTGTTTCAATAACAGCGTGCTTTTAAAAAGATATTTTTGAAAAGTTGTGGCTCGTCTGGCTTGTATTAGAGGTTGAATTTTGAGGGAAGTGACATATGTTCCCTAGAAGGCCTCCCTCAGTGACTTCGGTCGGACGATTATTTCGGTGTGTTTACGCAGGTTTTGCTAATTTTAAGTAACTGGATGTTTCCTTCATAACGACCTGCCCGGGGAGGAAGAAGCAACGATTTGTCATCCCATAATCTTCCCCCAGGGTTCTCTGCATTTTTAAAATACAAGTCTAACCAAGATCTCCAAAAGGCATCTGAAAAATGTTTTTATGTGTGGAAACTGTTCATTTCTCCGTGGTTGCATAACTCAAAAATAGATGAGGACATTTCTGAAACTTTCCCAGAAAAATCCCTCTTGGGCTAAAACTAACATTCGCTGGAGAGAAGCAAATAGGAAAGCACAAAATAAGGAAAGAAAGGCCTTCAGTGTAAAATGATCATTTTCCTTTTAAGAATTGTCTGCTTATCATGACATGAAAATCATATTTCCGGTAGCTTTTAGAAATCCATGTGGGTGATGCTGATACTTAGAACTGTTCCAGTCATTCTCTAAGCTGAGACTCAGTGAATCCTCAATTGGAATCTCCTTTGTAAAGAACCCACACTCCTATTTTTGGCAACAAACTGGGATCTTTTGTGTTTATTTGTCTTAAATCAGCTTTTACTAAAGAGAGCTACGCCAGCCCCTAAATTACCAAAAGAATAATAGTTTCACGCTATGATGCCTTTCTCGCCCCCGTTTTGTCCTGACGAATGAGAATTGCTGCCTCTTTTGAACGTTCAGCTGTCTGGCGTGAGGGGACTTTCCTTTAGCTTCGGAAGAGTCAGTCTTGGCAGTTTTTGGTAATCAGAAACCAAGAATAAGAATTTGAATGCAGGGAAAACTGTGACACAGGAAATATGTTCATCTGTTACCTATATTTTAAAAGTTGAAAAATGAAGTGCTTTGGACTCTCTCTATATATAGATAGATATATAATATCTATATATATCTATAGATATATATAGATATTATATGTATAGATATTATCTATATAGATATATATAGATATTATCTATATATATCTATATATCTATAATATATATCTATATATATCTATATATCTATAATATATATCTATATATATCTATATATCTATAATATATATCTATATATCTATAATATATATCTATATATCTATAATATATATCTATAATATATATATCTATACATCTATTATATATCTATATCTATATATCTATGATATATATCTATATATCTATATATCTATGATATATATCTATATATCTATGATATATATCTATATATCTATGATAAATATCTATATATCTATGATATATATTTATATATCTATAATATATATCTATATATCTATATATCTATAACATATATCTATATATCTATAATATATATCTATATATCTATAATATATATCTATATATCTATATATCTATAATATATATCTATATATCTATATATCTATAATATATATCTATATATCTATATATCTATAATATATATCTATATATCTATATATCTATAATATATATCTATATATCTATATATCTATAATATATATATATCTGTATATCTATAATATATATCTATATATCTATAATATATATCTATATATCTGTAATATATATCTATATATCTATATATCTATAATATATATCTATATATCTAAATATCTGTAATATATATCTATATATCTGTAATATATATCTATATATCTATATATCTGTAATATATATCTATATATCTATATATCTGTAATATATATCTATATATCTATATATCTGTAATATATATCTATATATCTGTAATATATATCTATATGTCTATATATTATATATCTATATAGATATATAATATCTTTATCGACATATCGATATATATCGACATATTGATATATATCGACATATCGATATATATCGACATATAGATATATATATTTATATAGATATATCTATATATAGATAGAGATATATAGATGATATATAGATATATAGATATATTGATATATAGATATATATAGATATATTGATATATAGATATATATAGATATATAGATATATAGAGAGATATAGATATATAGAGATATATAGATAGACATATATAGATATATAGATATATATCTATATAGAGATATATAGATATTATCTATATATCTCTCTCTATCTATATATCTATGTGTAATATATATCTATATAGATATATAATATCTTTCCCTCTCTCTCTCTCTCTCTCTCTCTATATATATATATATATATATATATGTATATATATCTCAAAGAGGCAAAATGGTAGTTATTTTTTTTCCTGTCAAGCTGCTGCTTCTGTAGAATTATAAGCCATTCTAAGGAAACTAGGAGAATTTTTAAAATCATCATAATAAACGGACCTGGTGTCTCTTTGGAACTTAGAACTCTGACACTGAGTAACAAATTGAGCCGTTGGGACGTTTGTATTTGGTTTCAGTTTTGCTGATGATATCACCGGAATCCGTTTCATACTTAAAAAATTATGCAGGGTTACTGGTGTTCAAGTTTGATTAGATCATGTAAGAATGAGAAAAACAGGCAGTCATTTCTGGCAAGGTATAGGATTTCCTGCTTGCATCCACATTTACCCCAATTCTTTCCTTGTGGGATGAAGTTTTTATCTGTCTCTCCATGTGTCTCTTTTCTGTTTTTTCCCCCCAATTCTACTATATGGAAATCTTTCTCGCTGGTTTCTAGATGCCTTATGCTTTTCCAAGTAATTTTATATTTTGGAAAGGTGAGGTTAGAAATGGCAGGCCCATCTCACAGCTGAAAAATTCGCCATCTGGATTTGTCTTTTCTTTACGCAGGTCCAACACGAGTATCTCTCTGAAATGTTTTTACTATGATTCAACATGAGTTTTACAGATTTAAACCACTCCCAAGAGTCTATTCATTTTTTTTTGTTTTTTTGAGACAGAGTCTGACTCTTGTGGCCCAGGCTGGAGTGCAGCGGGGGTTATATTGGCTCACTGCAACCTCCTGGGTTCAAGCGATTCTCCTGCCTCAGCCTCCCGAGTAGCTGGGATTACAAGTGTAAGCCACCACACCCGGCTAATTTTTGTATTTTTAGTAGAGATGGGGTTTCACCATGTTGGCCAGGCTGGTCTTGAACTCCTGACCTCAAGTGATTGACCTGCCTCAGCTTCCCAAAGTGCTGGGATTACAGGTGTGACCCACCATGCCCGACCCATTCATTCATTCATTCACTCATTCACAAGCTCACTCCATTCATTCATTCATTCATTCACTCACAAGCTCATTCATTCATTCATAAGCTCACTCATTCATTCACTCACAAGCTCATTCATTCATTCACAAGCTCACTCATTCATTCATTCATTCACTCAAAGCTCACTCATTCATTCACAAGCTCACTCATTCATTCACAAGCTCACTCATTCGTTCATTCACAAGCTCACTCCATTCATTCATTCACTCACAAGCTCACTCACTCATTCATTCATTTATTCAGAAGCTCACTCATTCATTCATTCGAGACCAGCCTGGCCAACATGGTGAAACCCTGTCTCTACTAAAAATACAAAAATTAGCCGGATGTGGTGGCTCACGCCTGTCATCTGAACACATGTGTCAGCCACTGCGCCCGGCCAACTTTTATATTTTTTTTAGTAGAGATGGGGTTTCACCATGTTGGTCAGGCTGATCTCGAACTCCTGACCTCAAAAGATCCACCCGCCTCGGCCTCTCAAAGTGCTGGGATGACAGGTGTGAGCCACCGCACCCAGTCCAAAGCACTCGAGTTTAATCCAGAGGTAACACAGCAAGACTTGGGGGTCTTCCAGGCTTGGAGGTCTTCCATCCAGCCTCCAGGAATGCTTTCTCCATGGAGGTGCCCCATGAAGTTGGTAATTCAAGGCCAGGCTCATGGTGGATATCAGGAAACCTGGAAGAAAGGTCAGCGCCCACGGTGGGTTGGAAGGTCCAATCCGTGCAACTTCAGACAAAAGCTTGGAACGAAGCTGGTTCACCATGGCTGGCTGAATGCTTTGGTTGGATGGAGCAGACAGAAATCTACAGTTTTTCATCTGACTTTTGCTCCTGGGGCCTCAGGAGGGGCAGAAACAGATATGAAGCAGTTTCTACCAGGGCAACAACATCTCCGCAGAAGTTTTCTTTCTTAATCCTGTTTCCAGAGTAAGGGGGAAAAAAGGTACCCGGGGGTGGGAACACAGAGCCTGGGACCTGCATGGTTTTACCTTGGCACCTGCTCAGGGCCCTATGTCCTGTGGGCTGGCTCATAATTACTTTCTCATTAAGAAAGCAATCCAGCTCATGCCTGTAATCCCAGCACGAGGCAGGTGGACCGTGAGGTCAGGAGTTCGAGACCAGCCTGGCTAACATGGTGAAACCCTGTGTCTATTAAAAATACAAAAATTACAGGCAGTGGCGGGTGCCTGTAATCCCAGCTACTCGGGAGGCTGAGGCAGGAGAATTGCTTGAACCGGGGAGGCAGAGGTTGCAGTGAGCCAAGATCATGCCACTGCACTCCAGCCTGAGTGACAGAACAAGACTCTGTCTAAAAAAAAAAAAAAAGGGCAGTCTAAGGAGTGAGTATATCAAGACTTGGGTTTGAGAGTTAATCTGCCTCTTTATCTGTGTCTCTGCGGAAGAGGGTACACCCCTTCCTCCAACCTCAAGGCAGAGCTCTGCGAGTGGCCAGAGGAATGTGGAGTCACTTTGTTATTCTACTTGTCCTACACCCAGGGTGACTTAAAAACAGCGTTTGCCTCCAAAATGCTACCATACGTCTTCCTGAAACATTCCACATTTCCCCAAACCTTTGCAAGCAGCTGGGTTAAAACCGTAGGGCACAAATGCATTCCTTCGAGGAGAACTTGGCACAGCTAATCAGGAATGAGAAGGTGTCCCTTAAAAAATAACACATTTCCCCCTTTAAGATGCTTCAAGGGGCTCCCCCGGCCCTCCAGGCATGTCTGTAATTTCCCACAATTTTGCTTTACGTCTCAATATGCTTGAATTGGATTAAGGAAAATAATCAATGTTCTCAATACGGTATTTACTTGTAATATTTTCCTTGCGCCCTAAGTTAGTTTCCCCGAGATGAAAGATGATTTTAAAAATTGCTATAGGTAATGATTTTTTATAGCTTAATTTAGATTATATTGAAAATTATGAAGGGGAGGGGAAAAAAAATCCAACAACCCAGAATTGCCTCTACCTTATTAAACATCTCCACGTTTTTGCAATTTAAATACTACACTCAGCCGTATATTTTCTGTATTTCTATTTCCACAATAAGCATTAATAACATGGTAATATCTTTATTTCCATACTGTTTCCTTAATACACCACGGGGAGCTGGAAGCCATGTTCACTCAACAATTATTTCCATGAGAAAGAGCAGATTGTAGCAAAGGGCTCAAATTTCCTCTCGTGTGGTGGAAAACACTCCTCCCTGCCTGCTGCCTTAAGTGAACGAGTGAAAAACACTCATTGGTTTAAAAAATAAATAGCACAGCTCTGTTTGCTTACAAGCCCACCTGTCCAACTTTTCTCCAGCTTCTGGGGATGTTTGTCTCCACCCGCTGCTGGGATCCAGATGTATCAGCAAGCTACCTCTGACAGTCAGCAAATTAGAAACTCCTAACAGTTTCATGCCTAACAGGCATGGTGGCTCATGTCTGTCATCCCAGCACTTTGGGAGGCTGAGGTGGGTGGATCACCTGAGGTCAGGAGTTCGAGACCAGCCTGGCCAACATGGTGAAACCCCGTCTAATACAAAAAATTAGCTGGGCCTGGTAGCAGGAACCAGTAGTCCCAGCTACTCGGGAGGCTGAGGCAGGAGAATCTCTTGAACCCAGGAGGTGGAGGTTGCAGTGAGCCGATACCATGCCATTGCACTCCAGCCTGTGCAACAAGAGTGAAATTCTATCTCAAAAAAAAAAAAAAGAAAGAAAAGAAAAGAAAAAAGAAACTGAAACAGCGTCTCCTCCTAATGTCCATGCACTGGAATTCCAAGGGAACCACAGGGTGATCAGACGCCCTGAACTAAGCAAGACCTCCCCAGCGGCTTGGATCTCAAGCTCAGTGGCCCAGATGGGGGCTTGGGTCAGTCTGAGGGAGGTACAACTACTGCCACTTAACAGAGAAGAGAGGCACCTGCTTTGGAGCTACTTCCCTGCAAGTAGGTAAAGCAATGTTTACTCCATAGAACCCCATGATAAATGAAAACGAGGCCGGGAGCAGTGGCTCACGCCTGTAATCCCAGCACTTTGGGAGGCCAAGATGGATGGATCACGAGGTCAAGAGATCGAGACCAGCCTGGCCAACATGGTGAAACCCTGTCTCTACTAAAAATATAAAAATTAGCTGGGCATGGTGGCAGGCGCCTGTAGTCTCAGCTACTCGGGAGGCTGAGGCAGGAGAATTGCTTGAACCTGGGAGGTGGAGGTGGCAGGAGAATTGCTTGAACCTGGGAGGCAGAGGTGGCTGTGAGCCGAGATCACGCCACTGCACTCCAGCCTGGTGTCAGAGCGAGACTGCACCTCAAAAACAAAAACAGAAAAAACAAAAAAAGAAAAATGAAAATGAGGTAGTCCCTTGCTAAGAAATCATTCAGGTTTTCAGCATGGCAATAACAGAACATGATGCTAAGGGCAAGACCAAAGAAGGCAAGGCTGCTGTTGTTATGCACATATCCATGAACATGGTATAACCAAACCCAGGCTCCGTGGCTCGTGGCTTGAAAACCAATCTGGAGAGTTGGTGGGAGGAAAACCAGGTTTATTTGGAGAGCTGGCAAACCAAGAATCTGTTGAACAAAAGTCCGAGTGTACCCCCTTAAATAAGTACATCTTTCAGGCTCTTTTTATATGAAGGGCATGGGAAAGAGGAGGGGGTTGGGATAGAGAGATGACCGATGGCCACGGACCTCTGAATGCTAGTCAGGGTCCAAAGAAGTTGAAGACTTTTTTGTCCTTGGTCAAGTCACCATGCTCCCAAAAATCTTTAACAAAACATAGTTGTTTTACATGTTTTCCCTTTAATCGCAGAGTTAGTTTTAAAAACTACATGATTGCGGCTGGGGGTGGTGGCTCACACCTGTCATCCCAGCACTTTGGGAGGCCGAGGCAGGTGGATCACTGCTGGGATCCAGTTGTATCAGCAAGCTACCTCTGACAGTCAGCAAATTAGGAACTCCTAACAGTTTCGTGCCTAACAGGCATGGTAGCTCATGTCTGTCATCCCAGCACTTTGGGAGTCCGAGGCAGGTGGATCACCTGAGGTCAGGAGTTCGACACCAGCGTGGCCAACATGGTGAAAACCTGTCTCTACTAAAAATACAAAAATTAGCCGGGCATGGTGGCGGGCACTTGTAATCCAAGTTACTCGGGAGGCTGAGGCAGGAGAATTGTTTGAACCCGGGAGGCGGAGGTTGTAGTGAGCCGAGATTGCACCGCTGCACTCCAGCCTGGGCAACAGAGCAAGACTCCATCTCAAACAAACAAACAAACAAACAAAGAAAAAAACTACATGATTGCTGTTTTTGTTTTATCTCTGTGCTCTGAAACTATCCTATCCTATGTGCAAGAATGGGTAAGGTCCCCTTAAACAAAAAGTAGAGTTAGATATGTTCCTTATTTTGCTGTTTCACTGTTACTGCGGCTCCTGGAGGAAATGTCATTCAGAACGAGGTTCTCAACCCTGGATGGGAGGAAGCTTTGGTGTTTAGTGTTTCTTTGTTTTGTGTTTGAGACGGGTTTTTCTCTGTCTCCCGGGCTGGAGTGCAGTGGCACAATTATACTTTACTGCAGCCTCCACTTCCTATGCTCAAGGGATCCTTCCACCTCGGCCTCCGAAAGTGCTGGGATTACAGGTGTGAACCACCGTGCCTGGCTAATTTTCTAATTGTTTCGTAGAGGTGGGGTTTCACTATGTTGTCCCGTCTGGAGTGAAACTCCTGGGTTCAAGCATCCTCCTTCCTCACCCTCCCAAAATGCTGGGATTACAGGTGTGAGTGACTTCACTGGGCTAATTTTCTCATTGTTTTGCAGAGATGGGGGTCTCACTATGTTGCCTAGGATGGGCTTATACTCCCGGGTTCAAGCAGTCCTCCTGCCTCAGCCTCCCAAAGTGCTGGGATTACAGACATGAGCCACCGGGGCTGGCAAAGCTTTGAAACTAGAATGTGGAGGTCCAGTGGTAAAGTTTTGACAAGTCTTGGAAGATGTTGGGCCATGGCAATGCTGATGATTCTTTTTTTTTTTTGGTGACAGAGTCTTGCTCTTTGTCTAGGCTGGAGTGCAATGGCACAATCTCGGCTCAGTGCAAGCTCCGCCTCCCGGGTTCACGCCATTCTCCTGCCTCAGCCTCCCGAGTAGCTGGGACTACAGGTGCCCGCCACCACGCCCGGCTAATTTTTTGTATTTTTAGTAGAGATGTGGTTTCACCATGTTAGCCAGGATGGTCTCAATCTCCTGACCTCGTGATCCGCTTGCCTTGGCCTCCCAAAGTGCTGGGATTACAGGCGTGAGCCACCGCGCCCAGCCACACCAGGCTAATTTTTGTTTTGTTTTGTTTTTTTAGTAGAGACGGGGTTTCACCATGTTGGCCAGGCTGGTCCCTGACCTTGTGATCCGCCCACCTCGGCTTCCCAAAGTGCTGCGATGACAGGCATGAGCCACCACGCCTGGCCAATGTTGATGATTCTAAACAGCACCCGCTAATGTGAAAACCATCCAACTGGAAGCCCTGGCCTTGCCCAGAGGACAGAGCCTGGGTGGTGGGCAGAGACTTCAGCTGCCTTCCAAGGCAAGCAGCTCCCTCCTCCCCGCTTGCTGGAGATTTTACTTACAGGGCAGAAGCTGGCAGGTGATTTTGGGGGCAGGAATTGCTTCCTGGATGCTGTAGGATGAACCCCACTCCCCAGGAAGGCACCCATCCTGGTGGACTAACAGAGGCAGCCCTCACCCCAAAAGGCAATGTTGTTCCACTCATTTTATGGGGTGACTCCTTCCTGTAGGTTCCTTCCAGCTTTGCCAGAAAAACACACAACATCTTTCCTGACAGGACATTGGTTTTGTTTTTGAACAGAGAGATCCTTCATTTAAAAAGTTAGGTTTTTTTTTTTCTTTCTTTCTTTCTTTTGTCATGGAATCAACCTAGATCCTAAGCCTAGCAGGTTATTATTATTTTTTTATTATTATTTTTTGAGATGGAGTCCCACTCTGTGGCCCAGGCTGGAGGGCAGTGGCGCGATCTCGGCTCACTGCAACGTCCGCCTCCTGGGTTCAAGAGATTCTCCTGCCTCAACCTGCAGAGGAGCCGGGATTAGAGGCACACGCCACCATGCCCAGCTAATTTTTGTACTTTTAGTAGACATAGGGTCTTGCCATGTTGGCCAGACTGATCTCAAACTCCTGACCTCAGGTGATCTGCTCACCTTGGCCTCCAAAATTGCTGAGAATACAGGTGTGAGCCACCACACCCAGACACAGTTTATTTTTGCTGATTTTCTCCCTCCTCCCACCGTCCACACTCAAAGAAAATGTGGTACATCTACACCATGGAATACTACGCAACCCTGAAAAGAAACAAAATCATGGGTTTTTTTTGCAGCAACATGGATGTAGCTGGAGGCCATTATCTTTTTAAAATTATTTTTATTATTTTTTATTTTTTCTATTCTACTTTAAGTTCTGGGGTATATGTGCAGAATGTGCAGGGTTGTTACATAGGTATACATGTGCCATAGTGATTTGCTGCACCCATCAACCCATCATCTACATTAGGTGTTTCTCATAATGCTCTCCCTCCCCCCCCAGTCCCCCACCCCTGCAACAGGCCCCAGTGTATGATGTTCCCCTCTCCGGGTCCATGTGTTCTCATTGTTCAACTCTCACTTATGAGTGAGAACATGTGGTGTTTGGTTTTCTGTTCCTGTGTGAATTTGCTGAGAATGATGGTTTCCAGCTTCATCCATGTCCCCCTGCAAAGGACATGAACTCATCCTTTTTCATGGCTGCATAGTATTCCAAGGTGTCTATGTGCTACATTTTCTTTATCCAGTCTATCACTGATGAGCATTTGGGTTGGTTCCGTGTCTTTGCTATTGTGAACAGTGTGGAGGCCATTATCTTAAGTAAATTCACAGAATGCTGCACATTCTCACTTATAAGTGGGAGCTAAATGTTGTGTATACGTAGATGCAGAGAAGGGAACAGATACTGAGGTCTAGTTAGGGGGAGAGAGGAAGGTAGAAGCACAAGAGTTGAAAAAACCAACTGCAGGGTGTTATGCTCACTACCTGGGTGATGGGATCACTCATACCCCAGACCTCTACATCACACATGGTACCCATGTAATAAACCTGTACATGTACCTCCCGAATCTAAACTGCTCCAACATTTGCCCCAGCAATTCCAAGACTGGTCATCTACCCAAAGGAAAAGAAGTCATTCTACCAAAAAGACAAATGCATGGTAAAGTTCCTTTTTTTTTTTTTTGAGATGGAGTCTCGCTCTGTTGCCCAGGCTGGAGTGCAGTAGCAATCTCGGCTCACTGCAACCTCTGCCTCCCAGGTTCAGGCGATTCTCCTGTCTCAGCCTCCTGAGCAGCTGGGATTACAGGCATGTGCCACCACGCCTGGCTCAGTTTTGTATTTTTAGTAGAGATAGGGTTTCACCATGTTGATCAGGCTGGTCTCGAACTCCTGACCTCAGGTGATCTGCCCACCTCAGCCCTCCAGAGTGCTGGGATTACAGTGCCCAGCCCTGTAAGGTTCATCACAGCACGACTCACAATAGGAAAGTCATGGAATCGACCTAGTTGTCCATCAGTAGGGGATCAGATAAAGCAAATGTGGTTCTTCTACACCATGGAATACTACACAGCCACGAAAAAGAATAAAATCATGTCCTTTGCAGCCACGTGGTTGTAGCTGAAGGGCATTATGCTTAATGAATTAACCCAAGAACAGAAAACTCAAATACCACACGTTCTCAACTGGATAAAGCAATTGTGGCCCTTCTGCATCATGGAATACTACACAGCCATGAAAAAGAATAAAATCATGTCTTTGCAGCCACATGGATGCAGCTGAAGGGCATTATGCTTAGTGAATTAATGCCAGGAACAGAAAATCGAATACTACATGTTCTCAACTAGATAAAGCAAATGTGGCCCTTCTACAGCATGGAATACTACAGAGTCATGAAAAAGAATAAAATCATGTC
Source organism: Homo sapiens (assembly GCF_000001405.40). Taxonomy (NCBI): domain Eukaryota; kingdom Metazoa; phylum Chordata; class Mammalia; order Primates; family Hominidae; genus Homo; species Homo sapiens. The sequence continues at coordinate 837,259 of NC_000024.10, forward strand.
TTTGCAGGCACATGGATGCAGCTGAAGGGCATTATGCTTAGTGAATTAATGCCAGAAACAGAAAATGAATACTACATGTTCTCAACTAGATAAAGCAAATGTGGTCCTTCTGCATCATGCATCATGGAATACTACACAGCCATGAAAAAGAATAAAATCATGTCTTTGCAGCCTCATGGATGCAGCTGAAGGGCATTATGCTTAGTGAATTAATGCCAGAAACAGAAAATCAAATACCACATGTTCTCAATTAGATAAAGCAAATGGGGTCCTTCTGCATCATGGAATACTACACAGCAATGAAAAACAATAAAATCATGCCCTTTGTATTCACATGGATGAAGCTGAAGGGCACTATGCTTAGTGAATTAATGCCAGTAACAGAAAATCAAATACCACATGTTCTTGCTTATAGGTGGGAGCTAAACGTTGCCTGCGCCTGGACACAATGAAGGGACACCACAGACCCTCAGGACTAATAGAGCAGGAAGCAGGGGCAGGGGTACCAGCGTTGAAAAACTACCCTGAGGTTCTTGGAATGTCAGGCAGAAGGCAGCGACTGGAGAGATCTTTGGGTCACGGATTTTTCTGTTGCATTTTCTTGCCTGTTTGTTTGTTTTTTTCTGTCTCTCTCTCTCTTTCTTTTTTTTTTTTTTTTTTTTTTTTTTTTTTTTTTTTGAGAAGGAGTCTAGCTCTGTCGCCCAGGCTGGAGTGCAGTGGTGCAATCTCGGCTCCCTGCGACTTCCGCCTCCTGGATTCAAGCGATTCTCCTGCCTCAGCCTCCTGAGTAGCTGGGACTACAGGCACCCGCCACCACACCTGGTTAATTTTTGTATTTTTAGCAGAGACGGGGTTTCACAAGGTTGGTCAGGCTGGTCTTGAACTCCTGACCTCAGGCGATCACCCTGCCTGGGCCTCCCAAAGTGCTGGGATTACAGGCCTGAGCCACCGCACCCGGCCTCTCTTCTTATGTATTTCTAGAACTCCTCTAGAATTTGGGGTTTGTTTTTCTTAATTACAAGGAACCAAGTTGAATCATTATTGCATGTATAAATATACATTTTATATTTAATACATATTATATACCTCATGGATGTACAATGCTCAGTGCCTGGGTGATGGGATCATTCATACCCCAAACCTCAGCATCGTACAATATCCCCAGGTCACAAAGCTGCATGTGGATCTCCTGAATCTATAATAATAATAAATAAAAAGTGACTTTGTAATTCACAGGGAAACCCCCTCTGCCTCTCAGTCCCTTGGATTCCCAAAGTTTGTTTTCAACACCCCTAGGGGAAACTCAGAATCTCATTTTCAGAACGCGGGTTGTTTTTCTTAGAAGCGCTTTGCAAAACAAAATAGGAAGCAAAATCTTTCTCGCTCCTTCCGCTCCGTAATAGACAAAATAAAATGAGGGGGCAGGAATCCAAAGGCTTTGACCGCAGCTGGCAGATTTATTGTGGTACAGACCTGAAGGCAAGCAGTGTTCTCTTTGATTCTACGAACCGTACAGCCCCGGGCCGGCTGCCTTCTGCTTTCTGGATGGTGCAGGCATGAGCTCCAAGCCCAAATTTCACCGGAGCTCCAGGAATCGAGCCTGGCCCAGAGGACTCACAGCACGGGGGCCAAACATGAAACCAGTGAGCGCTCCAGCAAGGTAACAGGACAGCTGGGTGATTCTTCTTGCCGGCTCCGCCAGATTACAGCCAGAATTCCACCGAATGTGGTCTTTCTGTGTCTCTCCCCAGACAGCGAAGCTGGACAAACCTGGGGGGGTGGGGGTGGGGGGGTGCTGACTTCAGTGGGGTGTCCTGGAGAGGCAGGAACCAGGGTTTCCAGGGTGCAGATCCTGCTGAAGCAAATGGACGTGGCATCCGCGGGCAGAGCTGGCTGTGGCGTCCCCCCTCTGCCTGCGGTGTCATCAAATGCACCCAGAGACCCCTCCTAAACCTGGAGGGTGTGCTGACCTCAGTGGGGTGTCCTGGAGAGGCAGGAACCAGGGTTTCCAGGATGCAGATCCTACTGAAGCAAATGGACGTGGCATCCGCGGGCAGAGCTGGCTGTGGCGTCCCCCCTCTGCCTGCGGTGTCACCAAATGCACCCAGACACCCCTTCTAAACCTGCAGGGTGTGCTGACCTCAGTGGGGTGTCCCGGAGAGGCAGGAACCAGGGTTTCCAGGATGCAGATCCTGCTGAAGCAAATGGACGTGGCATCCGCGGGCAGAGCTGGCTGTGGCGTCCCCCCTCTGCCTGCGGTGTCACCAAATGCACCCAGAGACCCCTCCTAAACCTGGAGGGTGTGCTGACCTCAGTGGGGTGTCCTGGAGAGGCAGGAACCAGGGTTTCCAGGATGCAGATCCTGCTGAAGCAAATGGACGTGGCATCCTTGGGCAGAGCTGGCTGTGGCGTCCCCCCTCTGCCTGCGGTGTCACCAAATGCACCCAGACACCCCTTCTAAACCTGCAGGGTGTGCTGACCTCAGTGGGGTGTCCCGGAGAGGCAGGAACCAGGGTTTACAGGGTGCAGATCCTGCTGAAGCAAATGGACGTGGCATCCTCAGGCAGAGCTGGCTGTGGCGTCCCCCCTCTGCCTGCGGTGTCACCAAATGCACCCAGACACCCCTCCTAAACCTGCAGGGTGTGCTGACCTCAGTGGGGTGTCCCGGAGAGGCAAGAACCAGGGTTTCCAGGATGCAGATCCTGCTGAAGCAAATGGACGTGGCATCCGCGGGCAGAGCTGGCTGTGGCGTCCCCCCTCTGCCTGCGGTGTCACCAAATGCACCCAGACACCCCTTCTAAACCTGCAGGGTGTGCTGACCTCAGTGGGGTGTCCCGGAGAGGCAGGAACCAGGGTTTCCAGGATGCAGATCCTGCTGAAGCAAATGGACGTGGCATCCGCGGGCAGAGCTGGCTGTGGCGTCCCCCCTCTGCCTGCGGTGTCACCAAATGCACCCAGAGACCCCTCCTAAACCTGGAGGGTGTGCTGACCTCAGTGGGGTGTCCTGGAGAGGCAGGAACCAGGGTTTCCAGGATGCAGATCCTGCTGAAGCAAATGGACGTGGCATCCTTGGGCAGAGCTGGCTGTGGCGTCCCCCCTCTGCCTGCGGTGTCACCAAATGCACCCAGACACCCCTTCTAAACCTGCAGGGTGTGCTGACCTCAGTGGGGTGTCCCGGAGAGGCAGGAACCAGGGTTTACAGGGTGCAGATCCTGCTGAAGCAAATGGACGTGGCATCCTCAGGCAGAGCTGGCTGTGGCGTCCCCCCTCTGCCTGCGGTGTCACCAAATGCACCCAGACACCCCTCCTAAACCTGCAGGGTGTGCTGACCTCAGTGGGGTGTCCCGGAGAGGCAGGAACCAGGGTTTCCAGGGTGCAGATCCTACTGAAGCAAAGGGGCGTGGCATCCTCGGGCAGGGCTGGCTGTGGCTGGCCCCCCCAGCCTGGACATCCCCCCCACTGCCTGGGGTGTCACCTAATGCACCCAGAGACCTCTCGTCCAAAAGGCCATTCATGGGAAGCCTCCAGGTCTCCTCGGCAGGCAGCATCACGTCTGATTTATCTGTGTTATCAGGTAACGCAGGCCTGTTCTACCTGTGTGCGTGAGCGCATGGGTACCGTGGGGCCGTGTGTGTGTTGACGTGGGTGTGGGTGTGTGCTTGTGTGGCTGTGTGTGTGTGCCTGTTTATGTGACGATGAGTGTGTCTGTGGGTCTGTAAGACAATGTGTGTTTACATGTGTGTTTCTGTGTGAGCGTGCATTCCTGTGTTTTACGGAAGTGTGTTTTTGTGATGGTGTTTGTGTGTGTCCCTGCGTTTATTGTGTTTGTGTGTTTGTGAATATGAGTGTATGTGTGTAAATCTGTATGGCAATGTATAAATTCTTTTTTTTTTTTTTTTTGAGACGGCGTCTCGCTTTGTCACCCACACTGGAGTGCAATGGTGCAATCTCGGCTCACTGCAACCTCCGCCTCCAGGGTTCAAACGATTCTCCTGCCTCAGCCTCCTGAGTACCTGGGATTACGGGCACCCGCCACCACATCTGGCTAATTTTTCTTTTTTGATATGGAGTCTCGCTCTGTTACTCAGCCTGGAGTGCAGTGGTGCGATCTCGGCTCACTGCAACCTCTGCCTCCCGGGTTCAAATGATTCTCCTGCCTCAGCCTCCTGAGTAGCTGGGATTACAGGCATATGCCACCATATCTGGCTAATTTTTGTATTTTTAGTAGAGACGGGGTTTCATCATGTTGGCCAGGCTGGTCTCGAACTCCAGACCCTAACTGATCCAGCAGCCTCGGCCTCCCAAAGTGCTGGGATGACAGGCTTGAGCCACCGTGCCTGGCCCCAGTGTGTGAATTTTTACGTTTGTGTGTCCACGTGATTACGTGAGTCTTTTTGTGACTGCGTTTGCACGAGTGTGACTGTATGTATGTGTCTGTGTGTGCTTGTGTGATTCTGAGTGTGTGTATGAGTGTGTATGACATATGTGAGTGTCTATGTGGGTGAATGGCCATCCACGTGTTTATATGAGAGTGTTTTCATGATTCTGTTTATGCGTCTTTGTACGTATACGTGTTTGTGTGCTTTGTGAGAACATCCATGTGCCTCTGCACCCACGTGTGCATGTGAGGGTTTTTGTAATTGTGTTTGTGTGTGTGTGTCCCTGTGTTTGTGTGAGTGTGCATGTCTTTGTGTGTCCATGTGCTTCTCTGAGTGTGTTTTGTGATTCTGTCTTTGCGTTGATGTGCGTTTGTGTAAGCGTGTGGTTGCATTTGTGTCCGTGATTCTGGAGCAGGTGAGCTGATCACAAGCCTGAGTCAAGAATCCATGGAGATCATTTACAGCAGAAGCCGGGACCCTGTGCAAATCCTTCTGAAATATCCCCGATTGACTGAGCTCCTAGGGGTGGGGAAGAAAAATTCCCTGACATCTCGGCCTCAGGGAAAGAGACACCCCACTGGCAGGACGTCTCTGCTGTTTCTCAGAAGACAGCTGGGGTGTCACTCTCCCAAACGACGGTGATTTTCAGAACGGTTCACTTTGTGGAGAGACGTTTCTGCCCTGGAGATCCGTACATATTGAACCCAAATGAATATTTTTTAATTAAAAAAGTTTATATAAATATGCATTGTGTATACTTTATATTAATATATTGATATAAATAAATGTATTTTATTAATATAAACATATGATTTTTATAGTTTACATAAATAATAAAGTTACATATGGTGTATATGTAAAATATACTTTTATTTGTAATACATAATTGTATAGATTAAATTTTATATACTAAGCAAAGTTACGTGTAATATATACATGCCATATAACATCATTTATATAATATATAACTTTATGTAAATAAAATAAAATTGATCTTATATTAATACGTAATTATGTATATACACTATGTAAAAATAAAATTATATATTGTATATGCATAATTATATTTCTATAAATACACGCTTATGTGTGTATTTATACGTGAATGCCTGTGTTTGTGTGAGTCCATCAGTGAGTGCGTGAATGTGTGTGTGAGCATGTGTGTCTGTGTGAGTGTAAGAGTGTTGTACCTTTATACACACCCATTTTGTTTTCTGGTTAATAACAAGGTCTATGTTTGATTTAGGATATGAAGAATTCTTATAAGCAACCCCACACACACAATTTGTATTTATTTTAAAATATTCTTAAAATATGGATTTTTTTTATTTTTGCACAAACAGACAAGACTGTTTTTTCTTTCCAAAACTTTTATTTCAAATTCTGACACCGAGGGGGAGAAAAAGAAGAAAACATTGTGTAACCTTATATGCATTAGACACATAAGTAATTACTAAATGCAATACAGATTTCGACAACATGCTTTTAGGAAACAGGAGGAATTCAAACTCGTAGCCGCCTCAATGTTGAACTTTCTAATGTTTAATTTTTTTAATTAAAAATTATTCGTTTGGGTTCAATATGTACGGATCTCCAGGGCAGAAACGTCTCTCTAAAAAGTGAACCGTTCTGAAAATCACCGTCGTTTGGGAGAGTGACACCCCAGCTGTCTTCTGAGAAACAGCAGAGACGTCCTGCCAGTGGGGTGTCTCTTTCCCTGAGGCCGAGATGTCAGGGAATTTTTCTTCCCCACCCCTAGGAGCTCAGTCAACCGGGGATATTTCAGAAGGATTTGCACAGGGCCCCGGCTTCTGCTGTAAATGATCTTCATGGATTCTTGGCTCAGGCTTGTGATCAGCTTACCTGCTGCAGAATCACTTTCCCTCGTAGCTTCTGGGCTCAGACACCTCAAAACCAGCAAAGGGAAGTCCTCACTGGCCAACGCGTCCATCCCAACTCCCGCATCTCCCCTTAGGGCGGGTTTGGGGTCCCGGACTTCGTTACTGATCCTTTCAAAGCGGACAGGGAGGTAAGATTTTATTCTGTTTCCAGAGGTTCACGATTTCTGCAGACGGTCAGCAACTCTTTGCATCCTACTGGTAAAAGTTTTATATACTTTGTATTTATATAAATATGCATTGGGTATATTTTATATCAATAGATTGCTATAAATAAGTATATTTTATTAATATAAACATATGATTTTTATATTTTTATATAAATAATAAAGTTATATATAGTGTATATGTAAAATACACTTTTATTTGTAATACATAATTTTGTAGATTAAATTTAATATATTAAGCAAAAATATGTGTAACATATACATAACATATAACATATTTATATAACATATAACTTAATGTAAATAAGTATATAATAAAATTGATATTATATTTGTTAATACATAATTATGTATATATACTATGTAAAAATAAAATTATATATTGTATATGCATAATTATATTTCTATAAATACAATTACATACCACATATAATTATGTATAAAATAATTGTATATAAAATTATATAATAAATTTTGAAACTTTATAAATTATTATACATAGTATTTTATTGTATTAAATTTAGAAATGTGTTATATATAATAAAACCTTATATAATAAATGTAGATTATATAAAATTTTATTTATAATAAATTACCTTATGTATAATCATAATATGAGAAAATAATTACATATAACATTGTATTACAATAAATTTAGAAATGTTATACATTATTATATATAAAATTTCATTATATTAAATTTAGAAATATATATAGTAAAATGGTATATTAAAATTTTTATGTAACATTTTATTATACATGTGTAATTTTATATGTTTTGTAATATGTAGAATATAAGTACAAAAATATTTATATACAGCTACGTGTAATATAAATACATCAGTGTAAGATTTTTTTTTTTTTGTGAGACGGAGTCTCGCTCTGTCACCCAGGCTGGAGTGCAGTGACACGATCTCGGCTCACTGCAACCTCTGCCTCCCGGGTTCAAGCGATTCTCCTGCCTAAACCTCCCGAGTAGCTGGGATTACAGGCACTCGCCACCACACCCAATCAATTTTTGTATTTTTAGTAGAGATGGGGTTTCACCGTGTTAGCCAGGATGGTCTCAAACTCCTGACCTCAGGTGATCCACTCGCCTCGGCCCCCCAAAGTGCTGGGATTACAGACATGATCAACAGTGTAAGATACTAGCTATTAAAAAATAAATAAATAAATAAATATATATATATATATATAGCAACAGCTGATTTGTCTGGAAGACTTTGGTCAGAAGACAGTGTATTAAGAAGACAGTGAGTCCCTAGAGGAATATAAGAATATACATCATGTTAATATATTATATATAACATAAACAGCTAATTATATCTGTATGTATAGTATAAACATAAAGTACAAAAATATTTGTATATAACTATAATATAAATATATGTGTAAGATATTAGCTATTAAAATATACATATGTGTGTATGTATGTGTATATGTGTATATATAATATATACATATATAGCATATATAATATATAATATATAGCATAATATAAAATAATATATTGTATTATATATAAGACATAATATAATATATATTATATATAAGACATAATATAATATATATTATATATAAGACATAATATAATATATATTATATATAAGACATAATATAATATATATTATATATAAGACATAATATAATATATATTATATATAATAAAATATATAGCATATATATTTGCTATATATATATAGTATATATATAGCAACAGCTGATTTGTCTGAAAGACTTTGGTCAGAAGACACTGTATTAAGAAGACAGTGAGTCCCCAGAGGAATATAAGAATATACATCATGTTAATATATTATATATAACATAAACAGCTAATTACATCTGTACATATAGCATAAACATAAAGTACAAAAATATTTATAACTATATATAATATAAATATATCAGTGTAAGATATTAGCTATTAAAAAATATGTGTACATAAATAGCAACTGGTGATTTGTCTGGAAGACTCTGTTCAGAAGACAGTGTATTAGGAAGACAGGCAGTCCCCTCAGGAAGCGTGGGGCAGGTGGGATCTGGAGGTGACTCTGGGCTGCCAGAAGATGCCCCACTGCTTTGGGGCAGACACAGGTGGAGAGGTCCTCTCTGTAGCTTCAGCGTGGACACTGTGTGTGTCTTGTTGTGGGAGCACTTCTTTGTGCTTCCCTCTCCACTGTGACCCCGTCACATTCACTGACCTGTCCTCCTCCTTCCTCTCGCTCTCCGGGGCCCCTGTGCAAAGAGGGTCTTCCCCCCGAGCAGCAGGAACCCCCTAGACCCTCCCCATGCTCCTGGGTTCTGAACCTCAGGTACATGAGATCCTACCTGACCGGGCACAGGCTCTGTTCACCCTCAGGAACCCCTGTCCTCCCAGGCCACCGTGGACTGGAGAACTGGCCTCCTGAAAATCCAGAGAGAACTTAGCACCGACAACTTCTTTTTTCCTTTTTCTTTTCTTTTTTTTTTTTTTTGAGACAGGATCTTGCTCCGTCCCCCAGGCTGGAGTGCAACGGCATGATCTCAGCTCACTGCAACCTCCTCCTCCCACATTCAAGCAGTTCATCCTGCCTCTGTCTCCCGAGTATCTGGGATCACAGGCGTCCACCCCCACGGCCAACTAATTTCTGTGTTTTTAGTAGAGACGGGGTTTCACCATGTTGGCCAGGCTGGTCTCGAACTCTTGACCCCAAGTGATCCACCCGCCTCGGCCTCCCAAAGCACCGGGATGACACATATTAGCATGACGTATATTCTTCTGTTCCTCCGGGGACTCACTGTCTTCTTGGGCCAGTGAACCACCGTGCCCTGCCTTCTCTGTCCACATCTACACACGTGTAAATCTCTGTAGATTCTGAATTGTTTTTCCTTTTGCACAGAATGAGAGGAACTGAAGTCGGGAGGCCCAGCCCCAACATGGTCCCTCTGGCTCTGTGCTCAGGCGGTTTATGGCTGAGAAGGACTTGGGGGTTGAGGGCTTCCTATCAGCCCAGGAGACATTCCCCGGGCCTGGGGAAGCCTGCTCTGCACTTGTGGGTCTCGAATTGTCTGTTGCATTTACCTGCCTTATTATTTTTTCTTCCTGTCTCTCTTCTTACATATTTCTCTCGAATTTGGGGCTTGTTTTTCTTAACTACAATCAACGTGAATCATTATTGCATTATATAAATATAAATTTTATATTGAATAGACATTATATGCTCAATCTAGTACACATTCCAACACAGGCCATATCTAAGAGGCATATTTATATTTAATGTACAAAACATGTTTACATTTCGTATGGAAAATATACATTTATATTTAACATATATGTGTATATTTAATACAGGGAATATATATTTATATTTAATATAGAAAATGTATATTATATTTGACATATAAAAATATATGTTTATATTTAATATGGGAAATATATGTTTATGTTTAATATACAAAATACATGTTGATATTTAAAATAGAAAATGTATAGTTATATTTGCTATGCAAAATACATGTTTATATTTAATATAGAAAATATGTTTATATTTAACGTAGAGAATATATATTTATATTTAATATGGAAAATATATATTTATATTTAACATATATAGTATTTATATTTAATGTATAAAATATGTTTACATTTAATGTGCGGAATATATGCTTATATTTAATGTCTAAAATACATGTTTATATTTAATGTATTGTAAACATTAAATGTACCAAACGTATTCTTATATTTAATGTATAAAAGATGTTTATATTTAATATATAAGATATGTTTACATTTAATGGATAAAATGTTTATGTTTGATGTATAAAAGATGTTTATATTTAATGTATACAATGTTTATATTTAATGTACCAAATATATTATTATATTTAATGTCCAAAATATATTTATATATAATATATAAGGTATGTTTATATTTTATATGAAAGATATGTTTACATTTAACGTATAAAATGTTTATGTTTAATGTATACAACATGTTTATATTAAATGTATACGATGTTTTTATTTAATGTACCAAATGTATTATATTTAATGTATAAAAGACGTTTATATTTAACATATAAGTTTATATATACTTTATATATTATATATTATATATACCTTATATATTGTATAATATATAAAATATATAAAAATAAGTTATATTTAATATATAAGATATGTTTATATTTAATGTATATGTTTATGTTTAATATATAAAAGATGTTTATATTTAATGTATAAAAACATGTTTAATGTATAAATTATATTTATATTTAATGTATATTTTTATATTTAATGAATACATATATTTGTATTAATATATGAAATGTATATTCATACTTAGTATGTAAATATACACTCATATTTAATAGACAAAATGTATATCTGTATTTAGTATATAAAATGTATATTTGAGTTTAATAGATAAATGCATGTTCATATTAATATGTAAATATATGTCCATGTTTATAAAAATATATATATTTACATGCTTCTTGTCTCCTTTTCTAGATCAAGATCTTACAGTAATAGCAAAAAAAAATAAAATCCGTTTATTTTGTAACAAAACACCTTGGGCTTCCCACAGCCTGGACCAACATGATTTTATTTTAGAGCAAAGAGTGAGGTGTAAGCAGGTTTTCTGGCCCCATCGGGCGACATGTGTGGCTGGGGCAGCGCTGTGTAGGGAAGGACACAGCCAGTGGACCCTCTAGAGTTTCCCTGCATGGGGTTTCTCTCTCTTCCTCTTACAAGAAACACTTTCTGAATTTTTAGGACACCCAGTCATGAATGCAAGAAACCTGAGATGGAGTCAGCCTGGGAACAGCCGAGCTCTGAGACGGTCACATCAAGCTGTTCCCACCGTAAAACTCACTCCTGACGTCCACCTCTCCTGGGATGAAAGTGGCCAGCAGCCTCGGCCTGGCCTAGGACTCCAGAGCCCCGGGTAGTGGTGGCTGGGGTGACTGACAGGGCCTGTCTGCTCCAGCTGCCTCCCTGTCCCTGAGTCTGTCCAGCCAAGGGTCACCCTGCAATGCAGGACCTCAGTGATTCTGCACATAGGGGTCACTTTGCTCACATTCTCAAAGATAAAAATGAACCCAGTTTCAAAATCAAAAACAAAAACCAGTTGTCTGTGTAATACTCTTGCAGCAGAGCTGGTGCCCTTTCCTGCGTCTATAATTTGTAGCCTTAAGGTTGTAAAAGTCTACACTGGAAGCAAACACAAGCTCCTTCTGAACACCACCAAGAGCTCCCCTCTGGAAGCCTGGCCTCCAAAACGCCGTCTGCTTCCTCTTTTTTCTTTTTTTTGGAGAGAGTTTCAGTATTTTAAGGATCTCATTTGCTTTTGGGGAATTGCTTCCTGAGAATAAGCGCCTCCCACCCCACCCAACTACCCATCTCTGAACCATTTATTCGTTTCTCTGTCTGAGCAACCAAAGCTTTCCTAAGCTGTTGAGGGCTTAACTTTTTTTTTTTCTTTTTCTTTCTCTTTCTTTCTTTCTTTCTTTCTTTCTTTCTTTCTTTCTTTCTTTCTTTCTTTCTTTCTTCTTTCTTTCTTCTTTCTTTCCTTTCTTTCTTTCTTCTTTCCTTTCTTTCTTTTCTCTTTCTTTCTTTCCTTTCTTTTCCTTCCTTCCCTTCTTTCTTTTTTCCTTCCTTCCTTCCTTTCTTTCCTTCTTTCTTTCTTCCTTCTGTCCTCCCTTCCTCTTTCTTTCTTTTTTCTTTCCTTCTTTCCTCTTTCTTTCTTTTCTTTTCTTTTCTTTCTTTCCTTCTTCCTTCCTTCCTCTTTCTTTCTCCTTCCTTCCTCTTTCTTTGTTTCCTTCCTTCCTTCTTTCCTTCCTCTCTCTTCTCTTTTCTTTCTTTCTTTCTTTCTTTTTCTTTCTCTCTCTCTCTTCTTTCTTTCTCTGGTTTTTTTTTGACAGATTCTGGCTCTGTTGCCCAGACTGGAGTGCAGTGGCACAATCTTGGCTCACTGCAACCTCCGCCTCCGAGGTGCAAGCAATTCCCCTGTCTCAGCCTCCCAAATAGCCATGATTACAGGCACACACCACCACGCCTGGATAATTTTGTATTTTTAGTAGAGACGGGGTTTCACCATGTTGGCCAGGCCGGTCTCGAACTCCGGACCTCAGGTGATCCGCCCGCCTCGGCCTCCCAAAGTGCTGGGATGACAGGCATGAGCCACCGCACCTGCCCTGTTTGTTTTTTAATTGATACCAGGTTGCTTGTACCTGAAGTCACTCCGGTTTAGTAGAACACGGGGTGTCATCGGTAGAACTTTGTCCATAGTGTTTGCCAATTCCATCCTCAGAATCTGGCAGAACGCGTTTAAGGGGCCCAGACGAGAATCGCTTCACAGTTACGAATGGTGTAGAAATGAATGAGCAAGGCCAGGTGCAGAGGCAGCTCATGCCTGTGATCCCAGCGCTTGGGGAGGCTGAAGCAGGTGGATCATTTGAGGTCCGGAGTTCGAGACCAGCCTGGCCAACATGGTGAAACCCCGTCTCTGCTAAAAGTACAAAAATCAGCTGGGTGTGGTGGCTCAGACCTGTAGTCCCAGCTATTTGGGAGGCTGAGGCAGGAGAATCGCTTGAACCTGGGAGGCGGAGGTTGCAGTGAGCCCAGATCGCACCACTGCACTGCAGCCTGGGCGACTGACCCAGACTGTGTCTGAAGGAAAGGAAGAAAGAAAGAAAGAAAGAAAGAAAGAAAGAAAGAAAGAAAGAAAGAAAGAAAGAAAGAAAGAAAGAAAGAAAGAAAGAAAGAAAGAAAGAAAGAAGCAAATGTACACTGCTGAGGAATCTCCTTTTCCTGTGGCCGGGGCAAGATTCTTTGCATTTTTCTCTGCAGGGTAAAAACAAAACCACACACACACACACACACACACACACACACACGCACACAGCAATAAGCTTTCATCCAGCCGGCACAAGACAGTTTCCTGGAGAGTCTGTACACAGTGATTGTGCTGGGGGCTCATTTGCATATTGGTTTAAAGTACCCTGCAAACGGGCATTTGCAGAGGGGCACGGGAGAGGCTACCGGCGAATTAAGAGCTGCAGAGACGAGGGTCTGTGGCCATCACCTTTGCAGCTGCAGGAGAGAGGAGGTGATTAGGGAAGCTCCGTGTTCCCCTCTGAGCCTGGCAGGTGCGTTGTCCCCACCCTGCCCCCAGCACCGCACAGTCCATTGCAATGCAGGCCCTGCTTTTGGGTTTAGCAAAGGTAACTTCCCCTGGCACCCCCAGGCTTCTGCTTCCAGCACAGCGACTGCGACGTTGTGTTTGCACCTCGGTCCTCATACAGAATTCACCCACCTTGCACTCAATCTTCCTCTCCCGGCGGTACCATTAATATTTTAATTTCATCAGAATTTCTGGAACTGGCTTGCCATCCTGAGCAACCTAGTTACCTGTCAGCCCCTATCAGCTTGTCATATTAGAGGGGATTGTCCTAGGAACCTAATCTGCTTTAAATGATTTTCGTGGGGTGTTGGTCTATAAATCATCTCGAGGCAGGCCTGACAACGCGAAGGTTTTGGTGAATAAACAAACCACACTTGTTTTATTTTCGGCAGGCACAGACTTTGCTTTATCAACTTCTTATTGATTTCCGTGCTCCAAGAGGTCAAAAAAATGTTTTTGCTTCTCCTTTACATACAAAAACATTATTCATAGCAGAGCTGTGGGCAGAGGCAACTCTCATTAAGATAAGTTCCAAGATTCGCAGGCGAGGTGGCTGGTGGGAGAAACGACACACACCTGTTTCAGCCAAGCCCTTGGTGGAGTTTGGAGTTTCCAAAACGTTGACTCTTCCTCTTTCTGGTCAAAATAGAAATTATATGGATATTAAGGAGCCCCAAGTCTCTGCAGGGATATGGAGGAACCCTGGACATACAAATACACACACACACACACACACACACACACACACACACACGGGCACCCACACTCACCACCCCATGCCAAGAAGATACACAGAAAACTCACTCACCTTTCACTCAAGTTTGCAAATTTGGAACTGACTTAATGAAGGAAAGAAAAGTTGCAGCTACAAAGTAACACAGAGCCAATGAAAAGACAAAAACCGCCATTAGATTTTCTTCTTTTCTACAGTTTTATTTTATGTTTAACAATTATCGTTTGGATCAGGCGCAGTGGCTCACGCTCGTAATCCCGGCGCTTTGGGAGGCTGAGGTGTGAGAATCAGAAGGCCAGAAGTTCAAGGCCAGCCTGGGCAACATAGCAAGACCCCATCTCCAAAAAAAAAAAAATACAAAAATTAGCTGGACCTACTGGTGCAGACCTGTATTTCCAGCTACTGGGGAGGCTGAGGTGGAAGGATCGTTTGAGTCCAGGAGGTAGAGGCTGCACTGAGCCGTGATTGCACCACTGCACTCCAGCTTAGGCAACAGAGCAAGACCCTGTCTCAAGAAAAAATCTCCATAATGATTGTACACATTTATGACATATAATATAATGTTTCCAAGCATGTGTATATCATGTAATGACAACTCACAGTAATTATGAGATCCAGCTGCTCAGAAATCTCATTTTCCGGTGGCTGAGGAATATGTATCTTTTTTTTTTTTTGAGACGGAGTTTCGCTCTTGTCACCCAGGCTGGAGTGCAATGGCATGATCTCGGCTCACTGCAACCTCCACCTCCCAGATTCAAGCAATTCTCCTGCCTCAGCCTTCCGAGTAGCTGGGATTACAGGCATGAGCCACCACGCCTGGCTAATTTTGTATTTTCAGTAGACACAGGGTTTCATCATGCTGGTCACGCTGGTCTTGAACTCCTGACTTCAGGTGATCCACCCGCCTCAGCCTCCCAAAGTGCTGGTATTACAGGCATGAGCCACCATGCCCTGCAATATGTATCTTCCCCTTTTCCATAAGTTATTGGAGTACAGGTGGTATTTGGTGACATGAGGAAGTTATTCAATGGAGATTTCTGAGAACGTGGTGCGCCCAACACCCGAGCAGTATACATTGTATCAAATTTGTTGTCTTTTATCCCTCGTCCCCTTCCCACACTTCCCACCAACAAAATCCTCTCTTTGGACTATTTTGTAATATACAATATATTCTTGTTAAGTATTGTCACCCTGCAGAGAATTAAAACAACAGAATTTAGTCCTATTTAGTCGTAACTTTGTACACATGGACCAACCTCTCTCCATCCCTTCTTTCTCTCTCCCTTCCCCAGCTTATGGTAATCACCACTGTGCTGTCTATTCCTAGGAGATCAACTCTTTTTTTATATAATTTATTTTTTGAGACAGAGTTTTGCTCTTGTCACCCAGGCTGGAGTGCAATAGCATGATCTTGGCTCACTGCAACCTCCGCCTCCCGGGTTCAAGCGATTCTCCTGCCTCAGCCTCCCCAGTAGCTGGGATTACAGGCATGTGCCACCACACCTGGCTACTTTTTGTATTTTTAGTAGAGACGGAGTTTCTCCGTATTGGTCAGGCTGGTCTTGAACTCCTGACCTCAGGTGATCTGCCCGCCTCAGCCTCCCAAAGTGCTGAGATGACAGGTGTGAGCCACCGTGCCCGGCCAGGAGATCAACTCTTTTAGCTTCCACATGGGAGTGAGAACTGGCTGCATTTGTCTTATTTCACTTCTGGGTATGCATCCGCAGAAAATAAAACCAGTATATCAAAAAAAAAAGGGGGGAGGTCTGCACCCCCATGTTCATTGCAAGGCTATTCACGAGAGCCAACATGTAGAATTAACCTAAGTATCAGTGGGGGATGGATAAAGAAAATGTGATACACACACACCATGGAATACTATTCAGCCATCAAAAAGGAAGAAGTCTCACCACTTTGCAACAACTTAACGTTAAGGGAAATGAGCCAGCACGAGGTTTTCTTTGGTGTTTGAACTCAAAGCAGGATGGTTGTTGTGCGCATAACATGATTGCTTTCCTTAGTCCTGAAAAGAGACAAATTTCTTTTTCCTTTTTTTGAGATGGAGCCTCGCTCTGTCACCCAAGCTGGAGTGCAGTGGCGTGATCTCAGCTCACGGCAACGTCTGCCTCCCGGGTTCAAGCGATTCTCCTGCCTCAGCCTCCCAAGTAGCTGGGGTTACAGGTGCCCGCCACCATGACCCGCTAATTTTTGTACTTTTAGTAGAGATGGGATTTCACCATGTTAGTCAGGCTGGTCTCGAACTCCTGACCTCAAGTGATCCGCCCGCCTCGGCCTCCCAAAGTGCTGGGATTACAGGCGTGAGCCACTGCGCCCAGCCCCAAAATACTTGCAAATACCGAAACAGGACAATACCAGTGCAGTGATGTATGATGATTTGATTCTGGAATTGCTGTTTTGAACGTGTAAGAGTCATAAATAGAAGAGGGAGATGACAAGAGGAACCGAGGACTGTGTTTATTTGTTTATTTTTTGAGACAGAGTTTCGCTGTTGTTGCCCAGGCTGGAGTGCAGTGGTGCGATCTTGGCTCACTGCAACCTCCGCCTCCTGGGTTCAAGCGATCCTCCTGCCTCAGCCTCCCGAGTAGCTGGGATGACAGGTGCACGCCACCACGCCCGGCTAATTTTTGTGTTTTTAGTAGAGACAGGGTTTCATCATGTTGGTCAGGCTGGTCTCGAACTCCTGACCTCAACTGATCTGCCCGCCTTGGTCTCCCAAAGTGTTGGGATTTCAGGTGTGAGCCACTGCGCCCTGCCAGGGGTGTATTTTTTTAATACAAAATGAGTGTACCAAATATTCAATTACCATACCCACGCTGTGACTGACTGTTGTCCAAAGGACCAGGTGCTCAGCCCGATGACCTATGCTGAACTTTCTCTAAAAAATCTTACTCCCAATTTCACATCAGTGTGATTTTTCACTCTTGACAGTAAAATGAAACAGCGTTGTTGACCTAAAATTCCAACCATAGGATCATTGACGTGTTAAAGATATTTTATAGTAAAAGTAATTCCTAGGTTCTGTGATCGTGTAAAAATGGCTTTCTCTCTCTCTCTCCCTCTTTATACTCTCTTCTTTCTTTTCTTTCTCCTTCCTCTTTCTCTTTCATTCATTCTTTTTCTTTCTGTCTCTTTCTTCCTTTCTTCCCTCCCTACTTTCTTTCCCTCCCTACCTCTCCCTTCCTTCTTTCTTTCCTTCTTTCTTTCCTTCTTTCCTTCCTTCCCTCCCTCCTTCCTTCCCTCCTTCCTTCCATCTTTCCTCATTTTCCTCTCCTCCCTCCCTCCCTCCCTTCCTTCCTTCCTCCTTTCTCCATTCCCTCTCTCTCTCCCTTCCTTTCTTTCCTTCCTTCCTTTCTATCTTCCTCCTTTCTTTTTTGTTCCTTTCTCTGTCTTCTTCTCCTCTCTTTCTTCCTTTCTCTTTCTCTCTTCTTTTTTCTTTTTCTATCCCTCCCTCCCTCCTTTCCTTCCTTCCTTCCCTTCCTTTCTCTTCCTTCTTTCTTTCTTTCCTCTTTCTTTCTTTTCCTTTCTTCTCTTTCTTTCTTTCCTTCTTTCTTCTTTTCCTTCCTTTCTTCCTTCCTTCCTCTGTCCCTCCCTCCTTTTCTTCCTTTCTTTCTCTCTTTCACAGGATCTCACTCTGTCATTCAGACCAGAGTGTAGTGGTGCAAACACAGCTCACTGCAGCCTCAAACTCCCAGGCTCAAGGAAACCTTCCACCTCAGACTCCAGAGTAGCTGGGGCCACAGACACACGCCACCATGCCCCACTACTTTTTTTCCAGTTTTTGTAGAAATGGGGTCTCACTTTGTAGCTCAGGCTGGTGTCGAATTCCTGGCCTCAAGCAATCCTCCTGCCTCAACCTCCTAGAGTGGTGCAAATCTTCACAGAGTCCAGCCGCATCTTTCAGGAATGCATTTCTGTTGGACTTGCCGTGCGTTTAACTGACAGTGAACCAGGATGTACTCAAACAAAAGTTCAATGACTGCCCAACAAAAACATCCCATATTTTAAAGTGTTTTTAAAAAATCAGGCTGATGGGGGTTGGGGGCACCTGCTTGTGTAAGAGGAAGCACATGTGAGTTTTGTAAACTCTGGATTTTGAAAACATCATCCATGACCCTTTTGCATTTTGGATTAAGGTTTTCTCTGGCTGATAATTGACTATCATTTCTGAATCCCCAAAAATAAATGTTATACATTTTAGCTGGGGTGGGTAAAATGGACAGAGTCAAAGCTCTTAAAAAGTGACTTTTTCAAGGATCTAGAACCAGAAATGCCATTTGACCCAGCAATCCCATTACTGGGTATATACCCAAAGGATTATAAATCATTCTACTATAAAGACACATGCACACGTATGTTTATTGCAGCACTATTCACAATATTAAAGACTTGGAACCAACCCAAATGTCCATCAATGATAGACTGGATAAAGAAAATGTGGCACATAGACACCATGGAATACTATGCAGCCATCAAAAAGGATGAGTTCATGTCCTTTGCAGGGACATGGATGAAGCTGGAAACCATCATTCTCAGCAAACTATCACAGGAACAGAAAACCAAACACCGCATGTTCTCACTCATCAGTGGAAGTTGAACAATGAGAACACATGGACACAGGGAGGGGAACATCACACACCAGGGCTTGCTGGGGGGTGGAGGGTTAGGGAAGGGATAGCATTAGGACAAATACCTAATGTAGATGACGGGTCGATGGGTGCAGCAAACCACCATGGCACGTGTATACCTATGTAACAAACCTGCACGTTCTGCACATGTATCTCACACAACTTAAAGTATAATAATAATAATAATAATTAATAATAATAAAGTGACTTTGCAGTTCTCCAAGACAGGCAAGATTTCCACTGTAGAAACATTTCAAGAAACAGTGTGAGCCGTTTTAAACAGACGCTGTCACATCCAGGCAGTTATTCATCCCGCTGACTCTCAGATTACTGACCAGGGTACACGTGGTCGTATTACTGTGGCAGAAATCACTGGATGATATTATAGCTCACCATAGAATTCGAAACCTATTTTTTAATGCAATTTTTAAATACAGGCATTTGAGATAAATGTCCTTGAGTATTCTTCTGACATCTTAAAGCAGTTCCTTTCCAAATCCCTTGTGGCGTTGAGAAATGAGCTTGTAGGAAAAACGCTTAATTCTTTTTCCTGATTCGTAGCGATCAATGTTGAAATCAATCAAGTGGGGTCACATCGGCCTTTCCAAATAATAGTCCAAAGTTTTCAAATTAAAAAAAAAAAAAGCATTATGAGTTATATGAATTGGAGTAGACAGAACTGGATTTCTTTTTTTTTTTTTTCACTAGGCTTGTTTTAGGAATTATAACTTTACGATGTTCTGTAAGTTGCATGTCTGCTTTTTGAATGGCCCCTGTGGTTTTTGGAGTTCCTCTCCATGCCTGTACAAATCTCTCTGCCTCCCGAGGGGTCTCCAAAGTGGAAGATTACAGGCCACTGAGTCATGGCCGGATCCTTTTCAGGATGACAAAGCAATGCAGGCTTGGATTACAGAAGCCAGACGTGTTGCATATTAATCTACCTTCTACCCAGGAAAAGCAAAAACTGGAGGGAGAGTAAGAGCAATTAATTTAGAAGTGGCCGTGGGGAAGGCTCTTAGAGTCTAGATGAGAGAAGAGAGTCGGTTATTTACTCACAATATGGAGTTTTATTTTATTTTTATTCCCAGGGTTCTATCGGCATGAATTTCTCAGAAAAACAAAAACGAAAACACAAAACAAACAAACAAAAACCTTGAAGCCACAATGGCTGATAATTCATAAAATAATTATTCCATATAAGTCTCAGGCTGCATTTATATTTGAATTATAATTGGGATGAGAGGCAGGAAGTGCATAGGAATGACTTGTTACCACGAGCCCGCGCTCTGGAATGCAAAGCTGTAATTTTTAACGATGAAATGGCAGATATCTACACAGATCAGTGGAAAATACCTTAATTTTCCATAAATTTTCCTTCATGGTCCCCATGGGACCCGTAAGGTCTTCAACTGTGCTTGGGTGGTTTTTCTTTGGAGGAACACAGAGTTTCATCTTCTGGTGTATCCAAAGTCTCACATATGTTGCTGGCTCCCAGCAAGATGGGAAAAGAAGAAAAGAAAAAAAAAGAAAAGAAAAGAGAAGAGAAGAGAAGAGAAGAGAAGAGAAGAGAAGAAGAGAAGAGAAGAGAAGGGAGGGGAAGGGAAGAGAAGGAAGGGAAGGGAAGGAAAGGGAAGGGAAGGGAAGGGAAAGGAAGAAAAGAAAAGAATGAAGAAAAAGAAAAGAAAAGAAGATAAAAGAAAAGACAGGAAAAGAAAAGAAAGGGAAGAGAAAGGAAGAAAAGAAAAGAAATTTTACATTGATTTATTTATGGAAAATTAAATTTGTGGTCATGGGGCAACGTGTGGTGGACTGGAATATAGGCTCCCAAGAATCAGGGTGGGCATCAGAAAACAGAGCCGGGTGTGTGGAAGGCAGGAATAGCAACTCCTTCGGATTCCTGGTGGTTGCTATGCACGGTGACTTTCTTCATCTTGAAAATAATAGCGGCATTGCGTATCGTCTCACAAATACAGCACTAAATAATGAGGTAAAGAGTCTAATTCGCCCCCACATACCTCAGTCGCTGCAAGCCACACTCTAAGAAATGGTGGAGATGGTGTGCGTCTTACTGATGTAGATTTTGGGGTGGGCTCTCCAGTTTGGGAGACCAGGGTGACCTCCATGATCTCCTACTTCCCCAAGGCAGGTGTAGCACAAAACAAACACAGCTTACTCTACCCCTGATTGGGGAAAATCTCCTAAAAAAAATCCCGTCCTATCACTGTTCTTCTGTAACCCCATAACTCCTTCACCTCCCCACCTTGGGACCCACAAAGTCTCCAACTCTGTTTGGGTGGTTTTTGTTTGAGGGAACACAGAGTTTCATCTCTTGGTGTAACCAAAGTCTCACATATGTTGCTGGCTACCAGCAAGAGGAAAAGAGAAGAAAAGAAAAAAGGGAAGGGAAGAGAAGAAAACAAAAGGAAGGGAAGGGAAGGGAAGAAAACAAAAGGAAGGGAAGGGAAGGGAAGGAAGAGAAAAGAAGGGAAGGCAAAAGAAGGGAAGGGAAGAGAAGGGAAGGGAAGGGAAAGGAAGGGAAGGGAGAAAAGAAAAGAAGAAAAGAAAAAAAGAAGAAGAGGAGATAAAAGAAAAGAAAAAGAAAAGAAAAGAAATTTTACATTGATTTTTTTTTAAAGGAAGTGAATGAAATATTGAATTTTTTTTCCCCCTCCATGGTCAACCCCCAGGAAGTCTTCCCTGTTTCTATCTCTTTACCTCCTTTGATAAATGTGGGGACAAATTATTCATTGGATTCTCCCCTGCTCTACTCCTGTCTTTATTCATTTTTTTAATTACTGCAAGTACATAGTAGGTGTATATAGTTACGGGGTAGGTGAGACGTTTTCATGCCCACATGCAATATGCAGTAATCACATTAGGGTAAATAAGATATCCATGAACTCAAGCATTGAGGCTTTGTGTTACAATTCAATTATGCTCGTTTAGTTATTTACAAATGTACGATGAAGTGATTATTGATGATACTCACCCTGTTATGCTAGCAAAAACTAGGATTTATTTATTCTTTCTAATTATTTGTTGGTACACATTAACCTTCCCCACCTCTTCCACACAAACTCCCCACTATCTTTCTCAGCCTCTGAGAACCAGCCTTCTACTCTTCTATTTCCATGAGTTCAATTGTTTTCAATTTTAGCTCCTGCAAATAAGTGAGAACATGAAGAGTTTGTCTTTCTGTGCCTGGCTTATTTCACTGAACATAATGACCATCCGTTTTATTGCAAATGGCAAGATCTCATTCTTTTTCATGGCTGAATAGTATTCCATTCCATATGTGTAACACTTTTCTCTTCTTTCTTTCTTTTTCTTTCTTTCATTCTTTCTTTCTTTTTCTTTCTTTCTTTCTTTCTCTTTCTTTCTTTCTTCCTTCCTTCCTTTCTCTTTCTTTCTTTCTTCCTTCCTTTCTTCCTTCCTTCCTTTCTTTCTTTCTGTCTCTCTCTCTCTCTCCTCTCTTTTTTTTTTTTTGACAGAGTCTCGCTCTGTCACCCAGGGTGGAGTGCAGTGGTGCGATCTCGGCTCACTGCAACCTCTGTCTCCCAGATTCAAGCGATTCTCCTGCCTCAGCGTCCGGAATAGCTGGAATGACAGGCGCCCACCACCATGCCTAGCTGATTTTTCTATTTTTAGTAGAGATGGGGCTTCACCGTGTTAGCCAGGATGGTCTCGATCTCTTGACCTTGTGATCTGCCCTCTTCGGCCTACCAAAGTGCTGGGATTACAGGCGTGAGCCACCCTGCCCGGCCTTTTCTTCTTCTTCTTCTTTTTTTTTTTTTTTTTTTTTTTTTTTTGAGCAGTCTCTCTCTGTGACTCAGGCGGGAGTGCAGTGGCGTGATCTCAGCTCACTGCAACCTCTGCCTCCCAGGTTCAAGCGATTCTCCTGCCTCAGCCTCCCAAGTAGCTGGGATTACGGGCACCCGCCACCACGCCCGGCTCATTTTTGTATTTTTATGAGAGACAGGTTTCCACTGTGTTGGCCAGGCTGGTCTCGAACTCCTGACCTCAAGTGATCCATCTGCCTCGGCCTCCCAAAGTGCTGGGATTACAAGCGTGAGCCCCCTCGCCCGGCTCATTTTCTTTATCCATTCACCTGTTGATGAACACTTACGTTGTTTCCCAATCTCAGCTCTTGGGAACAGTGCTGCAATATACTATGAGATTGCAGGTATCTCAAAATAAAATAAAATAAAATAAAATAAAATAGAGCTACCATAGAATTCAGTAATCCTACTTTTTTGTATTTTTAGTAGAGACGGGGTTTCACCATGTTGGCCAGGCTGGTCTCCAACTCCTGACCTCAGGCGATCCACAAGCCTCGGCCTCCTAAACTTCAATATACTGACTTCTTTTATTGAGGGTGTATGCCCATCAGTGAGTATGATTGCTGAATTCTATGGTAGCTCTATTTTATTTTATTTATTGTTATTATTATTATTTTGAGACGGAGTCTCACTCTGTTGCCCAGCCTGGAGAGCAGTGATGGGATCTCGGCTTACCGCAACCTCCACCTCCCGGGTTCAAGTGATTCTCCTGCCTCAGCCTCCCCAGTAGCTGGATTAAGGCACCAGCCGACACTCCTGGCTAATTTTTTTTTTAATATATTTTTAGTAGAAACGGGGTCTCACCATGTTGGCCAGGCTGGTCTCGAACTCCTGGCCTCAGGTGATCTGCCTGCCTCGGCCTCCCCAATTACGATAGCTCGATTTGTAAGGGAACCTCCAAATTGCTCCCCATTGCGGTTGCACGAATTTACATCCCCACCCACAGTGGATGGGGTGAGATTACGCCTGTAATCCCAGCACTTTGGGAGGCCAAGGCGGGCGGGTTACTTGAGGTCAGGAGTTCGAGATGAGTCTGTCCAACATGGTGAAACCCCATCTGTACTAATAATACAAAAATTAGCCGGGCGTGGTGGCGGGCACCTGTAATCCCAGCTACTTGGGAGGCTGAGGCAGGAGAATCACCTGCCCCTGTCTTTAATATTGTGAAGACACATGAAGGGTGATATAGAATCAAGAAGAAGGATATCTTATTCGAGTATCAGACACTACCCCAGCTCTGTCCTCCCACAACCCCTCTGAACTTTGCTCGGAACGTAGAGGAAAAGACGTCCCTCCTGCTCCGGGAATCCCAGAAGAAAACTCCAGCCTGACAGAAGGAGGTTTATCTCCACCACCAGGACAGGAAGCTTCGCCCTGAGTGAGCAGGTCAGAAAGAAACAAGAGCTGCGTTCCCGACGTGGGGAAGGGCCCAAGCTGTGTGTTCATGGAGTCACATATTTTTCTGTGACATTTGCAGAAGGTATTTGGCCGGCCTCCTGGTAAGAGTTGAGACTGCTGGCCCTTTCTGTTTCTGTACCCCATCTCGGATGAACAATACATTCCATAGACATTCCCTAGACAGAGCCCACAGCCAGGACCCACATTTGAAGCCCCCGTGTAGACAGACACACAGTCCACAGCCAGGACCCACATTTCAAGCCCCCGTATAGATGGACACACAGTCCACAGGCAGGACCCACATTTAACCCCCGGTGTAGACAGACACACAGTCCACAGGCAGGACCCACATTTAACCCCCGGTGTAGACAGACACACAGTCCACAGGCAGGACCCATATTTAACCCCCGGTGTAGACAGACACACAGTCCACAGCCAGGACCCACATTTCAAGCCCCCGTGTACAAGGACACACAGTCACTTCTGTGATTTTGCATTCTTTTTTTTTTTTCTTAAATGGACTCCTCCCAAATGGAAACACTTCAATCCCCAAATAACTCGTCGTCCGCCCAGGACTCCTATCCAAGGGGTTCAGGCAGTGCACACAGCATATGGTTGTCTTTTTGCCTAAACAGCAAGGAGACATCGTGTGTCCCAGGGGGCGGACCCGTATGCACAATTCATGGGCGTCAGGTAAGATTCTGGAACAGTGCTCTGAAATCCAGCTGGGAAGAAAGTCAGAGGAAGTTGCAACTCACAGTTTAACACATATTAACTCTTTAGTCTGTGGATTCCTCATCGTGGAAAGGAGGAAAATGCAATCATCAAAGAAAGTGAACATTTGGGATGAAAATGACCTCCTTCCTCCTGAGGGTGGCCCCAGGCAGGGTCAGACCCCGGAACACAGACACAGTCGGGAAATCGTAACCACTGTCAGGTCCTCGCACACCTGCAATTTGGGTCTCTCAGAAACCTCATTTTAACAAACCGCATTCTCCAATTCCCTCTCTCTGTGTGCGTGTGTGTGTGTGTGTGTGTGTGTGTGTGTGTGTGTTTTGGGTTTTCTTTACCCAATCTCTTTTGGTAGTCTAGGTGAACCTCTTTTGGTATTTCTCGGATACTTCATCCCTTTTATTATTATTATTATTATTTTTTGAGATGGACTTTCACTCTGTCGCCCAGGCTGGAGTGCAGTGGCGTGATCTCGGCTCACTGCAAGCTCCACCACCCGGGTTCACGCCATTCCCGGGTATGCCTCAGCCTCCCGAGAGCTTGGACTACAGGCGCCCGCCACCACGCCCGGCTAATTTTTTGTATTTTTTTTGTAGTAGAGACGGGGTTTCACTGTGTTAGCCAGGATGGTCTCGATCTCCTGATCTTGTGGTCCACCCACCTCGGCCTCCCAAAGTGCTGGGATTACAGGCGTCAGCCAGCGCGCCCGGCAGACCCAATCTCTTTTGGATCAGATGTTTCATCCCTTTTTTTTTTTTTTTGAGATGGACCCAGGCTGGAGTGCAATGGTGCCATCTCAGCTCACTGCAACCTCCACCTCCCAGGTTCAAGAAATCCTCCTGCCTCACCCTCCCGAGTAGCTGGGACTACAGGTGCACGCCACCACGCCCGGCTAATTTTTGTATTTTTAGTGGAGATGGGATTTCACCATGTTGACCAGGCTGGTCTCGAACTCCTGACCTCAGATAATCCACCTGCCTCGGCCTCCCAAAGTGCTGGGATTCCAGGTGTGAACCACCGCGCCCAGCCTAGGACCCACACATTTTAAGCCCCGGTGTAGATGGGTGTTACCAACCCTAAACCCAAAAAGATCACTCCTATGTAGGATCATTTTGGTTTCATTTTCATAACAGGCAACATCGTACTAACTCTCAGAATCAGCTTTTCCTGGGCTCTGTGGTGAAAGATGATGTTGTCACCTGTCACTCTGCACAGAGAGAGATGCTTTCCAGCCCCCGAGAAAGGGCCCTCCATGCCTTTGGACACAAGCTCAGCTTCCTTCCCCTGTAACTCCAAAAGCATTTAAACTCTTTTCCTGGCCGGGTACGATGGCTTTTTTTTTTTTTTTTTTTTTTTTTTTGAGATGGAGTCTTGCTCTGTGGCCCAGGCTGGAGTGCAGTGGCGCGATCTCGGCTCACTGCAAGCTCCGCCTCCCGGGTTCAAGCCACTCTCCTGCCTCAGCCTCCTGAGTAGCTGGGACTACAGGCACCTGCCCCCACGCCCGGCTAATTTTTTTGTGTTTTTAGTAGAGATGGGGTTTCACCGTGTTAGCCAGGATGGTCTCGATCTCCTGACCTCGTGATCCACCCGCCTCGGCCTCCCAAAGTGCTGGGATGACAGGCGTGAGCCACTGCGCCCGGCCCAGACACTTTAAGTTACAGCAGACGGTGTCTTTCACTCCAGCGTGTGCTCAACAGATGAGTGTCTTGAGTCCAAATTAAAAACGTCAACAGTAAATCTACATTTTATATATGTTTTCTTTAATGATTTTTTTAAGGCACCAAACAGAATGAATAAAGAAGGGGAATGATGGAATGGTGGAAACTCTGTTTTTGTTTTTGTTTTTGTTTTTTCTCTCTTTCTCTCTTTTTCTTTTCCTCCTAGAGTTTGCCATGAATTACGTGTGGTCTAGCAGCCAAAGGAAGTGAACTGCAATAAACCTACAAATATAGGCTGTACAGACTCGACGTTTTTGCATTTCGAGTTAAACCCAACAAGACGTTAATTATGACCAGCCTGACCAACATGGCGAAACCCCATCTCTACTAAAAATACAAAAATGAGCCAGGCGTGGTGGCGGGTGCCTGTCATCCCAGCTACTCGCGAGGCTGAGGCAGGAGAATCACTTGAACCCGGGAAGCGGAGGTTGCAGTGAGCCAAAATTGTGCCACTGCACTCCAGCCTGGGCAAAAGAGCGAGGCACCGTCTGGGAAAAAAAAAAAAAAAAAAAAAAAAAAGGTTCATCAAATACCATGCGGTGCTTTTGCAGGTGGAAAGCTGCAGGATTGAATTGTTACAAATTATCTGCCTCCCCACAGCCTTTTTGTGTGTGTGTGAGATAGAGTCTCGCTCTGCAGCCCAGGCTGGAGTGCAGTGGCACGATCTCGGCTCGCTGCAACCTCCGCCTCCCGGGTTCAAGTGATGCTCCTGCCTCCGCCTCCCGAGTAGCTGGGATGACAGGCACCCGCCACCCTGCCTGGCTAATTTTTTGTATTTTTAGTAGAGAGACGGGGTTTCATCATGTTGGGCAGGCTGGTCTCGAACCCCTAACCTCAGGTGATCTGCCCGTCTCAGCCTCCCAAAGTGCTGGGATGACAGGCGTGTGCCACCACGCCAGGCTATTTTTTTGTATTTTTAGTAGAGACGGGGTTTCACCGTGTTAGCCAGGATGGTCTCGATCTCCTGACCTCGTGATCCACCCGCCTCGGCCTCCCAAAGTGCTGGGATGACAGGCGTGAGCCACCGCGCCCGGCCAATACCAATCTTGCTTCAACCCACTTTCCCCCTTGGTTGGTCCGAGGTGCAAACACAGATCCATACACAACACAGACACTCAAGACACACACACACACCTTTAGACAACGTACATGTATAGACACAACACAGCACGCTCAACAGACACACGCACGCATACACAACACACAGTCAACAGACACAAACATATCATACACATACAACACACACTCAAGACACAACGGCTGTACACGACACACATATATATAAATAATGCCACACACGATCAACACACACACACAACATACACTCAAGACACATCTACATAGAACACACGTGTATATACACAACAGACACACACACACAACACACAGTCAAGAAGCAACATCTATACACAACACACATGTATATACACAATACCACACATGCTTAACAGACACACCCACAAGACACACTGAAGACACAACATCTATACACAACACATATGTGTATACACAATGCCACACACAATCAACAGACACACACACAACACAGTCAAGACACATCTATAGAGAACACACGTATACACACAACAGACACACACAAACACACAATCAAGAAATAACATCTATCCACAACACCCATGTATATACACAATACCACACATGCTTAACAGACACACACGCAAGACACAACATCTATACAGAACACACATGTATATACACAATACCACACATGGGATCAACAGACACTAATACGCAACACACATTCAACAGACAAATGCACAAACACATCATATATAGAAGACACACACATCTATACACAACACAACACACTGAACAGACACAGAAACAACAGACACACACACAACATAACATGCTCAACAGACACACAACACACAAGAGACACGCACAAACACATCATATATACAAGACACACACATCTATACACAACACAACACACTCAACAGACACACACATACACAACACACAACAGACACACACACAACACGCTCAACAGACACACAACACACAAGAGACACACGCACAAACACATCATATATACAAGACACACACATCTATACACAACACAACACACTCAACAGACACACACATACACAACACACAACAGACACATACACAACACGCTCAACAGACACACAACACACAGACACACGCACAAACACATCATATATACAAGACACACACATCTATACACAACACAATCAACAGACACACACATACACAACACACAACAGACACACAACACGCTCAACACACACAACACACAAGAGACACGCACAAACACATCATATATACAAGACACACACATCTATACACAACACAACACACTCAACAGACACACACATACACAACACACAACAGACACACACACAACACGCTCAACAGACACACAACACACAAGAGACACACGCACAAACACATCATAAACACAACACACGCACTCAAGACACACATGGACACACAACACAGTTTAATGTAGGTTTCCTGCCGTTTTAGAACTGAAAAAAGAAGAATGAGGCGTGTGGGCTCATTGCAGAAGTTAACTAATGCTCTGAGATTTAATTTTTCAAGGAAAAAATGACCGTTTCTACATAGACATGTCCATAGACCATTTCTACAAGGAAGCACCGATTTGCAGCGTCCATCATGGGGACCTTTGTTTGCTTCCCCCTCTATGGGAAAATTACTTGGATGCCGCTCTTGTTTTAAGCCACTCTCGCCCTTGGCTGGTCCGAGGTGTAAAGACAAATGACTTTGGGATAAACGTGGGGTTTGCAGCAAAGTGTGAGCAGGAGTCACGGGCTCACCCCAGAATGTGGGGAGGCCAGACGTGGGGCCCGCTTCCTGCCGCCACTAATTAGCTTGGGTTTTATGGCCGGTCGTTAAAAAGGCCGGGTCAAACAGTTGCAAAGTTATGAAACAGCCACACAGGCTAAAGACCTGGGCTTTGCAGAGGTATGAATGTTTCGCTGTGTTGCCAACTTCTCCTGAACTTTGGCGTCCTCATGGGGAAAAAAAAATGTAAAAAAAAAATAAAAAAATAAAAAAAAATATCATATCTGCCTATTAAAAAGATTAGAAGCAAAAAAAAAAAAAAAAAAAAGAATCCAGGATTGAAGCAGGAAAAGGAGTCTTATGTCCACACAGCCAAGTCAACCTCAGCAAAATTAACTCCGTCTTTTCCGAGACGTCGTCACGATTATTATTATTATTATTTTTTGCTTCTAATCTTTTTAATAGGCAGATATGACATTTTTTTTATTTTTTTATTTTTTTATTTTTTATTTTATTATTATTATACTTTAAGTTTTAGGGTACAGGTGCACAATGTGCAGGTTAGTTACATATGTATCCATGTGCCATGCTGGTGTGGTGCACCCATTAACTCGTCATTTAACATTAGGTGTATCTCCCGATGCTATCCCTCCCCCGTCCCCCCACCCCACCACAGTCCCCAGAGTATGATGGTCACGATTATTTTTCTGTGATGACAGTAAGAGTCAGAAAATGTACCACCTTGATAAAGATATAGTTATCATTAGGTGCTTCTTGGGCCAGCTAGGAGATGATTGGGTTGTAAACTTGGGGGCTGGCTCTTGAGAAGGCATTCATTTGCTTTTGTGTTTTCACTCAGAAACCCACATTGATACTGGGCTTTGGAACTCTCCTCTGATTGCAAATTCCTGTCTTCCTAAGACAGGGTGGAGGGTTCCAGGGCTCCGTGTGTACGTAGGTGGTCAGGTCAGCCGGCCAACGCACCGACGCTACAGCAAATGATACGTATAAATTATTGGAGCACTGCGGGAATGGCAATTTGACTTTTTATGAGCCTGTAACGACGTCCCTAGAGAAGAGTGTGTATGTGTGTGTGTGTGAAATTCTGGAAAGGATTTTGCATTTTCATAGATTTGGCACCACTGACTTTAAAAGGGGCTGCTCTGGGTTTCGAATTTCTCCAGTCATCAATAAGAGCCATTTTGGTGGGGTTTTTTTCTTCTTCTTTTTTTAATGTCTGGTTTGTGCAGGAAATATAAAGATTGTAATCCTTGTTGACGAGGGGTCTTCAAAGAATGAGACTTTGGGGTGTAAAAGGGAGCTTACCCGTCTACATCTTGGGCATGGCAGTTTGGGCACCTATTTCAAGGGTGTGGGCACGAAACCACAAGCTCCTGTGAGCTCATATCGCTGCTGATGGGTTGACAGAGTAAGCGGGTTCCGGACACTGTGGCAGTTTAACCCAGACTCAGAAAAGCAAGGCAGAGATGAGACGGTCAGCTGCAAGCACCCTTTCTTCCCGTAGGCTGGTGGGCTGAGACGCTGCGTCTCTTCCTGCCTAAACCTGTTCTGGATGTTTTCACCACAAACTGGCATCTGCAATGTAACGGGCTGGAAAACGGGCAGTGTGGGGGATTGGATTGGCCCTGCTTGGGGGTGTCTCTCTTGAGGCCGTGAGCCCTGACTCTCTGCTCTCTGATCCATGAGGGTGGACTCCGGAGGCAAGGGGATGAGGCAGATAAGGGAAGGGAACGGACAGACTAGCGCTTGGAAGAAGAAAAAGGTTTAGATATTGTAAGGGTTTCCTGGGGATGCTGTCACAAGATGCCAAAAACCAGAGGATCAAACAAGAAAAATTTCATCTCTCCGCGTCCTGAACTACAGTCCTCCTAAAAACTGTATATACATCCTCAGTCTCATAGCCTGTGAACGGGACCTTATTTGGAAATAGGGTTTCTGCAGATGCAGGTAGTTAAGGATTTCAACATGAGATCATCCTGAAGTAAGGTGGATCCTAAATGCAATGACAGGTGTCTTTCTAAGAGACAGAAGAGGAGACACAGACACGGAGGAGAAGGCCACGTGGAGATGGAGGAGAGACAGGGAGGACTTCTGGACTCCAGGAAGGCCAGTATTGGGTCCACTATGATTGTGTTTAGTTCCTCCTGGAGGCTCTAGGGGAGGGTCCTTCCTGCCTCTCCCAGCTCCTGGGGGCTCCAGGCGTCCCTGGGCTTGTGGCCGCATCACTCCAGTCTCTGCCTCCGTCTCCACGTGGCCTTCTCCTCTGTGTCTGTGTCTCCTCTTCTGTCTCTTAGAAAGACACCTGCCATTGCATTTAGGACCCACCCTACTCCAGGATGATCTCATGTAGAAATCCTTGACTTAGTTACATTTGCAGAGACCTTATATCCAATTAACGTGCCATTCACATATTCTGGAAGTTAGGCTGTAGAGATAGCCTTTAGGGGGACTGTAGTTCAATTCAAAACAATTGTATTATCTTCCCTCTGGAGGCTGTAGGGGAGGGTCCTTCCTGCCTCTCCCAGGTCCTGGGGGCTCCAGGCATCCCTGGGCTTGTGGCCGCTTCACTCCAGTCTCTGCTGCCATCTCCATGTGGCCTTCTCCTCTGTGTCTGTGTCTCCTCTTCTGTCTCTTACAAGGACACTTGTTATTGGAATTAGAATCCACCCTAATCCAGGATGATCTCATCTCAATATCCTTAATTTATTACATCTGCAAATACTCTGTTTTCAAGAAGGGTTTCATTCACAGGTTCTATGAGTCAGGACATAAACGTGTTTCTTAGGGATCACCATTCAATCTACTAGAATTGTGTTCAGTTCCTTCTGGAGGCTCTAGGGGAGGGTCCTTTCTGCCTCTCCCAGCTCCTGGGGGCTCCAGGCGTCCCTGGGCTTGTGGCCCCATCACTCCAGTCTCTGCCTCCGTCTCTATGTGGACTTCTCCTCTCTAAGTGTATGGAAACTTCCCTCTTTTTACCAGGACGCGACTGATTGGATTGAGCATCCCCTCTGCTCCAGTCTTTCCTCATTATACGTCCATAATATCTGCAAAGACCCTATTTCCTACAACACCACGTTCACAGGTATGTACAGTTAGGACCTTAACAGATATTTTGAAGAAACACAATTCAGTTCACAACAGACATGTTTTTGAAGGAAACGGAAAGTCATTGATTTTTGTTTTTTTTTTGTTTTTAGTGAAGCAGATGGCAGTATTTTAAGGTAATCTTCCATACCGTGGCTCCAACTTCCTATGCAGAAAAATCCTTTTCTCTCTCAATGAGGAGCCTAGTTTTCAAGATTAGCCCAGCGTGGTGGCTCACGCCTGTAATCCCAGTGCTTTTGGAGGCTGAGGCAGACAGATCATGAAGTCAAGAGATGGAGACCGTACTGTCCAACAAGGTGAAACCCCATCTCTGCTAAAAATGCAGAAATTAGCCAGGCATGGTGGTGGATACCTGTCATCCCAGTGCTTTGGGAGGCCAAGGTGGATGGATCATGAGGTCAAGAGATCGAGACCATGCTGTTCAACATGGTGAAACCCCATCTCTACTAAAAATACAAAAATTAGCTGGGCATGGTGGTGGATGCCTGTCATCCCAGTGCTTTGGGAGGCCAAGGTGGATGGATCATGACGTCAAGAGATCGAGACCATGCTGTTCAACATGGTGAAACCCCATCTCTACTAAAAATACAAAAATTAGCCAGGCGTGATGGTGGATGCCTGTAATCCCAGTGCTTTTGGAGGCTGAGGCAGACAGAACATGAAGTCAAGAGATCGAGACCATACTGTCCAACATGGTGAAACCCCTTCTCTACTAAAAATACAAAAATTAGCCGGGCATGATGGTGGATGCCTGTAATCCCAGTGCTTTTGGAGGCTGAGGCAGACAGATCATGAAGTCAAGAGATGGAGACCATACTGTCCGACATGGTGAAACCCCATCTCTACTAAAAATATAGAAATTAGCCGGGCGTGGTGGTGGATGCCTGTAATCCCAGTGCTTTGGGAGGCTGAGGTGGATGGATCATGAGGTCAAGAGATCGAGACCATGCTGTCCAACATGGTGACACCCCGTCTCTACTAAAAATACAAAAATTAGCGGGGTGTGGTGGCTCACTCCTGTAATCCCAGCTACTCGGGAGGCTGAGGCAGGAGAATCGCTTGAACCTGGGAGGCGGCGGTTGCAGTGAGCCGAGATGGCGCCACTGAACTCCAGCCTGCTGACAGAATGAGGCTCTGTCTCAAAAAAAAAAAAAAAAAAAAAGATTTGTTCTTTTTTCCCGTTTCTAATTATCGGTGTCAGTTCCAAGGTTGTAATGATGTAATGAGTAAGACTTGATGCTGTGTGTTTGGCTGGAGTTTGTAGCTTTGAAAGGATCAAGTTGGAAGCCACATTTCTGATTCCCAGCTAAGAAAACTCTGGGGGAAATAAGTCAGGGAATGCAGAGAGGTCGGCGTTCACTTTCCAACGTGCCTGGTAGAAGTCAAATGTTCTGGCCAGGTGCGGTGCCTCATGCCTGTCATCCCACCACTTTGGGAAGGCGAGGCGGGAGGATCATGAGGTCAGGAGTTCAAGACCAGCCTGGCCAACATGGTGAAACCCCGTCTCTACTAAAAATATAAAAATTAGCAGGGTGTAGTGGTGTGCCTGTAATCCCAGCTACTCCGGAGGCTGAGGCAGGAGAATCACTTGAACCCGGGAGGCGGAGGTTGCAGAGATCACGCCACTGCACTCCAGCCTGGGTGACAGAGCGAGACTCCCTCTCCAAAAAAAAATAATAATAAATGAAAAAGAAGTCAAATGTTCCTCATGCCAGCATCGTGGTCTCTTGAGAAGACCAGGCTGAACTTGGTGAGCCTAATTCTCTGCCAGGAATGCTTTCTCTTCTGCGGGAATTCTTAGGGAAAGCCTCTCCAACAGTCTCATGCATGGACTAAAAGTTCCTTGGATCTAGGCAGGAATTTGGGAGAAATTGGGGGTTAGGCCCCTTCATAGACCCGACACACCATCCATGAGTTGCAACGGAGGTCCCCTTGCAATTTAAGCAACGCAACAAATCAGGGCAGGCAGCAGTTAACTTCTTAATTCCCCTTCGGCAATTCAAGGCTTTCACGGCGACCAGCTATTAGGCTGAGAAATTAGCTTTTACAGGAGGATTGCTCCATATTCCATATGCTGCCTTTCCCCTGGAGCTTGGAACTATAAATATCAACCCGATAATGACACGATGGTGGATTCTCATTCAGCTTGTGCATGTGTGGGTACGTGTGTGTCTGCATGCGCATGTGTGTTTGTGCATGTGTGTGCATGAATGTGTGTGAGGTTGCGTGTGTGCATGTATGTGTGCGCTCGTGTGTGCGCGCATGTGTGTGCATGTGTGCACGCATGTGTGTATGTGCATGTACGTGTGTGAGTGTGCATATGCGTGCACGTGTGCATGTATGTATGTGAGTGCGTGCATGGGTGTGCATGTATGTATGTGTGCATGTATTCTGTGTGCATGAATCTGTGAGGTTGCATGTGTGTGCACATACGTGTGTGCATGTATGTGTGTGTGCATGCGTGCGTGCATGTGTGTGAGTGTGCGTGTGTGCATGTGTATGTGCATGTACATGTGTGAGTGTGCATGTGTGCATGTATGTGAGTGTGTGTGCGTGTGCATGCATGTATGTGTGTGTATGTGTGTGCGTGTGCGTGTACGTGTGTGTGCACGCACGTGTGTGTGCATGTGTGTGTGACTGTGCCTGTGTGTGTGTGTGTAAACGAAATTCTTCAGAATGGTTTGCAATCTGGGGCTGATGTTTAATTGACAGGGGTCGGGGTGGCTGGTTATTTGGTCAAAGAAGTTGAATTAACTCCGCTGGAAATTGCAGTCCCAAAACCTAATGCTTTTCTCCAATTTCTTTTTTTTCTTTCCTTCCCGTCCCTTCCCTCCTCTCCCCTTCCCTCCTCTCCCCTCCCCTCCTCTCCCCTCCCCTTCCCTTCCCCTCTCCCCTCCCTTCCCTTCCCCTCCTCTCCTCTCCCTCTCCCCTCCCCTCCCTCTCCCCTCCCCTTCCCCTCTCCCCTCCCCTTCCCCTCTCCCCTCCCTTCCCCTCCCTTCCCCTCCCTCTCCCCTCCCTTTTCCCCTCCCCTTCCCCTCCCCTCTCCTCCCTTTCCCTGTCCACTCCCCTTCCCTGCCTTCTCCCCCTCCTTTCCCCTCCTCTCCCCTCCCCTTCCCCTTCCCTTTCCCCTCCCCTTCCCTTCCTTTCCTTTCCTTTCCTTTTTTCTTCTTTTCCTTTTGAGACAAGGTCTCACTTTGTCACCCAGGCTGGAATACAGTGGTTTAATCACAGCTCACTACAGCCCCTGCCTCCCAGGCTCAAACAATGCTCCCACCCCAGGCTCCTGAGTGTCTGGGACCACAGGCGTGCATCACCTTGCCTGGTCAGCATGGCGAGACGTCAACTCTAAAAAATACAAAAGTTAGTGGGGCATGGTGGTGCATGCGTGTGGTCCCAGCTGTTCGAGAGGCTGAGGCAGGAGGATTGCTTAAGCCTGGGAGGCAGAGGTTGCAGTGACTCGAGATCACGCCACTGCCCTCCAGCCTTGGCAACAGAGCAAGGTCTCATCTCAAAAAATATATATATATATATATAAAGAAATATATATATATATATATAAAATATATACATATATTTAAATTATATATAATGTATACATATATTTAAATTATATATAATGTATACATATATTTAAATTATATATAATGTATACATATATTTAAATTATATATAATGTATACATATATTTAAATTATATATAATGTATACATATATTTAAATTATATATAATGTATACATATATTTATATATAATGTATACATATATTTAAATTATATATAATATACATATTTGGATAGTTTTATTTATTTATTTATTGGAGTCTTGCTCTGTCCCCCAGGCTGGAGTGCAGTGACATGATCTCTGCTCACTGCAACCTCCGCCTTCCAGGCTCAAGCGATCCTCCTGCCTAAGCCTCCCGAGTAGCTGGGATTACAGGCGCCCGCCACCACCAGCTACTGGGGAGGCTGAGGCAGGAGGATCGCTTGACCCTCGGAGGCGGAGGTTGCAGTGAAGCGAGATTGCACCACTGCACTCCAGCCTGGGGGGCAGAGCCAGACTCTGTCTAAAAAAAAAAAAGAAAGAAAAAGAAAAAAAAAACCTGCACGTTGCTGGATGAGGAAGGGCCTTTTTTCAAAAAGTTGCACTTTTTTTCCCCCTATACTTTACTTCTTTGCTGTCATTAGCTAGGACTTGAAAGGGCAGGAACTCTAATTGTGTTTCCTCTGTGGGGCACAGAGTCCTGTCTCGACCCCGTCGTGCTGCCAAAGAAAACGCCGGGTTCCCTTCCACGTTGTTCATTTTCCTTTTCCTGCCCACTTAACAAAATTATATTCAATGAGTTGTGGGGGGAATTGACATCAACGGGCCGCGTCACGCAATTTCTGGTGAATATTCGAGAAGGGGGAAGCAAACAGTCCGGGTTCCTTCACATCTGTCAGAATCAATCACATTGTACCAAACCGAACGTAATCGCTTGCAAAGAAAATGAGGCATTTCCAGTGAAATCAGCCTCCCTTTACCCAGGAACATGTCCATAGTTAAGAGGTCTCTGTTTTAGGTTTTTTTTTTTTTATTTTAATCTTGCCTAATTAGTTTTTTTTTAATCACCCGTGCAACCGAGTCTCCAGACTGCATAATTGATGAGATGCAGAAGCCAGTGTCAGAAATCAAATGTCGTAAATTAAAAATAACAAGTTTGAGACGAGTGATTCAATTAAAAATCCAGAAAACATTGGATTCTGCATAACTGAACGTTTGCATAGAGACACCGCCTGTCATCCGTATCACGTTGCACCCGAGGATTGGATTGGGGCTGTCACGGGTATTTCAATCAACTCAGTAAAAAAAAAAAAAAAAAATTAGAAAACAAAGATGATATTTATTATTAACTTCCCGTGTTCAAAAACCACACGGAGACGTCTTTAGGTGGACTGCTTTACAGGACCAAGATTTATGTTAAGGGGACACTGCAGACACAAGAGGCCTGGCTGGCTGGGATGTAGGGAGGGTCCCCCTGGGACTGTTGGACCGTTTTCTGAGTACGTGAGGCTGCCAGGAGGACGGGGCTGCACAGAGCCGACTGGGACCCTCCAAGACGGACCCTGAGAAACCTCACTGGGTCCTCTCTCTCTTTTTTTTTTTTTTTTTTTTTGAGACGGCTTTTCACTCTTGTTTCCCAGGCTGGAGTGCAGTGGTGCAATCTTGGCTTTGCAACCTCTGCCTCCCGGGTTCAAGCGATTCTCCTGCCTCAGCCTCCCGAGTAGCTGGGATGACAGGCGCGCGCCACCACGCCTGGCTAAGTTTTTGTATTTTTATTAGAGACAGAGCTTCACCATGTTGGCCAGGCTGGTCTCGAACTCCTGACCTCAGGTGATCCTCAGGCATCGGCCTCCCAAAATGGTGGGATTATAGGCGTGAACCACCACACCCGGATCTCTGGGTCCTCTCTTATTTGCCCCATCTCAGCCCTGCAATTTATCTTAATAATGCTAAGGACAAATCCACTCTCCATTTCCAACATTTTATACATAGAATGACAATTCCTCTTTTTTTAATTTTTGCTTATTTATTTATTTTTTGAGACAGAGTCTGGCTCTTTTTTTTTTTAATTACAGGAGTCTCGTTCTGTTCCCCAGGCAGGAGTGCAGTGGCACGATCTTGGCTCACCACAACCTCCACCTCCCAGGTTCAAGCGATTCTCCTGCCTCAGCCTCCCAAGTAGCTGGGATGACAAGGTG
Source organism: Homo sapiens (assembly GCF_000001405.40). NCBI lineage: Eukaryota > Metazoa > Chordata > Mammalia > Primates > Hominidae > Homo > Homo sapiens. The sequence continues at coordinate 875,592 of NC_000024.10, forward strand.
CCCGCCACCACACCCAGCTAATTTTTTGTATTTTTAGTAGCGATGGGGTTTCACTGTGTTGGCCAGGCTGGTCTCAGACTCCTGACCTGGTGATCCGTCTGCCTCAGCCTCCCAAAGTGCTGGGATTACAGTTCAGCCTAACAAGGACCCAGGAACAACATATCTGCAGATAACCATAGAATCAGCTAGGATCCATGCCACCATTAAATACATGGAAGGCCCAGGTGTGGTGGCTCAGGCCTGTAATCTCAGCACTCTGGGAGGCCGAGGTGGGTGGATCACTTGAGATCAGCAGTTCAAGATCAGCATGACCAACATGATGAAACTCTATCTCTACTAAATACAAAATATCAGCCAGACGTGGTGGCAGGTGCCTGTAGTCCCAGCTACTTGGGAGGCTGAGGCAGGAGAATCCCTTCAACCTGGGAGGTGGAGGTTGCAGTGAGCCGAGATGGCACCATTGCACTCCAGCCTGGGCGACAGGAGCAAAAATTCTGTCTCAAAACACACACACAAACACGGTGGGACTAGGACTGAACCCTGATTCATGCCACTGCAGCTCAGAGGTCCTGGCTCCGCCACCTTCCCTCTGTGTGCCTCAGTTTCTTCTCCAGCCAATTGCCTAAGAGGTGGCTCAGTCAATGAGGGTATTGAACCAGTCCCTATAAACTCCATAAAATTAACCAGGGAAGAAGGGAGGGGAAGAAACGAAAATAGGCCAAGCCTGCAGAACCCTCAGCATTCATCATGAAATCAGCTTTCTTTTTTTCTTTCTTTTTTTGTGTTTTTTGGAGACAGAGTGTCACTCTGTTGCCCAGGCTGGAGTGCAATGGCATGATCTGGGCTCACTGCAACCTCCGCCTCCCAGGTTCAAGTGATTCTCCTACCTCAGCCTCCGGAGTAGCTGAGATTACAGGCATGTGCCACCATGCCCACCTAATTTTTGTATTTTCAGTAGAGATGGGGTTTCACCATGTTGGCCAGGCTGGTCTGGAACTCCTGACCTCAGGTAATCCACCCACCATGGCCTCCCAAAAGCTTTCTTTTTGACCTGCTTCCTCATAGCTGTTTGGTGCTGATTGTCCCAGAGTCACATAGATCCTAGCTTACGGTCCCCCTTCCCTGCTCTATAGGTGACAACTTAAGCATCAGGAAACATTTAGTTTTCCCTTTGAGATAGTCTTCCAGGTCCTGCATGCCAGCTACTGACACCATAGATATCTAATATTTATAATAGCTTAAAAAAATAATACTGACACCAGCTGGGCTGAAGGACCCCACAGGAGCTGACTCACCAAAGACTTCAGTTTCCCCATCCAGATGGCTTCATCCCCCTTACCCCAGCCAATTAATGACCCCAATTTTCCAGCCCCTTGTGCTTCATAATCCCTTTAAAAACTCCAGCCCAGAACTCCTCAGGGAGACAGACTTCAGGGTCTCCTCCCATATCCTCGCTCTGCACCTTGCAAGCATTGAGTTTTTTATCTGCTGCAAAGTCTGCTTTCTTGGTGTCCTGATCTGTTCATGATCCCTTTTAAAACTCCAGCCTGGCTGGGTGCGGTGGCTCACGTCTGTAATCCCAGCACTTTGGGAGGCCGAGGCAGGCAGATCACGAGGTCAGGAGTTCGAGACCAGCCTGGCCAACATGGTGAAACCCTGCCTCTACTAAAAATTAGCCAGTTATGGTGATGTGTGCCTGTAATCCCAGCTACACGGGAGGCTGAGGCAGGAAAATTGCTTGAATCTGGGAGGCGGAGGTTGCAGTCAGCTGAGATCATGCCACTGCACTCCAGCCTGGGCAACAGAGCAAGACTCTGTCTCAGAAAAAAAAGAAAAAATCTCCAGCCTACAACTCCTCAGGGAGATGGACTTCAGGGTCTCCTCCCATCTCCTCCCTCTGCACCTTGCAATCTTTGAATTCTTTCTCTGTTGCATACCCTGCTGTCTCAGTGTCTTGGTCTGTTACTCTGCAGGGAGCATTCACACGGTAGTCTTGTAACAGTACAAGGATACCTAAGTCCATACAGCTGGGGATCAAGCCATCGTTGCCCATTGGCTTCACTTTAGGGCTGTAAACTCACATTCATGTAAGGTTTCCCAATGAGTGAATTCTGTATTCCCATAAGCATTCACATTCCTAGTGTGAGAATAGCAGAGTTTAGCTGGGCTCACCTGTCTACCAGGTGTGGAGGCACCATTTGCAGTTGCATATGATGGAGCTCAAGGCTCAACTTCCCCAGCATCCCACAGTCTGACCTCACTGGGACCTTTCATGAAACTGTGACTCAGTCTCTTCTTCTTGATGATGAAATACTTTGCACAATTCAGTTCACCATTTTAAAGCACCTGGAATGTGTGAGGCACTGTGCAAACACTAATTTGGTAAACTTAGATTTCAGAAGGAGAATACCTGGCGTGGCATATATTACTATTTATTTATGGTCTATTTTATTTCTCTCAGTGAGATTTTGCAGTTATCTGACTAGACATCATATATAACTGTCAGATTTTTTCTTTAATATTACATTTTATCCTATTATAAATATTAGATATTTATGCTATTATACTATGTTTAAATATATTTTATGCTATTATAAATAAATTAATTGATGATATTATAAATAAATATAAGTTTTACATTACAATATGCTATTATATATCATATATAATAAAAGTGTATATAAATTTTATACAAAAGTTTATATGTAATATACATTATATTATAGATAATAAGTTTATATATAAACTCTATATTTGTAAACTTTATATAACCTATTATCTATAATATAGTGTATATTATAGATAATATAATGTATATATAATAAAACTTTTATTTTATATAAAATACACTTATATATATAAAATAAAACTTTTATTATATATACATAGTAAACTTTTATTTTATATATATAAAATAAACTTTTATTTTAAGTTCAAGGGTACATGTGCAGGTTTGTTACATAAGTAAACATCTGTCATGGCGGTTTCTTGTACAGATTATTTTATCAACCAGGTACTAGGCTTAGTACCCATTAGTTATTTTTTCTGATCTTTTCTCCCTGGCTTTTGCTATCATTTTATGCAAACATAAATAGTATTTTATTCCACATTATGTGAATATGTGTTATTATATGTGTTTACAAAATTAATTCTTTGTTGCCAGCATATATAACTGCAAGCTCATCAAGCTTGTTAATCTTTTTGTTCAAAGTATGCCCTTGGTTTATATGCTTGTTTTTAGTTACTGAGAAAAGTATGTTCAAATCTCTTACTACGATTGTATATATTTTACATTTTCTTTTAGTAATTTCACATTTTGCTTTATATATGTTTTAGCTGTGGTTTTATATGCATACCTATTTAGAATGTTTATGTTTCTTGATTAATAAAACATTTTAAACTAGGATTATTACTCTTTATCACTAGTTAAGACTTTATCTTAAAATGATCTTTAATTTTTTCATTTTTATTCTTTTTTATTTATTTTAATTTTTATTTTATTTATTTATTTTTTTTTTTGAGATAGAGTTTTACTCTTGTTGGCCAGGCTGGAGTGCAATGGTGCAATCTCGGCTCACTGTAACCTCCATCTCCCAGGTTCAAGAGATTCTCCTTCCTCAGCCTCCCAAGTAGCTGGGATTACAAGCACATGCCACCATGCCTGGCTAATTTATGTCTTTTCAATAGAGACAGGGTTTTTTCATGTTGGCCAGGCTGGTCTCAAACTCCTGACCTCAGGTGATCTGCCTGCCTCAGCCTCCTAAAGTGCTGAGATTACAGGAGTGAGCCACCACGCCTGGCCTTAGCCTTGGTTTTTATTAATCTGATGATCTTGTGACTAGAACCTCTAGTTTATTTCCATTTAATAAAATTATTGATACATATGTTAATATCTACCAGCTTATTAGCAGCTTTTGCTTTCTGCTGGTCTTATCTTTTTTACATATATTTTTTGTCTTATCTTCTTTTAGTGTATTTAAGTTTTTTGTTTCCTAGTATATTTCTTCTTTTAGTGTCTTTAAGGTTTTTGTTTTCTAGTATATTTCTTCTTTTAGTGTATTTAAGATTTTTGTTTTCTAGTATGTATCTTCTTTTAGTGTATTTAAGGTTTTTGTTTCCTAGTATATATCTTCTTTTAGTGTATTTAAGCTTTTTGTTTTCTAGTATATTTCTTCTTTTGGTGTATTTAAGATTTTTGTTTTCTATATATATCTTCTTTTAGTGTATTTACGGCTTTTGTTCTCTAGTACATTTCTTCTTTTAGTGTATTTACGGCTTTTGTTTTCTAGTATATTTCTTCTTTTAGTGTATTTAAGCGTTTTGTTTTCTAGTATATTTCTTCTTTTAGTGTATTTAAGGGTTTTGTTTTCTAGTATATATCTTCTTTTAGTGTATTTACGGCTTTTGTTTTCTAGTACATTTCTTCTTTTAGTGTATTTACGGCTTTTGTTTTCTAGTATATTTCTTCTTTTAGTGTATTTAAGGTTATAGTTTTCTAGTATGTATCTTCTTTTAGTGTATTTAAGGGTTTTGTTTCCTAGTATATATCTTCTTTTAGTGTATTTAAAGGTTTTGTTTTCTAGTATATTTCTTCTTTTAGTGTATTTACGGCTTTTGTTTTCTAGTGTATTTCTTCTTTTAGTGTCTTTAAGGTTTTTGTTTTCTAGTATATTTCTTCTTTCAGTGTATTTAAGGGTTTTGTTTCCTAGTATATATCTTCTTTTAGTGTATTTAAGCTTTTGTTTTCTAGTATATTTCTTCTTTTAGTGTATTTACAGTTTTTGTTTTCTAGTCTATATCTTCTTTTAGTGTATTTACGGTTTTTGTTTCCTAGTATATATCTTCTTTTAGTGTATTTACGGTTTTTGTTTCCTAGTATATATCTTCTTTTAGTGTATTTACGATTTTTGTTTTCTGGTATATTTCTTCTTTTAGTGTATTTACGGTTTTTGTTTTGTAGGCTATATCTTCTTTTAGTGTATTTACGGTTTTTGTTTCCTAGTCTATATCTTCTTTTAGTGTATTTAAGTTTTTTGTTTTCCAGTATAATTACTCTCTTCACCAGCACCATTAACTTGAAAGTAATATACTCTTTAACTAGCCTTGCCGAGGTTATCGTAAACATCACAGCACACCCCTGGGTTTTCAAAGTCTAATTCTCACTACTTTTACTCCTCTTTTCTGACAAAGCAAAAATACCTTGGAACATTTACATTCATTGCACTAGGCCGGGTGCTGTGGTTCACGCCTGTAATCCCAGCACTTTGGGACGTGGAGGAGGGCGGATCACCTGAGCTTGGGAGTTCGGGACGAGCCTGACCAACATGGAGAAACCCTGTCTCTACTAAAAATACAAAATTATCTGGGTGCGGTGGCTCACACCTGTAATCCCAGCAATTTGGGAGGGCGAGGCAGGCAGATCACCTGAGGTTGGGAGTTCGGGACGAGCCTGACCAACATGGAGAAACCACGTCTCTACTAAAAATACAAAATTCTCTGGGTGTGGTGGCTCACACCTGTAATCCCAGCACTTTGGGAGGTGGAGGAGGGTGGATCACCTGAGCTTGGGAGTTTGGGACGAGCCTGACCCACATGGAGAAACCCCGTCTCTACTAAAAATACAAAATTATCTGGGCGTGGTGGTACATGCCTTTAATCCCAGGTACTGCAGAGGCTGAGGCAGGAGAATCACTTGAACCCAGGAGGCAGAGGTTGCAGTGAGCTAAGATTGTGCCATTGCACTCCAGCCTGGTGGACAAGAGTGAAACTTTGTCTCAAAAAGAATAATAAAAATAAAAATAAAAATAAAAAACTTGTAACATCTAAATTCATGCACTTCCTCCTGATTCGGATATCACCATTGTCATGCATTTTAATTCTCTGTGTGTTTTAAATCCCTGAAGACATGATGGTTTTATAATGTCAATATATATTTACAATTACTGACATTATCTTGAGTTCTCACTGCTGTTGAGTCCTTCCTAAATTTTCATGTCACATTGGGTCAGCTTCTCTTCTGTCTTTGGAGTCCCTCTTTAATATTCCCTTTAGAGCCAGGCTGTCGGTAGCATATTTTCCCAATTTTTGCTTTTGGAAGAAGGCTTTGCTTCAACCCCGTGGCGAGCATATGTGAGGCTGTTGTTTATTAATTGAATATTCCCCCCCCCTTTTTTTTTTTTGAGACAGAGTCTCACTCTGCCACCCAGGCTGGAGTGCAGTGGTGTGATCTCGGCTCACCGCAACCTCTGCCGCCTGGTTTCAAGCGATTCTCCTGCCTCAGCCTCCCAAGTAGCTGAGATTATAGGCGCCCGCCACCATGCCTGGCTAATTTTTTGTGTTTTTAGTAGAGACGGAATTTCACCCTGCTGGCCAGGCTGGTCTCGATCTCCTGACCTTGTGATTCACCTGCCTCGGCCTCCCAAAGTCCTGCGATGACAGGTGTGAGCCACTGCGCCCAGCCTTCCTCTCCTTTTTTTTTTTTTTTTCCGAAAGAAACACAGAGTTGGAGACAGACTTCTTAGCATTGAAGGGAGAGATCTGATGAAGAGAAATGGGGCCACTTTGAGGCAGTGTCCTGGAAGGACCTGTGATTTTTACGTCTGTTGGTGTTAGGGGGAAAGGCGTGGACCAGGGTGGTAGGCAGTGGGCTAAGGGTGAGGCTCCCACCTCACAGGGAGGTGGAGAGAAAGAGATGGAGACAGAGAGACAGAGACAGAGAGGCAGAAACAGACACAGAGAGAGAGAGGGAGACAGAGATGAAGAGACAGAAACACACAGAGAGACAGTGATAGAAAGAGGGAGACGCAGAAACAGAGGGACAGATACAGAGACAGAGAGAAAGACAGACAGAGAGACACTGAGAGAGACACAGAGAGAGAAAGAGAGACAGACATATACATAGAAAGAAGGAGAGAGGCCGGGCGCGGTGGCTCACGCCTGTCATCCCAGCACTTTGGGAGGCCGAGGCGGGCGGATCACGAGGTCAGGAGATCGAGACCATCCTGACTAACATGGTGAAACCCCGTCTCTACTAAAAAAAAAAAATACAAAAAATTAGCCGGGCATGGTGGTGGGCGCCTGTAGTCCCAGCTACTCGGGAGGCTGAGGCAGGAGAATGGCGTGAACCCGGGAGGCGGAGGTTGCAATGAGCCGAGATCGCGCCACTGCACTCCAGCCTGGGTGGCAGAGGGAGACTCCATCTCAAAGAAAAAAAAAAGAGGGAGAGAGAGAGACACACACACAAAGAGAGAGAGTCAAAGAGGTAGAGACAGAGACAGACATAGAGAGAGGGGGAGAGAGAAACAGAGACAGAGAGGGAGGGAGAGACACAAAGAGAGGGAGAGACAGTGACAGAGACAGAAAGATAGGAAGAGAGAGAGAGAGACATACAGAGAGAAAGAAACAAAGACAGAGAGACAGAGGAAGAGAGAGAGAGGGAGAGACAGAGAAAGAGGGAGGGAGAGACAGAGACACACAGAGAAAGAAACAGACAGACAGAGGAAGAGAGGGAGAGGGAGAGACAGAGAAAAAGGGAGGGAGAGATAGAGACACACAGAGAAAGAAACAGACAGAGAGACAGAGGAAGAGAGAAAGACAGAGAAAGAGGGAGGGAGAGACAGAGACACACAGAGAAAGAAACAGACAGAGAGACAGAGGAAGAGAGAGAGAGAAAGAGGGAGGGAGAGACAGAGAGACACACAGAGAAAGAAACAAAGACAGAGAGACAGAGGAAGAGAGAGAGAGAAAGAGGGAGGGAGAGACAAAGACACACAAGAAAGAAACAAAGACAGAGAGACAGAGGAAGAGAGAGAGAGAGACAGAGAAAGAGGGAGGGAGAAACAGAAACACACAAAGAGACAGAGAGACAGAGGGAGAGACAGACAGAAAGAGAGAGAGACAGAGAGAGAGAACAGAAAGAAAAGAAGAGACAGAGAGAGAAAGAAGGAGGGAGAGACCAAGAGATAGACGGGGGAGAAAGAGACACAGAGAGATAGAGAAAGAGACAGACAGAGGGAGAGAGAGGGAGAGAGAGAGAGAAAGAGGGAGGAAGAGGTAGAGACAGAAACAGGGACAGAAAAGGAGAGAGAGAGAGAAACAGAGGAGGAAAGACAGAGAGAGACGGAGGCCTGGCTACACCAGACAAGACCTCCAGGCAGGTGCCCTGAGCCCACACAAGCTCTCATAGATGCGAGGGCCCCAGCTGTGCAGGGTGTGAGCAGGTCTTCCAGAGACGGGTGGCCCCATGGTGTTGCAGGTGCCTGGGAGATTTCTCCAGCAGCGCGGCCGTCCGGGGCTGTGTCCCTGGGTCCCAGTGCAGCCACGGGCACCTGCCTCTGTTTCTGATTTCACGTCGAGACCTGCTGTGTGGATGGGAACCTCATGCCCCCTCCAAGACACTGGAGAATCTGAGCTACTCAGCCTCAGCCTTCTCCCCGTTAACACTGATAAGAGTGGAGTGAGCAACCCCACAGCCCTCTTTGATAACCAGCAACGGAAATTTTAGTGGATTGTTGTGAGGTGTGGACGCTCTTCCAAATCATAACCCTGGTCTAATATTTCCTGGAAACTCAAGAGGCCTGCGGGCGTCTGTCAGACACGCCCAGTGCATCCCTCACTTCTGCTTAATCTGTCTTTGATGTGTGATGACCTGCAGGGTGTACCCTTGACAATCCTTGCGTTTCCTCCCGAAACACAATCAAAGCGTGAACCGGGTTCACACCGTACCGGGATCTCGAGTTTCCCTTCAGACAGGAGGAAGGCGCCAGCAACAGCCAACAAAATGGTAACGACAAGAAAAGTATCTGGAATTTCTGCTGTCTGTAAAGTCGGGGCGTCCTGGAGGAAACGTGAAAGGCAGAAAACGCCATCCTGCCTTCAAATTGAAGGGACAGAAAATTGCCTCTGCATGTTACAAACATAGCAAGATCTGCTTTCTCACTGCAATGAGGGAAGGCTGAGGTGCCTATGGACTTGGTGAGTCGTTTTTTTTTTTTTTTTTCTGAGACCGAGTCTCGCTCTGTCACCCAGGCTGGAGTGCAGTGGCGTGATCTCGGCTCACTGCAAGCTCCTCTTCCCGGGTTCAAGTGATTCTCCTGCCTCAGCCTCCCAAGTAGCTGGGATTACAGGCACCTGCCACCACATCCTGCTAATTGTTTGTATTTTTAGTAGATATGGGGTTTCGCCATCTTAGCCGGGCTGGTCTTGAACTCCTGACCTCAGGTGATCCACCTGCCTCGGCCTCCCAGATTTCTGAGATTACAGACGTGAGCCAAGTGAGCCAAGTGAGTCGTTTTTATTCTTTTTTTTTGAGACGGAGTCTCGCTCTGTCACCCAGGCTGGAGTGCAGTGGTGCGATCTCAGCTCACTGCAACCTCCACCTCCCGGGTTCAAGCGATTCTCCTGCCTCAGCCTCCCCAGTAGCTGGGACTACAGGCGCCCGCCACCACGCCCGGCTAATTTTTTGTATTTTTAGTAGAGACGGGGTTTCACCATGTTAGCCAGGATGGTCTTGATCTCCTGACCTCATGATCCGCCCGCCTCGGCCTCCCAAAGTGCTGGGATGACAGGGGTGAGCCACCGCGCCCGGCCAATTGTATGACATTTTTCTCATAGCAATTCAGATGAACTAAGACAAACAGTAATCACCCCTTTTCCACAAAAGTGCTTCGTGAGAAGCATAAAGACTCATGTAGACATTCTGCCGTGGGCGAACACAAGGCTTTGCATCAGGAATCCATTTGAACTGACATAGAAGAACAGGTTCTCAGGAAGTGATACGGTGAAGCCCAAACCCAGATAACAGACAGACGCCATCGCCGTCCATCAGATAATTGCTTGGAAAAGCAGGTTCTGAATTCCAAAACTATGCCAACTCTAACTGTGGATGCAATTCCCAAAATACAGCATCAGACAAACTTCAAAGCGAGAAACTGTGCCCACCGACAAGTAGAGCAGTGTTAATTAGGGACGATGCTCTTTAATCTATAAATAATTAAATGATCACGCAGCTCCCCAGAGAGGTATTAAAAAAATAAAAATAAAACATAACACACGCAAGTTATTTCACAGACCGCGGTCGATGGCCGGGACAAAGTCTACGCATTACTTTGGGATCCCGTTTGACATTCAACAAAGAGAGATGACTTGAGAAACTGGAAGATGGTGCTCAGAAAAGAAAAAAAAAAAGACACGTTTTATGGAGGTCACCTTAAACTTTAGATGGTTTGGGGTGAAAAATAGGTAAGTTGTTTAGTTTCTAGGTACCGCAATTCGAGCAGGTGCGAGACTGTCTCATGACACAGACTAACCACAGAAAATAAGTACTTTGAATTTATGAAACACTGGAGAAGAAGATCTTTTAGGAAAAAAAACAGGCCGGGTGCGGTGGCTTACGCCTGTCATCCCAGCACTTTGGGAGGCAGAGGTGGGCGGATCACCTGAGGTCAGCGGTTCGAGACCAGCCTGGCCAACATGTTGAAAACCCGTCTCTACTAAAAATACAAAAAGTAGCTGGGTGCAGTGGCACATGCCTGTAATCCCAGCTACTCTGGAGGCTGAGGCAGGAGCATTGCTTGAACCCGGGAGGCGGATGTTGCAGTGAGCCGAGATCGCACCCCTGCACTCCAGCCTGGGCGACGGAGCAAAACTCCATCTCAAAAAAAAAAAGAAAAAAAATTGGGAGGCCAAGACGGGCGAATCACCTGAGGTCGGGAGTTTGAGACCAGCCTGAACAACATGGAAAAATCCTGTCTCTACTAAAAATACAAAATTAGCTGGGCGTAGTGGCACATGCCTGTAGTCCCACCTACTTGAGAGGCTGAGGCAGGAGAATTGCTTAAACCCAGGAGGCGGAGGTTGCAGTGAGCTGAAATCTCTCCACTGCACTCCAGCCTGGGAGACAGAACAAGACTCCGTCTCAAAAAAAAAAAAATGTTTTTAGTAGATACAGTCATTTGATCTAATAATTTGTAAAAATTTACCATGTGGAATTTCTGCCACATACATGACAGCAGACGTACAATTATCATATATATTTTAAATAACTTTTCCCTTCTAAGTGCAGATAATTTGTTTTCTGGAAAACTGTCTACATAGACATTCACCAAAAACACACATGCTTTTTCATAGGACAAGAGGAAAACGCAATCTCACCTTTTCTGAATAATCACAAAATCTGAAGCAGAGATCTCAATGTTAGGGACATTTACATTTTTGTTTGTTTGTTTGTTTGAGACGGAGTCTCGCTCTGTCACCCAGGCTGGAGTGCAGTGGTGTAATCTCGGCTCACTGCAACCTCCGCCTCCCAGGTTCACGCCATTCTCCTGCCTCAGCCTCCCGAGTAGCTGGGACTACAGGCACCTGCCACCACGCCTGGCTAATTTTTGTATTTTTACTAGAGATGGGGTTTCACCGTGTTAGCCAGGATGGTCTCGATGTCCTGACCTCGTGATCCTCCCGCCTCGGCCTCCCAAAGTGCTGGGATTACAGGCGTGAGCCACTGCGCCCGGCCTGGGACATTTACATTTTTAAAGAAACTTCCAGCTGTAAGCCCAACACTTTGGGAGGCCGAGACACGCAGATCACCTGAGGTCGGTAGTTTGAGACCAGCCTGGACAACATGGCAAAACTCCGTCTCTACTAAAAGTACAAAAATTAGCCAGGCACAGTGGCACATGTCTTAATTCCAGCTACTCAGGAGGCTGAGAATCAGATGAACCTGGGAGGCTGCTGTGAGCCGAGGTCGTGCCACTGCACTCCAGCCTAGACAAGAGCGAGACTCCATCTCAAAAAAAAAAAAAAGGAAAGAAAAGAAAAAAAGAAAAGAAACTTCTCTGGAGGTGATGTCACGGGGAAGCTCAGGTCTTCAATTTTGGAAGGAAATATTCTTTTTTTTTTTCAGAGGGAGAGACAGAGAGACAGGGTCTGGCTCTGTCACCCAGGCTGGAGTGCAGAGGCATAATCACGGCTCACTATAGCCTCCAACTCCTGGGCTCAAGTGATGCTCCTGCCTCAGCCTCCTGAGTAGCTGGAACTACGCTTGTGCACCCCCATGCCTGGTTAACGTTTTAACTTTTTGCAGAGACAGGATCTCTGTATGTTGACCAGGCTTCTCTGGAACTCCTGGGCTCAAGCACCCTCCCAGCTTGGCTTCCAAACGGCTGGGATGACAGGCATGAGCCACTGCATTTGGCCTTCCGGAAGAAAATACTCTAACCTGCTGAGAGATGCTGTCTTTGATGGGCAAGCCCTCGTGGCTGCAGAAACATAGGTATCAGGCAATTTTATTTATTTTTTATTTTTATTTTATTTTATTTTAATTTTATTTTATTTTATTTTATTTTATTTTATTTTATTTTATTTTATTATTTTATTTTTTTAAGACGGAGTCTTGCTCTGGCGCCCAGGCTGGAGTGCAGTGTCGCAATCTCGGCTCACTACAACCTCCGCCTCCCGGGTTCACGCCATTCTCCTGTCTCAGCCTCCCCAGTAGCTGGGACGACAGGCGCCTACAATCACACCCGGCTAATTTTTTGTGTTTTTAGTAGAGACGGGGTTTCACCGTGTTAGCCAGGATGGTCTCGATCTCCTGACCTCGTGATCCACCCGCCTCGGCCTCCCAAAGTGCTGGGATTACAGGCATGAGCCACTGCGCCCGGCCGGAATCAGGCAATTTTAGAATAAGGTTTCCAAGCGATGACAATCTGTGCCATACACAGAAGAGAAGGCAGAGATGACGTATGAATCACTACAGCGCTTGAGGATATACCCTCTCCACGTTGGCTGATATCACCTCATTGCCTTGAGCATCCTTTGTGTTCCCTGCATCAAAGACGACCTACGTTCTGCCCTGAGTTTCTTCCTTGGAGACAGAAAAGACTCCACGACTGATAACTTTCCCTTGAGGAAATGTTCCCAGCCACGGTCCTTGACTGTGTGTTTACCATGAGGTCTGAGAGGCTATGATGAGAAGTCGGTTCTCTGTGGGGAGAATGGTGGCCTTCCACTGTACGATAATTCCAGAACCACACGATGGCATGACTCATGCCGTGGGTATTTTAAGTCATGGGACTCCTTCCCATATGAGACTTTTGAAAGGGGGTATGCTTGTTACAGCATTAACAAATACTCTTGGAGCTCACTGTTACACTTCAGTGGGCTCCCGACACTGCCTTGTGATTTGATTTTAGACAGAGCTTCTGATGTTTCCAGGCCGCCCCAGAAGCTTGTGTCTGCACCTGACCTGGGTCCTCCTTCCTCTGTTTGACTCCTCAAGTTCCTTTTTTTTTTTTGAGACAGAGTCTCTGTTGCCCAGGCTGGACTGCAGTGGTGTGATCTTGGCTCACTGCCACCTCCACCTCCTGGGTTCAAGTGATTCTCCTGCCTCCACTTCCCAAGTAGCTGGGATGACAGGCACACACCACCACACCCGGCTAACTTTTGTATTTTTAGTAGAGACGGGATTTGGCCATGTTAGCCAGGCTGGTCTCAAACCCCTGACCTCAAAGGATCTGCCAGCTTCGGCCTCCCAAAGTGCTGGGATTACAGGCTTGAGCCACCATGCCCAGCAGGTTCCAAATCCACAAAATGGCTCTGAAAAGAACAAGAAGAGACACAGACAGCACCATATGAAGAGCCTATGGTTCTTCATGGAGCCCTTCCTGTCAAGTGTAAGGAGCAAAGAAGTCAAGTTTGTTCAGCCTTAATCTAAACCAGAGGTAATTGTGCCCCCACCAGGGGCATTTGGCCATGTTTGGAGACACTGTTGGTTGTCATGACAGAAGAAGGCAAGTTATTGACCTCTGGGGGTTGATACCGGAGATGTTGCTAAACATTCTGCAAAGCACAAGACAGCTACACAACAAATAATCATCCCATCCTGTTATGAACGGAATGCTGTGTTCACCCCAAATTTATGGGATGAAGATCTAATCACCAGAGTGATGATATTAGAAGGTGTGGCTTTGGGGACATAATTAGGGTTAGATGATGTTATGATAGTTGGATCGTCTTAATAGAATTACTGCCCTTATAAGAAGAGACCAGGGTGGTGTGTTTTCTCCCTCTCTGTCTCTCTCTCTCCCCCTGTATCATGTGAAGATACAATTAGAAAGTAGCCACATGCAAACCAGGAACCCAACCATACTAGCTTTCCAACCTCTGATTTCCAGTCTCCCAAATTGTGAGAAATAAATGTTGGTGGTTGAAGCCTCCCAGTCTGTGGTATTTTGTTATAGCAGCACGTGCTGACAGAGACACTGCCAATGTGAATGGTGCTGAAATGAGGAAGCCCTGAGCTAGACTCTTCTGCAGGGTCTTCAGATAGGTGCAGGGCAAAGACCAAAACTTAGATACCCTCACCTCAAAAGAAGTCAGGGGAACATAATACAACGGGGTCAGCAGCTTATGGGTAGAAACTAGAGAATCCCTGGGGCACCTCATGATTCTCTGGTGGTCTTCATTAGTGGTTTGTTGAAGAACAGAAGTATTCGTATTTAACAATGGACGGCTGGCCCTACTCAGCAGGCAAAGATGCTATCAAACCCAATGAATCTGAAGCTGCAGGATACATGAGCTGGGTATAAAAGTGAGGCAGGGAGGGGTATCAAAAATGTCAGCCACTGCCCCCTGTCTAGACAGAGAAGCAAGGAGAGTTGTCTGCTTCAATTCCTTTCTTGCATCTGGGCTAATAAATCTCAACTTGTTTTCTTTTTAGAGATGGATAATAAATAGTCATCATTCATCAAAATGATGGGCTTCCCTATTAGAGATTGGGTGCACCAGAGGCTGAATGTACTCATACACCTTGGCTTATAAGGATGGTCTTAAAATGGGTCAGGGGAGGCATAGAGTCATGGGGCTGAGTCTTCATGACGTCATCTCTTCCCTGTGAAAATGTTTGTACACTTCTTTTTATTGATTTTATTTATTTTTTGCCACTGGCCAATGTGGATTATACAGGCTTCAAAGCCACCCTTTAAGAGATGCGGGATCTCCCAGTGTACACCAATGGTGGGCATTCCATCCTGGGGTGTGTGGATTTCTGTGTTGAATGATAGTGCAATATGGTAGAGCATCTAGGCCCACTCTGTTGTATTCTATCATCTGGAGTCCCCTGGAATCCCCTTAACACCCATTTCTGAGATTAAGCAACAAGAAAAGATGTGGAGAGAGGGACTCCTGCTGCCTTGCACCTCTAGTCATCAGAGAGTTGTTTACTGCAAGACTTCCAGTCACTTGGCATGGGTTTCAAGAACAAATAGATCCATTTAGATAAATAAATCATATCAGTATAATCAAACACCTAGTTTGGGTGATGAGACAGTAGTTTACATAAGAGATGATTGATAGCAGCCTGAAAGCTTCCCTGATTAATAAGGATCTTCATTTGTGCTTTTCAATGAGAAAGTCTTTAAATTAATTAAAGAGGCTTTAGGAGGGGAAGGAATGCTTGCCAGCTTTAGAAGGCTTTGACTTTTCTATCCATATTCTCCATAAGACACATTATTGCAAATTTGTTTTTGTAAACACCCACTCTTTATGCCATAAATATTCAACCCTCGTTTATGCGTTTGCATCTGGCAAGTGGTAGAGGGAGCCCCAGAGGCTCTCTCTCTCCTCATTAAGGAGCTCAAGTGGAAGCAGGAGCAATTTGTCATTGTCTAAAGTGGGAAGACCTTGAAATGAGTCCTGCTTTCATGAGGAACCTGCTAGAAAGACCAGCCAGGCTTTGAACAAGCACATAGGGAGGGCAGCAGGGCTGCAGCTCCTGTGTGTCCAATATAGACAGAATTCCATGTCAAAATACAGACACATCAGTTTCCCTTGTCTAAGGGGATCATTGCCTTTTCTGACAGTATTGGTGTTGACTAGGTTGACCATGGACCAGGATGGCTTCATGGATGGGGTAAGAGTTGAGGGGGTTATGGATAGACGGGGAGAGATGACATCACTAAGAATGGGTGTTTTGGGGGGATCAATATGACCAAATGTACATTGAGTGAGGGGGCTACTCACCTCACCAACCTCCAATCTTCTTCCCGACTTATATTCCTTCATATCATCTGTTACCGGGGAATAAACTTTAAATTTTACCTCTCACTGTTGTTCTTCACCAACACATGAGATGGATGAGCTCAAGCATGCTCCTGTTTTGTTCAGCATGATATTTTCCTCTTGTAGATACTCCATAAATTGTACTCAATAAATGCCCAGTCAACGTTTTTGAATTATTTAATGAATGAGCAGGTAGAAATGCAAAATAGTGGCCGAGGAGGGTGACCCCGAGGTAATCCAAGGAGAAGAGGTTTCGGCATGGTTTTCAGATGTGGTATTGTTGAAAAGGCAAGACTGGGTTGGGCCCCAGAGTGAGTAATATGCTGTGCCATGAAATTTAGGATTTATATCGAGGCCAGAAATAGCAAATACGTTTTGAGTTGTGGGTGAACTCTGAGCACTTGCCAGGTATAGTGATGGGGGTGGTTGGCAAAAGCCATGTGAGATCCCACTGGATCCAATGCGTAAAAGGATGGCTTGGGGTTAATAATGAGGGGGCTTTGGCCGGGTGCGGTGGCTCACACCTGTAATCCCAGCACTTTGGGAGGCTGAGGCGGGCAGATCACGACGTCAGGAGATCGAGGCCATCCTGGCTAACACAGTGAAACCCCATCTCTCCTAAAAATACAAAAAAATTAGCCAGGCATGGTGGCGGGCACCTGTAGTCCCAGCTACTCGGGAGCCTGAGGCAGGAGAATGGTGTGAACCCGGGAGGCGGAGCTTGCAGTGAGCCGAGATGGACCCACTGCACTCCAGCCTGGGTGACAGAGCGAGACTCTGTTTCAAAAACATAAATAAATAAATAAATAAATAATGGAGGGGCTTCCTCCATCTTTATTTTAGAGACATGTGGGATTTTCAGGTAAGGTGTTAGAATATGAAAGCAATGTCCTCTTCTCCTGGGGAGAGGCTAAAATAGGCAGAGATGGGGAAGGAAATCCTTGGGGGAGGCCCAGGCATTAGTCCAACCAGGAGCACTAAGGGCCAGAACCAGAACATGTTACTTGGCCTGAGTGTGACTTCTGGTGTAAGAAAAACAGACCCTGAAGGTCTTTGTGACACTTTAGTTTCTCCTTCTAAAGAAATGTGTGTTTATTTTACAGATACAAAGGATAACCACATTAATTCTGAGGCAGTTTTCCAAAGTATTATAATGATCCCAACAAGAAAATGGCATTTCAGTTCAAATGTTACTGAGTGCCAGGGAAACGGTTAGATACTCAGGCTGTGGAACTGGGTTGGTTGCAGGGCTCAGGATCCAGAGACAAGGAAGGCAGCATCACAAGTCAGCCACTCATAAATGCAACGTTATAAGAGTCCCAATTTCTTTTTGAGGTTTGTTCCAATCAACAGCAACTGAAACACAACTCAGACTAAGTTAGGCAAAGAAAGAAGATTGTTGACCTAATATAACTGTGAGATCCTACGATGGAGCTGACCTCAGGATTCCCAAGGACTTAAGAAATCTCTAGATAGAGAGATAGATAGATAGATAGATAGATAGATAGATAGATAGAGACATAGATAGAGAAAAAATAGATATAGATAGAATAAATAGATGATAGATAAATACATAGGATAGATAGATAAATAGATAGCTAGATGATACATAATATATATAGATATGTAGTTATTTAATAGATACATAAAATAGGTAGATAGATAAATAAGATGGATAGATACGTAATTGATAGATAACTAGGACAGATAGATACATAATAGATACATTGATACACAGGATAGATAAATGATAGGTAGATAGATAAGATGGATAGATACATAATAGATACATAGGATGGATAGATAGATAGAATAAGATGGATGATAGATAGATAGAATAAGATGGATGATAGATAGATAGAATAAGATGGATGATAGATAGATAGATAGAATAAGATGGATGATAGATAGATAGATAGATAGATAGAATAAGATGGATGATAGATAGATAGATAGAATAAGATGGATGATAGATAGATAGATAGATAGATAGATAGATAGATAGATAGGATAGATGATGGGTAGATGGATAGATGGATAGATAGACAGGATAGATGATAGATAGATAATAGATAGATAGATGGAATAAATATCATATAACTGCATAAAGAAATGTATGGAAATAAGCAAATAATCATGACTTCAATAAGATGGAAGTTTGCTTCTCTCTGATATGATAGGAGGCCAGAACAAGGGGTCCAAGTTGTTGTACAGATTCAAGATGTCAGACATCCTCCATGTTGTGCCTCCACCATTTTAGTATGTGACTTTCTACTCATGGTTCAATATGGTGACATGGTCTCCAGCCCTCACATCTCCATTGCAGCTAGCAGCAAAAGGAGAGGGAAGAGTTCACGTTCACTTTTTTAAGAAATTAAGGAGATTTTTACGGTCTTAATACATTCCTACTTACTTCCCATGAGCTCAAAGTTCATCATACTGTCACACAGAGCTGCAAGGGAGTCTAGGAAAAACAGTCTGAAAAAGTAGAGGTGGACAGCTTCTCAGGGATCCCCCAAGTTCTGGTCACTCTCTCAACTCTCTGCTTCTCTCTGTGTTCCAGACTAGATTCTCTTGGAAAAAGTCTTGGAAGATAGGATGGAAAAAAAAATCCAGCTGCTGAGGCTATAGATTTAGAGTCTGAGCTTCTCCCACCTTCTCTCAGTCTTTGCTGATCAAATTCAAGGGAAGGGTTAATTAGCCTGTCTTGCACCATATGTCTATCTCTGGGATAATCTCTGCACCTGAGAAAGGCTGGCTTCTCAGAACAGATGATTTTGTTGTTGTTGTTGTTGTTGTTAAACTTTAAAAGATGAATCAGATGTTACAATGACTCAGGGCTGGGCAGGCAAAGTCAGGGAACTAGGAAATTGATGATGGAGGCAGAGATTGAGGTGTTGGGTGTGAGGTGATGAAGTACAGACAGAGAGGCCACATCTTTCCATGTGTGAATTTATGAAAGATCTCAGACACTTAGGTAAGGATCCTGAACTGTTCTCTGCAGTTGATGAGAAACCACCAACATTGTGTGACCAGTCATGTCCACATTTATGCTTATACATATTAAATAGGTCTAAATGTGTTTAGACCTATTACCTTGGAACCCATGCATAGGATGGATCAGAAGGGATGGCACTGAAGGTGGAAGCCTGGAGCCTCTGGCATGGGATGGATGGTGGTAATGGAATCTTTGAACCTGGAGCATGGAGTGGGAAGGAAGAAGTGAGAAGGCATTCAAAGTCACCAGTAAGGCTGGGCACCATGGCTCACACCTGTAATCCCAGCAGTTTGAGAGGGCAAGACAGGCAGATCACTTGAGCTCAGGAGTTCAAGACCAGCCTGGGCAACATGGCGAGACCCCACCTCTATTAAAAATAAAAAAATAGACAAGAGTGGTGGTGTGTGCCTGTGGTCCTAGCTACTAGGGAAGATGAGGTGGGAGGATCACTTAAGCCCAGGTGGTGGAGATTGCAGTGAGCTGAGATTGTGCCACTGCACTCCAGCCCAGGTGACAGAGCGAGACATTGTCTCAAACAAACAAATTAAAATAACACACACACACACAAAGAAACAAACAAACAAAAATAACAGTCACCACAGAAGCAAACTGTTGTGTCTCTTTGATGTTGAGGGAAGAATCAAACGTGACTTCAGGGCTCTAACCTGAAAAGTTGAGTGGGAAACAAACTCCCAATAAAAGAACATAAATTATGTCTGGGGGAGAAAAGAAGACAAAGTTGAGTTCAGCCTTTGCTTTATTGATTCTTCTTCTGAAGGGGGTTCTTCTAAAACAAGGAGTCACATTTAGCCTTTGCTAGTTCTTCTCCTCTTCCCAAAGGGGTTTTTCTAAATGTTGGGCTGAACTAGGGCTCAAACATAAGCTTCCTTCTCTCTCCGGGGGATCTCACTCAGCTCCAAGACTTGACACATCCACTCAAAATCCTAAATTCCTATCTCTGGATTTGACATCTTTTCTCTATTTCAGATTCAGCATGTAACTGTATCCTCAACTTCTCAGCTCAGGAAAATGATTAGGGTTTTCAAGTTAACCCATCCCAAACCATCTGGACAGCCTTCACTGGATTCACCACCACCCCTGACAAGTGTTTTGGCAGAAGATTTTGGAAACTTTGAACTCTCCTTTCTCTCATCTCCCCCTTATACAATTCATTGGCAAGTCTCTTGAATGACCTCAAACATTTGTCAAAATGGATCAGATTTTCCTGCCTTTGCCTTCTTCGCCCTGATGCATGACGTATGTCATCTGGATCATGGCCACATCCTCTTGATTGATCTTTTGGCTTCTGTCCTGGTTTCTGCTTTGATCCTGGAATTATTCTTAAGCAGAGAAATCTTTTTAAAATGGAGATGATTTTTAGCTTGTGGCCCTCATCCCTTCCTATTGACTAAATAGCAGTTTCCCAAAATTTGTATGTTGAAGGCCTAACCCCTACTGGTTATGTCCCTCCAAAATGCACCATACTGAAGCCCTAATCCCCAATGGGATGATATTAGGAGGTGAAGTCTCTGGAGGTGATGAGGTTTAGATGAGGTCATGAGGATGGGACCTTCATGATGGGATTAGTATCCTTATAAGAAGAGCAAGAGACACAAAAGCTCTCTCTCTATCTCTTTCTCTCTCTGAAGGCACCATCTGTGAACCAGCAAGAGAACCCCCTCCAGCCAATAAATCTGCCATGCCTCGAACTCGGACTTTCCCATCTCCAGAACTATGAGAAATCAATGGCTGTTACTTAAGCCACCCAGTCTATGATTTTTGTTATGGCAACCCAAGCTGACTAAGACATCCCTCATGCCACTCAAAACCCTCCAATAATTTCACATCAAAGTTGGAATACAATCTGACTACTTCCCTATGGCTTCTTTGTAACTCTGTCCCTGGCAACTTGCTCCAATTGGGACTCTGCGGTCCCAATAAAAGAATGTAAATTATGTCTGGGGGAGAAAATAAAACAAAGTTGAGTTCAGCCTTGGCTTTATTGATTCTTCTTCTGAAGAGGGTTCTTCTAAAACAAGGAGTCACATTTAGCCTTTGCTGGTTCTTCTTTGCTACCTCCTTGGGCGTCCCCCCAGTCATGCCAAATTCATTCCTGTTGCAGACCTCCAGCACATTACTCCTTCTGTGAGTGTCCTGTGGCCGCCATCACCAATGATCATGTTCGTATTGGCTTAAAGCAACACAAATGTATTGTCTTACAGTGTTGTAGGTTTGAAGCCCACTCTAGGTCTCACTGGCCTAAAACCAAGGTGTCAGCAAAACTTCCCTCTTGATGCAAGTTCTGGGGGAGAATCAGTTTCTTTGCCATTTCCTACTTCTAGAGGCATGTTTCTAGAATATTCCTTGGCTCCTGGACCCTTCCTCCATCTTCGAAGCCAGTACTGCAGCATCTTCTAATCTTTCTGTGACTCTGACCTTTGCTTTTGTCCTAACAACACCTCCTCTGGCTCTGGCACTCCTGCCTGCCTCTTACAAAGATCCTGTGATGACCTTAGACCCACCTAGATAATCCAGGGTCATTTCATCTCATGATTCTTAAACTAATCACATCTGCAAAATCTTTTTAGCCATGAAAGGTTTTTACAGATTTCTGGAATTAGGATGTGGATGTTTTTTTTTGAGGGGGGGCAGGGGGCGCTTACTCTGTCAACCACATGGGGATTAGGATGTAGACATCCTTGGGGCCATTATTCTGTCTACTACCTAGTATTAGGACATGGACGTCTTTGGGACCATTATTCTCTGTACCACATGAGGATTAGGACATGGGCATCTTTGGGACCATTATTCTGTCTACCACATGGGGATTAGGACGTGGACATCTTTGAGGTCATTATTCTGTCTGCTGCATGAGAATTAGGACATAGACGTTGTTTGGGGCCATTATTCTACTACATGAGGATGAGGATGTGGATATCTTTCATGCTATCATGCTGTCTACTACATGAAGATAAGGATGTGGGCATCTTTGGGACCATTATTCTGTCTACCACATGAGGATTAGGAAGTGGACGTCTTGGAATCCATTATTCGGCCTACCCCATGGGATTAGAATGTGGACATCTTTAGGGCCATTATACTGTCTACCTCACGGGGATTAGGATGTGGACATCTTTAGGGCCATTATTCTGTCTACCACATGGGGAATAGGATGTTGGTAACATCTTTAGGGCCATTATTCTGTCTCCCACATGAGGATTAGGATGTGGACATCTCTGGGGACATTATTCTGTCTACCACATGGGGAATAGGATGTTGGTAACATTTTTAGGGCCATTATTCTGTCTCCCACATGGGGATTAGGACATGGATATCTTTGGGGCCATTATTCTGTCTACCCCTAGATAATTAGAACTTGGACATCTTTGGTGAAATCACTTTGTCTTCCTCCTTTCTTATTCTTAGAATTCTCCTAGTAACAAGCTGCTTCTTCCTCAACTTCTTCTTCCTCAGCATTCCTATGGGGCCTCCAACACTCACCAGGCAGCTCCCTGACTGCATTACCCGAGATTGTATTTGGCCAAGATTCTCTGCTTTCTCTTGGTACCTCCAAGCAGGATGGAAGCTTTAGAGGGCAGTGTCTTTGTTACTCTTTCTTATTCTAATTGTTTATTCTTATTTATTGACGTGTCTCCTGCTTTCAAGGCAGACTCCCACCCATTAGGTCTTCTATATACAATTAAATTTACCTAGAAAATATTTCCTTCTTATTTAAAGCTTTTTAAAAGTAAATTTCAAAATTGCTATATCATGTTACAAATTCACGTGCCTCCCGTGAAGAATACATTTGCAAAATAAATGATGTCTTGAGACTAAATGAATTTTCAATGAAGATTTTAGAGACTCTTTTTTTTTTTTTTTTTTTTTTTTTTTTTTTTAGACAGAGTCTCACTCTGTCACCCTGGCTGTAGTGCAGTGGCGTGATCTCGGTTCACTGCAACCTCCGCCTCCCGGGTTCAAGCAATTCTCCTGCCTCAGCCTCCCAAGTAGATGGAATTACAGGCACCTGCCACCGTGGCTGGCTAATTTTTGTATTTTTAGTAGAGACAGGATTTCACCTTCTTGGCCAGGCTGGCCTTGAACTCCTGACCTCAGGTAATCCACCCACCTCGGCCTCCCAAAGTGCTGGGATTACAGATGTGAGCCACCGTGCCCGGCCGAGACTCTTTTTAATACATGCTTTGGTTCTAATAAAATTCCCCCTTGAGCTGTTTGGACAGATGACAGGGAAGAAATCATTTACAATTCTCTTAATAAAACCCCCATGAATAATAACCCATTTCCCCCCAAAATAGAAAAGGGAACTATTTCCCCCTGCTCTTTGAGGGAACTGAATAAATAGTAAATGAAGTTCTGTCTGTACAGGAAGCGTGGGTACTTGGCATTACATCCAGAAAAGTAAGGACATGAGTGTTTTCTTCCAAACGAATGACATGTTTAAAAACCATCATCACCACCCTCTCTGTGATTGCAGATTTTGCGTGCATTTTAATCATTGGGTGCCAGAAGCAAATTTCCATGTGAGCACGCCCTCTTTCTTCTTCTCCTCCCGCTCCTCCTGCTCCTCCCGCTCCTCCTCCTCCTTCTTTTCTCCTTCTCCTTCTCCTTCTTCTTCCTCTTCTTCCTCTTCCTCCTCTCCCTCCTCTGCTTCTTCTCCTTCTTCTCCTTCTCCCTCTTCTCCCTCTTCCTCTTCTTCCTCCTCTCCTTCTCCCTTTTCCCCTTCCCCATCCCCTTCCACTTCCCCTTCCCCTTCCCCTTCCTCCTCCTTCTCCTCCTCCTCCTCCTCTTCTTCTTCTTTTTCTTCTTCTTCTTCTTCCTTTTCTTCTTCTTCTTCTTCTTCTTCTTCTTCTTCTTCTTCTTCTTCTTCTTCTTCTTCTTCTTCTTCTTCTTACTTCTCCTTCTTGTTTTCCTTCTCCTTCTCCTTCTTCACTTCAAGTTATGGGATACATGTGCAGAATGTTTCAAGTTATGGGATACACGTGCAGAACATGCAGGTTTGTTACATAGGTATACATGTGCCATGGTGGTTTGCTGCACCCATCAACCCATCACCTAGGTTTTAAGCCCTGCATGCTTTATGTACTTGTCCTAATGCTCTCCCTCACCTTTCCCCCAACCCCCAGACAGGCCCTGGTGTGTGATGTTCCCCTCTCTGTGTCCATGTGTTCTCACTGTTCAACTCCCTCTTATGAGTGAGAACATGTGGTGTTTGGTTTTCTGTACCTGTGTTAGTTTGCTGAAAATGATGGCTTCCAGCTTCATCCATGTCCCTGCAAAGGACATGAACACATCCTTTTTTACGGCTGCATAGTATTCCATGGTGTCTATGTGCCACATTTACTTTATTCAGTCTATCACTGATGGGCATTTGGGTTGGTTCCAAGTCTTTGCTGTTGTAAATAGCAGCATGTCCTCCGATTCAACAATGAGAACATTGTCCACTGTTCTGTTCAGGCCTACGGAAAGGTCCCAGGCTGCTAAGACAATCTCGAATTCTCTCAACACCCCACAGTTTGTCAATACTGGAGATATTCTGGTGATTTTTTTTTGGGGGGGGGAAAGTGGCTGTTTATATATCACAAGGTTTCTTGATTACAAAAACAGTCAACTAGGCAGGCACAGTGGCTCATGCCTGTAATCCCAGCACTTTGGGAGGCCAAGGCGGGTAGATCATGAGGTCAGGAGATCGAGACCAGCCTGCCCAACATGGTGAAACCCTGTCTCTACCAAAAATACAAAAATTAACCAGGGATGGTGGTGTGTGCCTGTAATCCCAATTACTTGGGAGGCTGAGGCAGGAGAATTGCTTGAACCCGGGAGGTGGAGGTTGCAGTGATCAGAGATCGCTCCAGCCTGTGTGACAGAGTGAAACTCCATCTCCAAAAAAAAAAAAAAAAAAAAAAAAAGCAAAATAACAAAAAAACAGTCAGCTCTACAAGTATAAAACAGTCAGCTCTACAAGTGTAAGAGGAAGGAACCACACCATGTCACAGTCAGTCGGATGACCACTGGCTCTGAAGGAGGAAAAACACTCAGCTCTCTACCTACCTGCTCTCTCTCCCCATTCCTGTTACATAGATTACTTCTTTCCTCCCCAGGTACACTGGAGGGTCAGGGTCTTCCCTTCTTCCTTCTATTTAAATAAAACAATATGAGAAAACTGCTTGACAGGTGGTTCCAAGCATCAGTGGGGTGAAGAAACAATATTCTTCGTGATGCGGGTAACACCAGGAAAAAAAAAATCAGTGTCTCTTGTCCATATGTTCTCATCATTTAGCTCTCACTTTTATTTTTAATTAATTAATTTTTTTTTGAGACAGAGTCTCACTCTGTCACCCAGGCTGGACTGCAGTGGCGTGATCTCGGCTCACTGCAGACTCTGCCTCCTGGGTTCAAGCGATTCTCCTGCCTCAGCCTCCAGAGTAGCTGGGATTACAGGTGTCCACCACCATGCCCGGCTAACTTTTGTAATTTTAGTAGAGACGGGGTTTCATCATGTTGGTCAGGCTGGTCTAGAACTCCTGTCCTCAGGTGATCTGCCTACCTCGGCTTCCCAAAGTGCTGGGATTACAGGTGTAAGCCACTGTGCCTGGCCGGTAACTCTCTTTCATGATAGATTCTTTATTTTTAAATTTATTTATTTATTTTGAGACACAGTCCCACTCTGCCACCCAGGATGGAGTACAGTGGCATGATCTCAGCTCACTGCAACTTTTACCACTCGGGTTCAAGTGATTATCCTGCCTCAGCGCCCCCCGAGTGTCTAGGATTACAGGCACGCGACACCAGGCCCAGCCAATTTTTGTATTTTTAGTAGAAATGAGGTTTCATCATGTTGGCCAGGCTGGTCTCAAGCTCCTGACCTTAAGTGATCCACCCACCTTGGCCTCCCAATGTGATGGAATTACAGGTGTGAGCCACCATGCCCGGCTGGCTCCCACTTTTAAATGAAAACATGTGGTATTTAGTTTTCTGTTCCTGCATTGGTTTGCTAAGCATACCATAGCTCCAGCTGTGTTCCTGCAAAGGATATGAGCTCATCCTTTTTTATGGCTGCATAGTATTCCACGCATATGTGGCACATTTTCTTTAAGGGTGCAAGTTGGGAGAAGGGAAAGGATCAGAAAAAATAACTTACTGGGTACAAAGCTTAGTACCTGGGTGACAAAATAATCTGTACAACAAACTCCTATGACACAAGTTTACCTATATAACAAACCCACACAGGTACCCCTGGACCTAAAATAAAAGTGTTTTTGGTTTTTGGTTTGTTTGTTTGTTTTTGTTGTGTTTGTTTGTTTGTTTGAGACAGAGTCTCTGCCTCTGTCACTCAGGCCAGAGTACAGTGGTGCAATCTTGGCTCACTGCAACCTCCACCTCCCAGAAAAAGAAAGCAAACACGGCATGCAGCATCAGCTTTCTAGAAGACGCTGGAGCTTCTGGTGGGTGGACCATGCTGGAGCTTCTGGTGGGTAGACCTGGTGGAGCTTCTGGTGGGTAAATAATGCTGGAGCTTCTGGTGAGTAGACCAGGGTGGAGCTTCTGGTGGGTAAATTATGCTGGAGCTTCTGGTGGGTAAATCATGCTGGAGCTTCTGGTGGGTGGACCATGCTGGGGCTTCTGGTGGCTAAATAATGCTGAAGCTTCTGGTGGGTGGACCATGGTGGAGCTTCTGGTGGGTGAACCATGCTGGAGCTTCTGGTGGGTAAATCATGCTGGAGCCTCTGGTGGGTAAATCATGCTGGACCCTCTGGTGGATAAATCATGCTGGAGCTTCTGGTAGGTGGACTATGGTGGAGCTTCTGGTGGATGGATCATGCTGGAGCTTCTGGTGAGTAGACCATGGTGGGAGATTCTGGGGGGTAAATTATGCTGGAGCTTCTGGTGGGTGGACCATAGTGGAGCTTCTGATGGGTGGACCATGCTGAAGCTTCTGGTGGGTGGACCATGGTGGAGCTTCTGATGGGTGGACCATGGTGGAGCTTCTGGGGGGTAAATTATGCTGGAGCTTCTGGTGGGTGGACCATGGTGGAGCTTCTGGGGGGTAAATTATGCTGGAGCTTCTGGTGGGTGGACTATGGTGGAGCTTCTGGTGGATGGACCATGCTGGAGCTTCTGGTGAGTAGACCATGGTGGGAGCTTCTGGGGGGTAAATTATGCTGGAGCTTCTGGTGGGTGGACCATAGTGGAGCTTCTGATGGGTGGACCATGCTGGAGCTTCTGGTGGGTGGACCATAGTGGAGCTTCTGGGGGGTAAATTATGCTGGAGCTTCTGGTGGGTGGACCATGGTGGAGCTTCTGGTGGGTGGATCATGCTGGAGCTTCTGGGGGGTGGATCATGCTGGAGCTTCTGGTGGGTAAATCATTCTGGAGCCTCTGGTGGGTGGGGTATCCACACAACTGTGGATGCCCATAGATAGTGCGGACTTCACCCCATGTTCCAGAAACCTGCAAAGAGGCAAGGAGGCCACGCGCCCCATACATTCTTTTCGGCGACTTAATACTCCCACAGCACGCTGTGTGTTTCCCCAAAAATGACATCAGCCAATTACACTTTCAAATCAAATGCCTTCCCGATGGGTGAAACTGGAAATGTGAAAACACTTTAATTCTCGGATAATGTAATGGTTTACATCTGGGGCTCTTCAGGCAGCCCACGGCTCGTTCACGTTGCTCCCTTCCAAGAAATGTTTGCAGTATGTGTCTTGTTTAATAACGATTTAACCACGGAAAATAAATGCTTTCCTCTTAGGCGTCCACCTGTCTATCACCCAGAGTCTGGGAGGACGGCCCTTCTTTTCAACGGGATTTGCCAGGCCAGTCTCCATGAATCATTTGACAAAAACCTCTAACGGTTTCCTTTTTTTTTTTTTTAACACTTAAGCTTTTTTTTTTTTTTTTTTTTTTTAGAACAGTCCATTTGTCCCTGGAAAGCTGCATATATATTTGTATATAATAATGTTGGAATTTCATTTATTTATTTATTTATTTATTTTTTTTGAGACAAAATCTCAGTCTTGTCGCCCAGGGTGGAGTGCAGTGGTGCGATCTCGGTTCACTGCAACCTCCGCCTCCCGGGTTCAAGCCATCCTCCTGCCTCAGCCTCCCGAGTAGCTGGGATTACAGGCACCCGCCACCACGCCCGGCTAATTTTTTGTATTTTTTAGTAGAGACGGGGTTTCACCGTGTTAGCCAAGATGGTCTCGATCTCCTGACCTCGTGATCCACCCGCCTCGGCCTCCCAAAGTGCTGGGATGACAGGCGTGAGCCACCACGCCTGGCTTTTTTTTTTTTTTTTTTTTTTTTTTTAGAAGAGGCCATTTGTCCCTGGAAAGCTGCATATATATTTGTATATAATAATGTTGGTATTTCATTATTTATTTATTTATTTATTTTTGGAGACAAAATCTCGCTCTTGTCGCCCAGGCTGGAGTGCAGTGGTGCGATCTCGGCTCACTGCAGCCTCCGCCTCCCAGGTTCAAGCGATTCTCCTGCCTCAGCCTCCCGAGTAGCTGGGTTGACAGGCACCTGCCACCGCGCCCGGATAATTTTTTGTATTTTTTTTTTAGTAGAGATGGGGTTTCACCATGTTATCCAGGATGGTCTCGATCTCCTGACCTCGTGATCCACCCGCCTCGGCCTCCCAAAGTGCCGGGATTACAGGCGTGAGCCACCGCGCCCGGCCTTGTTTTTGTTTTTGTTTTTTTTTCTAGAACAGTCCATTTGTCCCTGGAAAGCTGCATATATATTTGTATATAATAATGCTGGAATTTCATTTATTTATTTATTTATTTATTTATTTTTGAGACAAAATCTTGCTCTTGTCTCCCAGGCTGGAGTGCACTGGTGTGATCTTGGCTCACTGCTACCTCCGCCTCCCAGGTTCAAGCAATTCTCCTGCCTCAGCCTCCCGAGTAGCTGGATGCACAGGCACCTGCCACCACCCCCGGCTAATTTTTTGTATTTTTTTTTAATAGATATGGGGTTTCACCGTGTTAGCCAGGGTAGTCTCAATCTCCTGACCTCATGATCCACCCGCCTCAGCCTCCCAAAATGCTGGGATGACAGGCGTGAGCCACAGCGCCTGGCCTATTTATTTATTTTTGAGACAGTCTCGCTCTGTCGCCCAGGCTGGAGTGCAGTGGCGCAATCTTGGCTCACTGCAACCTCTGCCTCCCAGGTTTAAGCGATTCTCCTGCCTCAGCCTCCCGAGTAGCTGGGATGACAGGCATCCATTACCATGCCCAGCTAATTTTTGTATTTTTAGTAGAGATGGAGTTTCACCACGCTGGCCAGGCTGGTCTCGAACTCCTGACCTCAGGTGATCCACCCTCAGGGCACCCTCTGGACTTTTAAATAGCAGAATCCCCCTCAAAAAGCACCGGCCACTGTCTCTATAACTGGCCCACAGGGTCTCTTTGGGATGATTTTAAAACCCAGCACAACGAAGGGCCAGGCGCGGTGGCTCACGCCTGTCATCCCAGCACTTTGAGAGCGCAAGGCAGGTGGATCATCTGAGGTCAGGAGTTCGAGACCAGCCTGGCCAATATGGGGAACCCTCGTCTCTACTAAAAATACAAAAATTAGCCTGGCGTGGTGGCAGGTGCCTGTCAACCCAGCTACTCGGGAGGCTGAGGCAGGAGAATCACTTGAACCTGGGAGGCAGAGGTTTCCGTGAGCTGAGATCGCGCCACTACAGTCCAGCCTGGCGACAGCAAGTCTTCATCTCAAAAGATAAATAAGTAAAGCAATAAATAAATGTAAAATAAAATAAAAACAGTAAAGGAGTGAAGCTCTGAGACAGGCTACAATGTGCATGAATCTGAAAAGATACCACTCTGTGAAAAAAGGCAGGCCCCAAAAAACCACAGATTGGGCCAGGCGCGGTGGCTCACGCCTGTCATCCCAGCACTTTGGGAGGCCGAGGCGGGCGGATCACGAGGTCAGGAGATCGAGACCATCCTGGCTAACACGGTGAAACCCCATCTCTACTAAAAATAAAAAAATACAAAAATTTAGCCGGGCTTGGTAGCAGGTGCCTGTCAACCCAGCTACTCGGGAGGCTGGGGCAGGAGAATCACTTGAACCCGGGAGGCGGAGGTTGCAGTGAGCCAAGATCGTGCCCCTACACTCCAGCCTGGGCGAGAGAGTGAGACTCCATCTCAAAAATAAATAAATAACAATAAATAAATAAATAAACACAGCAGAGATGCCACAAGCCCGCCAAGACTACGCCGTTCCTCCTCGGGGAACACATGGGCAGAGGCTGCACCGGGAAGGCCCCCAGCCGTTGCAGGGTGAGTAATTTCCGAGCGTGCAATTATAAAGAACCGGAGTGCAGCAGCTCCCCAAGGCACCCCCGGATTCCCGCAGTGTGCACGTAATTGCAGCCAGACAGTAACCTCGCTGTGGCCTGTGTCCCAGCCCTAACCCCGCACCCCGCTTGGCGCTCCCACATATGGGACAATTTTCCAAGCTGATTGCTGGAAACTGATGAAGGGAAGTTATGTGGTCTCTTGTGACGGGCGGTCCCACAGCTGCTCTGGTCGGAAAGAGAGAGAGAGAGAGGAGAGAGAGAGAGACAGACAGAGGGAGAGGGGAGAGAGAGACAGACAGAGAGGAGAGAGAGAAAGAGGGGAGAGAGAGAGACAGAGACAGAGAGAGGGGAGAGAGAGAGACAGAGAGAGAGGGGAGAGAGAGAGACAGAGAGAGAGGGGAGAGAGAGAGAGGAGAGAGAGAGAGAGAGACAGAGACAGAGGGGAGAGAGAGAGAAAGGGGAGAGAGAGAGACAGAGGAGAGAGAGAGACAGAGAGAGATACAGAGAGAGAGACCCTGGAAGGTATTTTCTCTGTGCTCCAATTCCAGGGCATATTTTGGAAGAAAAGGGATCATGCTGGTGGTTTTGCGGAAGGTCAGTGCCAGAGTTGAGGAAGAGGAAGATGTCACTTTGGCAACTCATTGTCAAGTTCTCCAAAAATCAGGGAGGTGGGGAGCTGGAGTCAGGGAGGGAGGAGAGGAGGAAGCAACAGCCACCCACACAGGGAAGGATCTCTCCTCTCTTCCTCTCCATCTGCCACACCGTGACCCCATCCCTTGACTTTGCCTTTGCAGAGGGCATCCTGCCTTTGTCCACAGCTGTTTCTCTCTGTCTTTTTTTGAGAGACAGTCTTGCTTTGTTACCCAGACTGGAGTGCAATGGAGCAATCATAGCTCACTGCAACCTCAAGCTCCTGGACTCAAGCCATCCTCCCGCCTCAGACTCCCAAGTAGCCGGGACCACAGGAGCAGACCCACCATGCCCCATTAATTTTTAAACATGTTTTGGAGAGTTGGGGTCTCACTATGTTGCCCAGAGTACCACCATGCCCCATTAATTAAAAAAAAAATTTGTAGAGATGGGGTTTTGCTATGTTGCCCAGGCTGGTCTCAAACCCAGAGCACCACCGTGCCTCATTAATTAAAAAAAAAATTTTGTAGAGATGGGGTCTTGCTATGTTGCCCAGGCTGGTCTCAAACTCCTGGGCTCAAGCGATCGTCCCATCTCAGCCCCCCAAGTAGCTGGGACCACAGAAGCAGACCACCATGTCCCATTCATTAAAAAAAAATATTGGGGCCAGACAAGGTGGCTCACGCCTGTCATCCCAGCACTTTGGGAGGCTGAGGCGGGCAGATCATGAGGTCAGGAGATCGAGACCATCCTGGCTAACATGGTAGAACCCCGTCTACTAAAAATACA
This sequence comes from Homo sapiens, assembly GCF_000001405.40. Classification (NCBI taxonomy): domain Eukaryota; kingdom Metazoa; phylum Chordata; class Mammalia; order Primates; family Hominidae; genus Homo; species Homo sapiens. The sequence goes on from NC_000024.10 coordinate 907,400, forward strand.
AAAAATTAGCCGGGCGTGGTGGCGGGCGCCTGTAGTCCCAGCTACTGGGGAGGCTGAGGCAGGAGAATGACGTGAACCCGGGAGGCGGAGCTTGCAGTGAGCCAAGATCGCGCCTCTGCACTCCAGCCTGGGTGACAGAGCGAGACTCCGTCTCCAAAAAAAGATAAAAATTTGGAGAGATGGGGCCTCACTATATTGCCCAGGCTGGTCTCAAACTCCTGGGCTCCAGCGATCCTCTTATCTTTACTTTATGGAGAGAAATACGCAATTTCTACGTAGTGCTTTTGTTTTAAAATGCAGCTTGATCCTCAGACCATGAGAGGCAGGCATTTTACAGAAGAGACATCAGAACTTTCTAGAAGGTGGGTGATTGTTCAGTGCCTCTTCAGAGAACAAGTTGCAAAACCGAGGAAATTGCAACTTCTGAGCCTAAATTCAAGGGTTGGCCGGGTACAGTGGCTCACGCCTCTCATCCCAACACTTTGGGAGGCCGAGGCGGGCGGATCACCTGAGGTCAGGAGTTCGAGACCAGCCTGACCAACATGGTGGAAACCCGTCTCTACTAAAAATACCAAAATTAGCCAGGCGTGGTGGTAGGTGCCTGTAGTCCCAGCTACTCAGGAGGTTGAGGCATGAGAATCACGTGAAGCTGGGAGGTGGAGGTTGCAGTGAGCCGAGATTGCGCCACTGCACTCCAGCCTGGGAGACAGAGCGAGACTCCATCTCCAATACATACATACATACATACATACATACATAAAATTAAGAGTTGTTCAGCCATGCTGTCCCAGGTCCCCAAACTCTTAACCTTTTGCGTTTCATAGAAAGTGCTAGGATTTACAAAGATGCCACTACCCTCGCCAGCCCACTAAGATGAAAGTGAGATGCCACCTGTGATGGCCATTGGAGCACCTTGCCACCCTCCTCAATGGGCACCGGTGAGGAGGGTGACAGGCGCTTGGAGTCCCTGTGGGTTCTGGGATTCTGAGCTGTCACAGCGATAAGCCAGGGTCGATGGTTTCCTGAGGAGTTTGGCAAGCCTCAGTCCTTGGGTTCATTCCTCAACATTCGTGAAACAAAACAGACTTTTCAAATCGTGTTTAAAACAATTAGCGTGTTTACCCAAACAAAGGTTAAGCCTGCAAAGGAAAAGGGTATGCAAATGCTACCAAGCATTGCAGCTTTTACAGTTTTGCACACATCCTTCAAAGCTCATCTTCTTTTTTTTTCTTTTTTTTGAGATGGAGTCTCACTCTGTCGCCCAGGCTGGAGCACAATGGCGTGATCTCGGCTCACCGCAACCTCCGCCTCCGGGGTTCAAGCAGTTCTCCTGCCTCGGCCTCCCGAGTAGCTGGGATTACAGGCACCTGCCACTACCCCCGGCTAATTTTTTGTATCTTTAGAAAAGATGGGGTTTCACCATGTTGGCCAGGCTGGTGTTGAACTCCTGACCTCAGGCAATCCACCTGCCTCGGCCTCCCAGAGTGCTGGGATACAGACGTGAGCCACCGCACCCGGCCTCAAAGCTCATCTCCTAAGGCATGCAGAAACTCAGCTCCACAGATCTGAGGTCTAAATGAGCAGGGCAACCTTGCTTATGGAGACGCGGGCAGGCAGGGAGAACAGGGTCTCTGCCCAGGCCACCAAGGAGGAGGCAAGATGCCAGATGGAGAAGGGGTTGCCCCAAGCCCCAGGTTGACATGGAAGTTGGGAACAGCCAAGCAGAGAATCTCAGGATCTCCATGGAGGCTAAGAACGTTTCATTGGAGATTCAACTTTTGCAATAAGCAGTGCTGGGTTACATAAGTGCCTAATTAAGACCCTTGGAACTAATTATATAGGACAGAGAGGAGGTGATGGTGAAGACGTGAGATTCTAAGCTGTGATGATACTTACCACATGAGAGGATCAAGACCCACTGATGAACTCCTGGTAGTAGAGAGAGGATATGCAGATAGGGAGGCAGCTAGCTAGACAGATAGATAGATGACAGATAGATAATTGATACATAGATTATAGATTCAATAGATAAATACACAGAGAATACATTAGATAGATGGATGGATAGATAGATGGATGAATGGATAGATAGATATATCAATAGATAGATAGGTAGGTGGATAGAGAGATGATAGATAGATAATTGATACATATAGATTCAATAGATAAATACATAGATAATACATTAATAGATGGATGGATAGATAGATGAATGGATAGATAGATATATCAATAGGTAGGTGGACAGATAGATAATTGATACATAGATTATAGATTCAATAGATAAATACATGGATAGATAATACATTAGATAGATGGATGGATAGATGGATGAATGGATGGACACAGACATAGATAGATAGATCAACAGATAGGTAGGTGGATAGATAGATACATAGATGATTGATTGATAGGTAGAAGATAGATGATGAATATATAGATAGATGATAGATGTTAGATAGATATTTAGATACATAGATCAATAGATCAATAGGTGATAGATAAGCAATATACAGATAGGAACTCTCCAGTCAGCCTAGACTTAGCTAGTCAAGGTCCCACCTGTGGAGTTTCCAGGTGAACCTCATCTCTATTAGCCTTCGAGTCCACGTAAATCATGTATCTACATCTGCCTGGATTTGTTTTCACTGCTAGAACAGAATCCCTGAGACTGTGGTTTATAAAGAGCAGAGATTTATTTACTCCTGGTTCTGGAGGTGGAGAAGTCCAAGATGAAGGCACCAGCAGATTCTATATCTGATGAGTGCTGTTCTCTGCCTCCAAGATGGCGCCTTCCTGCTGAATCTTCCAGAAGGAAGAAACACCTTGTCCTTACATGGTATAGGTGGAAGACCAAGGGAAATGAATGCTACAGGAAGCCTCTTTCTTTCTTTCTCTTTCTTTCTTTCTTTCTTTCTTACTTTCTTTCTTTCTTTCTTTCTTTTTTCAAGATGGAATCTTGCTCTGTTGCCCAGGCTGGAGTACAGTGGCTTGACCTCGGCTCACTGCAACCTCCAGCTCCCAGGTTGAAACAATTCTCCTGCCTCAGCCTCCTGAGTAGCTGGGATTACAGGTGCCTGCCACCACACCCAGCTAATTTTTGTATTTTTAGCAGAGATGGGGTTTCACCATGTTGGCCAGGCTGGTCTTGATCTCCTGACCTCGTGAGCCACCTGCCTCGGCCTCCCAAAATGCTGGGATTACAGGCATGAGCCACCGCGCCCGACCAGGAAGCCTCTTTCATAAAAGCCTTAAGCCCATTCATGAGAAAGTTGCCTCCATGCCCTGATCACCCCTTTTTAAATTCATGTTATGTTGTTATTTTGTTATTTTTTTTTAATTTTTTTCACAGAAGGTCTGGCTATATCACCCAGGCTGGAGTGAAGTGGTATCATCTCAGCTTACTACAAGCTCTGCCTACTGGGCTCAAACGATCCTCCCACCTCAGCCTCCCAAGTAGCTAGGACTACAGAAGTGCACCACCATGCCCAGCTCACTTTTGTACTTCTTATAGAGACAGTGGGTTCACCATGTTGCCCAGGCTGGTCTGAAACTCATGAACTCAGGCAATCTGCCTTCCTCTGACTCCCAAAGTCCTGGGATTACAGGCCTGAGCTACTGTGCTGCCTCTCTTTTTTTTTTTTAATTTTAATTTAATTTTTATTTATTTTTTATGTATTTATTTATTATTATTTTTTTGAGACAAAGTCTCACTCTGTTGCCCAGGCTGGAGTGCAGTGGCGTGATCTTGGCTCACTGCAACCTCCACCTCCCGGGTTCAAGCCATTCTCCTGCCTCAGCCTCCCGAGTAGCTGGGATTACAGGCACTTGCCACCACGCCTGGCTAATTTTTGTATTTTTAGTAGAGACGGGGTTTCGCCACGTTGGTCAGGCTGGTCTCGAACTTCTGACCTCGTGATCCACCCGCCTCAGCCTCCCAAAGTGCTGGGATGACAGGCGTGAGCCACCGCGCCCGGTCCCTTTGCTTTTCTTAAGTGACTCTATGGGGGACCCATGCAACCAGCAGCATCTCAGCTTTTTCTCGCTGGCAGGTGTCTGCGGGAAACCAGCATCCCAGTTCACTTCAGACGCGAGCGTGTTGATTATACGCTCAGGGCCGCACATTAGAGAAGCGTGTGAGTCACAGCCCCACACTGGGTCGTCCAAGGATCAAGAAGATCAACAAACCAGCATGGTTAGGACAAGTGGTTTTACAGTCCTTTTTTTTTTTTTGAGACAGAGTCTTGCTCTGTCACCCAGGCTGGAGTGCAGTGGCGCGATCTCGGCTCACTGCAACCTCCACCTCCCGGGTTCAAGCCATTCTCCTGCCTCAGCCTCCCGAGTAGCTGGGACTACAGGTGCCCACCACCACGCCCGGCTGATTTTTTATACTTTTAGTAGAGACGGGGTTTCACCGTGTTAGCCAGGATGGTCTCGATCTCCTGACCTCATGATCTGCCCGCCTCGGCCTCCCAAAATCCTGAGATTACAGGCGTGAGCCACTGTGTCGCCCTTTTTTTTTTTCTTCTTTTTAATTCCTTTTTTTGAGACAGAGTCTCGCTCTGTCGCCCAGGCTGGAGTGCAGTGGCGCGATCTTGGGTCACTGCAACCTCTGCCTCCCGGGTTCAAGCGATTCTCCTGTCTCAGCCTCCTGAGGAGCTGGGACTACAGGTATGGGCCACCACATCTGGCTAATTTTTGTATTTCTAGTAGAGAAGGGGTTTCACCGTGTTGACCAGGATGGTCTCGATCTCTTGACCTTGTGATCCGATCTTTAATGGGTTTTTTTTTTTTTTTTTTTTTTGAGATGGAGTCTCGCTCTGTTGCCCAGGCTGGAGTGCAGTGGTGCGACCTCGGCTCACTGCAAGCTCTGTCTCCCGGGTTCAAGCAATTCTCCTGCCTCAGCCTCCCGAGTAGCTGGGACTACAGGGGCCCACCACCATGCCCGGCTGATTTTTTTTTTTTATTTTAGTAGAGATGGGGTTTCACCATGTTAGCCAGGATGGTCTCGATCTCCTGACCTCGTGATCTGCCCGCCTCGGCCTCCCAAAATGCTGGGATTACAGGCGTGAGCCACTGCACCTGGCCCTTTACAGTCCTTTTTAACGCACTTCTAAAAGAAACCATCTCAGCCACTTTTACACATCTGCAGGTGAGAGGAGTGTGGGGCACGGGTTTCCCCGATGACCCGGGGAAGGGATCAAGTTGATAAGTGTCCACTTTGCAACACCAGCGTCTACCAGGTACTGCCAGGCAGAAGCTCAAACCCATGCGTGACTTTTCCTTGGCTTTTTTTTTTTAAATAAACCTCTGTTCAAAAATAAACTTAACACGTTTTTCTGGAGCACCCCGAACCTGTTCCCAATTTCTTGTCCAAACAATGAAAAATACACAAGTGCATTATTTTAAGGGTGACTCTAGCTGACCTTTCCGGGGGGGAAAAACACAGCACCGGCCTGGAGCCCGAAGCGTGTTCAGAGCGTTTGATGTGGCGTTTGATGTTCAGGCAGGGGCCACCTGGGTCGGCCTGTCATCGAATGACGTTTTCACACCAGTCCCCAAAGCAGGAGATCTGGAAAATCTGACATCCAAGGTTTTAGATCTTGGCTTAGAAAAATAGACATTCCAAGATGCCTGAAGTGTTTAAGTGGCTATTGCTAATTGGATGGTGTTGACTGTGGAGGTAAATGGATCCCAAATTGAAATGGGAGATTAGATGATTAGACGTATTCTCCAGACGCTTACAAAAACAATTATGTGTGTGCGTGTGTGTGTGGAGAGAGAGATAGAAAGGTATATTGACAGACCGGGCGCGGTGGTTCACACCGTTAATCCCAGCACTTTGGGAGGCTGAGGCAGGCGGATCACCGGAGGTCAGGAGTTCGAGACCAGCCTGACCAACATGATGAAAACCCGTCTCTACTAAAAATACAAAAATTGGCTGGGCGTGGTGGTCTGTAAAAAATTGGCTGGGCCTGTAGTCCCGGCTACTCGGGAGGCTGAGGCAAGAGAATCACTTGAACCCGGGAGGTGGAGGTTGCAGTGAGCTGAGATGGTGCCACTGCCCTCTACCTTGGGCGACAGAATAAGACTCTGTCTCAAAAAAAGAAAAAAAGGATATATAGACAATAGACATACTATATCACAGATGGAAAGAAATAAACTAGATAGGTTAAACTAGATAGAAATAGATAACTGTCAGAACGAGATAGATGGTAGATAGATAATTAATAGAAAAGAGATAAATTAGGACAATTAAAGCAATGACAGACCTAGGTAAATAAATGATAGATAACAGATATATTATTAATACATAGGAATAGATGAGTTAATAATATATTAGTTAATAATATTATATTAATATTAGTTACTATACTACTATTAGTTAATAATTAGTTAATTATTAGTTAATAATATTAGTTAATATATTAGTTAATGATATATTAATAATAATATATTAGTTATTAGTTAATAACTAATATATTCGTTAATATTATATTAGTTAATGATATATTATTTAATAATATATTGTTATTAATAATAATTAATATAATATAATATATTATAATATATTAACTAATATTATTTAATATATTATAATATATTAAATATTAGTTAATATATTAAATAACATTAATAATACTAATTATATTAGTTATACTAATAATATTAGCTAATTAGTTAATAATTAGTTAATAATTAACTAATTATATATAATAATATATAATAATATATAATTAGTTAATAATTAGTTACTTATTAGTTATTATACTATTAATGTTAGTTAATAATAGATGAGTTAATATTATATTATTAATACATAGGAATAGATGAGTTAGATTACATAAATGATAGAGATAGGTAGATAAATATATAACAGATATATAGGGAGATAACTGGATAGATGCATAGATGATAGCTAGATAGGCAGATAGTACAGGGATGATAGGTAGATAGATACAGGAATAGATGTTAGGTAGACAGATAATTGATACATAGATTATAGATTTGGTAGATAAATACATATATAGATGGATGGATAATAGATAGAGGATGGATATATAGTAGATGATAAATAGTAGAAAGATGATAGGTAGATAGACAGCTAGATGGATAGATGATAGGTAGATAAGTGATACATAGATTATAGATTCAATAGATAGATAATACATTAGATGGATAGATGAATAGATAGATACAGGGATAGATGATAGGTAGACAGATAATTGATACATAGATTATAGATTCGATAGATAAATACATATATAGATGGATGGATAATAGATAGATGATGGATATATAGTAGGTGATAGTAGAGAGATGATAGGTAGATAGACAGCTAGCTAGCTAGATGGATAGAAGATAGATAATTGATACATAGATTATACATTCAATAGATAAATAGATAATACATTAGATGGATAGATGAATAGATAGCTACAGGGATAGATGATAGGTAGATAGATAATTGATACATAGGTTATAGATTCAATAGATAATATATATAGATAGATGGATAGACAGATGGATACATGGATGGATGATAGATGATGGATATATAGTTAATGATAGATAGATAGTAGAGAGATGATAGGTAGATAGATAGCTAGCTAGCCAGACAGATAGATGATAGGTAGATAATTGATACATAGATTATAGATTCAATAGATAAATACATAGATAATACATTAGATGGATAGATAGATGGATAGATAGGTAGATAGATAGGTAAGTGGATAGTTACAGGGATAGATGATAGGTAGATAGATAACTGATACATAGATTATAGATTCAATAGATAAATACACATATAGATAGATGGATAGATAGGTGGATGGATAGATGATGATGGATATATAGTAGATGATAGATGATTGATAGATGATAGATGTTAGATAGATTATAGATAAATAGATCAATAGATCGATAGATGATAGATGGGTAATAGATAGGTAGGAACTCCCCAGTCTGCCTAAGATATTTTCTGTTATTTTATAAGACATAACCCTCATGAGTTCTTTTCTATCTGCTGCTGCTGTTATTCTGAAAATAGTGTAAAGTTTTGGAGTTTCAGGTACAAGAGGACCCTGCAGATATCAGCCACCTGCTTTTCCCTCCCTTCCTGGGGAGGTTCGGTTCTGCCTCACACGCACTCACTCCTACATCCCTGTGGGTCTCAGAGCTGCCCCCTCCTTGTCTGCAAAGAGGGAGGTGTGGTACCCACTCCGGGGACCCCCTCCATCCTTGGAGCACTCAGTGTGCAAGTCAGCCTGGCTTTCTCCTTCACAGACAAGTGGCATTGTCACAAGACAGCGTGGGCCACTCAGGGGACTCTCACCGTCATGAGGCTGGCATTGAGTGACACTGCGTTAGAGACAGAGGCAACCTCGAAAGGCATATGGGCCCTGCTTCCCTCTTCTCAGAAACGAGGAGAGCCTCTGGTAGACAAACCACACAATGATCTTTTGGGGTGAAACCTCAGGCTCTGTTCACTCACTGGCATTGTCAAACCACTGGCATTGTCAAACCACACCTGCAAAGAGCTGGCAAACTATTCCCTAAGCACAGAAATCCTCACGCTTATCTGGGGCCATTCTGAGCCCTGCAGGTGGCTAGGGAGAGAGCCATAAGGTATTTCTTGTGGCAGGGGCGGGGGCCCTCTCTGGCATTCTCAGGGCTGCCCCCAGAACCTGGAATCAAGCAGGAGAGAGAAGGACATCATCTAGAGAAGGCTTGCTCTCCGTGAGGCCGTGGAGTCCTGCCCCAGCGGAAAATAAACTTCTTAATACGATTGAGATCAACAGACCGGGCTTTTCTCTGTGATACATTTAAGCAAATTGAATGTAATTACCTCAATTGAATTCAGAGCAAGGCCTGCCCTGACCTTCCGCTGAAGCGTTCTGCCCGCTTGGGGAGCAGGCCGGGGCACACATGACATCATTTGGACAATTTGCACATATTTATACAATTTGTCATTATTCCATCTGTACAGGCTGGAGGCTGAGAGGTTTGCCTCCAGCACCGCTGTGAAATCAGGCCTGTGAGAATGACGTGCTGGACATACCTCTTGTGTGTGCTATTTACTTCGAATTCAAGTATACATGGTCACTAGTGGGGGGAGTGGGGTGGACGTGTGTGTGTGTGTGTATGTGTGTGTGTGTGTGTGCCGGGCAGAAGATGCAAATCCATTGACACAAATCAACAAGCAATGTTATGATATAAGGGAGGGAAATGAAGCCAGCAGGTGCTATAATACGTGTCAAAAAAAAATCTGTTCTAAGCTTATGCCGCTGTAAGACAACAGACAGCTGTGTAGAGGTGTGGCTTCAGTGACGGCCGAGGAAGGGTTATCTGCAGGTACAGCCATGCCATGTCAGAGGTGTCTGTATTCCGACCTCAGGCACCGAGGTCCTGCCCACGAATGTTGTGGTAACGTGGGGATATATTTGAAGGAAAACAGAGAGGTGTCTGGATGGCCTGTTTTGTTGCAGGAAGCAAACCAGCATGATGCAGGCAGCCTGAACTGAGAAAAGGAGGTTTCCAGATTTCCAGAGACACACTGAGTTCACTTCCATGCACCAGGGAGAAAAGCTCATTCAGGGACCTCCGCTGTATTACGAAGTTTCATTTCTCCTGCAATGGGAGTCCACAGCAGCCTCGTGGAGGGGACATTCCTCCCAGCCTGCGTATCATAGACTCAGCTACAGGCTTAGGGTCCTCAGGTTGCCCAAGGATGCTGGAGGTCCACAGGTCAACTGCAGGGAGACGGATTCCCCAAATGAGCAAGAGGGTTCTGGTGCTGAGGAAATAGATTAGTAGCTCCTGGCAGGTGTGGCTTCACGACCGTAAGGAAATGGAGGCAAAGAGTTGTTGGGCATGTAGAACTTTCATTTCTTCCACATTTATTCAGAGAAACGGCATATGCATTTTTGGTAGAAGTACGTCCCATGCAATATTGCTGTTGATCTCGAATTCAAGTGTACCTGGGCACGCATGCATACTGCTGTTCACCTCGAATTCAAGTGTACCCGGGCATGCATCTGTTCTGCTATTTATCTTGAATTCAAGTATACCTGGGCACGCATGCATACTGCTGTTCACCTCGAATTCAAGTGTACCTGGGCACGCATGCATACTGCTGTTCACCTCGAATTCAAGTGTACCTGGGCATGCATCCATACTGCTGTTCACCTCGAATTCAAGTGTACCTGGGCAAGCATGCATACTGCTGTTCACCTCGAATTCAAGTGCACCTGAGCACGCATCTGTTCTGCTGTTTATGTAGAATTCAAGTATACCTGGGCATGCATGCATACTGCTGTTTATCTCGAATTCAAGTATACCTAGGCACGCATGCATACTGCTGTTCACCTCGAATTCAAGTGTACCTGGGCATGCATCCATACTGCTGTTCACCTCGAATTCAAGTGTACCTGGGCACGCATGCATACTGCTGTTCACCTCGAATTCAAGTGTACCCGGGCATGCATCTGTTCTGCTATTTATCTTGAATTCAAGTATACCTGGGCACGCATGCATACTGCTGTTCACCTTGAATTCAAGTATACCTGGGCATGCATCCATACTCCTGTTCACCTCGAATTCAAGTATACCTGGGCACGCATCCATACTGCTGTTTATCTCGAATTCAAGTGTACCTGAGCATGCATCCATACTGCTGTTTATCTCGAATTCAAGTGTACCTGGGCACGCATGCATACTCCTGTTCACCTCGAATTCAAGTGTACCTGGGCACGCATCTGTTCTGCTGTTTATCTCGAATTCAAGTGTACCTGAGCATGCATCCATACTGCTGTTCACCTCGAATTCAAGTATACCTGGGCATGCATCCATACTGCTGTTTATCTCGAATTCAAGTGTACCTGGGCATGCATCCATACTGCTGTTCACCTCGAATTCAAGTGTACCTGGGCATGCATCCATACTGCTGTTTATCTCGAATTCAAGTGTACCTGAGCATGCATCCATACTGCTGTTTATCTCGAATTCAAGTGTACCTGGGCATGCATCCATACTGCTGTTCACCTCGAATTCAAGTGTACCTGGGCATGCATCCATACTGCTGTTCACCTCGAATTCAAGTGTACCTGGGCACGCATCCATACTGCTGTTCACCTCGAATTCAAGTGTACCTGGGCATGCATCCATACTGCTGTTCACCTCGAATTCAAGTGTACCTGAGCATGCATCCATACTGCTGTTCACCTCGAATTCAAGTGTACCTGGGCATGCATCCATACTGCTGTTCATCTCGAATTCAAGTGTACCTGGGCATGCATCCATACTGCTGTTCACCTCGAATTCAAGTGTACCTGGGCATGCATCCATACTGCTGTTCATCTCGAATTCAAGTGTACCTGGGCATGCATCCATACTGCTGTTCATCTCGAATTCAAGTGTACCTGGGCATGCATCCATACTGCTGTTCACCTCGAATTCAAGTGTACCTGGGCATGCATCCATACTGCTGTTCACCTCGAATTCAAGTGTACCTGGGCATGCATCCATACTGCTGTTTATCTCGAATTCAAGTGTACCTGGGCATGCATCCATACTCCTGTTCACCTCGAATTCAAGTGTACCTGGGCATGCATCCATACTGCTGTTTATCTCGAATTCAGGTGTACCTGGGCATGCATCCATACTCCTGTTCACCTCGAATTCAAGTATACCTGGGCACGCATGCATACTGCTGTTCACCTCGAATTCAAGTGTACCTGGGCATGCATCCATACTGCTGTTTATCTCGAATTCAAGTGTACCTGGGCACGCATCTGTTCTGCTGTTTATCTCGAATTCAAGTGTACCTGGGCATGCATCCATACTCCTGTTCACCTCGAATTCAAGTGTACCTGGGCATGCATCCATACTCCTGTTCACCTCGAATTCAAGTGTACCTGGGCACGCATGCATACTGCTGTTCACCTCGAATTCAAGTGTACCTGAGCATGCATCCATACTGCTGTTCACCTCGAATTCAAGTGTACCTGGGCACGCATCTGTTCTGCTGTTTATCTCGAATTCAAGTGTACCTGGGCACGCATCCATACTCCTGTTCACCTCGAATTCAAGTGTACCTGGGCATGCATCCATACTCCTGTTCACCTCGAATTCAAGTGTACCTGGGCACGCATGCATACTGCTGTTCACCTCGAATTCAAGTGTACCTGGGCACGCATCTGTTCTGCTGTTTATCTCGAATTCAAGTGTACCTGGGCACGCATCCATACTCCTGTTCACCTCGAATTCAAGTGTACCTGGGCATGCATCCATACTCCTGTTCACCTCGAATTCAAGTGTACCTGGGCATGCATCCATACTGCTGTTTATCTCGAATTCAAGTGTACCTGGGCATGCATCCATACTGCTGTTCACCTCGAATTCAAGTGTACCTGGGCACGCATCTGTTCTGCTGTTTATCTCCAACTCAAATGTACCTGAGCATGCAACTGTTCTGCTGTTTACCTCGAATTCCACTCTACCTGGGTACGCATGCCGTACTTTGATTGGTTAACTAGAGAGATTTGAAAAGCAAACGATCATTATTTTCCCCAAGTTTCAACTTTGTTCAGATAGAAGCTAAGAAATTCCACACCATGTATATATTCCTTGTAAAGTTTGCCCAGTACCTGAGCCAGCACCTAGGGATGGAAGGGCAGACAGTGGAGGTTGGGGTGCACACAGATTTGGGTGACCCAGACCAAATCTGATCTCCTAGAACCAAGAGATCCCACAGAGACAGGACAAATTGGCCTGTTTGGGGCCGGCGTGCTGCAGGATCCCAGACGCCACTCAACGGCCGCCCCATCGCACTGGAAACCTCAGAATATATTTGTGAACTCACTACAAAAGACTACATCAAACCAGATGAGGCGTGACGGAATTAAAGTCTGGGAGTCAGAGAATGGCCGTGGCCTGAAGCCAGGTGTGAGGCAGCGTTTCAGGCCCCGAGGACGGTTGTTCCAATTACAGCCCGGGATGACCTCATGCCGAGGGTATGGCCAGAATATTAAAAATTCCTGCAGCAGATGAATGCGAGGGGTCTGGCGTGAGGGGACCGGGGAGGGGTGCAAACATGTTTCATTTTATTTCAACACTCAGCCTCGACCCGCACGGCGGTCAGAGAGGAAATTGCCGGCTCCCTGCCTCATGTTCTGCTGATTGGCAGACAGATTTACAGCACATGGAAGAAACAATTAGGACGGAGCCTCCACCGACTACAAAGCAAGGAAATAAATTCCCATAATGAGACGGCCAAACGCACAAGGTACGAATGATCTATGGGCTCGTGTCTAGGGTATAAAATGTCAAAACGCCCCGGGGTCGTGCTGAGTGGTTCTCTGTGACAGATGGTGCACAGATTGTTGTTTTTTTTTTTTCTTTTTGTGGTTTTGTTTTGAGAAGAAGTTTCACTCTTGTTGCCCAGGCTGGAGTGCAATGGCGTGATCTCGGCTCACCGCAACCTCCGCCTCCCGGGTTCAAGTGATTCTCCTGCCTCAGCCTCCCGAGCAGCTGGAATTACAAGCACCCGCCGTCATGCCCGGCTAATTTTTGTATTTTTAATAGAGACTGGGTTTTGCCATGATGGCCAGGCTGGTCTCGAACTCCTGACCTCAGGTGATCCGCCTGCCTCGGCCTCCCAAAGTGCTGGGATTATAGGGATAAGCCACCATGCCCAGCCAATCTGTTCAATCTTTCTATCATCTCTCTCTCTTTTATTTATTTATTTATTTATTTATTTATTTATCTATTTATTTTGAGACGTAGTTTTGCTCTTGTTGCCCAGGCTGGAGTGCAGTGGCACAATCTCGGCTCACTGCAAGCTCCACCTCCCAGGTTCAAAGGATTCTCCTGCCTCAGCCTCCCAAGTAGCTGGGACTATAGGCGTGCACCATCATGCCTGGCTAATTTTTGTATTTTTAATAGAGACGGGGTTTCACCGTGTTGGCCAGGCTGGTCTCAAACTCCTGACCTCAGGTTATCCGCCTGCCTCGGCCTCCCAAAGTGCTGGGATAACAGGCACGAGCCACCGTGCCTGGCTAAGCTGTTTAATCTTTCTATCATCTCTCTCTCTCTTATTTATTTATTTATTTATTTATTTATTTATTTATTTATTTTGAGACGGAATTTTGCTCTTGTTGCCCAGGCTGGAGTGCAATGGCACGATCTCGGCTCACTGCAACCTCCCCCTCCCGGGTTGAAGTGATTCTCCTGCCTCAGCCTCCCAAGTAGCTGGGACTCTAGGCGCCCGCCACCACGCCCGGCTGATTTTTGTATTTTTAGTAGAGACAGGGTTTCACCATGTTGGCCAGGATGGTCTCAAACTCCCGACCTCAGGTGATCCACCTGCCTCGGCCTCCCAGAGTGCTGGGATTATAGGCATGAGCCACCATGCCCAGCCAATCTGTTTAATCTTTCTATCATGTCTCTCTCACACACTCTTATTAATTAATTTATTTATTTATTTATTTATTTAGAGACAGAGTCTCGCTCTGTCACCCAGGCTGGAGTGCAATGGCGCGATCTCAGCTCACTGCAACCTCCGCCTCCCGGGTTCAAGCGATTCTCCTGCCTCAGCCTCCCGAGTAGCTGGGACTACAGGCGCCAGCCAACATGCCCGGCTAATTTTTGTATTTTTAGTAAAGACGGGGTTTCGCCATGTTGGCCAGGCTGGTCTCGAACTCCTGACCTCAGGTGATCCACCCGCCTTAGCCTCCCAAAGTGCTGAGATTACAGGCGGAAGCCACCGTGCCTGGCTAATCTGTTTAATCTTTCTATCATCTCTCTCTCTCTCTTATTTATTTATTTATTTATTTATTTATTTATTTATTTATTTTGAGACAGAGTTTTGCTCTTGTTGCCCAGGCTGGAGTGCAGTGGCACAATCTCAGCTCACTGCAAGCTCCACCTCCCAGGTTCAAGCGATTCTCCTGCCTCAGCCTCCTGAGTAGCTGGGACTGTAGGCGTGCCTCACCACGCCCGGCTAATTTTTGTATTTTTAGTAGAGACAGGGTTTCACCATGATGGCCAGGCTAGTCTCAAACTCCTGACCTCAGGTGATCCACCCACCTCGGCCTCCCAAAGTGCTGGGATTATAGGCATGAGCCACCATGCCCAGCTCATCTGTTTAATTTTTCTATCATCTCTCTCTCACACTCTTATTTATTTATTTATTTATTTACAGACAGAGTCTCACTCTGTTGCCCAGCCTGGAGTGCAGTGGCGCCATCTCAGCTCACCGCAACCTCCGCCTCCCAGGTTCAAGCGATTCTCCTGCCTCAGCCTCCCAAGTAGCTGGGATTACAGGTGTCTGCCACCAGGCCCAGCTGATTTTTGTATTTTTAGTAGAGATAGTATTTCACCATGTTGGCCAGGCTAGTCTCAAACTCCTGACCTCAAGTTCTCTGCCTGCCTCAGCCTCCCAAAATGCTGGGATTATAGGTGTGAGCCACCGTGCCCAGTCAATCTGTTTAATCTTTCTATCGTCTCTCTCTCCCTCTCTCTCTCTCTACTTATTTATTTATTTAGAGACGGAGTTTTGCTCTGTCACCCAGGCTGGAGTGCAGTGGCATGATCTCCGCTCACTGCAAACTCCCCTTCCTGGGTTCAAGCAATTATCCTGCCTCAGCCTCTCCAGTAGCTGGGATTACAGCCGCCGCCACCTTGCCCAGCAAATTTTTGTATTTTTAGTAGAGACGGGGTTTCACCATGTTGATTAGGCTGGTCTTGAACTCCTGACCTCAGGTGGTCCACTCACCTCGGTCTCCCAAAGTGCTGGGATTATACGCGTGAGCCACTGTGCACGGCCAATCTGTTTAATCTTTCTATCATCTCTCTCTCTCTCTCTCTATTTATTTATTTATTTATTTAGAGATGGAGTTTTGCTCTTGTTACCCAGGCTGGAGTGCAGTGGTGTGATCTCGGCTCATCTCCGCTCACTGCAACCTCTGCCTCCTGGGTTCAAGCGATTCTCCTGCCTCAGCCTCCCGAGTAGCTAGGACGACAGGCACCCGTCGCCACACCCGGCTAATTTTTTGTATTTTAGTAGAGACGGGGTTTCACCGTCTTGCCCAGGCTGGTCGCAGACTCCTGAGCTCAGGCAATCCACCTGAGTCGGCCTCCCAAAGTGCTGGGATTACAGGCGTGAGTCCCCGTGCTGGGCAAATCTGTCTAATCTATCTATCTATCTATCATCTATCTATCTATCTATCTATCTATCTATCTATCTATCTATCTATCATCTATCTATCTATCTATCATCTATCTATCAATTTCTAGTTTATCAATCATCTATCTATCAATCATCTATCTCTCTAATTTATTATCCGTTTATGTACCTATCTCATCTATCTATGTGTGTATCTATTATCTATCTCTAATTTATTTCTCATCCATATATCTATCATCTATCCTCTCATCTCTATCTGTTTATCATCTACCTGTTTATCCATCATCTATCTCTAATTTATTTACTACCCATTTATCTATCTCATCTATCGTTTCTGTCTTTCTATCATCTATGTGTGTATGTATCTATCATCTATCTCTAATTTATTTATTATCTATATGTATCTATCTATCTATCTATCTATCTTCATCATCATCATCATCATCATCATCATTTATGTATCTATCATCCAGGCAGGGCAGGAGAGGAGAAGAATGAATTATCTAATATAACCCTGAAAAACATGGGACCATATTTCTACCACTTCCCAGAATTAAGTCTAACACAGGCTTTTTCAGCCCTGGCACAGCTGACATTTGGGGCTGGAGGACTCTCTGTGGTGGGGCCGTCCTGGGCACTGTAGGGTGTTGAGCAGCGGCCCTGGGCTCCCCAAGCAGGTGCTAGGGCCACCCTCTCCCCAGCTGTGAAAACCAAAGATGTCTCCAGACATTGTCCAGTGTCCTCTGGGGGACAAAATTATCCCTGGTTGCAAACCACTTCCATAGACAGACAGATAGACAGATAGATGATAGATCAGATAGATAGATAGATAGATAGATAGATAGATAGATAGATAGATAGATAGATGGATGGATGATGGATAGACTAGAAATTGATAGATGATAGATAGACGATAGATTACATAGACAGATAGATGATAGATTAGGTAGATAGATAGATGATGGGTAAACTAGAAATTGATAGATGATAGATGATAGATAGATAGATGATAGATTAGATAGATGATGGATGAACTAGAAATTGATAGATGATAGACAGATGATAGATTAGATAGATATAGATTAGATAGATAGATGATGGATAAACTAGAAATTGATAGAAGATAGATAGATAGATAGATAGATAGATAGATAGATAGATAGATAGATAGATAGATGCTAAAAAACTGGAAGTACATGATAGATTAGATTGATAGATGAGAGATTGCAGATAGGTAGATAAGATAGATGATACATAATGAAAGGAAGATGATAGGTGATTGATGAATTAGAGACAAATAGATAAAAAGACAATAAATAAAGTTGAGATAGATATGATAGATAGATAGATAATAGGTAGATGGATATATACATGGATATATTGATAATAGAGGAAATAGGTGAGAGATGATAGATATGATAAATGATAACTACATAGGTGATTGATAGACAATAAGTGATTGATACATATATAAATTGCAGATAGATTAGAGATAGATAAATGGAGACAGACAATAGATAGATAGATGATAGATAGATGGATAGATAGATAGATAGATAGATAGAATGGATGGATAAATGATGGATGGATGGATGGATGGATGGATGAATGATGGATGAATAGATGGAAGGATGGTGGATGGATGGATGAATAAATGGATGGTTAGATAGATGATAAATAGATAATAGATAGGTAGGTAGGTAGATAGATAGATAGACGATAGATAGAATGAATGGATGGACAAATGATGGATAGATGGATGGATGGATGGATGGATGGATGGTGGATGGATGGATGGATGGTGGATGGATGGATGAATAGATGGATGGATAGATAAATGATAGATGATAAATAGATAAATAATAGGTAGATAGATAGACGATAGATTTGATAGATAGATGATAGATTTGATAGATGATAGATTTGATAGATAGATAGATAGATGATAGGTAGATAGATGATAGATAGATAGATAGATAGATAGATAGATAGATAGATAGATAATAGATAGGCAGATGATGGCTAGGTAGATCTAACAGCATGGAGAAGCCGGTGCCATCTGGGACCCTTTGGTGTAGGTGGGGTCAGGTACCCCAACTCGCAGAAGCAGAATTGGGGCTGAGCTCCAGGACACGCTGCTGCTTTGAGTCCAGCTGGTGGGAAGAGCTGTGGACAGGGCACCCCCTAGGCACCTGCCCATCCCTCCACCCATGCATCAGCCCCCAAGCTCAGTGCCCGGGTTCTCTCAGGGGGAAAATGAGCTCTCGGATCTTTTCACTAAATTCCTTTTGTGCATAAGCCAGCTGGGGTGAGTCTCACTAGTTCACAACTACAAGCACCGATGAACCAGCTGCAGCCACGCCTCCAGTCTGGGTCACTGGACAGATGTAAAAAGGAGAGACATGAACTCAGGTGTCCTGGAGGGATTTCCTGAGGCACAAGGAGTGGGTTTCCTGGACCTGGAAAATGTCTCATCACCTGTGCTGTGGGTCACTGCCCACATATGTGCAGACATGAGCTCAAACGTCAGCAGGGTTCAAACCCTAGAGCTGGAAGCTGCCACAGAGGTCATTGGTGAAGACGCTTCCTTTTAAAGATGGGGAAACCAAGGCGGATGATTTTCATTCTTTGCTGCACGGCCTCCCTCTGGACTCTGTCCCCACCTCCCATGGGAAATTCCCTGTAGGAATCCCAAATGGAGGCGCTGAGATGGCAGCCGTCAAAGCCAAATGTGGACATGGATTGAAGACATACCACCGGCTCCTGTACGAGTCAGGATTCTCCACAGGACCCCAGAGGAAGGGCTCACTTCTCCAACGAGTGACTCACATGAACTACCAAAGTGGGACCTAAATTCATCAGCAAGTCATCCTCTCCAAGCCCTGGAGAATGGAAGTCTGAGATCAAGGTGTGGGCAGAAACGTGCTTCCTCTGGAAGCTCTAGGGGAGGGTCCTTCCTGCCTCTCCCAGCTCCTGGGGCTCCAGGTGTCCCTGGGCTTGTGGCCACTTCACTGCAGTCTCTGCCTCCATCTCCACGTGGCCTTCTCCCCTGTGTCTGTGTCCCCTCTTCTGTCTCTTACAAGGACACCTGTCATTGTGTTTAGGGCCCATCCTAATTCGGGATGATCTCGTTTCCAGATCCTTAATCACATCTGCAAAGACCCTTTTTCCAAATGAGGTCCCATTCCCAGGTTCTGGGGGTTATTACGTGAATATGTGCTTCTGAGGGCCACTGTTCAATCCATTACAATTGTATCCAGTTCCTTCTGCAGGCTCTAGGGGAGGGTCCTTCCTGCCTCTCTCAGCTCCTGGGGGCTCCAGGCATCCCTGGGCTTGTGGCCACATCACTCCAGTCTCTGCCTTCATCTCTATGTGGCCTTCTCCTCTGTGACTGTGTCTCCTCTTCTGTCTCTTAGAAGGACACCTGTCATTAGATTTAGGGCCCACCCTACTCCAGGATGATCCCATCTCAAGATCCTTCACCTAATTACATCTGCAAAGACCCTGTTTCCAAATAAGGTCACTTTCCCAGGATCCGGGTGGACATATCTTTTGGGGAGGCCTCCATTGAGCCCACTGCCCACACACAGTCTGGCCTGAGGCATCCCCACATTGGAAATTCCACAGCGTCAGCTCTGACTTCTGGCCTCACTACATCCCCAAGCCTCACTCTGTTTTGGGAACTGGTCACTGACTCCCAGCTCTGGGCCTGGGTCTGTCCCTGTGTCTCTGTTCTGGTGGTTTCCAGCCTGACTTCATTACTTCCTGGACCCCACTTCTCCCTCTGGAGTCCACACCCTTCGTCAATTGGGCAACTGGGACCCTTGAGAGGCTCATCTGTCCCTGCCACCTGTCTCAACTCTGAATTCCCTCTCATCCCTCACCTCCTGGGATCCAACCCACCTCACATTGGTATCTATCTATGTGTCTGTCTGTCTGTCTATCTATCTGTCTGTCTGTCTGTCTATCCATCCATCCATCCATCTATCTATGTATCTATGTATCTGTGTACTAGCTATCTATCCATCCATCTATGTATCTATGTATCTATCCATCCATCTATCCATCCATCCATCCATCTATGCATCTATCTATTTATCTATCATCTATCATCTTTCTGTTTTTCTATCATCTTTTTATCTATCATCTATCTATCCATCTATGTATCTATGTATGTATGTATCTATCTATCATCTATCATCCATCTGTCTATGTATCTATGTATCATGTATCATCTATCTATCTATCTAATCTATTATCTATCTATCTATCCATCATCTATATTCTATTGATTGCATATATTATCATCTATCATGTATGTATCTATCTATCCACCTATGTATCATCAGTCTTTCTATAAATCATTCATCTGTCTATCTTCTATCTTCCATCTACCTGTCTATTATCTATGTATCTATAGAACCATCCATTCATCTACTATCTATGTATCTATCCATTATCTATCTACCTATTTCTCGACCTATCTATTTCTCTATCATCTATTTATTCTCATCTATCATTTAACTATCGATCGATCTCATCTATTATCTATCATCAGTCTATTAATCATCAATCTATCATCAATCTATCTATGTATCAATCTGTCATGTATCTATCATCAGTCTATCAATCATCCATCTATCTATCTTCTATTTTCTATCTATCACCTATGTAACTATAGATCTATCCATTCGTCTATCTATCTACTATCTGTGTATCTATCTATCCATTATCTATCTGTCTATGTATCTATTTATCTATTCTCATCTATCATCTAACTTTTGATTGATCTCATCTATTATCTATCTATCATGAGTCTATTAATCATCAACCTATCATCAATCTATGTGTCCATGTATCTGTCTGTCATGTATCTATCTATCTATCATCAGTCTATCATCTGTCTATCATCAGTCTATCAGCTATCTATCATCTATCTACGTATTTATCATCTATCTATCTATCTGTGTATCCCGGCCACATTCCCTGGGCTGAATGTGATCCCTAATGCTTGCCTCTCTTGTTGCCCAGACATCTCCGTCAGATACCAGACGGGACCTTCTCCCTTTCTCTGCAACGGAAGCATCAGTTCTAAGCCAGGCCCCATCCATCCTGGCTGCTCAGAGGAACTGTGGTTAGAGAAAAGCTATCAAGCTTTTCTCTAACCACAGTTCCTCTGAGTGGTGTCTGCACAGAATGCAGGACAGAAACAGAAGGACAGGGGAAGTGGAGTGGGTGCTGTTGAGCAAGGACGCCTTAGTAAACATTTAGGGATGGGGTCAAATGAGGTGTGGAAATGGCAGTTCTGTTTCCCAATTCATGAGAACATATTTGAGAAAGAAAAAGGTGGGGCTAGAAGAAATATATGAGAGGATGCATGGTATCATTTAAGAGATGCTATTTTTTTCCTTTTTTTTTTTTTTTTTTTTTTTTTTTTTTGAGACAGAGTCTCGCTCTGTTGCCCAGGCTGGAGTGCAGTAGGAGATGTTATCTCTTAAACATTTTAAAATACCTTCATGAACTACTTTTTCTATTCTGGTAAAATACACATACCATAAATTTGCCATTGCAATCTTTTTTTTTTTTTCTTTGTTGAGACAGAGTTTCGCTCTTGTCGCCCAGATTGGAGTGCAATGGTGCAATCTCAGCTCACTGCAACCTCTGCCTCCCAGGTTCAAGCGATTCTCTGGCCTCAGCCTCCCGAGTAGCTGGGACTACAGGCACCTGCCACCACGCCCGTCTAATTTTGTATTTTTAGTAGAGACGGCGTTTCTCCATGTTGGTCAGGCTGGTCTGGAACACCTGATCTCAGGTGATCTGCCCACCTTGGCCTCCCAAAGTGCTGGGATTACATGCGTGAGCCACTGTGCCAGCCCATGCAATCATTTCTTATTTTTTAAATTTTACTTTAACTTCAGGGATACATGTGCAGAACGTGCAGGTTTGTTGCATAGGTATACATGTGCCATGGTGGCTTGCTGCACCTATCAACCCATCATCTAGGTTTTAAGCCCCATATGCATAAGGCATTTGTCCTAATGCTCTCCCTCCCCTAGTACCCCATGCCGCCCCGACAGGCCCCAGTGTGTGATGTTCCCCTCCCTGTGTCCATATGTTCTCATTGTTCAACTCCCACTTATGAGTGAGAACATGCAGTGTTTGGTTTTCTGTTCCTGTGTGAGTTTGCTGAGGATGATACTTTCCAGCTTCATCCATGTCCCTGCAAAGGACATGAACTCATCCTTTTTTATGGCTGCATAGTATTCCACGGTGTCTACGTGCCACATTTTCTTTATCCAGTCTGTCATTGAGGGGCATTTGGGTTGGTTCCAAGTCTTTGCTATTGTGAATAGTGCTGCAAAAACATACGTGTGCATGTGTCTTTATAGTAGAATGATTTATAATCCTTTGGGTATATACCCAGTAATGGGATGGCTGGATCAAATGGTATTTCTGGTTCTAGATCCTTGAGGAATCACCACACT
The DNA here is from genome assembly GCF_000001405.40 of Homo sapiens. Classification (NCBI taxonomy): domain Eukaryota; kingdom Metazoa; phylum Chordata; class Mammalia; order Primates; family Hominidae; genus Homo; species Homo sapiens. The sequence continues at coordinate 930,074 of NC_000024.10, forward strand.
GTCTTCCACATGTTTGAACTAATTTACGCTCCCACAAACAGTGTAAAAGTGTTCCTATTTCGCCAGGCGCGGTGGCTCACGCCTGTAATCCCAGTACTTTGGGAGGCTGAGGCGGGCAGGTCACGAGGTCAGGAGATCGAGACCATCCTGCCTAACACGGTGAAACCCCGTCTCTACTAAAAATACAAAAAATTAGCTGGGCATGGTGGCGGGTGCCTGTAGTCCCAGCTACTCAGGAGGCTGAGGCAGGAGAATGGCATGAACCTGGGAGGCGGAGCTTGCAGTGAGCCGAGATCGCACCACTGCAGTCCAGCCTGGGTGACAGAGCGAGACTCCATCTCAAAAAAAAAAAAAAAAAAAAAGTGTTCCTATTTTTCCACTGCAATCAGAGTCTCACTGTGCTGCCCAGGCTGGAGTGCGGTGGTGCAATCATGGCTCACTGCAGCCTCGACCACCTGGGCTCAAGTGATCCTCCCATTTCGGCCTCCCAAGTAGCTGAGACTACAGGTGAGTGCCACCACGCCAAGCTAATTCTTGTAACTTTTGGACAGATCGGGTCTTGCTATGTTGTTCACGCTTGTCCTGAACTCCTGGGCTCAAGCGAAGTGTATTGTTTTAATTCTTATTTTGACTGATTGTTAAGTCAAAGATCTGTAGTGCTACACCCTAGAAAGGATCCTTTCTTTTGTTTTTATTTTTATTTATTATTTATTTATGTATTTTTTGAGATGGAGTCTCGCTCTGTCACCCAGGCTGCAGTGCAGTGGTGTGATCTCGGCTCACTGCAACCTCCACCTCCCGGGTTCAAGCCATTCTCCTGCCTCAGCCTCCTGAGTAGCTGGGATTACAGGCATGCACCACCACACCCAGCTAATTTTTGTATCTTTAGTAGAGATGGGGTTTCACCACATTGGCCAGGATGGTCTCGAACTCTTGACCTGGTGATCCACCCACTTCAGCCTCCCAAAGTGCTGAGATTACAGGTGTGAGCCACTGCGCCCGGCCGAAAGGATCTTTTCAAAAATAGTAGACAATATATGAAGTGTCCAATTTCTCTACATCCTTCTCCTCCTCACCAACTCTTGTGATTTTCCATTTTTTAAGGAATCATAACTGCTTCCGGTGAATGCAAAATCACATATTTGCTACATAACGCCCATTTGTGGAGTAAGCAAGTCGACCTGAATTTCACACGCTGCTTTAAACTTTTCTTATGCAAATTTGCAAATCCAGAATCCGGGAGAAGATTATCTGGAAGCATTCCCATCAACTGTTTTCCATGCACCTGTTTCTTTGAGGCTGTGATATTTTAAGGCAATAGTCCAGACATTACATCATTTAGCCTAAAATTACTTTAGGATGTAAATCTAACAGATAATAACATGTTTTATTTCATAACCAGAACACTAATTATGAAGCCTTCATAATAACAGTAAGTCCTTAAGGGACTTTGTTCAGATTTGCTTCATTTATTTATTTATTTATTGAGATGGAGTTTCACTCTTGTCACCCAGGCTGGAGTGCAACGGTGCAATCTCAGCTCACTGCAACCTCCGCCTCCCGGGTTCAAGCGATTCTCCTGCCTCAGCCTCCCAAGTACCTGGGATCACAGGCATGCACCACCACACCCAGCTAATTTTTGTATTTTTAGTAGAAACGGGGTTTCACCATGTTGGCCAGGCTGGTCTCGAACTCCTGACCTGAGGTGGTCTGCCCGCCTGGGCCTCCCAAAGTGCTGGGATTACAGGCGTGAGCCACCGCACCTGGCCCCAGGTTTGCTTTGGAATGTCAAAGATGAATTTCTACAGTTGGTTTGTTTGAGCCAAAACTGAAACAAGGTCACCTTGTTATATTTACTGATTTTTCTCAAGTATCTCTTTAAAATGAGACCTGAGACAAATGTATATAATTATATATATATTTATATTACTTTATAATATATAATTATATATTAATTATAATATATTATTCATATATCATATATAAATATAATATATATATTATGTTATATAAATATATCATATGTATATTATGTTATATAAATATATCATATACATTATGTTATATAAATATACAATATATACATTATGTTATATAAATATACAATATATACATTATGTTATATAAATATATAATGTATACATTATGTTATATAAATATATAATGTATACATTATGTTATATAAATATATAATGTATACATTATGTTATATAAATATATAATGTATATATTATGTTATATAAATATATAATGTATATATTATGTTATATAAATATATAATGTATATATTATGTTATATAAATATATAATATATATATTATGTTATATAAATATATAATATATATATTATGTTATATAAATATATAATATATATTATGTTATATAAATATATAATATATATTTATATTATGTTATATAAATATATAATATATATTTATATTATGTTATATAAATATATAATATATATTATGTTATATAAATATATAATATATATATTATGTTATATAAATATATAATATATATATTATGTTATATAAATATATAATATATATATTATGTTATATAAATATATAATATATATATTATGTTATATAAATATATAATATATATTATGTTATATAAATATATAATATATATTATGTTATATAAATATATTATATATATATTATGTTATATAAATATATTATATATATTATGTTATATAAATATATAATATATATTATGTTATATAAATATATAATATATATATTATGTTATATAAATATATAATATATATATTATGTTATATAAATATGTATAAATTATATATTTAAATATATAATTTAAATAATATTAAACAATATTTAATATAACATATATTATATATCAATATATAATGTAATACTATATAATAATTATTAATATTAACTAATTATTGATATTCATTAAGTATTAATAATACCATGATTGTTAATATAATAAATATTCTATGTTATATAATAAATAATATAAATATATATGATATATTAAGTATAATATAATTTTATAATAAATATGTTATATTGTTATATTATTTTATATATTTTTCTATGTAAAAAATGCACTGAGGTGAGCTTCACACAACATAAAATTAACCATTTTTAAAAGGAACGATTTTATGGCCTTTCATATATTTGTAGTGTTGTTCAACAATCACCTGTATATGGTTTTTTTGTTTTGAGATGGAGTCTCATTCTGTTTATCTTTTATTTTATTATATTTTTATTTATTTATTTACGGACAGAGTCTCCCTCTGTCACCCAGGCCAGAGTGCATTGGCACAATCTCAGCTCACTGCAACCTCCACCTCCTGGGTTCAAGCCATTCTCCTGCCTCAGCCTCCCCAGTAGCTGGGATTCCAGGCGCCCGCCACCACGCCCGGCTAATTTTTGTATTTTCAGTAGAGACGGCGTTTCAGCACGTTGGCCAGGCTGGTCTCAAACTCCTGACCTCAGGTGATCCACCCACCTCGGCCTCCCAAAGTGCTGCGACTACAGGCGTGAGACACCACACCTGGTCGCTGTATCCATTCTTTAATAAAATTTCTTAATACAGTTTGATTAGATCAAGCCACACTTCACAACTCCATGCAGCCCCTATGCCTCCAGGCCTGAAGGAGTTAACGCTAATTCTTTTTATGTTGGAGATTACCATTTTATTACCAATGCTTTGTGAAAGTGCCATTATCATAAAATTGAAAACCGTCATCAAATTCTCTCCACGTGAAGAGGGGAGGCTTTTAGATGTGGGAGCGATTCTGACGACGCTGAAGGGTAGCAATTACCCTGTGACCATCCTCTGCGTGGAGGATTAAAAATAATCATTAAAGTAATGAGGCGTGAGTGGGATTTAAGGAACTCTCGCCGTAGTTAATTTGTTTTTGTAGTGAATTATTTAAATCTTCTTCCCGGGCCCCCATGCCTCCCATTTTTGTTTGGAAAAGAGACGTGCATTAACGGTTCTTAGAAGTGTACGTGGGGTGAAGCTGGTAATTAATAATATGATTTTGTTGTTGTTGTTATTGTTTGAGACAGAGTTTCACTCTGTCACCCAGGCTGGAGTGCAATGGCTCGATCTTGGCTCACTGCAACCTCCACCTCCTGGGTTCAAGTGATTCTCCTGCCTCAGCCTCCCTAGTAGCTGGGACTACAGGTGCCCGCCACCACACCCGGCTAATTTTTGTGTTTTTAGTAGAGATGGGGTTTCACCATGTTGGCCAGGATGGTCCCGATCTCCTGACCTTGTGATCCACCTGCGTCAGCCTCCCAAAGTGCTGGGATTACAAGCATGAACCACCTCGCCCAGTCTTGTTTTTTTTTTGTTGTTTTTTGTTTTGTTTTTTTTTTTTTTTTTTTTTTTTTTTTGAAACAGAGCTTCACTCTTGTCATCCAGGCTGAAGTGCAGTGGCTTGATCTCGGCTCACTGCAACCTCCACCTCCCGGGTTCAAGCTATTCCCCTGCCTCAGTCTCCCGAGTAGCTGGGGTTACAGGTACCTGCCACCATGCCCGGCTAATTTTTGTAATTTTGTATTTTGTTGACCAGCCTGGCCAACATGGTGAAAACTGTCTCTACTAAATATACAAAAAAATTAGCTGGGCATGGTGGCGCACGCCTGTAGTCCCAGCTACTCAGTAGGCTGAGGCAGGAGAATTGCTTGACCCCCAGGAGTTCGAGGTTGCAGTGAGCCGAGATTGCACCACTGCACTCCAGCCTGGGCAGCACAGCGAGACTCCATCTCAAAAACAACAACAACAACAAAAAGACCTGCCTAGCCAACATGGTGAAACCCTGTCTCTACTAAATATACAAGAAAATTAGCCAGGCGTGGTGGCAAATGCCTGTAATCCCAGCTACTCGGGAGGCCCAGGCAGGAGGATCGCTTGAACCTGGGAGGTGGAGGTTGCAGCGAGCCAAGATTGTGCCACTGCACTCCAGCCTGGGCAACAAGAGTGAAACTGTGTCTCAAAAACAAACAGACAAAAACAGAGTGTCTTAGTGGGATGATTTCATGTCCTGATGAGAGGTTTCACTCCCTCAGGGATCTTCCCCTCCCCATGAGCCCTCCGGGGCCCCTAAGAGCAAAATGTTGACAAGCGCGTCTTAGGACCTCCACCCTGTTGAAATGGACTTTCACTTTTATACTAAGTGCCTCAGCATGGAGGTTTTCTTTCAACGCAGCAATCCCACTGAAAGAGCTGGGAGAAGGTTGAACTGAGGGAGCTAGGAGAAAACCCACCTCAAATAACCAGTGGGGTGTGGGGGTGCAGTATCTTTAAGCGTTCCTCTCTGCTGGTTTCGTAGCTGATTAAACCGAGGGAAAAATCCATGCATTCTGGTCTAGAAGGACAGGAGGCAGCTTGCGTGTCCACCTGTTAGAGGCCGGGAAATCAAGCCCCAGAGACTTGGGGGTGATAGAAATAGAATCTACGAGCTTCAACGGCCTCATCCAGAAACTGTGAGTTAAAGGCAGGGTTGAGAGAGAAATTCCTTGGCATCCAGCATGATTTAAGTTATTTCTGTGGGTTCCACAGTATTTCTAAGTGGCACTGGTCATATAAAAGGCACTAATCAGCCGGGCGCAGTGGCTCAAGCCTGTTAACCCGGCACTCTGGGGGGCCGAGGCAGGTGGATCACTTGAGGTCAGGAGTTCGAGACCAGCCTGGCCAACATGGCACAAAACCCCATCTCTACTAAAAATACAAAAATTAGCCAGGTGTGGTGGTGTGTACCTGTCATCCCAGCTACTCGGGAGGCTAAGGTAGGAGAATCGCTTGAACCCAGGAGGCAGAGGTTGCGATGAGCTGAGATCGTATCACTGCACTCCAGCCTGGGCGACAGAGCGAGACTCCATCTCAAAAAAAAAAAAAAAAAAAAAAGAGGCTTGAGAGAAAATTCCTTGGCACCCAGCATTATTTAACTTCCTTCAGTGGATTTGACTGTATTTATAAGTGGCACTGGTCATATAAAAGGCACTAATCAGCCGGGCGCCTCCCGTGTCCAAGTGATTTTCCTGCCTCAGCCTCCTGAGTAGCTGGGATTACAGGCACCCGCCACCATGCCCGGCTAATTTGTGTATTTTTAGTAGATACGGGGTTTCATCATGTTGGCCAGGCCGGTCTCGAACTCCTGACCTCAGGTGATCCACCCGCCTCAGCCTCCCAAAGTGCTGGGATTACAAGCGTGAGCCACTGCGCCCGGCCTCTGTGTAATTTCTTATATCAAGTGAAATCTAAAAGCCCATCTGATGGGAGGGTGGTGGCTGTTGAAAGGATCCTAGATTCTGCATTTCTTCTGGGCTTGCAACGTTGATCCAGCCCAACAGTTTTCTTTCTCTTTCTTTCTTTCTTTCTTTCTTTCTTTCTTTCTTTCTTTCTTTCTTTCTTTCTTTCTTTCTTTCTTCTTTCTTTCTTTCTTTCTTTCTTTCTTCTTTCCTTCTTTCTTTTCTTCCTCCTTCCTTCCTTCCTTCCTTTCTTTCTTCTTTCTTCCTTCTTTCTTTCTTTTTTTTTTTCAGAGTTTTACTCCTGTTGCCCAGGCTGGAATGCAGTGGTGCAATCTTGGCTCACTGCAACCTCTGCCTCCCAGGTTCAAGTGAGTCTCCTGCCTCAGCCTCCCGAGTAGCTGGGACTACAGGCACCCGCCACCACACCCGGCTAATTTTTGTATTTTTAGTAGAGACGGGGTTTCACCGTGTTGGCCAGGCTGGTCTCGAACTCCTGACCTCAGTTGATCCACCCACCTCAGCCTCCCAAAGTGCTGGGATGACAGACATGAGTCGCCGTGCCCAGCCAGTAGTTATTTTTTTAATTCACCCCAGATTCGTAATATTTATGGCTCGGTACAAAGCAATATGGGCTTGGCTGGTAAGAAGGAGGCTGGCGTGATTTCATGTCACCTTCTGAGCACTCGCCTCTCAACAGGGAGAATTTTTTACTGTTAACCAAGCAGGTCTATTTTCAGAAATATGTAAACCGTGCCTTGCAAACATTGAGAAGCAGTTACCGCTTAGCAGTTAATCAATGGATTTAAGATCAGCTCTTGTAAGCCGAAAGATACCGTGTAATAAATGACTGTTGGTGTTGATTAAATAGTGAGACTCAGCCGAGGCACTTAATCAATCTCCGAAGCCGTTTACAGGGAGCCCGCGTGCTCATAGCGGTTATGTGACAAGCTGTAAAACAGAAAATAGAAAATAGACTGGATGTTGTCATCAGAATGGATCTATTTTATACATGAGACAAATTCACAGAAAATCATTTGCAGATGGTTCCATTGTTGTGTCGGGGTTCAGTGGGTGCTGGGAGTCGCTGGGGCAAAAGGAAGACTTTTCTCAAAGACTCAGCAGGAGAATGACTTTCATTTCACTGAAGTCAGCCCCGTAGCTAAGGCTGCAGACAAATCAGGAGCAACTATAGCTGAGAACCCTCTTTGTGAACGTGAGCCCCAATCTGCCCGTCACGGGGTGACATCACCACCAACCGTGACACCGTCAGTGTCCAAACAAGAGCGAAAGGACATTCGCAGTGCAGAAGTAAAAGATGATGCTGGCCAGGTGCGGTGCCTCGTGCCTGTGATTGCAACACTTTGGGAATTCGAGGCTGGAGAGGATTGCTTGAAGCCAGGAGTTCGAGACCAGCCTGGGCAACATGGGAAGACCCCCATCTCTGCACACACACACGCACGCACACACACACACACACACACACACACACACACACACACACTTGAGCCCAGGAGGTGGAGTCTGCTGTGAGCCGTGATCGTGCCACTGCACTCCAGACTGGACAGCAGAGTGAGACCCCATATGAGGTGGGAGAAGGGACCTTCCCTGAGGAACCTGCACCCTCTCCCAACCCCAGGATGGAAATCAAGGAAAATCATGAGTTCTTTCCAGGAAAATTCCAGGCACCTCGCTACAGTAGCTTAAAACAATAGTCAGCCCGGCACGGTGGCTCACGCCTGTCATCCCAGCACTTTGGGAGGCCGAGGCAGGTGGATCCCCTGAGGTCGGGAGTTCAAGACCAGCCTGACCAACGTGGAGAAACCCCGTCTCTACTAAAAATACAAAAATTAGCCGGGCGTGGAGGCGGACTCCTGCAGTCCTAGCTACTCGGGAGGCTGAGGCAGGAGAACTTCCTGAGGGACCTGCAGAAAGTCACACCGACAAGCTACGGCTGACATTTTTTTCTGCTGACCCCAAATTTTTACAGAACCCTTCGCCTCCTTAGCCAGTTGCAAATCAGGGAAGTTTGGACTTCACCTATGACCTGTAAGCTTTGAGATGTCCCAGCTTTTTATAGCAAACCAATGTTACTTATGCCTCCTCTGCCTTGAAAATCCCATACGTGGGGGCCCCTGGGGAGGTCAGGAGTAAAGCATGGGGTGCCCGATCCTCTTGCCAAAGAAAACACCCTCCTTTCTCTCACGGCAAATCCCAATGTGGATGTTGGGCTTTGCTGTGTCCGGTGGGAGGACCCAAGAAAGTTCTGGAACAGAAACAGGGCTTTGAGGAGGTACCTCAAAGCTAAACAAGATAATGAGGGTGGTGTCCCAATGCAAAAAGGTTGGTGACCTCCTAAGAAAGAGGAAGAAATCTCTCTCTGTCTCTCCTCTCTTGATACCTCTCCATCTCTCTTCTCATCTCCTCTCTCTCTCTTTTTCTCTTTCTCAGCACCTCTCTGTCTCTGTCTCTCCTCTCCTCTCTTCTCCTCTTTCTCTCTCTCTCTCTTTTCTCTTTCGATATCTCTCCATCTCTCTTCTCATCTCCTCTCTCTCTCTCTTTTTCTCTTTCTCAGCACCTCTCTGTCTCTGTCTCTCCTCTCCTCTCTTCTCCTCTTTCTCTCTCTCTCTCTTTTCTCTTTCGATATCTCTCCATCTCTCTTCTCATCTCCTCTCTCTCTCTCTTTTTCTCTTTCTCAGCACCTCTCTGTCTCTGTCTCTCCTCTCCTCTCTTCTCCTCTTTCTCTCTCTCTCTCTTTTCTCTTTCGATATCTCTCCATCTCTCTTCTCATCTCCTCTCTCTCTCTTTTTCTCTTTCTCAGCACCTCTCTGTCTCTGTCTCTCCTCTCCTCTCTTCTCCTCTTTCTCTCTCTCTCTCTTTTCTCTTTCGATATCTCTCCATCTCTCTTCTCATCTCCTCTCTCTTTTTCTCTTTCTCTCTTTCTTGGTACCTCTCTCTCCCCCTCTCTGTCTCTCCTCTCCACTCTTCTCCTCTCCCTCTGTCTCTCTGTCTGTCTCTCTATTTCTGCTTATTTTCTCCTCTCTCTCGATACCATGCTCTCTCTCTCCTCTTCTTTTCTCCTCCCTCTCTCTCTTTCTCCTTATTTTCTCCTCTCTCTGTCATTCTTGGTATCTCTCTTTCTCTCTCTCTCTCCTCACCTCTCTTCTCCTTTCTCTGTTTTCTCCTCTGTCTCTTTCTCAGTACCTTCCTCTCTCTCCTCTCTTCTCCTCTGTCTCTTTCTCTCCCTCTGCTTTTTGGTACCCCTTCCCCTCTTGTCTCCTCTTTTCTCTCTCTGTCTCTCTCTCTTACTCTGTATTTTCTCCTCTCTCTCTGTCTCTCTTTCTTGATCTCTCTCTCTCCTCTCTACTCTCTCTCTCTCTGTCTCTTTATTTTCTCCTCTGTCTCTCTTTCTCGGTACTTCTCTCTCGTCTCCTCTCTTCTCCTCTCTCTGTTTATTTCTCTCCTCCTCCTTCTCGGTACCCCCCTCCTCCTCTTTTCTCTTCTCTCTCTGTCTGTCTGTCCGTCTCTCTTTCTCTTTATTTTCTCCTCTCTCCCTCTCTTTCTCGGTACCTGTCTCTCTCTGTGTCTCCTCTCGTCTCTTCTCCTCTTTGTTTCTCTCTCTCTCTCTTTCTCGGTACCTCTCTCCCTCTATCTCCTCTCCTCTCTTCTCTCTCTCTCCCTCTCTCTCTTTCTCTGTATTTTCTCCTCTATCGCTTTCTCAGTACCTCTCTCTTTCCCCTCTCCTCTCTCTTTCTTTCTCTCTGTCTTTCTCTTTCTCTGTACCCACCTTTCTCTCTCCTCTCCTCTCTTCTTCTTTCTCTCTCTCTCTTTCTCTGTGTGCAGGAGTTCTTTCTCTCTGTCTCACTCACTCTCTCTCTTTCTCTGTATTTTCTCCTCTATCTCTCAGTACCTCTCTCTTTCCCCTCTCCTCTCTCCTTCTTTCTGTCTTTCTCTTTCTCTGTACCCACCTTTCTCTCTCCTCTCCTCTCTTCTTTCTCTCTCTCTCTTTCTCTGTGTGCAGTTCTTTCTCTCTGTCTCACTCGCTCTCTCTCTTTCTCTGTATTTTCTCCTCTATCTCTCAGTACCTCTCTCTTTCTCCTCCCCTCTCTTCTTCTTTCTCTCTGTCTTTCTCTTTCTCTGTACCCCCTTCTCTCTCTCCTCTCCTCTCTTCTTCTCTCTCTCTCTCTTTCTCTGTATTTTCTCCTCTATCTCTTTCTCAGTACCTCTCTCTTTCCCCCTCCTCTCTCTTTCTTTCTTTCTGTCTTTCTCTTTCTCTGTACCCCCCTTCCTCTCTCTATCTCTCTCTGTCTCTCTCTTCCTCTCTCTCTCTCTCTCTCCCTCCCTCTCTCTCTCTCCCTCCCTCTCTCTGTCTGCAGAAGCATACATCAGGGAAATGCCCTGTGAGGACAGAGAGGGAAGGCAGCTGTCTGCACCCTGGAAGGGGCAAGGGAACCCTCTCCAAAACCCACCCATGCCAGCGACTCCCCAATTCTGGACTTGCAGCTTCTAGAGCTGTGAGAAAATAAAGGTCTCTTTTGCAGGCTGCACATTCTGAGCTGTTTTGCAATAACCAGCCCGAGCTGACGAACTGCGCTGTGTAGGCTCAGGTACATAAGGATCCACCCAACATTCCCTCCTAGCTCAGGACAAAACTGGCAAGCGCCTCATGTTGTCGACCCATCCCCACGGCCCTGGAAGGTCCCGAAGCTGTCAGGAAAAGCTCATTTCTGTAAAAGCGTCTTCACTCCTTTTAGAGGAAGCTGCTGACAGACTTTGCAGTGGTGCCCGACGTGACAAGCTGGGTCCAAAGAGCTCGGCGTTCAGGGCCAGGCTTAATGGGGAACATGTCTCGGCCAGTGTTTCTACTTAATTAGGCCTTTTTCGTACCGATTGGACTATTTTTTATGACGGTCCAGTCCAACTGCCCCCAAACATGATAAACTGATTACGTGTGCTCTGTTGCAAGAGTTTTTAATAAATATGAACCATCTGAGTACAATCACCCACTCCTCTAGGAGGCCTCAACGGCGGCTTAACCAAACTGATTTCTTTTTATTTTTATTTATTTATTTTTATTTTTGAGATGGAGTCTCTCTCTGTCGCCCAGGCTGGTGTGATCTCGGCTCACTGCCACCTCCGCCTCCCAGGTTCAAGCGACTCTCCCGCCTCAGCCTCCCAAGTAGCTGGGATGACAGGTGCCACCACCACACCCGGCTAATTTTTGTATTGTTAGTAGAGATGGGGTTTTCACCGTGTTGGCCAGGCTGGTCTCGAACTCCTGGCCTCAGGTGATCCCCCCGCCTCGGCCTCCCAAAGTGCTGGGATGACAGGCATGAGCCTCCGCTCCCGGCCCCAAACTTGTTTCTTTATTCCGTCTCAGTATTTAGGAAACATCCTTTAAGCCATGGAGCGATTTGAGATCAAAACAGAGCCCCTCCTTTTGAGACGAAGGATCTGGGCGTCAAGAAGGGTCTGTAGCTTCTCCATGGGACCCTGTGGAGCTTGGAGGGCTCTGTCAAAGCTCTCACTGCAGAGAGCACAGGGTGTTCACTGGTGTGTGAGGCTTAGGGCCTTTGCAGGTTTAGAGAGTCTCAGGCGGCCTAAGTCATATTCATTCACTCACAGAGTCAGCGGCTCTGGCCACCCGCTGGCATGGGTGGCTTTTATCAAGGGCTTCCTTCCTCCTTCGAGGGTGGAGACAGCCGCCTTCTCGCTCTATCCTCTCAGGGCCTTTCCCAGGTGTGTATGCTCCTGCAGAGAGAGAGAGAGAGAGAGACAGAAAGAAAGAAGAAGAGAGGAGAAGAGAGAGAGAGGGTGTACAGAGAAAGAGAAACAAAGAGAGAGATGAGGGGGAAAGAGAGACAGAGAGAGAAAGAAACAGAAAGAGGAGACGACATGAGAGGAGAGAGAGACAAAGAGAGAGAGAAAGAGAAAGGTACCGAGAAAGAGAGGGAAGTAGGAGAAAAGGAAGAGAAAGAGACAGACAGAGAGAAAGAAGAAGAGGGGGGGGGGTGTACAGAGAAACAGAGAGAGAGACAGAAAGAGAGAGAGGAGAGAGGAAAGAGAGAGGTGCTGAGAAAGAGAGAGAGGAGAGAGGAAAGAGAGAGGTGCTGAGAAAGAGAGAGAGGAGAGAGGAAAGAGAGAGGTGCTGAGAAAGAGAGAGAGGAGAAAATAAAGAGAGAGAGAGAGAAAGACAGAGAGAAACGAGAGGAGAAGAGATAGAGGGAGAGAGGTACCAAGAAAGAGAGAAAGAGACAGAGAGAAGGAAGAAGAGAGGAGAGGAAAGGGGAGGTGTATGGAGAAAGAGAGAGAGAAAGAAAGAGAGAGGAGAGGGGAAAGAGAGAGGTGCTGAGAAAGAGAGAGAGGAGACAATAAAGAGAGAGAGAGAAAGACAGAGAGAAACGAGAGGAGAGGAGATAGAGGGAGAGAGGTACCAAGAAAGAGAGAGAGAGAGGCAGAGAGAAAGAAGAAGAGAGGAGAGAGAGGGGGTGTACTGAGAAAGAGAGAGAGGGAAAGAAAGAAAGAGAGGAGAGGGGAAAGAGAGCAGTACTGAGAAAGAGAGAAAAAAGAGAGAGAGAGAAAGAGAGAAATGAGAGGAGAGGAGATAGAGGGAGAGACGTACCAGGAAAGAGAGAGAGACAGAGAGACAGAAAGACAGAAAGAAGAGAGGAGAGGAGAGGGGGTGTACAGAGAGAGAGTAGAGGGGAAAGAGAGGTACTGAGAAAGAGAGAGAGGAAAAAATACAGAGAAAGAGAGAGACAGAGAGAGATGACAGGAGAGGAGATAGAGGGAGAGAGGTACCAAGAAAGAGAGAGAGGGAGAGAGACAGAGAGAGAAAGAAGAAGAGAGGAGAGGAAAGAGAGGGGGGTGTATAGAGAAAGAGAGAGAGAAAGAAAGAGAGAGAGGAGAGAGGAAAGAGAGAGGTACTGAGAAAGAGAGAGAGGAGAACATACAGAGAAAGAGTGAGAGAGACAGAGAGAGAGGAGAGAGGAGAGGGGATAGAAGGAGAGAGGTACTGAGAAAGCGAGAGAGAGAGAGAGAAGAAGAGATGAGAGGAGAGAGAGGAGGGTGTACAGAAAAAGAGAGAGAGAGAAAGAGAGGAGAGGGGAAAGAGAGAGGTACTGAGAAAGAGTGAGAGAAGGAAATAAAGAGAAGGAGAGATAAAGAAACAGAGTCAGCGGCTCTTCATTTGCTGGTCCACACACAAGCCCACCAGGATAGACAGTGAAGCAGCTGAACTGTAGACAGAAGAGAGGGTAGAAGGCATTTGCAGCAAGACACACGGGAAAGGATGACCCAAAACCGTGATGCGAGTTTGAGAGTCAGACTCGATATACCAGCATTATTACCCAATAAAGGCCAAACAGGGATTCTAGGAGGGCCTTGATATTTTTGTCTTAGTTGCTCGTGTCAAAAGCAGCACCAGGCTGGAGGCGGTGGCTCACACCTGTAATCCCAGCCCTTTGGGAGGCCAAGGCAGGTGGATCACTTGAGGTCAGGAGTTCAAGACCAGCCTGGCCCACATGGAGAAACTCCATCTCTACTAAAAATACAAAAATTAGCCAGGTGTGGTGGCAGGTGCCTGTCATCCCAGCTATTCCGGAGGCTGAGGCAGGAGAATCGCTTGAACCCGGGAGGCGGAGGTTGCAGAGAGCCGAGATCACACCATTACACTCCAGACTGGGCGACAGAAAGAAACTCGGTCCCAGAAAAAAAAAAAAAAATGCAGCACCATTTGCCAAGCAAGACAGCTGGAGAATACCAGGTTTGGGTACCGTGATGATTAATACTGAATGTGAAGTTGATTGGATTGAAGGATGCAAAGTATTGATCCTGGGTGTGTCTGTGAGGGTGTTGCCAAAGGATATCAACATTGGAGTCAGTGGGCTGGGAGAGGCAGAATCACCTTCAATCTGGGCAGGCATCATCTAATCAGCTGTTGGCACAGCTAGAATATAATCAGGCACAAAAATGTGCAAAGAGAGAGTGGCCTAGCCTCCCAGCCTCCATCTTTCTCCCATGCTGGATGCTTCCTGCCCTCGAACATCTGACTGCAAGTTCTTCAGTTTTGGGACTGGGAATGGCTCTTCTTGCTCCTCAGCCTGCAGACAGCCTGTTGTAGGACCTGGTGATTGTGTGAGTTCATACTTAATAAACTCCCATTTATAGATAGATACATAGATAGATAGATGATAGATAGACAGACAGACAGACAGATAGATAGATAGATAGATAGACAGATAGATAGATACATAGACAGATACACAGATAGATATATAGATAGATAGATAGATAGATAGATAGATACATAGATACATAGATAGATACATAGATTGATACATAGATACACAGATAGAAAGATACATACATACATACATACATACATACATACATACATACGTACGTACATAGATAGATGATAGATAGATAGATAGACAGATAGATACATAGATAGATATACAGATACATAGATAGATAGAAAGATACATAGGTAGACGGATTGATACATAGATAGATAGATACATACATACATACATACATAAACACATAGATACATAGATACATACATACATAGATACATAGATAGATACATACATACATATATACATATATACATAGATACATATATACATAGATACATAGGTACATACATAGATAGATACATACATACATAGATAAATAGATAGGTACATAGATAGATACATACATACATAGATACATAGAAAGATACATAGATAGATAGATACATACATACATACATAGACAGATACATAGATAGATAGATACATAGATACATAGATAGATAGATAGATGCATACATACATACATACACAGATAGATACATAGATAGATAGATACACAGTTAGATGATAGATAGATAGATAGATGATAGATAGATAATAGATATATACATACACAGATAGATGCACAGATAGATGATAGATAGATACATAGATAGATAGATACATACATACATACACAGACACATAGATACATAGATACACAGTTAGATGATAGATAGATAGATAGATAGATAGATAATAGATAGATACATACATACATACACAGATAGATAGATAGATGCACAGATAGATGATAGATAGATAGATACATACATAGATAGATAGATAGATAGATACATACATACATACATAGATACACAGTTAGATGATAGATAGATAGATAGATAATAGATAGATACATACATACATACACAGATAGATAGATAGATGCACAGATAGATGATAGATAGATAGATACATAGATAGATAGATAGATAGATAGATAGATAGATAGATACATACATACATACATACATAGATACACAGATAGATACATAGATACACAGTTAGATGATAGATACATAGATACATAGATAGATAGATGCATACATACATATGTACACAGATAGATACATACACAGATAGATACACAGTTAGATGATAGATAGATAATAGATAGATAGATACATACACAGATAGATACATAGATGCACAGATAGATGATAGATAGATAGATACATAGATACATAGATAGATAGATAGATACATACATACATACATAGATACACAGATAGATACATAGATACACAGAAGATAGATAGATAGATGATAGATAGATACATACATACATAGATACACAGATAGATACATAGATACATAGATAGACAGATAGATGATAGATAGATAGATAGATAGATAGATAGATAGATAGATAGATAGATAGATTTTATTAGTTCTGTTCCTCTAGAGAACCCTGATTAATACAGGTAGAAACGGGTGAGGTAGTGTGAGTGCCTCACTCAAGTGAAGGTGCCCTGTCCACAGCAGGGTAGGAAGAGGCTGTGGGCATCACAGACCACAGACCGGGTGTGAGATCTGGCAGCCAAGGACTTCAAGGCAGATACAACCAGCTTTATGCGGTATCTGCCAATGGGAAGGGGTAGGATGAGGCAAGGTCGCCACCCGGAACAGAGACCCACGTCCACAAAACAGGGGCAAAATTGGGAAAAGCCAGCAGTGACGCGATTGAAAGCCACGTTTTTATTGCACTGGCAGATATGATTTAAATAGGGGTGCGATGAGAATACGTTCAAAGGAATCATTTTATTTAGGAGTAGGATGTGAGGGAGGACTCTTGGGCATTTGGATGTCGAGAGACAGAGAGAAAGAAATATTTTCAGGGGACATTTTGAAAGGAGACTTATTAATAATTCAAGGGGCAAAGGCGTTCCAAGCTGTACCTGGAAAGTATTTTAAGCCAAACTACAGCCTACACTAAAGAACGGTTTCCAGCCTGTTATCTGACTTGCTACCAAAAATACATTTAAAGTAGAAATTTGGAGGCTGGTCCTCTTGAAATGCGGTGCAAATTGCTCCCCAATTTTTATATTAGACGCAGAGAGAGACACTTATGAGGCAGTCTCGCCAACATAAGATATTAGAGAAAAAATTGGAAAGAGCAGTGTAGGATATTTCCCTCAACAAGGTTGCAAGCAAAGATGGATGTATTTGCAAATAAGAAATTTATGAAATACTGTTGCAAAGCTCATGTTTGCAAGGCGTCTCCACCCACAACGGGGTCTCGAGACAAAGAGAGTAGGTCTCAGCACCAAGCCCTCTGCTCATGTTGTTTGGAACGGCGCCATTGGTTTTCTTTGTGTTTCTGTTTTGTATTATAGTGTACGATGGCTCCCTGGCCTCTCTGGGTCTCTCAGGGAACCAAGCGTCCACTGTGCCCAAGAAGGAAAAAGGAAAAAAGTGGACTGGACCTTCTCTGTCCTCTCTAGACCTCTGGATAACAGGTGTCCCTCAAGGGTCCCAAGGGGTGAGCAAAGTCAGTGTTTTCCAATCTTCAAACCAGAGCAGATACCATGGATTCCTCAAAGGCCCCAAGGGGTGAGCAAAGTCAATGTTTTCCAATCTTCAAACCAGAGCAGATACCATGGATTCCTCAAAGGCCCCAAGGGGTGAGCAAAGTCAGTGTTTTCCAATCTTCAAACCAGAGCAGATACCATGGATTCCTCAAAGGCCCCAAGGGGTGAGCAAAGTCAATGTTTTCTGCTCTTCAAACCAGGCCGGATTCCACGAGTCCCTCAAGGGTCCCAAAGGGTGAGCAAAGTCAACATTTCACAATCTTCATACCAGACCGGATACCACAAGTCCCTCAAGGATCTCAAAGGGTGAGCAAAGTCAATGTTTTCCAATCTTCAAACCAGGCCGGATATCACGGGTCCCTCAACGGTCCCAAGGGGTGAGCAAAGTCAATGTTTTCCAATCTTCAAACCAGACCAGATGCCATGGATCCCTCAAGGGTCCCAAGGGGTGAGCAAAGTCAATGTTTTCCAATCTTCAAACCAGACCAGATGCCATGGATCCCTCAAGGGTCCCAAGGGGTGAGCAAAGTCAATGTTTTCCAATCTTCAAACCAGACCAGATGCCATGGATCCCTCAAGGGTCCCAAGGGGTGAGCAAAGTCAATGTTTTCCAATCTTCAAACCAGGCCAATACCACGGGTCCCTCAGGGGTCCCAAGGGGTGAGCAAAGTCCATGTTTTCTGCTCTTCAAACCAGGCCAAATACCACGAGTCCCTCAAGGATCCCAAGGGGTGAGCAAAGTCCATGTTTCACAATCTTCAAACCAGACCAGATACCACGGGTCCCTCAAGGGTCCCAAGGACTGAGCATAGTCAATGTTTTCCAATCTTCAAGCCAGAAGATGCCACCATATTGATTGGCCAATTCTCTTGGACTCAGCAAAGCATCTTCCTTAATAACCTTTCCCTCTCTACATCTAAAACAAAGGAATCCATGGCCTTCAACCACAGACCCTCCTTCCCCAGAGTGACCTCTCTACACTGGAGTGTCTATCTTGGTGTCCAGCCTAGAGATAATGGTCCTGTGGGAATTTAGCTGAAATCTCATAGCAAGAAGAGTGAATGTGGAGACCTTGGTCCCTTCCTGATTCTTCCAAGAAAATGGCAGATGGGTGAGGCTTCCAAGAGGAAGAACTGACCTCATCCATCTACCCTTTTCTCCTTCAAGATGAACACGCTCAAGCAATGGTGGTCTGGAATGTCTTGGGATTGTTTTGTTGGAAGGAGCATTAGAGGTGGAAGCTCTCTCAAAACAAAGAGGAACATGACTCAGGAAAACAAAGCAAGTCCTTCAAAGTCAGACACTCAAGTGTCTTGGCTCTGAGCCTAGCATCTTTGCCTCCACCCTGACCTGCGATGAGACCCTTTGAGTTTGAGATGGAGTCTCGCTCTGTCATCCAGGCTGGAGTGCAGTGGCATGATCTCAGCTCACTGCAACCTCCACCTCCTGGGTTCAAGCGATTCTCCTGCCTCAGCCTCCTGAGTAGCTGGGATTACAGGCGCCCACCACCACACTCAGCTAATTTTTGTATTTTTAGTACAGATGGGATTTCACCATCTTTGCCAGGCTGGTATTGAACTCCTGACCTCGTGATACACCCACCTCAGCCTCCCAAAGTGCTGGGATTACAGGTGTGAGCCACGGTGCCCAGCCTGAGACTTTTCTTAGTTTTGTAAGGTTTTAAATAGACTGACAGGTACAGAGAGCAATGGGGCAGAGACAGTAGACTCAGCACCCAACAGGAATGGAAGATTTAAGACTCAGTCTTTTTTTTTTTTCCTTTTTGAGACAGAGTCTCACTCTGTCACCCAGGCTGGAGTGCAGTGGTGTGATTGTAGCTCACTGCAACCTCCGCCTCCCGAGTTCAAGCAATTCTCCTGCCTCAACCTTCCGAGAAGCTGGGATTACGGCGTCCGCCAACATGCCCGGCTAATTTTTGTATTTTTAGTAGAGACGGGGATTTACTGTGTTGGCCAGGCTGGTCTTGAACTCCTGACCTGATGTGATCCACCCGCCTCGGCCTCCCAAAGTGCTGGGATTACAGGCGTGAGCCACCTCGCCCAGTCAGGTTCATTCTCTTTTAAGAGACAGAAACACAGCTGAGGTTCTCCCTGGAAACCTCCTGGTCACTACAGACCCTCCTTCCCCAGAGCAACTTCTCTGTATTGGAGTGTTTTTCCTGCACCTCCGTTCTTAACACGTTCAAGGCTGATATATCAACAAGCAACATTCAGGATTGCTTTGTGCGTGTCACAAAAGCCACACGGATGAGAAAGAAGCTAGTCTAAAAGCGATGGCTCACGCCTGTAATCCCAGCACTTTGGAGGGCCAAGGCAAGTGGATCATGAGGTCAGGAGTTTGAGACCAGCCTGACCAACATGGTGAAACCCCGTCTCTACTAAAAATAGATAAATTAACTGGGCGTGGTGGCAGGCACCTGTAATCCCAGCTACTCGGGAGGCTGAGGCAGGAGAATGGCTTGAAACCGGAAGGCAGAGGTTGCAGTGAGGCAAGATAGTGCACCAGCCTGGATGACAGAGCAAGACTCCGTCTCTAAATAAACAAATAGGCACTTGCTACAGGATTCCAATAATAGAATATGGTAGAAGAGGTCAAACTGTGGAGATGGTGAAAAGATGTGTGGTTGCAAAGAGTGAGGATGCAGTGATGGATAGGAGGGGAGTGGAGGCTTTTCAGGGCAGTGAAAGTATTCTGTGGAATCTTACAGTGGTGGATGTGTGGCATTATATCTTTGTTCAAACCCAGAGACCAGCTGTCTTCAGCCTTTTTGGCATCGGGAACCAGTTTTGTGGAAGATAATTTTTCCATGGATTGGTGCTGGGATGGTTTTGGAAGGATTCAGGTACATTGCATTGATTGTCCAATGCTGAGGTGCAATGGTATGATCATAGCTCCCTGCAGCCTCCACCTCCTGGGCTCAAGTGATCCTCCCGCCTCAGCCTCCCAAGGAGCTGAGACTACAGGCATGCACAACAATGCCTGCCTGGTTAAATTTTTTATTTTTGTAGAGATGGGATCTTGCTCTGTTTTCCAGGCTGGAGTGCAGTGGTATGATCAGGGCTCACTGCAGCCTCCACCTCCTGGGCTCAAGCAATCCTCCTCCCTCAGCCTCCCAAGGAGCTGAGACTAGAACCATGCACCACCAAGCCCAGCTAGTTTTTAGATTTTTTTTGTAGAGAAGGGGTCTTGCTATGTTGTCCAGGCTGGTCCCAAACTCCTGGGCTCAAGTGATCTTTATTTTAATCCTTATTTTTACTTATTATTAAGTCCAATGTGTCTGGCACTATACCCTAGAAAGGATCCTTTCCAAAATAGTGGAATTAATATCTCAGAACATGTGCTTGCTTCAGCAGCACATAAGCTATATTAATATCTCAGAACACATTGCCTAGTAAAATAGAAGTAAAATAGACACTTGAAGAGACAAGAAAACTTTTTTCTTTCTTTCTTTCTTTCTTTCTTTCTTTCTTTCTTTCTTTCCCTTTCTCTTTCTTCTTTCCTTTTCTTTCTTCTTTCTCTCTCTTTTCCTTCTTTATCTCTTTCTTCTTTCTCTCTTTTTTCTCTCTTTCTCCCCGCTTTCTTTCTTTCTTCCTTTCTTTCTTCCTTTCTTTCTTTTCTTTCTTTCTTTCTTTCTTTCTTTCTTTCTTTCTTTCTTTCTTTCTTTCTTTCTTTCCTTCTTTTCTTTCTCTGTCTCTCTCTCTCTTTTTTTTTTCTTGAGATGGAGTCCCCCTGTGTCATCCAGGCTGGAGTGCAGTGGTGCGATCTCAGCTCACTGCAACCTCTGCATCCTGGGTTCAAACGTTACTCCTGTCTCAGCCTCCCAAGTAGCTGGGATTACAAGCAGGTATGGCCAGCTCACTTGTGTATTTTTAGTAGAGATAGGGTTTCACCATGTTGGCCAGGCTGGTCTGAAACTCCTGACCTCAGGTGATCCACCCGCCTCAGCCTCCCAAAGTGCTGGGATTACAGGCGTGAGCCACTGCACCCAGCCAGTTTTAGGTTTTTAAAACAAGCCTACAGCCGAGTGCAGCAGCTCACATCCACAATCCCAGCACTTTGGGAGGCCAAGGTGGGAGGATCATTTGAGTCCAGGAGTTTGAGACCAGCCTGGACAACAGGGCAAGACCCCATCTCTAAAAATATAAAATTAGCTGGGCATGGTGTCGTGTGCCTGTGATCCCAGCTACGCAGGAGGCTGAGGTATGAGGGCTGCTTGAGTCCAGGAGTTTGAGGCTGCATTGAGCTGTGATGGCACCACTGCATTCTAGCCTGGGCAACAGAGCAAGACCCTGTCTCTTAAAAAACAAACCAAAAAAAATCCATTTAAGGTACATTGCACTTGTCTCCAAAATGCAAATGGAGGTGAAGTCTGTATACTGACCTGGTTTCCCTATATTCATTGTAAACATTTTTGTTAAACATCTACATCCCTGCCAAGAATTTTAATTGTCCTAGAAATTACACATGGTAACTTAAGGTTATAAAAATCTTAGTAAAATTAAAACGTAGATCCCTCTTCAGGAAAAAGAAACAGAAATCTCACTCAACTCTCAGGCACGGATATTATTGAAAAAGCAAACCACATAGTTATATGTAATATTTTAAATAAGAACCATCTGCCTATAATAAAGCTAAAATAAGACAGAGCTCAGATAAAACAGAATATTCCTTTATTAAAAAAAATGTTTGCAAGAAAAGTTTGCATGTCTAAACACCTCCCAAAATACTTGCTTTATAATAGTTAATATCTTTTGTATTATACCACGTTGGAGAAAGTTGCAGGCATTAAAATTCAGCGCATTAATTTTCTCTCCCTGAAAGCCTTCTGGCCAATTATAGACAAGCTCACGGGGCCGACACGTGGGTAAATTCACTTAGTCTCCCTATGTAGGTATTTCTGCTTTCTGTAATACACCATGTGGCATTGATACTATTGATCTCATGTTATTAGATATATTAAAACTCCAAAACTACTTTGGAAAATATAATCATTCTGCAAGTTTTCAGAAACTTAAGAACTTGAAAACCAACAGCAACCCACACCCTTGAACATTTGGCAAAATTGAATTCTCAGTTATGAATAAGATTGTCTCTCGTTTTCCCCAGAAAAGCTCACAGAAACGTCTGCCCGTTTCTAGTAACAGCTGGTAAACCCGACCATAAAAGTCATTCCTAGAAGCAGCACTTAAAGGGACAGTATTGTCTTTGGGATAAAATTTCTTCTGGAAAAAAAAAAAGTGCTCTAGGAAATGTTTGAAATATCTCCAAAGAGTTGATTGATCCATATGCTGGGAGTTAATAATTTCTGTGATGTAAAGTTATCGTGGCATATGAAGAAAAAGGAAAACGGAACCAGGAAAGCATTTTAAATTATTATAATTATATCTGTCCATCACAAATTAAGAGGAAATTGTAAACCCTCCCGAAATAGAGGGGGAGCTGCTAAAATCAATTCCTCATTTTCTTCTGTTTCTCTCACATTCAAACTTCAATGAACAAAGTCTCGGGGCTTTGAAAAGTCAAATTGAATACAATCCAATTAGGATGAATTTGGCCTTTCATTTGCGGTTCAGAGCTGTGTTTCTATGACCGGGTTTATGAACCCAGAGAGATCGTACAAATTAACCTTAATTACACGGTGTTTGGGGTAACCATATAAACAGCAACCTCTTCAATGGGCTTCATGTTTGCAAATGTGCCAATGGTAAGAGGTGGGCTCCACACGGGGGCAGAGGGTTGTGTCCAGAGTCTGATCTCTCCTTTGGCATCCTCAAGCAAAAGGTTTCTGGTCACAACTGCAGCTTTCTCAGGGGAGCCACCTGGTTTCTGAAGAGGGCTGGCCCAGTATGCTCTGGTGACCTTCGGGGGTTGGGGAGAGAGACTACCCTTCACATCTGTGTTATGTGCTTCTACAGCCTCCTGCCCTGGGGTCATTCTCCTCCCTGCCCTTCTCAAGATGCTCAAGAACCCATCCATGTGCCTTCTGCTCTAAGACCGTGATGAAGGGTTCTGTTTAATGCAGCAAACATATTGCCATCCGTTCATCCATTAATGCACTGATCAATCAATTCATTGATCCATCCATCCACTCATCTCTTTACCCACACATCCACTCATCCATTTATTTATGTGTCCAGCCACCTATTCACCCATCCACCTACCCATCCATAGACTCATCCACCCATCCATCCACTTATCTATCTATCCATCCACCCATCTGTCCATCCATCCATTCATCCACCCTTCCATCCATCTGTCCATCCATTAATCCATCCATCTATGTACCATTCCACTCATCCATCCATCCATTCATCCATCCACCCTCCCATCTATCTGTCCATCCATTTATCTACCATTCCATCCATCCATTCATCCACCCACCCATCCATCCATTCCTCCACTCTCCCATCTATCTGTCCATCCATCCATCCACCCACCCATCCATTCATCTACTTACACATTTATCTATCCACCCATCCACTCATTCATCCATATTTCCACCCATCCATCTATCCATTCATCCATCCACCCATTCATCCACACACACACCCATATATTCATTCACTCCCCCGTTTATTCATCCATTTATTCATCCATCCACTCACCCACCCATTCACCCTCCCATCCATCCTTCAATCCCCTCATCCATCCATTCATTCAGCCAGACAGCCACCTACACATCTATCCATCCATCCATCCATTCATCAATCCATCTATCCATCTATCCATCCATTCATCCATCCATTCATCCACCCTCCCATTCATTCATCCATCCATCTATCTAGCATTCCATCCATCCATCCATCCATCCATCCATCCACCCATCCATCCATTCATCCACCTTCCCATCTATTCATCCATCCATCTATCTATCATTCCATCCATCCATCCATCCACCCTCCCATCTATCTATCCATCCATTCATCCATCCACTTATCTACCATTTCATTTATGCATCCATCCATCCACCCATCTATTCATCCATCCAGCCACCTCCATCTATCCATCCATCCATGCATCCATTCATCCATCCATTCATCTACCCTCTCATCCATCCATCCACCTACATGTTTATCCATCCATCCATCCACTCATTCATCCATCTTTCCACCCATCCATCTATCCATTCATCCATCCACTCATTCATCCACCCACATGCCCACACATTCATTCACCCTCCCATTTATTCATCCATCATTAATCCATCCACCCACCAATTCACCCTCCCATCCATACATCCATCCCCTCATCCATCCATTCATCCAGCCAGCCAGCCACCTACCCATCTGTCCATCCATCCATCCATCCACCCATTCATTCATCCATCCATCAATCCATCCATCCATCCGTCCATCCTTCCTTCACTCACTGAGAGATGAACGAAACATACCCCTCTGCCCAAGAAGAGCTCACTATCCCCTGGGGAAGCTGATTATCATGGAGGTGTGTGGGCAAATTGAATGACGCCAACAAGGTCATTGGACACAGAGGAGCAGCCCCAGAAGCCGTGTGGGAGAGGGAGAATCATGAAGCCATAACCCAGTTTGAGCCACTTAAAGAGGACTTCTGCAACATAATCACGCAAAAACAGGTAACTTCCAGTGGGCGTCCCTTACAGTATCCCCATCAGGGAGGTACTATTTGCAATTTTACAAGATTGATTTAAAATAAACCTAAGGAAACCGCACAAGCAACCAACAAACAGGTGTCTCCTTGCTTTCAATGCAGCTAAGGTGTCCTTGAGCCACAATGAGGATGCCCTGCCTTTATATTCAGCTGTAGGCAGCACGTGACGATGGAAGCCGTCCATCTGTCCATCCATTCATGCATCCATCTATCTACCATTCCATCCATGCATCCATCTATCTACCATTCCATCCATGCATCCATCCACGCATCCATCCATGCATCCATCCATCCATGCATCCATCCATCATCTATCTACCATTCCATCCATGCATTCATCCATGTATCCATCCATGCATCCATGCATCCATCCATCCATTCATGCATCCATCTACCATTCCATCCATGCATTCATCCATGCATTCATCCATGTATCCATGCATCCATGCATCCATCCATCCATCCATCCATCCATCCATCCATCTATCTACCATTCCATCCATGCATCCATCCATCCATGAATCCACACATCCATCCATCCATCTATCTACCATTCCATCCATCCATGGATCCATCCATGCATCCATCCATCCATTCATCCATCCATCTACCTACCATTCCGTCCATGTATCCATCCATGCATTCATACATGAATCCATGCATCCATCCATGCATCCATCCATCCATTCATCCATCCATCTAACATTCCATCAATCTATCTACCATTCCATCCATGCATCCATCCATGCATCCATCCATTCATTCATCCCTCCATCTACCATTCCATCCATCTATCTACCATTCCATCCATGCATCCATCCATGCATCCATCCATTCATTCATCCCTCCATCTACCATTCCATCCATCTATCTACCATTCCATCCATGCATCCATCCATGCATTCTTCCATGCATCCATCCATCCATTCATCCATCCATCTACCTACCATTCCATCCATGCCTCCATCCATGCATTCGTCCATGAATCCATGCATCCATCCATGCATCCATTCATCCATTCATCCATCCACCTAGCATTCCATCCATCTATCTACCATTCCATTCTTGCATCCACCAATGCATCTATCCATCCGTTCATCTGTCCATCCATCTACCATTCCATCCATCTATCTACCATTCCATCCATGCATCCATCCATGCATCCATCCATGAGTCCATGCATCCATCCATCCATCCATGCATCCATCCATCCATCCATCTTGTCTTTATCCCACCAAGACTCTACAGAGACACCCGTCTGCAGAGTGGGTAAAGAGAAACTAACTTCTCCCTGGGGCTTTCCCAAGAGGTATGGCCGGAGTGCAGACACGTCAGTTATGCAGTCAATGCTGAGTGAGTTGACTCAGTCAACGCTGAGTGAGGGGCCATGTAGTCCACACCACGCAGTCAGCCCTGAGTGGGGAGTAAGAGGGAGAGCACCTTGAGGACAAAACATTAAGCATTGTGCACATCTTCACATCTCTCTGAAATATGGCTTCACCCAGGATGACCTGACACCAGGACATTCTGCTCTCAGGTGCCATGTTGGTGTCATAGAAAGGGAATCAGTTAAAATCATGAACATTCCAGGCGTCCGCTTTTATTCTAAGAATATAGCACTCCATTTGAAAAGAAACAAGGTCCTCCACCTTTCTGTTCTGGGAGCCTTTAACTCTGGAGATCTTCCTTTGCACATATACTAGTGGGCTTGCTTCTGTCCCTTTCTGGGTATCTCCACACAGTCGCCCTTGGAGAGACCAAACGCCTGGCAGCTGGTGTAGTTTCCTGTTGGGTCACAGAGTCTTCCTCCCCAATAGAGCCGCCGTCACCCCTCTCCTGACAGCTCAGGGCTGCTGACCAGCTCACACGGGTCTCTCCTGAATTCATTGCCCTCCCTTCCAAGCCGTGCTGTATTTTAATGTACTTTTTCAAGGAGTTTATGATCTCTGCTGCTTTCATAGCATCTGTCAAGAGTATCAAACTGTGGTCCCCTCTTTGAGTTAATAAAGCTACAGTACAATAGTGCATGGGTATCAGAGGTCTGTAGACCTTTCTCACGACTTACCAACCTGACATGAAATCATTAATGATTACTCCACCGTCCTTGAGTTTTTAGACGGTTGCTGTATAATGATCCTTCCCTTCCTACCTTTTTCTGGTTTCTTGATGAGATGGTTATCTGGGGCTCTGTCAGGTCCTAATGGAATTCAACCGGACTGGATTCACGTTTTCCTTCCCGGCGCTGGCTCCGTTGATTTTCTCGTCATGAAATAAAATAATTGCTTTGACAGGATTCAGGTGAGAATTCCAAACATATGGCTTATTATTTAATAATGGTTTCACCGAAGGCTCTATTAAGTAACCCAAATGTAGTCAGGTTTAGATGAGCCTTTAAATCTTCGATTTTGAAACTAAATGGTACTAATTATTCGAGTGACAAAATAAGCCAGACCTGTCAGCTTCGAAGTTTAAAAATAATACTCAGGCAGACCCAATTGGTGAGCGGGTCTAATGGATATTGATTGATTATGTCCTGTTTCCATCCACTTCCCATTGTGTCTTAGAGGCATTTTACCTCTGGGTGTGGGTGATGGAAGAGAGGCTTTTTCTACTGAAGGCTGCTTGGTAGTGTAGACAAAAGAGAGTTTAGGGCCAGGTGGGGTGGCTCACGCCTGTAATCCCAGTACTTTGGGAGGCTGAGGCAGGTGGATCACAAGGTCAGCAGTTTGAGACCAGCCTGGCCAACATGGTGAAACCCCATCTTTACTAAAAATACAAAAATTAGCCAGGTGTGGTGGCGGGCACCTGTAGCCCCAGCTACTAGGTATTTTGTATTTGTATTTGTATTTTTAGCCATGATTGTTTGCTGTACCCATCAACCCATCATCTAGGTTTTAAGCCCCACATGCATTAGGTATTTGTCCTAATGCTCTCCCTCTGCCTGCCCCCCAATCCCCCAACAGGCCCCAGCGTGTAATATTTCCCTCCCTATGTCCATGTGTTCTCATTGCTCAACTCCCACTTATGAGTGAGAACATGCGGTGTTTGGTTTTCTGTTCTTGTGATAGTTTACTGAGAATGATGGTTTCCAGCTTCATCCATGTCCCTGCAAAGGACACGAACTCGTCCTTTTCTATGGCTGCATAGTATTCCATGGTGTCTATGTGCCACATTTTCTTTCTCCAGTCTTTCACTGATGGGCATTTGGGTTGGTTCCAAGTCTTTGCTATTGCAAACAGTGTTATGATGTACATATGTGTGCATGTGTCTTTATAGTAGAATGACTTATAATCCTTTGGGTATGTACCCGGTAATGAGATTGCTGGACCAAATGTTATTTCTGGTTCTAGATCCTTGAGGAATTGCCACACTGTCTTCCACAATGGTTGAACTAATTTACACTCCCACCAACAGTGTAAAAGCCTTCCTATTTCTCCACATCCTCTCCACCATCTGTTGTTGCCAGTCAGCAAGTTTTTGATTCAGGTCCTCTTTCGTAAAGTTGCCAGCAGAAAAACTTGGACTTACCCCTGGTGCCCTTTGATCTCTGCAGATTCCTCTGTTATTTGGAGGACAAACAATGCCAAGGTCAGAAAACTCCCACACCTCTGTGACAGCAGGGACATTAGTGTTTAGAAAAAGATTGTCTGTTTATGGGGAAAGTGCAGTGGAAAGAAACCTCATGCATGTAGGGGTGTCTCTGTGTAGGAATAAAAGCAGCTCGGTCTAAATAGAGCATGACTTCTGCATCCTGGAAAACAGCCTCAGCTCTCTGTTTTCTTCAAAGGCGACCGTCGTCTTTGTAATCCCAGCCACACCACCTGAGTTTCCTTCCTGGCTGAGCATTCCTTCCTGTCATCGAGAACCCTGAAATAACCCCAGTCTTTCCTTGAGTCCTGGTCTCTTGTTATTAATCAGAGAAGCTTTGCAACGCACCTGCTTGGTGGCGAAGACACGCGGAGTGGCCATGGGAAGACGCCTGAGGAATTCCAAGGAATAGACATTCTGGTAGATGCTACATTCGTGCCCTGCTCCGGTGTTAATATTTTGGGATGGATCTTATAATGAGGAGTGATTCCAGTAACGCAGAGGTGTGTTTATAGCAGCTGCATACGACGACCCTCTCTCTCTTTAGCGAGCGGAGCTGTTACTTCCCATTCCCAGCCATTTGAGTTCCATAACCAGAGACTTTCCAGTATTTTACCTGCCATGCACTTCCAGGGAATGGGCTGTGTTTATGTGCATAGGATATCCGCGAGCTTTCAGAAGAACCCTAATGGACAAATGGCCAACTAAATCCTCTTCCACCTTGCTTATTTTTGTGCCTGAAATGGGTGAGGCAGGTCTTTCTTCTGTATCTAGTTTTTGACACAAATCCTTCTGAATGCAACGCTGTTACTTCCCATTCCCAGCCATTTGAGTTCCACAACCAGAGACTTTCCAGTATTTTACCTGCCACGCACTTCCAGGGAATGAGCTGTGTTTATGTGCGTAGGATGTCCGCGAGCTTTTGGAAGAATCCTGATGGACAAAGGGCCAACTAAATCCTCTTCCACTTTGCTTATTTTTGTGCCTGAAATGGGTGAGGCAGGTTTTCCTTCTGTATCCAGTTTTTGACACAAATCCTTCTGAATGCAACGCTGTCTTTGCACAGAATCCCCCACCCTTCCCTCTTTTTTTCCCCCCAGTTTGAGTTCTAACGATAAATAAACAGCGCCGTTTACAAACATGCCTTTTTAATTGAGGGAAAATCTGTGGTCATCAGGCTTCAGTGCTCAGTCAGGCAATTGCCTCCTTCCTCTATAAACTCAGCTGAAAATCAATTTTATTCAGACATGTGCATGGTCCTTCCCCCCCTCCCTCACTCAGTGCCTCAAAAATACATACAGCGAAAATGAAGCCATATGAAAATGAACTGTTCTATACGAAATATCTTCCCCCTGCTTCTGGGATGTCTCTCGGTTGTGTGCAGCGCGGCCCAGCCTGCCGGCCGCATAATAAGTGAGCTATGCAGGCTCATGAATTCTCGCCTGATTTTCCTCTGCTACAAATGCACCTAGATGACAGATCAACAATTTGAATTAAACCTTTCCTTATAGTCCTACCGATTTTTTTTTAATCTCACCACGGGCCAATAAAACCATTGTGGAACATTTGTTCCTGTCCAAAAAAAAAAAAAAAAAAAAAAAAGCACTTTGATTCAAAATAAAATGCAGGCACGGTTTACCAGAACATTTTTATCTCGCTTTGAAGAGCCACCGAAGAAAAAAGATCCCACAGCTATACCTGTTTGTTAGATGGTCTAGCAAAAAAGAAGCAATTTGCCCATGCAAACTTTTATGTTTCTGAGATGCTTTTTCTGCCTGCGGTTTGAGTATTTTCACTGAATATGAGGGCAAAATAATTGCATTTCAGCCGTGATGAACTTTAACACACACTCTAAATATTAGAATTCCTTAGGATGTTTAGGGGAGTTTATTTTTAGTTTCCGTCCTTAAACAAAGCCCCACGCTCTGTTCTGCCACAATGTGGACTTGATTAGTTAAAAATAGCCTGGAAACATTTCTAATGAAATTAAAATAGCGACGGTCACCTCCTCTTCATGTACCCTTCAGTATTGTCTAACATGTACCTTTGTAGATTTCGTTCCCAAATAAATTAGAAGAGTCATCATCAATAAAAAAAATGTGTGGAAGATGCAAATCCCGAGATGAAAATCATTTAGCATTTTTCTAAGTTTAGAACCCAGGGAGAGAGAATAGCAGTATCTGGTTGCTTCAGAAGCTTTTCTCTTGCAGGGAAGGGGGGGGGGACAGGGGATTTGGAAAAACGACACCCCAGACTCTATTTCCAGTCTATGCCCCAGTGGGTACAGTTGCTGGGGTATTTTCTCTTCCTGGTGTCATTGCAGGGGACGCTGGAGAGATCTTGCAAGCTGACCTCCACAAGGAAGAGCATAGGTTTTAAAGACGGAACAAAACAAGTAGGATTTAAAGATGGAACAAAACAAGTAGGATTTCTAAGGCAGTTACCCCTTTGCCTTAATTTCACCAGGCAGGGAACACTGGATACAATTAAAACATTGTCTCAAGATAAATGCACAGCTGGCTTTTTTCATCCACATGTGCACCTGCCAGGGGCTTGAGCTTGCAAATGCTGCAAATGCCGGGTTGTATTTATGCAACTGCCGCCTCCTCCCAAGCCTTTCCGAAGCCGACCTGTCCTGTGTTCAGCCCCAGCGTCTATGCTATTAGACAGATGAGGGATATTTTTCCATCATAAGCCCCCAGACGGCACCGGATACTGTCTCCTGAACTCTCCCAACTTGGGGATCCTGGAGGAATGTTTTTAATGGATGCGGCTTGCCTGTGCATGGCTAACTCAAGACTTTAAAATGGCTTTTTTTTTTTTTTTTTTTTTTTGAGGCAGAGTCTCGCTCTGTCACCCAGGCTGGAGTGCAGTGGCATGATCTTGACTCACTGCAACTTCTGCCTCCCGGGTTGAAGCGATTCTCCTGCCTCAGCCTCCTGAGTAGCTGGGATTACAGGCACCCGCCACCACACCTGGCTTATTTTGGTATTTTTAGTAGACAGGGGGTTTCGTCATTTTGGCCAGGCTGGTATCGAACTACTGACCTCGTGATCTGCCCGCCTCAGCCTCCCAAATTGCTGGGATTACAGGCATGAGCCACCGCGCCCAGCCTGCTTTTTTTCTTTTCTTTTCTTCTTTTTGAGACAGAGTCTCGCTCTGTCACCCAGGCTGGAGTGCAGTGGCATGATCTTGACTCACTGCAACTTCTGCCTCCCAGGTTCAAATGATTATCCTGCCTCAGCCTCCTGAGTAGCTGGGATTACAGGCACCTGCCACCACACCTGGCTTATTTTGGTATTTTTAGTAGAGAGGACGTTTCTTCATTTTGGCCAGGCTGGTATCGAACTACTGACCTCATGATCTGCCCACCTCAGCCTCCCAAAGTGCTGGCATTACAGGCGTGAGCCACTACGCCCAGCCTGCTTTTTTATTTTCTTTTTTTCTTTTTGAGGCAGAGTCTCGCTCTGTCACCCAGGCTGGAGTGCAGTGGCATGATCTTGACTCACTGCAACTTCTGCCTCCCATGTTCAAATGATTCTCCTGCCTCAGCCTCCTGAGTAGCTGGGATTACAAGCACCTGCCACCACACCTGGCTTATTTTGGTATTTTTAGTAGACAGGACGTTTCTTCATTTTGGCCAGGCTGGTATTGAACTACTGACCTCATGATCTGCCCGCCTCAGCCTCCCAAAGTGCTGAGATTACAGAAGTGAGCCACTGCACCCAGATATTTTTTTTTTTTTTTGGGACAGAGTCTTGCTCTGTCGCCCAGGCTGGAGTGCAGAGGCACAATCTCGGCTCACTGCAACCTCCGCCTCCCGGGTTCAAGCGATCCTCCTGCCTCAGCCTCCAGAGTAGCTGGGATTACAGACACCTGCCACCATGGCTGACTAATCTTTGCATTATTAGTATACACAGGGTTTCGTCATTTTGGCCAGGCTGGTCTCAAACTCCTGACCTCAGGCAATCTGCCCACCTCGGCCTCCCAAAGTCCTGGGATTACAGGCGTGAGCCACCTCACCCGGCCATATGTATACATTTTGTGAGCAGTTAACATGCATAAAAACACGCTACCACTTGATTACATTGTTGTCTTTTTTAGGTGGGTGGATCACCTGAGGTCGGCAGTTCGAGACCAGCCTGACCAACATGGTGAAACCCCTGTCTCTACTAAAAACACAAAAATTAGCCAGGCGTGGTGGTGCATGCCTGTCATCCCAGCTACTCGGGAGGCTGAGGCAGGAGAATCGCTTGAACCCGGGAGGTGGAGGTTGTGGTGAGCCAAGATGGCACCATTGCACTCCAGTCTGGGCAACAAGAGCGAAACTCCATCTCAAAAAATAAAAAAAAAAGTATCCCTATTTCCATTTCTCGACATCTGTGGCCGTGGAGTGACTGAGTACAGGCAGATGATACTCAAGAAATGTGCCTGTTGTTTATAGCAGAAGTGACTGCCATTTGCTAAAGTTTCCGTGTCCACCCAATGTGAGTATCCTTGCAGAAGCCGCATACACTACGGAGGTCAATTAGCAAAGAGATGAAATATTCCAAAGGCTCGGCAATTCCAGAAAGATGTGATGGGCCAGGCATGGTGGCTCATGCCTGTCATCCCAGCACTTTGGGAGGCTGAGGTGAGTGGATCACTTGAGGTCAGGAGTTCGAGACCAGCCTGGTCAACATGGTGAAACTCTGTCTCTACTAAAAATACAAAAATTAGCCGGGCATAGTGATGCATGCCTGTAATCCCACGTACTGGGGAGGCTGAGGCAGGGGAATTGCTTGAACTCAGGAGGTGGAGGTTGCGGTGAGCCGAGATCACACCACTGCACTCCAGCCCGGGTGACAGAGCAAGACTCTGTCTCAAAAAAAAAAAAAAAAAGAAAAAGCCAAAAAGTGGGTCGCTGACTTGCCTTGAACACCTCTTTTGCATAAGCAGTTTGATGTTAATGGCTCTTGAAAAGCAATGTTTAAAAATCACGTAATTGCCAAATTTACTGTTTTAACTTTTCTTTTTAATATGCCATATATATATAAAAGCAATGTTTAAAAATCACATAATTGCCAAATTTACTGTTTTAACTTTTCTTTTTAATATGCCATATATATATAAAAGCAATGTTTAAAAATCACATAATTGCCAAATTTACTATTTTAACTTTTCTTTTTAATAGGCCATATATATATGCCATATGCATATATATGTGTGTATATATACGT
Organism: Homo sapiens; assembly: GCF_000001405.40. Taxonomy (NCBI): domain Eukaryota; kingdom Metazoa; phylum Chordata; class Mammalia; order Primates; family Hominidae; genus Homo; species Homo sapiens. The sequence goes on from NC_000024.10 coordinate 963,640, forward strand.
ATATATGTGTATATGTATATATACGTATATATGTGTATATGTATACATATACGTATATGTGTATATATACATATATACATGTATATGTGTGTATATACGTATATATACACATATATACGTATATATACATATGTACGTATATATACACACATATATATCATATATACATACATGTATATATACATACATATATATACATATATAAATATATATATATGGGTTTTTTTTTTTTGATGTTAGAAGTTCTGACCCACTCTCATTCCTTTGATTGATTAAAAGAGACAGAGATTTGGTCAGGGGTGGTGGCTCACACCTGTAATCCCAGCACTTTGGGAGGCTGAGGCAGGCTCATCACCATGTCAGGAGACCGAGACCAGCCTGGTCAACATGGTGAAACCCCGTCTCTACTGAAAATACAAAAAATTAGCCCAGCATGGTGGCGGGCGCCTGTAGTCCCAGCTACTCAGGAGGCTGGGGCAGGAGAATCGGTTGAACCCTGGAAGTGGAGGTTGCAATGACCCGAGATCGCGCTACTGCACTCCAGCCTGGGTGACAGAGCGAGACTCCAGGTCAAAAAAAAAAAAAAAAAAAGTGGGTTACTGACTTGCCTCAAACACCTCTTTTGCATAAGCAGTTTGATGTTAATGGTTCTTTAAAAGCAATGTTTAAAAATCACATAATTGCCAAATTTACTGTTTTAGCTTTTCTTTTTAATATGCCATTTTTTTTTTTGAAGTAAGAAGTTCTGACCCACTCTTTTTCCTTTGGTTGATTAAAAGAGAGATTTTGTTTTCTTTTCTTTTGTTCTTTATTATTATACTTTAAGTTCTGGGGTACGTGTGCAGAACGTGCAGGTTTGTTACATAGGTATACACGTGCCATGGTGGTTTGCTGCACCCATCCACCCGTCATCTACATTAGGTATTTGTCCTAATGCTCTCCCTCCCCTTGGCCCCCCAGCCCCAAACAGGCCCTGGTGTGTGACGTTCCCCTCCCTGTTTCCCTCTGTTCTCATCGTTCAACTCCCACTTAGGAGTGAGAACATGCAGTGTTTGGTTTTCTGTTCCTGTGTGAGTTTGCTGAGAATGATGGTTTCCAGCTTCATCCATGTCCCTGCAAAGGACATGAACTCATCATCAAAGAGAGATTTTTAGGGCTGTGAAGACCTTCCCCTATTACATCAGGGCACATTGCATTAACAAGATACAACCCAGGCTCACAGACACCGCAGAACGTCTCCTGAATTTCTATTTGTTTCTTCTTTTGTTTTTGTTTTTTTTTAAACTGGTCATGAAGCTCTTTCGGGGCACCCTGAAACCTCATTCATCGGACAGGACATTAGAGCTGCAGCAGAGACTAATAAGGTTTTGCTTTCATTTTGGCAAGAAAAGGTCTGTGTCTGTCTGTCTGGTCATGGAGTCGGGGCTTCAAAGAGCCTCTGCCGTGCACTGGTCTTTGAAGTCACCATTTAGTGGATTCGTTTGCAAAACCTGCTGTAATAAATGACCACAGGCTTGAGCATTAAAACTACAGAGACTTAGCATCTCCCTCTCCTAGAGACCAGAAGTCTAAGAGGAAGGTGTCTCAGGGCTGAGCTCCCTCCACAGGCTGTAGGGGAGGATCCTTCCCACCTCTCCCAGCTCCTGGGGACTCCAGGCGTCCCTGGACTTGTGGCAGCATCACTCCAGTCTCTGCCTCCGTCTCCACGTGGCCTTCTCCTCTGTGTCTGTCTCCTCTTCTGTCTCTCAGAAGGACACCTGTCACTGGATTTAGGGACCACACAGATAATTCAGGATGATCTCATCTTAAGGTCCTTTATTTAGTTACATCTGCAAAAACCCCTTTTCAAATAAGGTCTCATTCACAGGTTCTGGGGATCAGGACCTGGATATACCTTTTTGGGGGGATCATAGTTCAATCTACTTCACTTGTGCCTAGTTCCCTCCAGAGGCTTTCAGGGAGGATGCTTCCTGCCTCTCCCAGCTCCTGGGGGCTCCAAGGCATCCCTGGGCTTGTGGCCGCAGCACTCCAGTCTCTGCCTCTATCTCCATATGGCCTTCTCTTGTCTGTGTCTCCTCTTCTGTGTTTTGTGTTTTTTTTTGTGGGGGGGAGGTGGGGGATGGAGTCTCAATCTATTGCCCAGGCTGGAGTGCAATGGTGTGATCTCGGCTCACTGCAACCTCTGCCTCCCAGGTTCAAGCAATTCTCTGCCTCAGCCTCCCAAGTAGCTGGAATTACAGGCACCCGCCACCACACCCAGCTAATTTTTGTGTGTTTTTTTTTTTAGTAGAGACAGGGTTGTTGGCCAGGCTGGTCTCGAACTCCTGACCTCAGGTCATCCATCCTCTTCAGCCTCCCAAATATCTTGTTTCTTAAAAGGCATCTTTGGGCCGGGTGCAGTGGCTCACGCCTGTCATCCCAGCACTTTGGGAGGCCGAGGCAGGTGGATCACGAGGTCAGCAGATCGAGACCATCCTGGCTAAAATGGTGAAACCCCGTCTCTACTAAAACTACAAAAAATTAGCCAGGCATGGTGGCGGGTGCCTGTACTCCCAGCTACTGAGGAGGCTGAGGTGTGAGAATGGCGTGAACCCGGGAGGTGGAGCTTGCAGTGAGCCCAGATTGCACCACTGCACTCCACCCTGGGTGACAGAGTGAGAGTCTGTCTCAAGAAAAGAAAAAAAAAGGCATCTTTGTCTTTTCAAGATCTATGTGCACTGTTTGCAAGAAAGTCTGAAAGATAGTACGGCTTCTAAGCACTGCAAAGCATTTTGGCTGCCAGAAAGATGCTGTCAGCCCTGAGGGTTGCCACTGCTGAGGGTACAGGTCTCCCAGGCGTTGCTGATGTGAGCTGTGCCAGAGACCTCCCTGAGCTCACCTGCCTGGTGGGGCTGGTTTCTTCCTGTGCTCTCTCTCTCTGTCTCTGTGTGTGGGTCCTACCAGGCCCGGTGAGCCCTGGAATCTGCCCAGAGGTGGCAGGTAGGTGCATGACGCTCCTTGGGAGAATACACAGCCGCCACTCAAAGCCCCTCCTTTATTCAGTCTAAGTAATAGGTCCAGTGGGCCTATAACCTGGTTTTATGGGGCTGTGGAGTCATACTGTAAATCTCACACGCCGTCCTGGCTGGCAGTCACTCCCCAGCCTTCATTTCCCTCCCCTCCCCTGCGTCCCGAGCAAACTTTTTCCACCGTTATATCCTTGCAATGTTTCTGACCCGTTGGCAAACTCGAGGGCGGCAGCGCGGGGCCCCCGTGTGAACAGCTCGAGGTGGTTTCTTGCCAAGAGAAATGCTGGGAATGCTGGGGACTGAAGTGTAAGTGGGTGATAAAAAAAAAAAAAGATGTTCAGCTTTGCACCTGCACGGGATCCTGGGCCTGCCCACCTGGGCATCGGGGGAGAAGGAGGAGGAGGCGAGTTTTTAAGACCTCACGGGTGTTTCTCCCGGGTACGCCCAAAAGGTATTGGGAAAGGAGGTGTTCAAATGAGAACGTGTGCGTGGGTTTTCACAACGGCTGAAACGTGGAAATGGTGCAAGGCTGAGCATGAAGATATCTGTCTGGTTTCTTTGGACGTTCAGCTTACAGACAAAAGTGGCATCACTATGTATATACACATATATATTTTATATATAGTTATATAAATTTGTATATTATATAATTTACAGAATTTTATATATTAGATATGTATTATATATTATATATATTATTTCGCACCAACAATGCTGCATGTCTGAATTTAAAACAAAAACACCTTTAAACATTTTTCTATAGTTTCAGTTTAATTAATTGCACTCCAGCCTGGGTGACAGACCAAGATTTTTGTCTCCAAAAAAAAAAAAAAAAAAAAAAAGGCCAGGCACAGTGGCTCATGCCTGTAATCCCAGCATTTTGGGAGGCCGAGGCAGGCAGATCACCTGAGGTCAGGAGATCGAGACCAGCCTGGCCAACATGGTGAAAAACCCCTCACCACTAAAAATATAAAAAAAAATTAGCTGGGCGTGGTGGCGGGCACCTGTAATCCCAGCTACTTGGGAGGCTGAGGCAGGAGAATACTTGAACCTGGGAGGCAGAGGTTGCAGTGAGCCAAGATTATGCCCCTGTACTCCAGCCGGGAGCAGTGGCTCACACCTATAATCCCAGCACTTTGGGAGGCCAAGGTGGGTGCATCACCTGAGGTCAGGAGTTCCAGACCACTGTGGCCAACATGGAGAAACCCTGTCTCTACTAAAGATAGAAAAAATTAGCCGGGCATGGTGGCAGGTGCTTGTCATCCCAGCTACTCAGGAGGCTGAGGCAGGAGAATCGCTTGAACCCGGGAGGCAGAGGTTGCAGTGAGCCGAGATCGCGTCACTGTACTCCAGCCTGGGTGACAGAGCAAGACTCTGTCTCAAAAAAAATAAAAATAAAAAAAAGGGGTGGGGTGGCCCAGCCGTTCAGTATACTTTCTCCCCAAGTGTGAACCATCCATTTCCAGAATGTGTCCAGCGACTTGGGACTATATGGCCTTTGAACGTCTGAACACCCTCAGTTCTCCTTCATATTCTCCAGCTCCCCTGCATGGAGATGTGGGCCTTTTAGGGTTCTTTCCACCCCTTTAGGGCCTCTCTGCTAGCCTTCCATTGGCAAGGACAATTGCCAAAAGGAGGTATCCAGCTCTAACCCTGCAGAACAGACAGAGAGCCCAGTAGCCTGGCAGCCAGAGAGGCTTTCTCTAAAACAGGCATCCCTGGCAGCCTCATTGAAATGGGAAGATTCATTATCCCATTTCCATTTAATTGTTATTTTGCCGGCAGAAAAGCCTGGAGTTTCTCTGAAAGGCAGTGATGGTGTTGTCCTTTTAGATTCCCTGGGGAATGATCTTTAAAAAATTGCGTGCCCAGCTTCCCAAGTGCCCAGCATTTGCCTTGACATTAACTTACTCTATGAAGTACGGATGTTGCAGAGGGGAGGGCATCCAAGCCCCTGGCTTCCCGGAGAAATTGGTAAGGGTTGTCTGCAGCTTCCCAGCCTTAAAAATACTTGACAAGTTGACATCCTCACTGCTAAGTGGGGCTGATGGAGCCTCGTCAACCCCAGGACCCGCTGATCAGCCGTGGCAGGAATCATACCCACAGCCTTATGCGAAGTGATGAGTTGGATTTGCTTCCAGCAGGGTGAAAGCAATTGGATTTCACTTGTTCTCAATGTACAGCAAGAGAAAAGTGGGGGACTGACTCAGAGAACCCGTGTTCCCTCCATATGCAGCTCAGTCATCTCTGAAATACACTGCAAATTGTTTAAACCTTAAAAACAGAGCGGCGTGAATGTGCCTCCTGATGGCACCGGGTTTTGATAAGATGATAGGCTGTGGCGATGGATTTCAGATGTGAGTTTCTGTGCTTGCCAAAATGCTGGGCGAAAGATGAAGGTAATTGCTAGCATTGTTGGCCTTGCCAATAATCCGTCTCTCTCTCTCTCTCTCTATCCTCTCTCCTCTCTCCTCTCTCCTCTCTCTGTCTCTCGTTTTTTCTTTTTTATTTTGCTTCAAGAATCTGGTTGCCTTAATGAGAAACTTTGCCCCTGCTAAGCTAACCTTTCACGTCTGGAACAAAACACAGCAGCTCCGCCTCAGCCACAGTGATAGGGAGCCTTGTGGACCTGAAACCTCTCGGTGGCCAAACCAGAAATGATTTTTGACAGGACCAGGCTGAATTCCCTGAGTACATTCACGGCCACCCGACCCTCTCCTCTCCCCCTCCTTTTTTTTTTTTTTTTTTATTTTAATGGTCCAAAATTGGCTGTTTAATATCTGAGCATGCCAGAGTCTTGGAGGATGCCAGAAATGGAAAGTTTGTGCCTGGGGTCATAGGAAGCTCCCTACCAGGTGAGGCAGCGTGATGCCAGTCCCCAATGAGCAAGGAGGCAGCAGCCCTGTCCAGTGTATGAGCGTGACCTTGGGGATCTGTGTAGATAGAAATTTCCGGAAGGATTTAAGCAGGTTAGGTTCCCGCCCCGTCACCCTGTTTCACCATAGACAGTCCATAAATAAAAAAGAGATTAAAAATGTGTTTTTCGGCCGGGTGCGGTGGCTCACGCCTGTCATCCCAGCACTATGGGAGGCCGAGGCGGGCGGATCACTTGAGGTCACGAGTTCAAGACCAGCCTGGCCAACATGACGAAACCCCGTCTCTACTGAAAATACAAAAATTAGCCAGGCGTGGTGGTGGGTACCTGTAGTCCCAGCCACTCAGGAGGCTGAGGCAGGAGAATCGCTGGAACCCGGGAGTCGAAGATTGCAGTGAGCCAAGGTCATGCCATTGCACTCCAGCCTGGGCCACAGAGTGAGACTCCGTCAAAGAAAAAAAAGTGGGGGAAGGAAGGAAGGAAGGGAGGGAGGATGGATGGAAGGAGGGAAGGAAGGAAGGAATTACAGGAAGGATTTAAGCAGGTTAGGTTCCCACCCTCTGACCCTGTTTCCCCATAGACACTCCATAAATAAAAGAGAGATCAAACCTGTGTCTTTCGCAATGCAGGCTGTTGACAAAAATGAGGAATGGGATTTGGAGCTCCATGTCAGCTGCAATGGCCACACGGGAAAGCCTAGGAGGCTGCTCTGGAAACAGAGGGGCTGTTCTAGGTGACGCCAAACTAGCACAGATGAGGCACAGAAGAGACGCCTGCGACAGATATGGAAGACACCTTCAGAAAGGGCAAAATTCAGCCACCTAAGCACAATAGAGGCCAAACAGATGGCTGTCATGGAATCAGGCAGTGTCCCATAGCCCAATACACGCCGACATTGTAACATAACCTTTACCTGAGAAAATGCCCAGGTTCACCGCCTGGGGAAGCAAGCTACACTCTACAAAGAAATATCCAGTGAGCACAACAGGACACATCTAACCTACACTGTAAAATAGAAATAATGAGTGTCCTGCATCTGGGGATCCACCTACACTCTACACTAGACACACCCAGTGTCCTCCGTCTGGGGGATACACCAACACTCTACAGTAGATACACTGAATGTCCTCCATCTGGTGATGCACCTACACTCTGCAATAGACACACTCAATGTCCTCCATTGGGGGGATCCATCTACACTCTACACTAGACACACTCAATGTCCTCCATCTGGGGATCCTCCTACACTCTACAATAGACACACTCAATGTCCTCCATCTGGGGATCCTCCTGCACTCTACAATAGACACACCCAGTGTCCTCCGTCTGGGGGATACACCAACACTCTACAGTAGATACACTGAATGTCCTCCATCTGGGGATGCACCTACACTCTACACTAGACACACTCAATGTCCTCCATTGGGGGGATCCATCTACACTCTACACTAGACACACTCAATGTCCTCCATCTGGGGATCCCCCTACACTCTACAATAGACACACTCAATGTCCTCCATCTGGGGATCCTCCTACACTCTACAATAGACACACTCAATGTCCTCCATCTGGGGATCCCCCTACACTCTACACTAGACACACTCAATGTCCTCCATCTGGGGATCCTCCTACACTCTACAATAGATACACTCAATGTCCTCCATCTGGGGATCCTCCTACACTCTACACTAGACACACTCAATGTGCTCCATCTGGGGATCCTCCTACACTCTACAATAGAAACACTCAGCGTCCTCCATCTGGGGATCCACCTACACTCTACAATAAACCAACTCAATTTGCTCCATCTGGGGATCCATCTACACTCTACACTAGACACACTCAATGTCCTCCATCTGGGGATCCTCCTACACTCTACAATAGACACACTCAATGTCCTCCATCTGGGGATCCTCCTACACTCTACACTAGACACACTCAATGTCCTCCATTGGGGGGATCCATCTACACTCTACAATAGACACACTCAATGTCGTCCATCTGGGGATCCTCCTACACTCTACAACAGATACACTCAATGTCCTCCATCTGGGGATCCTCCTACACTCTACAATAGACACACTCAATGTCCTCCATCTGGGGATCCTCCTACACTCTACAATAGACACACTCAATGTCCTCCATCTGGGGATCCTCCTACACTCTACAATAGACACACTCAATGTCCTCCATCTGGGGATCCTCCTACACTCTACAATAGACACACTCAATGTGCTCCATCTGGGGATCCTCCTACACTCTACAATAGAAACACTCAGCGTCCTCCATCTGGGGATCCACCTACACTCTACAATAAACCAACTCAATTTGCTCCATCTGGGGATCCACCCACACTTTGCAATAGACACACTCAATGTCCTCCATCTGGGGATCCACTTACCCTTTACAGTACACACACTGAATGTCCTCCATCTGGGGATCCAGCTACACTCTACACTAGATACACTCAATGTCCTCCATCTTGGGATCCAGCTATACTCTACAATAGAAACACCCATCTGGGGATCCACCTACACTCTACACTAGACACATTCAATGTCCTCCATCTGGGGATCCACCTACACTCTACAATAGAAACACTCAGCGTCCTCCATCTGGGGCTCCACCTACACTCTACAATAGACACACCCATCTGGGGATCCACCTACACTCTACAATAGACACACCCATCTGGGAATCCACCTACACTCTATTGTAGATCCACAATCTACAATAGACACACTCAGCGTCCTCCATCAGGGGATCCACCTACACTGTACAATAGAGATACCCAGTGACCACCATCTTGGCACCCACCCACACTACAATAGAGATAGATTCCCAGTGTCCCCTATTTGGGGAACCTACCTGCACTCTGCAATGAATATGCACATCAACTTTCTGGGGTTTCTCCTTGCAATCTGGGATAGACCTATTCGTTGTTCACTGCCCTTGAGTAGCTGAGGGTCGTTGCTCAGGCATTTTTGGAAGGAAGTTTGGTCTTAATCTAAGGCATCTTTGGAAGGAAAGTTGGTCTTAACCTAAGGCATTTTTGGAAGGAAGATTGGTATTATCCTAAGGCATCTTTGGAAGGAAGGTTGGTCTTAATGTAAGGCATCTTTGGAAGGAAAGTTGGTCTTAACCTAAGGCATTTTTGGAAGGAAGGTTGGTCTTAACATAAGGCATTTTTGGAAGGAAGGTTGGCCTTAATCTAAGGCATTTTTGGAAGGAAGGTTGGTCTTATCCTAAGGCATCTTTGGAAGGAAGGTTGGTCTTAATGTAAGGCATCTTTGGAAGGAAGGTTGGTCTTAATCTTGTGTCCACCTGCAGCCTGCTATGTTTTATTCTTGGGTTTTCTCTCACTTTTTTGCCTAGCAGAAGCAAGCCATGAAGCTGTGTCCATGAGATATTCTGTAGAGCCTGGAATAATCCCTCCTTTCCACGTCTTGTCCCGCCATGGAGTGCCCCAGAGTTCCGGGACGTGGAAGGTGCCGTCCCCTGCCTGACACGGTGCTGCCCAGCTCCCTCCTCATCCCGGTGGCTTCCCAAACTCCCCGGGCCTGCTGGAGGAAACACCTGTGCTGAAGACTCGGAGGCCCTTCCCTCCAAACCCTGACTCCGGGGTCAGCGACGCCAACAGGTGTTTTTTCTCAGAATCGCCTTCTTGTCTGAATTGAGCCCCAGGATCAGAAGGCCAAGGGGCCAGGGGTCAGACGCAGCCACGCAGGGTTCCCCGGGGGCCAGGGCTTACCAGGTGGTTAATATTATCAGAGCTCATTTGCTGAAGCTGGACTGGCGTGTTCTCGGCGGTCCCAAATAAATTTAACGAGAGCGACTTTCAAAGCCCACCTATTAGGACCGTCTGTTCAATGGACAGGAGGGTTAACCGTAATTCGAGGAGGCAGCTTGGCCGTCTCCAAATAGGAACACATGGACTGTGAGGCTTGGCCCCATTTGTGGTAATTTTAAGGTCTCGTTTCCATTTGTAAGAAACATAACTACTTACATATGGAAAGAATGAATAAGAGAAGTCATTAAAATTTCTCTAATTTAGGAAAAAAATAAAAAAAAAAAGATGTAACGAAGTAATATCTTTACCAGGCCAGGCAGAAATGTAAATTAGACATTAGAAGAAAAACCTATTAACAGGATGGCTGGATGGCTGCGTGGCTTGCCTGTTTTTTTTTTTTTTTAATCTAATGAATTTATGAATTGCTAGTTGTGGGGGTCACAGATTTTGTTAATTTCCTATGTGTTTAGCTCTGCAGTAAGAAGGGAGGATTTGCTTATGAACCACGGATGCTAAGTCCATTAGCGGGGCGGTTGCTAATCAGAACACAAATGGTAATACGTACGGTCCAGCATTGAAAAAAAAAAAGACAGAAAAACACATGAATTATTTCAAGTTGGGGTTTTTCCAACTTCTGTCCGTTGTCCCCACAGGTCATCAGAATATTTAAACATCAGGGAGTAAGAGGCGACCTAGCTAGGTAGCTGCCTGATTATAAAATATATGCAAAAGCTTTCTTTTTTTTTTTTTTTTTAAACAGAGTCTTGCTTTGTCGCCCAGGCTGGAGTGCAATGGTGAGATCTCGGCTCACTGCAACCTCCAGCTCCTGGGTTCCAGCGATTCTCCTGCCTCAGCCTCCCAAGGAGCTGGGATTACAAGCGCCCGCCACCACACCCAGCTCATTTTTGTATTTTTAGTAGAAACGGGGTTTCACCATGTTGGCCAGGCTGGTCTCGAACTCCTGACCTTAAGTGATCCACCTGCCTCCACTTCCCAAAGTGCTGGGATGACAGGCTTGAGCCACCGTGGCCGGCCAAAAAAAATTTTTTTTTAAACGGAGTCTTGCTCTGTTGTCTAGGCTGCAGCGCAATAGTGCAATCATGACTCACTGAAGCCTCAACCTCCCAGGCTCAGGTGATCCTCCCTCCTCAGCCTCCCAAGTAGCTGAAACTATAAGCATAGACAACCACATCTGAGTAGTTTTTAGGTTTTTTGTAGAGACAGGTTTTCACCATCTTCCCCGGGCTGGTCTCCAACTCTTGAGCTCAAGCCATCTGCAGGTCTTGGACTCCTGAAGAGCTGGAATTACAGGCATGAGCCACGGTGGCCAGTGTTAAAATGTTTTGTTGCCAGGCCAGGCACGGTGGCTCACGCCTATAATCCCAGCACTTTGGGAGGTTGAGGCAGGTGGATCACCTGAGGTCGGGAGTTCGAGACCAGCCTGGCCAACATGGAGAAACCCCATCTCTACTAAAAATACAAAAATTAGCTGGGTTTGATGGTGGGTGCCTGTAATCCCAGCTACTCAGGAGGCTGAGGCAGGAGAATCACTTGAACCCAGGAGGCAGAGTTTGCAGTGAGCTGAGATCGTGCCACCAAACCCAGATAATTTTGTTTGTTTGTTTGTTTGTATTTTTAGTAGAGAAGGAGTTTCACTATGTTGGCAAGGCTGGTCTTGAACTCCTGACCTTGTGATCCACCTGCCTCAGCCTCTCAAAGTGCTGAGATTACACATGTGAACCACTGTGCCCAGCCCATCCCCTCTTCTTATGAGGTGTCTTAGTCGATTTCAGGCTGCCATCTCAGAACACCATAGACTGGGTGGCTTCAAAATAACAGACATTGATTCTCCCACAGTCCTGGCGGCTGGAAGTCTGAGATCAAGGTGTAGGAAGGGTTGGTTTCTCCTAAGGCCTCTCTCTTTGCCCTGTAGATGCCATCTTCTCCCTGTGTGCTCACAGGGTCATCCCTCTGTCTGTGTCTGTGTCCTCATCTCATCTTCTTATGGGATGTCTTAGTCCATTTCAGGCTGCTATCACAGAACACCATAGACTGGGTGGCTTAGAAACAACAAACATTGATTCTCCCACAGTCCTGGAGGCTGGAAGTCTGAGATTAAGGTGTGGGCAGGGCTGGTTCTTCCTGGGGCCTCTCTCCTGGGCTTGCCGACACCATAGTCTCCTTGCGTCCTCACACGGTCATCCCTCTGTGTGTGTCTGTGTCCTCATTTCCTCTTCTTATGGGATGCCTTAGTCCATTTCAGACTGCCATCACAGATCACCATTAGACTGGGTGGCTTAGAAACAACAGACATTGATTCTCCCACAGTCCTGCAGGCTGGAAGTCTGAGATGAAGGTGTGGGCAGGGCTGGTTCCTCCTGAGGACCCTCTCCTGTGCTTGCAGACCGTATCTTCTCCCTGAGTCCTCACGTGGTCCTCCCTCTGTGTGTGTCTGTGTCATCATCTCCTCTTCTTATAAGGACTTCTGCCTGGGCAACAAGAGCGAAAGTCTGTCTCAAAAAAAAAAAAAAAAAAAGTTTTGTTACCATCTTCTTCCCAGAACTGAGAAGGCTACAGAAACGCTGGTCCTGAAACGGTGTCCATTTCTCTGCTCAATTCTTCTGGGACTTCATCCCAGTAGGTTGAGACCAAGTAAATAAATGATAATCCTGGATAGCAGGTGTGTGCAGGTTTAAGAGGAGGCAGAGAGAGAAGGGAGCCATCATTTGCCCCAACCGCTCCATGTGTCTTCATCCTACTGTAATCAAGTGGAAATGAGTAAGAAGGAACCATGTCTGGGCCGGGCTCGGTGGCTCACTGCTGTAATCCCAGCACTTTAGGAGGCCGAGGCAGGCTCATTACAAGGTCTAGAGTTTGAGACCTTCCTGGGCAACATGGTGAAACCCAGTCTCTACTAAAAATACAAAAACTAGCCGAGTGTGGTGGTGCACACTTGTAGTCCCAGCTACTTGGGAGGCTGAGGCAGGAGAATCGGTTGAACCCAGGAGGTGGAGGTTGCAGTGAGCCAAGATCGTGCCACTGCACTCCAGCCTGGTGACAGAGTGAGACTCCACCTAAATAGAAAAAAAAAATTAATCAGATCTTGTGAGAACTCACTCAGTATCACGAGAACAGCATGAGGGTAACTGTCCCCATGATTAAATTACCTCCCACTGGGTCCCTCTCATGACACATAAGGAGTATGGGAACCACAATTCATGATGAGGTTTTGGGGTCGGGGGACACAGCCAAACCATATCAAACAGCTTTATTTTTGCCCCAAAAGAATTGACATGAGAATCTTGAAGAAATACCTGGATTCCCATACTCACTGATGAATTATCCACAATAGCCAAGACACGGACCAAACCAAGCAACCACGAATGGATGAATGGATAACGAAATTGGGAGAATTATCCACAATAGCCAAGACAGGGACCAAACCAAGCGGTCACGAATGGATGAATGGATAAAGAAATTGGGAGAATTATCCATAATAGCCAAGACATGGACCAAACCAAGTGACCATGAATGGATGAATGGTTAAAGAAACTGGGAGGATTATCCGCAATACCCAAGACACGGACCAAACCAAGTATTATCCACAATAGCCAAGACACGGACAAACCAAGCGACCAAAAATGGATGACTGGATAAAGAAATTGGAAGAATTATCCACAATAGCCAAGACATGGACCAAACCAAGAGACCATGAATGGATGAATGGAAACTGAGAGACCATGAATGGAGGAATGGATAAAGATATTGGGAGAATTATCCACAATAGCCAAGACATGCAACCAAACCAAGCGACCATGAATGGATGCATGGATAAAGAAATTGGGACATCAATAATATACATGCATTGGAATATTACTCAGCCTTGAAAAAGAAGAAAATCTTGCCATTTGCAACAACACAGGTGAACCTGGAGGACATTATGTTTCGTGAGATAAGCCAGGCACAGAAACACAAATACTTCATGATCTCCCTTAAATGAGAAATCTAAAATAGTCAAACTCATAGAAGCAGAGAGGAGAACTCATACCATGTTTTCTGTGGATTGACTTTGGCCAAGAAGAACAATGCATTCATGTGAGACACGTATATTCTTCTGCAGATGGGAACCAAAGGCCTTTGCTGTCTTCATGCCAGCAGCTGCCTGTCTTCATCCTCCGAGCCAAGAGATATTCCTCACATATTCCTCATAGCGGTGCCGCATCGTGAAACCACAGAAAAGAAGAGACACTTCTGAGCTCTGGACTTGCTTTCCGCGCTCCCACAAGAGCTGACCACAGGTTTCATCTGTCTTTTTCTCTTTCTTTTTTCATATTTTATTTTTCATTGACCAATAATAATTGCATGTATTTAATATGCAATCATTGTACCCCATAATATATGACACATAGAATATATAAAATATATAAATTTAAATTATATATAATATAATACATATATTTATATATCTATTTATATGTAAAATGAAATATATATACTATTGTACCGCATAATATATGTATAATATAATCAATACATATATTTTAAATATATTTACATATAAATGCATGTTTGTTATATGTATTGATTTATTATATTAAAATAAAATAAATATATATCATTGTGCCCCATTATATATTGATGTATGTTATATTATATCTATAAATATACATATTTAAAGATATATAATATATTTAACTATATTACATAGCAATCATATATCTTATATATAATATATAACATAATATATATTTATTAATTATATATTCTATAATTATACATATACTATATACTACATACTATATTATATATTATATAGTAATTATACATGTTATATATTATATTATTATATATTATGTTTTATTATAATATATTATATAACATAATATATAATAATATATTATTATATATTGTTTTATTATAATATATTATATAACATAATATATAATAATATATTATTATATATTATGTTTTATATCATATATTATATAACATTATAAAATATAATAATATATTATTATATAGTATATTTTATTATATTATATAACATTATAAAATATAATATATTATTATATATAAAATATAATATATTACAATATAATTATATATTATATGATAATTATACATGTTATATATTATAATTAATAATAAAATAATACAGCATGTAATATATCATATATCATATAATATATACTATATAAGTATGTATTTACATATACATATTTATATGTATTTATATGTATTAAATGTATAATAAAATAAATATATATTATTATACTCTATTATGTATACACACACACATATATACCCTATTATATACATATACATGTAATGAATTGAAATTAGGATCTATAATGTATATGTTATGGGGTACAATGTGACGTTTTGACATAGGCTTATATACATTTCACATTTCGAAATCTCTAAAAGAGTCAATTTTCAACGTTCTGTCCAAGCCCATGTTTAATGTGGTTGTTGAAAGTGCCAGCGAACATTTAGGACGTCCCCGGCTGCACACGTCTCCTTACCCTCCATGCCAAGGCACCATCTTCTCCCAAGCTGGGTTCTTGGCATTTTGCAAAACAATGTGCCATGCCTAGGCCCCCAAATCCCTGGCATCCTATAAATGCATTCAACGAGGCTGGGCGCAGTGGCTCACGCCTGTAATCCCAGCACTATGGGAGGCCAAGTAGGGTGGATGGCCTGAGGTCAGGAGTTCGAGACCAGCCTGGCCAACATAGTGAAACCCTGACTCTACTAAAAATACAAAAATTACCCAGGCATGGTGGTGGGCACCTGTCATCCCAGCTACTCAGGAGGCTGAGGCAGGAGAATCGATTCAACCCGGGAGACAGAGGTTGCAGCGAGTCGAGATCGCGCCACTGCACTCCAGCCTGAGGTCAGGAGTTCGAGACCAGCCTGACCAACATGGTGAAACCCTATCTCCACTGAAAATACAAAAATTAGCCGGGCATGGTGGCGCGGGCTTGTAATCGCAGCTACTCAGGAGGCTGAGGCAGGAGAATCGCTGGAACGCGGGAGGTGGAGGTTGCGGTGAGCCGAGATTGTGCCATTGCACTCCAGCCTGGGCAACAAGAGCGAAACTCCGTCTCAAAATAAATACATAATAGACAGATAGATGATAGATACATAGATAGATAGATAGATAGATAGATAGATAGATAGATAGATAGATAGATACATTCCAGGTCCCCTCAGTTGGCACGCCTGACTTCTTAGGTTGGATAATTTCTTAGGATAAGAAATCCGAGCCTAATTTCTTAGGATAAGAAATCTGTCTTAGGATAAGAAATATGAGGACAGACAGAGGAAACCCAAACACATTGCAAGAAGAAATGCTTCAGGCCCAGATTCTTGGGTGTCTGGCTGTCTTCCTGAGCCTCCCAAATGCGTCTTTCGTAACCTAAGAGAGCTCTGGAAACAGTGGGGTTTGTATATGTGGGGTTTGCCGGTCTCCTAGGGCAGGTGGTAAAAGGAGATTGTCCTAAGCGGTGGTTTATGGGGCTCCGGGGGTGTGTGAACGGCCTCAGAGCACCGTTTAGACAAGCGCAAACATAAAAGTGAGAGGCTGCTGGAAACGTTTAAAGAAGAGGGAAGAGGCGGCCGGGGGAGTCGGGGGCCTGATCCAGCACCTTGGCCCTGTCGATTTTCACGTCCCGACCACACTGGGTGTGGATGGAAATAGCTGGGTGGGTTTGTGTGAATTAAAACATTTATAGAGCCCTATGCTCCTGTTACCTCTTAGGCGACTTATTAAAGTACAGTTAGTGTAAACACGGGGGTCGTAAACCTGCAGGGCTCAAGCACCAATTAAAATAATAAAAAACAAGAGGCCACCGCACACTGAGGGGTCTTTGGCACGGGCTGCAAGGGGGAGGAGGAGGGAGGCCAAGCCAGGCTCCCTGGGAGGGGAGCCCGGAGGATTCCAGCTCCACCAAGAAACACAGAGGTCAGAGTGAAAGAAACAGTGCAATAGGGATTCTGGAAAGAAAAAGGCACCTTGACAGCAGAGATTTCAAACCAGGAGATGCATCCCCAGATATGGGACAGTTGAAGATTAAACAGCTGTTGGGGGGTTAATTCTGGGTTCCATAAAGACGTAGAGATTTCATGCTGTAGACCCAGGTACAATGGGGACGTCACCAAACTGCTCAGCAGCTGGTTTTGGGATGCAAGAAGGGCTATGCCTTCCCCCTGGGGCTGGGATGGAGGAAGAGTCGTGTCTACACCTGAACTCTCTGGGATTGAGATGGAGGAGGTGGTGTCCACACCCTCACCCACTGGGGCTGCCATGGAGGAGGAGGAGGGAGGTGTCCACACTCTCCACCCTGGGGTTGGGATGATGGAGGAGGAAGAGGAGGGGTGGTGTCCACACCCTCAACCACTGGGGCTGCCATGGAGGAGGAGGAGGGGCGGTGTCCATGGAGGAGGAGGAGGGGCGGTGTCCACACTCTCTCTCCTGGGGCTGGGATGATGGAGGAGGAGGAGGGGCCGTGTCCACACTCTCCTCCCTGAGGCTGGGATGATGGAGGAAGAGGGGTGGTGTCCACACCCTCACCCCTGGGGCTGGGATGGAGGAGGAGGAGGAGGGGCCGTGCCACATTCTCAGCCCTGGGGCTGGGATGGAGGAGGAGGGGTGGTGTCCACACTCTCTCTCTTGGGGCTGGGATGATGGAGGAGGAGGAGGGGCCGTGTCCACACTCTCCCCCCTGGGGCTGGGATGATGGAGGAAGAGGACTGGTGTCCACACCCTCACCCCTGGGGCTAGGATGGAGGAGGACGAGGAGGAGGGGCCGTGCCACATTCTCAGCCCTGGGGCTGGGATGATGGAGGAGGAGGAGGGGCTGTGTCCACACTCTCCCCCCTGGGGCTGGGATGATGGAGGAGGAGGAGGGGCTGTGTCCACACTCTCCCCCCTGTGGCTGGGATGATGGAGGAAGAGGACTGGTGTCCACACCCTCACCCCTGGGGCTAGGATGGAGGAGGAGGAGGAGGGACCGTGTCCACACTCTCCCCACTGGGGCTGGGATGGAGGAGGAAGAGGGGTGGTGTCCACACTCTGCCCTCTGGGGCTGGGATGGAGGAGGAGGAGGAGGGGCTGTGTCCACATTCTCAGCCCTGGGGCTGGGATGGAGGAGGAATTGGCTCTCTCATGATGCCCTCATTCCTCCCTGTCCTCCTGAAAGCGCCTTTGCAAAAATTATAACTGAAGAAATTACGACAGCGAAAGAGACCTAACCACCCACCTCCCCCCGCCCCATCTTCTTTCTAACCTCGAAACTGTCTTTATTCATTCCTGGGCATAGTAGCCTCAGAAGGAATTTAGTTTATAGTTTAAACTCTGAAACAAAACTGACAATAGCCCTTTTCCGGGAGGGCAGGGACGGCAGGAACCTTCTTGCTTGGGGACCAGCCTGCCTTGGCAGGACTAATAAATTAGCTACAAGATTAGGAATTACGCCTGAAGGACCATGCAGCCTCTGGTTCCAAGAGTCTGAACCTCCCACATATAGCTCCTGGGGATAACATCATTGTTGCAGAACCCAAGATCGGTGTTTGAGATATTTTGCAGATCCCGGATTCCAATGCAGCCGATGACACCACACAGACCGGTAACGTGGCTCAACCAGATATCAGCCATCCCACACAGGAACAGAAGACAGCACGGACTCACTTCAAACCCCTGTGATTTCACCCTCAACCTGACCAACCAGCACTCTCTGCTTCCTGAGCCCCCACCCACCAAATCATCCTTAAAAACTCCAATCGCTGGCCAGGTGCAGTGACTCACGCCTGTCATCCCAGCACTTTGGGAGGCCGAGGGGCTTTCTGTTGTCATCCTTTTTGAGCAAAATCCTGGGAACTTCATACATTGTTTGTTCCAGTATCTTCTCAGTTAATGGAGCTCCTTTGAAATGCTGACGGTCTGCTTACACAGGTTAACTCCTTGAGGAAGGGGGTTGGGTAAGGAGCACTTAGTGTCTTGTAAATCAAGGGGCCAAATGGAGTGCGTCCGGCTTTCCCAGCTGAGAGAGAGTCTATTCTCATGGGAAACAAGGCTAGGTCATTAAAGAGACAAAAAGGGAACGTCTAAAAGTAGGGTTAGTAAAAAAAACAAGGTTAGGCATTACACGTTGCTGATTGATTGACGCATGTCGTCCTCGGAGGAGCCTCCGATGAAGTCTCCTGGGTTTGAGTTGCAGCCTGGGATGGCCCTGCTGGACCTCAAGTGACCTCACCAACGAAATCTGGTTGAGTGTGTCTGATGGGACGTATGTGTGGAGCAATCAGCAGCATCCCAACAGCCGTGTGTGTCATTGGAAAGACCAGCGTGGCCGTGTCTGCGGTCAAAGCAACATCTCTTTTATTTTTTTCTTTTGAGATGGAGTCTCGCCCTGTCTCCCAGGCTGCAGTGCAGTGGTGCAGTCTTGGCTCACTGCAACCTCCACCTCCCGGGTTCAAGCGATTCTTCTGCCTCAGCCTCCCGAGTAGCTGGGTGACCGAGTACAGGTGCCTGCCACCACACCTGGCTAATTTTTGTATTTTTAGTAGAGACGAGGTGTCACCATGTTGGCCAGGCTGGTCTGGAACTCCTGACCTCACATGATCCACTCACCTTGGCCTCCCAAAGTGCTGGGATGACAGGCGTGAGCCACCTCACCTGGCCTAAGGCAACATCTTAAAACCAATTTTCCACTGCCCACTTCCTGGGATGCTCTTTGAGAAGAACTTACTTCTTTCTCAAATTAATGAGCGTTTTGCCCCGATATTCACCCATGCGTTTCTGATACGTTTGCAATTAACCTGGAGGGACTTGTGTGAGCTTATTTATTTTTCCCTAATACGTAGACATGGGTTTTAACAGATTTGAGGATCCTACGGAATTCCAGCGCTCGGGGCCAGATCCTGAAGCCTCCAGATGTCGGGTGTCGTAACCACACAGCCCGCCTTGTTATTTCACTGCAGGTGGAGTTTTCCTCGTTTACCCTCTGTGGACAGCATTCTCTTCCCCTTGTCCTGATAGGAGGCAGCCAGATGCCTAGGCAGGAAGGGGCAGGTGCCTGGTGAAACCCCACCTTCGAGTCAAAAACAGGCTGAGAACCGAAAGACCAGCCTGCTGGTCCAGAATGAAACTCGCCACCCAGAGTGACAACATCTGTTCCTATTTGCCTGCCCTTTCCCAATTGATTCTTTCTGAATAATTTTTTAATTAAATTAAATTAAATTAATTATTTATTTATTTCTGAGACAGAGTCTCGCTGTGTCGCCCAGACTGGAGTGCAGTGGAGAGATCTCAGCTCACTGCAACCTCTGCCTCCCGGGTTCAAGCAAGTGTCCTCCCTCAGCCTCCTGAGTAGCTGGGATTACAGTTGCTGGCCACCACGCCTTGGTAATTTTGGTATTTTTAAATAGAGATGGGGTTTCTCCATGTTGGTCAGGCTGGTCTGTAACTCCTGACTTCAGGAGATCCACCCACCTCAGCCTCCCAAAGTGTTGGAATGACAGGTGTCAGCCACCACACCCAGCCTGAATAATGCTTTTTAATCAATCTGACCACCGGCCTCAGCCTCCCAAAGTGTTGGAATGACAGGCGTCAGCCACCACACCCGGCCTGAATAATGCTTTTTAACCAATCTGACCTCAGGCGATCCACCCGCCTCAGCCTGCCAAAGTATTGGAATGACAGGCGTCAGTCAGCCACCACACCCAGCCTGAATAATGCCTTTTAATCAATCAAATGTTCCCGTTTCCAATACTACCTATGGCCCGCCCCTCCCCACTTCCCTTCTCTGAGGAAAGCTGTCTCATCACGTAATAAAACTCCCTGGTTTGCTCACTCTTCAGTTCTCAGCATGTCCTCATTCTTCTTGGACGCTGGACAACAACTCGGGAACCAAGATTTCACCGTTGCAATACAACCTGGGCGACAAGAGCGACCAAGGCAGGCGGATCACGAGGTCAGGAGATCGAGACCGTCCTGGTTAACACAGTGAAATCTCAGCTCACTGTGACCTCTGCCTTCTGGGTTCAAGCAATTGTCCTGCCTCAGCCTCCCAAGTAGCTGGGATTACAGGTGTGCCTAAGCCTAGCTCTGGTGGAGCATCACCAGCTGGAGGTCCCCGGCTTGCAAAGTGACCAAGAACTAAATCCTCCATCATTTCTACCCTCCAAACCCCAGAAAAAGAGACTGCAACCACTCAACTGCACAGCCAATAGCTGTGAACAAGAAGTTCAGGAACCATGGCCAAAACATTCAGGAACCTTGGCCAAAAGTTCACAGAAGTGGAGTTTAACTAAGAAGTTGATTCTGGCAATGCTTTTCCCATTAACTGGTGCATGAAATGAATTTCTTGTTTCAATAGAAACACTGCATTTTTCATTAGAGAAAATAAGCCAGAGACAGAGGCGTATGCCTATAAACCCAACATTTTGAGAGGCTGAAGTGGGAGGATTTCTTGAATCCAGGAGTTCGAGACCAGCCTTGGCAACATAGGAAGACTCTGTATTTACAAAGAATACAAAAACTAGTCCGGGTGCGGTGGCTCACGCCTGTAATCCCAGCACTTTGGGAGGCCGAGGCGGGAGGATCACGAGGTCAGGAGATCAAGACCATCCTGGCTAACATGGTGAAACCCCGTCTCTACTAAAAATACAAAAAATTAGCCAGGTGCGGTGGCAGGCGCCTGTAGTCCCAGCTACTCAGGAGGCTGAGGCAGGAGAATGGCGTGAACCTGGGAGGTGCAGCTTGCAGTGAGCCAAGATCGCGCCACTGCACTCCTGCCTGGGCGACAGAGCGGGACTCTGTCTCCAAAAACAAAAAAAAAAAAAAAAAAAAAAAAAGCTGGCAAAAGACATCTCCAGGATGTGGACAAGACACCTGCACCCCTAGCTCAGCTCCCCCACCATGACCTGGTTCTGGCCCTATGAAACCCTGCTATACTCTGTAAGCCAGGCTGCCTACTCTAACTATGGTGGAATTTTAGGTCTCCTCATGCTTTCTCTCAGCTGACCTTCCACCTTCCACCTCAGCCTCCCAAGCACCTGGGACTATAGGTGTGCACTGCTACACCCAGCTAATTTTTGTCATTTTTGTAGAACCGTAGATTTGCAATGTTGCCCAGGCTGGTCTTGAAGTCCTGAGCTCAAGCCATCCTCCCACCTGAGCCTCCCAAGTAGCCAAGACCACAGGTGTGACAATCATTCCCAGCTAGCTATTTTCGTTTTTATTGTTTCTTTGTTTTGAGATGGAGTCTCACTCTGTCACCCAGGCTGGAGTGCAGTGGTGCGATCTCGGCTCACTGCAAGCTCCGCCTCCCAGGTTCACGCCATTCTCCTGTCTCTGCCTCCTGAGTAGCTGGGACTACAGGCGCCCGCCACCAGGCCCAGCTAATTTTTTGTATTTTTAATAGAGACGGGGTTTCACCGTGTTAGCCAGGATGGTCTTGATCTCTTGACCTCGTGATCCACCCGCCTTGGCTTCCCAAAGTGCTGGGATTGCAAGCATGAGCCACCGTGCCCAGTGAGGAAATCTAATTTCTGTTTTTTTTTTTTTTTTTGAGACAGAGTCTCACTCTGTCACCCAGGCTGGAGTGCAGTGGTGCGATCTCGGCTCACTGCAACCTCCATCTCCCAGGTTCAAGCGATTCTCGTACCTCAGCCTCCCGAGTAGCTGGGACTACAGGAGTGTGCCGCCACGCCTGGCTAATTTTTGTATTTTTAGTAGAGATGGGGTTTCACAATATTGGCGAGGCTGGTATTGAACTCCTGACCTCGTGAACCGCCCGCCTCGGCCTCCCAAAGTGCTGGGATTACAGGCGTGAGGAAATCTAATTCTAAGACAGGGCTGTGATTGGAGACTGGTCTAGCGACTGCATGGGGCTTAGGTCTCGAGTGAGTGGCTTGTATTGTGTCAACATTCTCCTCCCACAGAAAGGGGATGTGGATGCTTTGAAAGGGTACGTTTGAGTTTTTGCTCTTGAGAAAGTGTTCTATTCTCTATCCTCTGCAAATCTACCTAGGGAAGACACACCACTACCTCTAGCAGTAGAGACCAAAGACCTTCATGTATACAGCAAGTCCCATACCCACCGCTGCCTTAGGAAGGCAGAAGCTCCCCCAACAAGGAGACTTCTCGTACAAGGAAAGATGGACCTGTTACCGGACAGTGGTCTCAATCCGGATCCCAAGAGAGGGTTCCTGGATCCGGTGCGAGAAAGAATTCAGGGCGGGTCCACAGTGCAAAGCAAAAGTAAGTTAATCACAAAAGTAAAGTGGCAAAAATACAGCTACCCCATAGCAAACAGGTTTGCTGAAAAGGTAGCCAAAGATAGTGAGGGAACTGATGAATTCACTGTGGCTAAATCCAGCTAAGGAGGACTCAGCTTCTACATCTAGGTATCAACAACCATCTGATTGATCCGACAGGCCCAGTTTCCACAGCATTTAAGATTATTAAGAAGGCCGGGCGTGGTGGCTCACGCCTGTCATCCCAGCACTTTGGGAGGCTGAGGCGGGCGGATCACGAGGTCAGGAGATCGAGACCATCCTGGCTAACACGGTGAAACCCCGTCTCTACTAAAAATACAAAAAATTAGCTGGGCATGGTGGTACACGCCTGTAGTCCCAGCTACTTGAGAAGCTGAGGTGGGAGGATCACTAGAACCCAGGAGTTCAAGGCTGCTGTGAGCCATGATTGTGCCAATGCACTCCAGCCTGGGCAACAGAGTGAGACCCTACCTCAAAATAAGTACATAAATAAGAGAATAAGAAAACAATTACATTAACAATAACACCAAAAAGAATAAAACACTTAGAAATTAATCGTGAAAGTAGATTTGTACACCAAAAACTAAAACATTAAAAAACAAAAACAGGCTGGGCGCGGTGGCTCACGCCTGTCATCCCAGCACTTTGGGAGGCCGAGGCGGGCGGATCACGAGGTCAGGAGATCGAGACCATCCTGGCTAACACAGTGAAACCCCGTGTCTACTAAAAATACAAAAAATTAGCCGGGCATGGTGGTGGGTGCCTGTAGTCCCAGCTACTCGGGAGGCTGAGGCAGGAGAATGGTATGAACCCGGGAGGCGGAGGTTGCAGTGAGCCAAGATGGCGCCACTGCACTCCAGCCTGGGCGAAAAAGCGAGACTCCATCTCAAAAAAAAAAAAAAGATTATTAAGAAAGCAAAGTGCTGAAAGTACTGAAGGGATGGGTTGCTGTGGAACGAGAGACTTGGAAAAGAAAAAGACACAGAGACAAAGTATAGAGAAAGAAAAATGGGCCCAGAGGAACCAGCGTTCAGCATACGGAGGACCGGCGCCGGCACCGGCCTCTGAGTTCCCTTAGTATTTATTGATCATTATCTGGCGTTTCTTGGAGAGGGGGATGTGGCAGGATAATAGGATAATAGTGGAGAGAAGGTCAGCAGGAAAACTTGTGAACAAATATCTCTGCATCATAAACAAGGTAAAGAAAAAAGTGCTGTGCTTTTGATGCACATATACATAAACATCTCAGTGCCTTAAAGAGCAGTATTGTTGCCAGCATGTCCCACCTCCAGCCCTAAGGCGGTTTTCCCCTATCTCAGTAGATGGAATGTACAATCGGGCTTTACACCGAGACATTCTATTGCCCAGGGATGAGCAGGAGACAGATGCCTTCCTCTTACCTCAACTGCAAAGAGGACTTCCTCTTTTACTAATCCTCCTCAGCACAGACAGAATAAGGGGTTCCCAAAAGTAAGAGGAGGAACGCGTCCTCCCTAGGTACAATATTCATTTATATATATGATTTAAAAAAAGATCATGGGCAAGCCGGGCGTCGTGGCTCACGCCTGTCATCCCAGCACTTTGGGAGGCCGAGGCAGGTGGATCACCTGAGGTGGGGAGTTCGAGACCAGCTTGACCAACATGGAGAAACCCCGTCTCTACTAAAAATACACAAATTAGCCAGGCACGGTGGTGCATGCCTGTAATCCCAGCTATTTAGGAGGCTGAGGCAGGAGAATCGCTTGAACCCAGGAGGCGGAGGTTGCAGTGAGCTGAGATCACACCATTGCACTCCAACGTGGGCGACAGAGCAAGACTCTGTCTCAAAAAAAAAAAAAAAGAGAGAGAGAGAGATCATGGGGAGATGTGCTCGTCTATAAGGATTTGTGATAAAGGATTAGTTTTCTTAATTACTATATATATATGTATATATAAATTTTTTTGAGACAGTGTCTCAATCTGTTGCTCAGGCTGGAGTGCAGTGGCACGATCTCAGCTCACTGCAACCTCCAACTCCCAGGTTTAACTGATCCTCCCACCTCAGCCTCCTGAGTAGCTGGGATTACAGGCACACACCACCACACCCGGTTAATTTTTGTATTTTTAGTACAGACAGGGTTTCACCATGTTGGCCAGGCCTGTCTTGAACTCCTGACCACCGATATCTGCCCACCTTGGCCTCCCAGAGTGCTGGGATTACCAGCATGAGCCACCGCGCCCAGCCCTGCACCTCCCTTTTAATTCATATAAGGGTGGGCTTGCAATATACTTCCAGGCCAAAGTTTGAGCTCAAAACTTGCATTTTCAGACATTACTTTGAAGCGTTTGAATAACAACAAATGCTTGGCAGCTGCAATACCATTATTTACTCTACCTTTATTTCATTATTAATGTGCTGTTCTCAGTATATTAACATGAAGCGTTGGCTGCGGTCAGAGATGGAGATTTTATTATTTATATGTAACAAATGTATTCATTAATAATTGAATTACACAGACAGCACACAAATAAATATAGCAAATTATTAATTTATAACACACTGGGGGGGATTTATAAAATTCCAGTAAATACAGTCTTTAATCAACTATAGACTTTTTTAAAAAAACACTTTATATTAGGATTCACATCTTGTTTATCTTCCTTTGTTGTATATTTCTGTATTTGCGTATTAGCAGATATAAGCTACATTTAAAGATAGTATACATATATCTCTTTTTCTTTTGTAGAGATAAAGTCTCACTATGTTGCCCAGGCTGGTCTCAAATTCCTGGTCTCAAGTGATCCTCCTGCCTTGGCCTCTCAAAGTGCTGGGATTATAGGCATGAGCCACCATACCAGGCTAGTATACATATTTTGTTAAAATAATACAGATAATATAATATAGTATAATACAATATGTAGGAGATATAGCTCAGAAAACAGGTTTACTGAAATGGTAGACAAAGATAGTGAGTAAATTAATGAATTCACTGTGGCTAAATCCACTAAGTAGGACTCAGCTTGTATATCTAGGTATCATCAACCATTTGATTGATTTGAAATGCCCAGTTTCCAAGTCTAACCATTGTTGAGGATGTATAAATTATACTGAACTTGAAGTTGACAGAGTGCAAATTATTTTGCATGCATTTTACAGCAAGGACCGAGCCTCAATTTTTTTTTTTTTTTTTTTGGCATCGTGAGAATTGAAATAAAGACATTTATATAGGAGTTAAGAAGAAATCACTTAGGCAGATGGTAAGGCTATGGAAGTCCTTAGTAAGGCTTTTCTCTTTAATGAAAACCAGCCCCAAATCATTTTCTAACAAAGAGCAGTCTGTAAAATTGAGCTGCATCGAGCTGCAGACATAGACAAGCCAGCTGGGAGCTTGCACGGGTGAATGCCGGCAAAACGTAGGGACTAGACACGTTCAAGATGGCGGCTCCATCTTCCCGGCAGGAACTACGGACTAGACACCTTCAAGATGGCGTCTTCATCTTCCCGGCAGGAACTAGGGACTAGACACGTTCAAGATGGCGGCTCCATCTTCCCGGCAGGAACTACGGACTAGACACCTTCAAGATGGCGGCTCCATCTTCCCGGCAGGAACTAGAGACTAGACACGTTCAAGATGGCGGCTCCATCTTCCCTCCTCTTTGTCAACCGCATGTACAGTAAGAAAAGCAGACAAGATGGCGCCGATCAACTGGAAATCCCATTTGCTTAAGATTAGGGTGGGGCGACCAGCCTTCCCCACGCACTCTATGGATGTCATGCCGGATGGAACCAATCTTTGAGCCCTACGTAAATGAAACACCGCCTTCACCAGCCTGCCTATAAAGTCTGCAGAGGTCAGGTGCCTCCCACCTTTTTGGCTCTCTTTCTCTCTCTCTCTCTCTCCTTCCCTCCCTCCCCTTCCCTCCCCTTCCCTCCCTCTCCCTCACTCTCCCCCACTCCCTCTCCCCCTCCCCCTTTCTCTCTCTCTCTCTCTCTCTCTCTCTCTCTCTCACAAGGAGCTGCTCTCCTCCTTTCTTCTGTTGAGACGTGTGTGTGTCTGTCTTTCTGTCTCTTTCTCTCTCTCTCTCTCGCAAGGAGCTGCTCTCCTCCTTTCTTCTGTTGAGACGTGTGTGTGTCTGTCTTTCTGTCTCTGTCCCTCTGTCTCTTTCTCTCTCTCTCTCTCTCTCTCTCTCTCTCTCTCGCAAGGAGCTGCTCTCCTCCTTTCTTCTGTTGAGACGTGTGTGTGTCTGTCTTTCTGTCTCTGTCCCTCTGTCTCTTTCTCTCTCTCTCTCTCTCTCTCTCTCGCAAGGAGCTGCTCTCCTCCTTTCTTCTGTTAGGACCTGCGTGTGTGTCTGTGTTTCTGTCTGTCTCTGTCCCTCTGTCTCTCTCTCTCTCTGTCTCTGTGTCTCTCAGTCTGTCTCTCTCTCCCTCTCTCTCTGTCCATCTCTCTCTCTCTGTCTCTCTCTCTGTCCCTCTGTCTCTGTCTCTCTGTCTCTCACAACGAGCTGCTCTCCTCTCTCCTTTCTTCTGTTTGGACGAGTGTGTGTGCCTGTGTCTGT
This sequence comes from Homo sapiens, assembly GCF_000001405.40. Lineage (NCBI taxonomy): Eukaryota > Metazoa > Chordata > Mammalia > Primates > Hominidae > Homo > Homo sapiens. The sequence goes on from NC_000024.10 coordinate 991,133, forward strand.
CTGTCTGTCTGTCTCACTGTCTCTCTCTGTCCCTCTGTCTCTCTCTATATCTGTCTGTCTGTCTCTTCCTCTCTGTCTGTCTCTCTCTCTGTCTCTGTCTCTGTCTCTCTCTCAAGGAGCTGCTCTCCTCTCTTTTTTTCTCTTCAGACTTGTCTGTGTGTGTGTGTCTGTCTGTCTGTCTCTCTGTCTCTCTCTGTCCCTCTGTCTCTCTCTGTCCCTCTGTCTCTGTCTCTTTCTCTATCGCAAGGAGCTGCTCTCCTCTCTTCTGTTTGGACCTCTCTGCTTGTGTGTGTCTGTGTGTGTGTGTGTGTCTGCCTCTCTCTCTCTCTCTCTCTCGCAAGGAGCTGCTGTCCTCTCTCCTTTCTTCTGTTCAGACCTCTGTGTGTGTGTGTCTCTCTCTCTCTCTGTCTCTGTGTGTGTCTGTTTCTCTCTGTGTGTGTCTCTTTGTATCTGTGTGTTTGTGTGTGTCTGTCTCTCTGTCTCTGTCTGTCTGTCTGTCTTTCTCTCTCTCTCTCTCTCTCTCTCGCAAGGAGCTGCTCTCTTCTCTTTTCTCCTGTTTGGACTTGTGTGTGTGTGTCTGTCTCTCTCTGTCTGACTGCCTCTCTTTGTCTCTGTCTCTCTATCTCTCTGTCTGTCTCACAAGGAGCTGCTCTCCTCTCTCCTTTCTTCCCTGTCCTCAATTATTTCTCAGAGTGAGACAAGGAACTCCAGGGTATACACCCCGCACGACGTAGCTGTTTCCAACACCAGGGGTCTTAGCTAGAAAAAGTGAGTGTATGTAATCGTCAGCATTTGCTACTGATGACAGAATAGAACAAATTCTGCCAAGAGATTTAAAGAGGTTTATTCTGAACCAATATGAGTGCTGAGCGCCTGTGCTCCAGGATTACATGGTCTCAAGAGATCTGAGAAAGTGTGTTCAGGAGGTCTGGTTACAGTTCCATTTTTATTTATTTATTTATTTTTATTTTTTTTAAATCGAGATGGAGTCTCACTCTGTCATCCAGGCTGGAGTACAATGGCGTGATCTCGGCTCACTGCAACGTCTGCCTCCAGGGTTCAAGCAATTTCCCTGCCTCAGCCTCCCGAGTAGCTGGGATTACAGGCCCCTGCCACCACACCTGGCTAATTTTTTGTATTTAGTACAGACGAGGTTTCACCATATTGGCCAGGCTGGTCTCAAACTCCTGACCTCAGTTGATTCTCCCACCTCGGCATCCCAACATACTGGTATTACAGGTGTGAGCCACCGCGCCCGACCTACAGTTCTATTGTATATATTTCAGGGAGACAGGAATTGTAGGTAAAATCATAAATCATTACATGGAAGGTATACCTTGTTTCGGCCTTAAAGATGAAACATCTCAAAGTGGGTTCCTACGAGTCACAGGTAGGCTTTAGGGATTCTTTAGTTGGCAATTGGTTGTATAAAACATAAAAATGTAAGGCCGGGCATGGTGGCCCACGCCTGTAATCACAGCACTTTGGGAGGCTGAAGCGGGTGCATCATCTGAGGTCAAGAGTTTGAAACCAGCCTGGCCAATATGGTGAAACCCTGTCACTACTAAAAATACAAAAATTAGCTGGGCCTGTAATCCCAGCTACTTGGGAAGCTGAGGCAGGAGAAACACTTGAATCCAGGAGGCAGAGGTTGCAGTGAGCTGAGATTGTGCCACTGCACTCCAGCCTGGGTGACAGAGTGAGGAAAGAAAAGAAAGGAAGGAAGGGAAAGACAAAAAGAAAAGAAAGAGAAAGAAGGAAAGAAAGAAAAAGAAAGGAAGGAAGGAAGGAAAAATAAAAGGAAGAGAAACAAAGGAAAGAAAAAAGGGAAGAAAGGGAAGGGTAAGGAAGAGAAGGGAGAGGGGAAAGAAAGGAAGAAAGGAATGAAAGAAAGGGAAAGGGGATAGAAAGGAAGAAAGGAATGAAAGAAAGGGAAAGAGGGAAGGAAAGAAAGAAAGAGAAAGAAAGAGAAGGAAGGAAAGAGGAAGGAAAAGGAAGGAAGGAAGGAAATATTTTTGTAGACGCAGTGATATGGTTTTGCTGTGTCCCCACCCAAATCTCAAATTGCAGCTCCCAAAATTCCCACGTGTCATGGGACTTACCCAGTGGGAGGTAACTGAATCACAGGGCAGGTCTTTCCCTTGCTGTTCACACAATAGTGAAGACGTCTCATGAGATCAGATGGTTTTATAAAGGGGACTTTCCCCTTTTCTCTTGCTTGCCACCATGGAAGACATGACTTTGCTCCTCCTTTGCCTTCCGCCATGATTGCGAGGTCTCCTCAGCCATGTGGAACTGTGAGTCCGTTAAACCTCTTTCCTTTATCTTTTACCCAGTCTCGGGCTGGGCGCGGTGACTCATGCCTGTCATCCCAGCACTTTGAGAGGCCGAGGCAGGAGGATCACCTGAGGTCGGGAGTTCAAGACCAGCCTGCCCAACGTGGAGAAACCCTGTCTGTACTAAAAATACAAAACTAGCAGGGCGTGCTGGCACGTGCCTGTAATCCCAGCTACTCGGGAGGCTGAGGCAGGAGAATCGCTTGAACCCGGGAGGCGGAGGTTGCAGTGAGCCGAGATGGCACCATTGCACTCCAGCCTGGGTGACAAGAGCAAAACTCCATCTCAATCAATCAATCAATCAATCAATAACCCAGTCTCAGGTATGTCTTTATTAGCAGCCTGAGAACAGAGTTATATACACAGAGTCTTGCTATGTTGCCCAGTCTGGTCTCGAACTTCTGGGGTAAGTGATGCTCCCACCTCAACCTCTCAAAGTGGTGGGATTACAGGCGTGAGCCGCCGCGCCCGGCCTCCATGAGTCTGATTTTAACCCATGTCTTTTGTATTTCTCAGTCCTTGTCCACACATCTCATCACACACGTGCGCAGCAAACAGGCACACCCAGTGTGAACCCAGGCACAGCTCTCCGAGAGAACTCTAGTCAACACGTCGTCCGTGGGACATCGGCTGTATTTCTGTTCCTTTCCTTCTTTTCTGTCTCTTTCTCTTATTTCCCAAAACTCCGTTGTGTTTCTGATTTGTTCACATCGCTTTCGGCAAAAGGAAAACACAATGGTAAGTGGGGTTTATAAATCTATCTTCGTTATCAAGGGAAGATTGAAACGGCATGGAGACAAATGAAATTAACTGTGCACGGGACACACCGTCAACAAAACGCTAATAAGTGCAGAAAGACTGTTTAGCAGGAAACATGTCCAAAAAAAAAAAAGAAAAGAAAGGATCTTAATCATGGTTTAAGCTTATCTGATGGATTTCAACAGAGACACATCAAGTCTAATTGAATGTTTACGTGCACTTTTTATGGTTTCTGTATTCTGTGTAATGAAATAACATTACAAAAAAGCGTTGAGACGCAAGAAACTCTGGGATTCTTCTAAAGGGAGAGTTGGAGTTACTACATTCAACATGGACGGCTTCTCTTCTGTATTTCAACAGCGTTATCGTCTGCAAATTTGGAGATTCTCTGAAAGCTTCACGGCCATCCTGGGTCTCAAACTCTTTGAATATTCATACTGTAAACTATCTGACAACATGGGATTGGGTTTTGGCATTCTCTAGGTCTACTGAGAGAGGTTCTGGAATGCAATTTAACTTTAAATGCCTACCTACCTACCTGCCTATCATCTATCTATCTGTCTAACATCTATCTGTCTTTCAATCATCTATCCATTCGTCTCATCTATCTACCTACCTATCTATTCATCCATCTCATCTATCCATCCATCCATCCATTCATCCTGCCATCTATCCATCTATGTATCTATCTATCTAGTCATCCATCTCATCTGTCTTCCTATCCATGTATCATCTATCTACTTACCTATTAACTATCATCTATCAATCAAGCTATCTATATATCCATCATCTATCTACCTTATCTATTATCAATCTATCGTGTGTCCATCTATGTACTATCACCTGTCAATCTGTCATCTACCATCTGTTTATCTACCCATCTCATCATCTATCAACTACCCATCCATCTTTATCTATCTATCTATGTATCTATCTATCTATCTTTTTTTTTTTTTTTTTGAGACAGAGTGTCACTCTGTCGCCCAGGCTGGAGTGCAATGGCGCAATCTCGGCTCACTGCAAGCTCCGCCTCCCAGGTTCACGCCATTCTCCTGCCTCAGCCTCCCGAGTAGCTGGGACTACAGGCGCCCGCCACCATGCCCGGCTAATTTTTTGTATTTTTAGTAGAGATGGGGTTTCACCGTGGTCTCGATCTCCTGACCTCGTGATCCGCCCGCCTCGGCCTCCCAAAGTGCTGGGATTACAGGCGTGAGCCACCGTGCCTGGCCCTATCTATCTATCTATCTATCTATCTATCTATCTATCTATCTATCATCTATCCATCCATCACATCTCTTTATCTACCCATTCATCTTATTTATTTGTCTATTTATGTATAATCGGTCTATCCATTTCATCTATCTATCTATATACCAACCTATCATCTATCTATCCATTCATCTATGTATATCTATCTATCCATCTATGTGTCTATCTACGTATCTATTATCTATCTATCCACTATCACTAATCTATCATCTATATATCCACCTATATCATCTATCATCTCTCGAGTCATGTCATGTATCATCCATCTATGTATCTATGTATGTATGTATGTATGTATGTATGTATCTATCTATCTATCTATCTATCATGAACCCAAAATATCTGAGACAGGTGTCAATCAATTTAGCAGGTTTATTTTGCCAACGTTAAAGACACACCCATGAGACGGCCTCAGGAGGTCCTGACGACAGGTGTTCAAGGTGGTTGGGTCACAGCTTGGTTTTATACATTTTAGAGAGACATGAGACATCAATCAATGTGTGATACTGTAAGTTGTGCATTGGTTTGGTCCGGAAAGGTGAGACAGCTCAAAGTGAGGAGGGGGCTTATAGGTGATAGGTAGGAATTTCCTTGTGGACAGATTGTGAGGGACATATGTGATCTTTGTATCTCTGTAGCGATCTTATTTACGAATAAAATAGGAGGCAGGTTTGCCTGATGCCGTTTCCATATTGACTTTTTCCTTTGGCTTAGTGATTTGGGAGTCCTAAGATTTATTTTTCTTCCTATCAATCTATCTATCTATCCATCCATCCATCTATTCATCCTTCCATCTATCCGTTTATGTATGTATGTATGTATCTATCTATCTATCTATCTATCTATCTATCTATCTGTCTGTCCATCCATCCATCTATTCATGTATGTATGTATGTATGTATGTATCTATCCACCCATCCATCCAGCTATTCATGTATGTATGTATGTATCCATCCATCCATCCATCCATTCATCTATGTATGTATGTATGTATGTATGTATGTATCTATCTATCTATCTATCTGTCGATTTATCCATCCATCCATCCATCCATCCATCTATCCATGTGTGTATGTATGTATGTATCTATCTATCCATCCATCCATCTATCCATCTAAGTATGTATGTATGCGTCTGTCCATCCATCCATCCATCTATTCATGTACGTATATATATATCTATCCATCCATCCATCCATCCATCCGTCCATCCATCTATCCGTCTATGTATGTATGTATGCATCTATCTATCCATCCATCTGTCCATCTATGTATGAATGTATGTATGTGTCTGTCTATCCATCCATCCATCCATCCATCTATTCATGGATGTATGTATCTATCCATCCATCCATCCATTTATGCATCTATGTATGTATGTATGTATGTATCCATCCATCCATCCATCTATCCATGTATGTATGTATCCATCCATCTATCCATCTATGTATGTATGTATGTATCTGTCTGTCTATCTATCCATCCATCCATCTATCCATGTATGTATGTGTGTATGTATGTATCTATCCATCTATGTATGTATGTATGTGTCTGTCTATCCATCCATCCATCCATCAACTCATGTATGTATGTATCTATCCATCCATCCATCTATTCATCTATGTATGTATGTATGTATCTATCTATCTATCCATCAATCCATCCATCCATCCATCTATCCATGTATTTGTGTATCTATCCTTCCATCCATCTATGTATGTATGTATATATTTATCTATCCATCATCTACCATCTATTTATCTATCTCATCTTTCTGTTTATCGTGTATCTATCAGTCATCTATCCACCCATCTCCTGCCCCCTCCCCCTGTGTATCTACTTGTGTACTTACCTATCTATGGCAACCAGAGAGCTTTTACCCCCAGGAGATATTTTGCAATATCTGGTGGCAATTTTGGTTGTCACAACTGGGGAGGGGGTGGTCCTGGCACCTGGTGGGTGAAGCCCAGGGTCTCTGCTCAACACCATACAGTGCCCAGGACAGCCCCACCGCGGAGAATCCTCCATCCCCAAATGTCAGCAGAGCCTGGGCAGAGAGACCTTGAAATAGACAAGCATTAATTTCTCTCAGCTATAGATTTGATAACTTAACAAAATGTCTGTTCCTTGCCACCTCCTCTGATTTTTCGCTTTTACAGTTCCCCCAAATGGAACGCCATAACTAACCACAACCACAAATACACTCAGAGCTAAAGCCACATGGCCCCCTATTGGAGGAAAAGCAGGACCCAAGAAACAATTCCTGGCGTCCAACTGACCTTTGCAGGTTTCGCTAGAACATTCAGAAGTCACTGTGGCTGTCCCCAGGGGCCCAGAGTCATTGTGAGAAGCTCAGAGAAGCAGGGGACCCCGCGGACAGCAGCTGGGCACGGGGTCCTTTGTGCAAAAGTCTTTCAAATTCAAATCTCCCTCCCTCCCCTGGGCTGTAAAATCCCTTCTCCCGCCAGTAACACAGCTCTCCCTGGATTTACAGCTGCAATGTTTACCACCAGCCTGCTGAGCTCACAGCTTAGAGCCAGGCTTACCCTTTCAGAGCGAATTTTCACTGAGGCCAGTCTACTTTCCAAGCAGCGACTCTGAGAATGTCTTCTAAGCTGTGGCATAACTGTCCAAGTGGTTCTTCCTGCCTGCTGAATAAAGACTCACAGCATTGCCGTAGACAAAGAATTTAAGAGACACAAGGCCGGCCATGCCATGTGGCAGGCGGAGTACCTACTCAAGGCTCAGAGATAGGGGTTTTTCAAAGGCAGTGTTGTTACCAGAAAGGGGTCTTGCTCCAGACCCCAAGAGAGGGTTCCTGGTCCTTGCACAAGAAACAATTCAGGGCGAGGCCATAGAGTAAAGTGAGAGCAAGTTTATGAAGAAAGTAGAGGGGCCAGGCGCGGTGATTCGAGCCTGTAATCCCAGCACTTTGGGAGGCTGACGCAGGTGGATCACCTTAGGTCAGGAGTTCGAGACCAGTCTGCCCAACATGGTGAAACCCCGTCTCTACTAAAAATACAAAAATTAGCTGGTCATGGTGGGCACCTGTCATCCCAGCTACTCGGGAGGCTGAGGCAGGAGAATCGCTTGGATCAGAAAGGCGGAGGTTGCAGTGAGCAGAGACCTTGTCACTGTGCTCCAGCCTGGGTGACAGAGCTGTGACCTGTGCCATAACTGTCCAAGCGATTCTTCCTGCCTGCTCAGGAAGCTCAGGAAGGGTACTCAGGAAGCAAATGAAAGACGGCTTTGGCCAGGCACGGTGGCTCATGCCTGTAATCCCAGCACTTTGGGAGGCTGAGGCAGGTGGATCACTTGAAGTCAACAGTTCGAGACCAGCCTGGCCAACATGGCGAAACCCTGTCTCTACTAAAAATACAAAAATTAGCCAGGCGTGGTGGCAGGTGCCTGTAATCCCAGCACTTTGGGACGCTGAGGCGGGTGGATAACCTGAGGTCAGGAGTTCAAGACCAGCCTGGCCAACATTGCAAAACCCTGTCTCTGCTAAAAATACAAAAAATTAGCTGGGCCTGGTGGCAGGCACCTATAATCCCAGCACTTTGGGAGGCCAAGGTGGGTGGATCACCTGAGATCTGGAGTTCAAAACCTGCCTGGCCAACATGGTGAAACCCCATCTCTACTAAAAATACAAAAAATTAGCTGGGCATGGTGGCGGGCGCCTATAATCCCAGCACTTTGGGAGGCCAAGGTGGGTGGATCACCTGAGGTCAAGAGTTCGAAACCAGCCTGGCCAAGAAGGCAAAACCACATCTCTACTAAAAATACAAAATTTAGCCAGGCGTGGTGGCAGGTGCCTGTAATCCCAGCACTTTGGGAGGCTGAGGCGGGTGGATCACCTGAGGTCAGGAGTTCGAGACCAGCCTGGCCAACATGGTGAAACCCTGTCTCTGCTAAAAATACAAATATCAGCCGAGAGTAGTGGTGGGCGTCTGTAGTCACAGCTACTTGGGAGGCTGAGACAGGAGAATCCCTTGAATCCGGGAGGCAGAGGTTGCAGTGAGCGGAGATGATGCCATTGCACTCCGGTCTGGGCCACAGAGCGAGACTGTCAAAACAAAACGGAACAAAAAGAATGCTTTAAGAAGCGGGCGGATCACAAGATCCAGAGATTGAGAATAGCCTGGCTAACACAGTGAAACTCCGTCACTACTAAAAATACAAAAAAATTAGCCGGGCGTGGTGGCAGGTGCATGTAGTCTCAGCTCCTCAGGAGGCTGAGGCAGGAGAATGGTGTGAACCCAGGAGGCGGAGCTTGCAGTGAGCCGAGATCCCGCCACTGCACTCCAGCCTGGGCGACAGAGCGAGACCCTGTCTCAAAAAAAAAAAAAAAAAAAAAAAATAGAGAAGCCTGTGGTCCTGTGGGATTTATAGATTTCATTTTGTAAATATATCAGTATTTCCCAAATTAAAATACAGCCTTAATCCCTGCAGAAACTTTTTTTTTTTCAGATCTGGGAATCAGTACACAGATTTCCAAATGTTTCTGTAGAAACATTAGCCTGGCTAACAAGGTGAAACCCCATCTCTACTAACAATACAAAATATTGGTTGGGCGTGGTGGCGGGTGCTTGTAATCCCAGCTACTCAGGAGGCTGAGGCAAGAGAATTGGTTGAACCCAGGAGGCGGAGGTTGCATTGAGCTGAGATCACGCCACTGCACTCCAGCCTGGGCAACAGAGCGAGACTCCATCTGAAGAAATAAAGTAAAATAGCCGGGCGCGGTGGCTCACGCCGGTCATCCCAGCACTTTGGGAGGCCGAGGCAGGCGGATCACGAGGTCAGGAGATCGAGACCTTCCTGGCTAACACGGTGAAACCCGGTCTCTACCAAAAATACAAAAAATTAGCCGGGCAGGGTGGCTGGCGTGCACCTGTCATCCCAGCTACTCAGGAGGCTGAGGCAGGAGAATCGCTTGAACCCGGGAGGCGGAGGTTGCAGTGAGCCGAGATCGCATCACTGCACTCCAGCCTGGGGGACAAGTGAGATTCCATCTCAGAAAAAAAAAAATAATAATAATAATAATAATAATAATAATAATAATAATAAGTAACACAATGAGAGTTTATAACGTGACAGAGGTGGTTTTCGAATTCATTCCATTAAAAAAAAATCCAAGATTTCTGTGTGTCACAAAATATTTACGAAATTAAAGGGAAGTTCAGAGACCACGTGGAAAATACATTCTAAACCAAAGCATCATTACTACACAAGGAGGTGTTTCAAATCAAACGTGAAGTTTCCCCCAATGAAAAAGTCAAACGGCACAAGATAAACGGTCGGAATCAACAGAACACGTTCGACTTCAGTAAAGATTACAGAAATACTTTCTTTAAAACAAGGAGACCTCACTTGAATTTTCTACATTGCATGCTTTTCTGCCCTCCAGAGCTGAAAACTCAGAAGCTTTGAAAATGCCCATTCTCTTGGCTGGGCGCGGTGGTTCACGCCTGTAGTCCCAGCACTTTGGGAGGCCGAGGCGGGTGGATCACCTGAGGTCAGGAGTTCGAGACCAGCCAGGCCAATATGGTGAAACCCGTTCTCTACTAACAATACAAAAATTAGCTGGGTGTGGTGGCGGGCGCCTGTAGTCCCAGCTACTCAGGAGGCTGAGGCAGGAGAATCTCTTAGAACCCGGGAGGTGGAGGTTGCGGTGAGCCGAGATCGCACCACTGCACTCCAGCCTGGGCGACAGAGCAAAAAAAAAAAAAAAAAGAAAGAAAGAAAAAGAAAAGAAAATGCCCATCCCGTTGGATCCAGGCATTGCATTTTTTACCAAGTGTTACAAAGTCAAAACAAGCAAGGAGAAATCACAGTAAAAAGAAAATTACACAGTGCAAACACGCCCAAAATGAGAAGCTTGTCTGTGCGGAAGGAGAGATGCTTTGTGTGCTTTAGAGATGTTTTACTTATATGGGTGAAAAATAGATATATGTAAAAATAGAATATGTGAAAAATAGAATAAAATCACATATATGAGAAATAGAATTAAAAATGACGGCTGAGTGTGGTGGTTCACACTGGTAATCCCAGCACTTTGGGAGACCAAGGCGGGAAGATTGCTTGAGCCTAGGAGTTTGAGGCCAGCCTGGGCAACAAATAATACAAAATAATAATCTCTACAAATAATACAAAAAAAGCCACCCTCCTGCCTCAGCCTCCCAAGTAGCTGGGACTACAGGAGTGTGGAGTCCCAGCTACTTGAGTGTGGTGGCCCACACCAATGGTCCCAGCTAATCGGGAGGCTGAGGCAGGAGGATTGCTTGAGCCCGGGTGGTGGAGGCTGCAGTGAGCTGTGGTCATGTCACTGCACTCCAGCCTGGGTGACAGAGCAAGACCCTGTCTTTAAAATAAAACAGCAAGCCAGGCGCGGTGGCTCATGCCTGTAATCCCAGCAATTTGGGAGGCCGAGGCAGGTGGATCATTTGAGGTCAGGAGTTCGAGATCAGCCTGGCCAACATGGTGAAACCCCGTCTCTATTAAAAATATAAAAATTAGCTGGGCATGGTGTCATACACCTGTAATCCCAGATACTCAGGACGCTGACGCAGGAGAATCATTTGAACCCAGGAGGCAGAGGTTGCAGTGAGCCAAGATCATGCCACTGCACTTCTGCCTGGTCTCCAGAGCGAGACTCCCTCCCAAAAAAAGTTGCAGCGAGAGAGAACGGACAAACAGAGGAGTCAGGAGAAGCCATGGGGAAGAGAGAATGGAAGAAAGAGGCTCAAACTCAGACCCTGGAGAAGGAGAGGGGCAGGGTTGGCCACCCACAACCGTATCCACAGTCCAGAGAATGCTGTAGTTACAAGATACAAATAGGAATATCTTGATCTCCTCACCTCAGTGAACATGGGGATGCATAGTTATCCTATTTATTTCTTAATTATTATCATTATTATTTTGAGACAGAGTCTTACTCTGTCACCCAGGCTGGAGTGCAATGGCACTATCTCGGCTCACTGCACCCTCCGACTCCCGGGTTTAAGGGATTCCCCTGCCTCAGCCTCCCGAGTAGCTGGGATTACAGGTGCCCACCACCACACCTGGCTAAGTTTTGTATTTTTAGTAGAGAAGGGGTTTCACCATGTTGGCCAGGCTGGTCTCAAACTCCTGACCTCAGGGGATCTGCCCGCCTCGGCCTCCCAAAGTGCTGGGATGACACGTGTGAGCCACCGCACCCGGCGAGTTATCCTATTTAAATAAACAATTAAGTGTTCAGCAGTGGATGACTTCAGCAATGAGTTAGAAGACGACCGAGCAGAGGTGAAGGAGATGTCATTCCATTTCCTCGTCCAGGCTGGCTGTCCGGCCTCCCCGCGTCCCTCGGAAGACGATGCTGAAATCCCGTTGTGTCTATGGCGATGGCAGACGGGGGACAGCCAGATTCTGAAGGCGTCCCCGGCTACATCTGTTCCCATTTTCTCCTCGGCCGGGCCATACCAGCGGGAGCGGAAATTCAGTTTTAATAACACAGACCCCCCAAACCCATTTCTGAAGGCAGTTTGTGGGGTGACCTCAGTGTGGATTGTAAATATAAAATTCATATGTGCTGGGCTTCCTGACTGTAATTACCTATCAAAAGTTTCAGGGTTTCAGTGAAATTCCTTATGAAACAACAAATAGTCTCACGGTGGAATCTCACCCCCACCTCTCCCTCTCTACATGCCTGGGACAGAGAATTGATTCTTACGTTTCATGCACAGGACAGACAAGTGTATTTGGTATTTTAATCCCATCCCAAGATGTCTGTGTGGAGTTAATTTTCCTCATGGAATATTTCCTTTCTGCTCATGTGCTGCAGGAGAACAGCTACCCACGACTCTCCAGGCAGTGTGGCAGGAGGAGAGAGAAGGGCAGGCTCTGCAGAATTCTTCGTCTTGGCCGGGCACAGTGGCTCACGTCTGTCATCCCAGCTCTTTGGGAGGCCAAGGCAGGAGGATCACCTGAGGTCAGGAGATCGAGACCAGCCTGGCTAACATGGTGAAACCCCGTCTGTATTAAAAATACAAAAAATTGGTTGGGCGTGGTGGCAGGTGCCTGTAATCCCAGCTACTCGGGAGGCTGAGGCAGGAGAATCGCTTGAACCCGGGAGGCAGAGGTTGCAGTGAGCCGAGATCGCGCCACTGCACTCCAGCCTGGGCGACAGGGCGACACTCTGTCTCAAAAAATAAAATAAAATAAAATAAGAATCCCCTGTCCCTTCCTTCTGTGGTCCAAGACACAGGGTGTGAAGTTTGCAATGCAACAGAACCAGGTATAACTGGTGATTCTTTGCACGTCCTGGTCATGCAGGTCTTCATACCTCAGAAGGAAAAGTTCTCAGTATTTATTTATTTATTTATTTATTTTTTGAGAGGGAGTCTCTCTCTGTCACCCAGGCGGGAGTGCAATGGCACAATCTCAGCCCACTGCAACCTCTGCCTCCTGGGTTCAAGCGATTCTCCTGCCTCAGTCTCCCAAGTGGCTGGGATTACAGGCACCCGCCACCATGCCTGGCTCATTTTTGTATTTTTAGTAGAGACGGGGTTTCACCATGTTGGCCAGGCTGGTCTCGAACTCCTGACCTCAGGTGATCCACCTGCCTCGGCCTCCCAACGTGCTGGGATTACAGGCGTGAGCGACTGCGCCCAGCTCAGAAAAATCTTGACCAGGAAAAAAATCTCCTTGCTCGGTTTATACACCTGTCTCTCTCCTTCTCTTTCCGTGTGTATATATAAAGACACAACAAGTTCATCACAGACTTGTGATTTTTCAAAATCATTTCAATTATTAATTTTCCTTCCTTCCTTCCCCCTCCCTCCCTCTTTCTCTCTTTCTTTCTTTCTCTTTCTTTTTCTTTCTTTTTCTTTCTTTCTTTCTCTTTTTCTCTCTTTCTTTCTTTCCTTTTTCTTTTTTTTTTTTTTTTTAAGACAAAGTCTCCCTCTGTCACCCAGGCTGGAGAGCACTGGCACGATCTTGGCTCACTACAACCTCTGCCTCCCAGGTTCAAGTGATTCTCCTCCCTGAGCCTCCTAAGTAGCTGGGATGACAGGCACCCACCATCATGCCTGGCTAATTTTTGTATTTTTAGTAGAGACGGGGTTTCACCATGTTGGCCAGGCTGGTCTCGAACTCCTGACCTCAGGTGATCCACCTGCCTCGGCCTCCCAAAGTGCTGGGATGACAGGCGTGAACCACCGCGCCCGGCCACTTTTCTTCATGACTGAGTTTTTGGTGCTCTTTTAAACTATATATATACTATATATATATAATAAAATATATATTTTAAGTCATATATATAAAATATATGTAATAAAATTTAAATATTTGTATTTTCTTTATGCTAGAACCAATTAAATTATATATAATGATTATATTCTCATATTAAATCTTAAATTCTCTTAAATTATAAGAATTCCACTGGTTCTAGCATTAAGAGAAGACGAATGTTTAAGGTGACAGATATCCCAAGTGAACTGATTTGATTTTTACAAAGTACCCTTAAATTATGCACCTTTTCTTTTATGCATCAAGTTTTCTTTTATGCATCAAAGGAGGCCGGGCGCGGTGGCTCACGCCCGTAATCCCAGCACTTTGGGAGGCCGAGGCAGGCAGATCACGAGGTCAGGAGTTTGAGACCAGCCTGACCAACATGGAGAAACCCCGTCTCTACTAAAAATACATAAATTAGCCGGGCGTAATCATGGGCACCTGTAATCCCAGCTACTCAGGAGGCTGAGGCAGGAGAATCGCTTGAACCCGGGAGGCGGAAGTTGCAGTGAGCCGAGATCTCACGGTTGCACTCCAGCCTGGTGACAGAGTGAGACTCTGTCTCAAAAAAAAATACAACTTTAGGCCAGACGTGGTGGCTCACACCTGTAAATCCCAGCACTTTGAGAGTCTGAGGTGGGCGGATCACGAGGTCAGGAGTTCGAGACCAGCCTGGACAACATGGTGAAACCCCGTCTCTACTAAAAATACAAAAAAATTAGCCGGGCACAGTGATGGGCGCCTGTAGTCCCAGCTACTCAGGAGGCTGAGGCAGAAGAATCATTTGAACCTGGGAGGCGGAGGTTGCAGTGAGCTGAGATTGCACCACTGCACTCCAGCCTGGCGACAGCGTGAGAGTCCGTCTCAAAAAAAAAAAAAAAAAAAAAAAAAAAACTTAAAGAAAAAAAAGCAGCCCCTTAATTCCGGTATTCCCGGCTGATGCCAGGAGAAGCTGCTGAGTGTGACATCCTCCCAGCTGGCTGGCGGACACCGTCTAGTTTATATATTCAGAGACATCATTTCAGCCACCTCTGTTTCCTCTGCCGTCAAATACATGACTGGAGGTAGCTTCTGAAAGTCCTCAGCCGTAACGATCCAGCAGGCTCATTAATAGAGACGGAACGGATCATCACTCGCTTACTTATCGGGTACAAATTGAAATCTTCAGAGTCCCGGCTGGTTCATTAGCAAATCAGGCCTCTGTGGGACAACATGATACATTGCCTAATAAGCAATTAATAGATTCCTCAGTTATTTGATGCATGCACTTTGTGTGTGTGTGTGTGTGTGTGTGCGTGTGTGTGTGTGTGTGTGTGTGTGGTTGGAGCCAGGCGGAACGAGGTCCTGTCCACAACTTTAGCCATTGTGGTATCTGATTAGAATTGACCATTCAATGTCAAATGAATTCCGATGCATCCTAACGGCGGATGTCACTGGCCTAAGGACCCCCCAGTTAAGCCACCTGCCCCATCCTACGTGGACATCTGCTGTTTTTTTGGTTAGTTGGTTTGTTTGTTTTTGAGATGCAGTTTCGCTCTTGTTGCCCAGGCTGGAGGGTAACGGCACGATCTCGGCCCACTGCAACCTCCGCCTCCCGGGTTCAAACAGTTCTCCTACCTCAGCCTCCCAAATAGTTGGGATTACAGGCATGCACCACCACACCGGGCTAATTTTTGCATTTTTAGTAGAGACAGGGTTTCACCATGTTCATCAGGCTGGTCTCGAAGTCCTGACCTCGGGCGATCCACCCGCCTCGGCCTCCCAAAGTGCTGGATGACAGGCGTGAGCCACTGCGCCTGGCCGGATGTCCACTCTTAAATACAGGTGCACTTTCCAGGTTGACCCTTCTGGCTGGTGGACTTACAGGTGCAGCAAATCCCATTATTTCATTCCTTTCATTGCTTAACTCTCCTACTGAGTCCTCAAAGTCCATTATATCATTCTCATGCCTTTGCGTCCTCATAGCTTAGTTCCTACTTATAAATGAGAACATAATGATGATTGATTTTCCATTCCTGAGTTACTTCCCTTAGAATCATGGCCTCCAGCTCCATCCAGGTTGCTGCAAATGCCATCATTTCATTCCTTCTTATGGCTGAGTAGTATTTGGGGTAGATACCAAACTTCCAACATTCTTAGTCACTTTCAGGGCTGGGACTAGAGTGAGGCATTCATCTAGGGCAACAGATTTATTTTTTTATTATTATTATTATTATTATTATTATTATTATTATTATTATCTGAGATGGAGTCTCACTCTTGTTCCCCAGGCTGGAGTGCAGTGGTGTGATCTCAGCTTACTGCAACCTCTGCCTCCCAGGTTCAAGCGATTTTCCTGCCTCAGCCTCCTGAGTAGCTGGGATTACAGGCACCTGCCACCACCCCCAGCTAATTTTTGTATTTTTAATACAAACGGGGTTGCACCTTGTTAGCCAGGATGGTCTCGAACTCCTGACCTCAGGTGATCCACTGCCCTTGGCCTCCCAAAGTGTTGAGATTACGGGCATGAGCCCCTGTGTCTGGCCGGGCACCAGATTCAAAAGGGTGCCAAAAACTGAGTCACTGAGACAAGTAATAATTTATTGCAATGATTTTGAAAAATCCAGGAGAATGCCGCAAGTCTGCAATGAACACGGCAGCCACATCTTAAAGAAACAGGTGCAGGTAAAGACAGGTAGAAGCGGCTGGCCGTGGTGGCTCACACCTGTAATCCCAGCACTTTGGGAGGCCAAGGCGAGGCACGAGGATCTCTTGAGCCCAGCAGTTTGAGACCAGCCTGGCCAACGTAGCAAGACCCCATCTCTACAAAAACTGTGACACATTAAGTGCGCATGATGGCATGAGCCTGTAATCTGAGCTACTTGGGAGGTTGAGGTGGGAGGAGGGCTTGAGCCCAGGAGGTCAAGGCTGCAGTGAACTGTGACTGAGCCTCTGCACTCCAGCCTGGGTGACGGGGACCCTGTTGTCTAAAAATAAAAATCAAGAGAAATCCAACAACGGTGTGATTAACACAACATGGCAACATTTCATAAGTAGTCAGACGCATGTACATACAGATAGGGGAACTTACTGAGTCCTACCTGGGCTTAAGGACGGAAAAATACCCTGATCCTTCTTTTTTTTTTTTAATTTGAGATGGAGTCTTCCTCCGTCCCCCAGGCTGGAGTGCAATGGCATGATCTCGGCTCACTACAACCTCCGCCTCCCGGGTTCAAGCGATTCTTCTGCCTCAGCCCCACCAGTAGCTGGGATGACAGGCGCCCACCATCACACCCTGCTAATTTTTGTATTTTTAGTAGAGACGGGGTTTCACCATGTTGGCCAGGCTGGTCTCGAACTCCTGACCTCAAGTGATCCACCCGCCTCAGACTCCCAAAGTGCCAGGATTACAGGCGTGAGCCACTGCGCCTGGTCAATCTTGCTTTTTATAAAGACAAAAAAGGTGCCTGTCCCACCTCACAACTCAGCCCTCGGGTAGTGGTTGAGCCCCAGGTAGCTTCATTCACACCCGCCAGGGTCATAACGAATGTTTCTTTTTTTAGAAGCACATTCTCTGCTTTTCTTTTCTGGTTTTCTTTTTTAACACACAAACATATTTTTAATATAGTTCTAAGAGAAGAAAAAGCAGGTCATAAAACTGTAATAAGTTTTCCTAATATTTTATTTATTTTTCATTATTACTATTTTTTAGATTTGCCAGCATGTCAAAAAGAACCTTTATTACTTTCTATAATTGCCTCTTATGCTTTGTTGCCACATGCCTTTGGAGCGGGAGCCTCTGTGGCAGGTGTTTCTTCTATTTTAGAGCTGGAGCCTTTTTTGTTGTTGTTTTGTTTTGTTGAGAGGGAGTCTCACTCTGTCGCCCAGGCTGGAGTGCAGTGGCACGAACTCGGCTCACCGCAACCTCCGCCTCCCAGGTTCAAGCGATTCTCCTGCCTCAGCCTCCCGAGTAGCTGGGATTACAGGCACCTGCCACCACGCCTGGCTAATTTTTGTATTTTTAGTAGAGATGGGGTTTCACCATGTTGGCCAGGCTGGTCTTGAACTCCTGATCTCAAGAGATCCTCCCACCTCAGCCTCCCAAAGTGCTGGGATTACAGGCGTGAGCCAACGTGCCTGGCCGGAGCTGGAGCTTTTTGACCCTTCTGAGCTTTTGGAGCAGGTGCCTCTGTGGATGTAACCGTCTTCTCACTCTACTTGGCAGGTGTTTCTTCTATTTTAGTAGCTGGAGTTTTTGAGTCCTCTGAACTTTTGGAGCAGGTGCCTCTCTGGACGTAACCATCTTCTTACTCTACTTGGCAGGTGTTTCTTCTATTTTAGGAGCTGGAGTTTTTGAGTCCTCTGAACTTTTGGAGCAGGCGCTGCCTTCTGGCCTGCGGCTTTCTGGGAAAGAATCTTCTGGGCTGTAGCCTTCTTACGCACGGCGGTCATCTTTTTCGCTGGAACTTTACCAGCAGCTGCAGCTGCAGCCGTACCCCTTAGCAGCAGGTGCCTTTTTGGAAGAAGCTTTCAGGAGGGCTGCCTTTTGAAGCGTCTTAACTTTATTCTCGATAATTCTGTTCCTCATTTTCTTTGCCTTCATAACTTTAAAATGATCCAAATCTGTCGTCTTGGCTTTTTGGAGAAGCTTTCAGGAGAGCTGCCTTTCGAAGCTTCTTTTTTTTGAGATGGAGTCTTGCTCTGTCACCCAGGCTGGAGTGCAATGGCACCATCTCAGTTCACTGCAACCTCTGCCTCCCGGTTTAAGCGATTCTCCTGCCTCAGCCTCCCGAGTAGCTGGGATTACAGGCACCCGCCACCACGCCCAGCTCATTTTTGTATTTTTAGTAGAGACGGGGTTTCACCATGTTGGCCAGGCTGGTCTCGAACTCCTGACCCCAGGTGATCCACCCGCCTCGGCCTCCCAAAGTGCTGGGATTACAGGCGTGAGCCATTGTGCCCGGGGTCTTGAAGCTTCTTCATTTCATTCCTGATGGTTGTGTTCCCATGTTCTTTGCTTGCATAACTTTAAAACGATTGAACTGTGTCATTTTGCCTTTCCTTTCTCTGGCTTCCATCTTCTTGGCCCCTCGTCTGGCTGCCCATTCTGTGTTGATGTGTAGCTTCTGCCAGGCCTGTCGGACGTACCTCTGGCGGGCGCGGTGTGGAAGCTTGAGGAGGAAATCTGTGAGCTGCCTGTGCTTGAAAGGCATGGCCTGTCTCCTCCTTTGAGTGCACGGTCCATCAACCAAAGCCCTCTTCCCATCAATAACATCTGTAGTCGCGACCGGTTTTCCAGCATGAGGTCCAAAGCAGACGTAGGCCACCCGGGCAACCTCCACGAACTCCCTGAACACCATGTTGGCAGCCTTAGGCGAGAAGGTTAATCTTTTATTTTTAATTGGCAAATAATAATTATGTATGTGTTTAGGGTATAACGATATGTTTTCATCAATGTGGGAAGGATTAAATCAAGTTAACGCACCTGCCACCTCACCTACCTATTATCACCGTGTGTTTTCTTGTTTTTTTGGTGGTGGTGTTCCTTTTTGAGATGGAGTCTTGCTCTGTCACCCAGGCTGGAGTGCAGTGGCACAGTCGCAGCTCACTGCAACCCCCATCTCCTGGGTTCAAGCAGTTCTCTTCCTCAGCCACTTTAAAACGATCCAAATCTGTCATCTTGGATTTTTGGAGACGCTTTCAGGAGAACTGCCTTTGGAAGCTTTTTTTTTTTTTTTTTGAGATGGAGTCTCGCTCTGTTGCCCAGGCTGGAGTGAAATGGCACCACACCTCAGGTGGTCTGTCCACCTTGGCCTCCCAAAGTGCTGGGATTACAGGCATGAGCCACCATGCCCAGACTCATCTCATCTGAGGTCAGGAGTTTGAGACCAGCCTGGCCAACATGGAGAAACCCTGTCTCTACTAAAAATACAAAATTAAATTTTGAGATGGGGTCTCGCTCTGTCACCCAGGCTGGAGTGCAGTGGTGCAATCTCAGCTCGCTGCAACCTCCACCTCCCGGGTTCAAGCGATTCTCTGCCTCAGCCTCCCGAGTAGCTGGAACTACAGGCACCCACCACCAAGACCGGCGAATTTTTGTATTTTTAGTAGAGACGGGGTTTCACCATGTTGGCCAGGCTGGTCTCGAACTCCTGATTTCGTGACCCACCTGCCTCGACTTCCCAAAGTGCTGAGATTACAGGCATGAGCCACTGCGCCCGGCTACTACTTTATTTTTAATTGGCAAATAATTATGTATGCGTCCAGGGTGTCATGTTATGTTTTCATCGATGTGCGCAATGTGTAATGGTTAAATCACGTTGACACACCCACCGTCTCACCTCCTTATTATCACTGTGAGTTTTTTAATGGTGGGAACATTCAAAAATTACTCTTTCAATGCAAAATCGATCACAAAAGCTGTCTAAGTTCTGTAAAAATATTTCCCGCGGCCGGGCGCGGTGGCTCACGCCTGTAATCCCAGCACTTTGGGAGGCCGAGGCGGGCGGATCACGAGGTCAGGAGATCAAGACCATCCTGGCTAACACGGTGAAACCCCATCTCTATTAAAAATACAAAAAATTATCTGGGCGTGGTGGCGGGCGCCTGTAGTCCCAGCTACTCAGGAGGCTGAGGCAGGAGAATGGTGTGAACCCGGGAGGTGGAGCTTGCAGTGAGCCAAGATTGCACCACTGCACTCCAGCCTGGGCGACAGAGTGAGACTCCGTCTCAAAAAAAAAAAAAGAAAAAAAAAATACAAGAATTAGCCGGGCGTGGTGGCAGGTGCCTGTAATCCCAGCTGCTCAGGAGGCTGAGGCAGGAGAATCGCTTGAACCCGGGAGGCGGAGGTTGCAGTGAGCTGAGATTGTGCCACTGTACTCCAGCCTGGGCAACAAAGCGAGACTCCATCTTAAAAGAAAAAAAAATAATAAAGTAAAAAATATAAAAGAACATAAAGACGTCCTCAGCGAAGCATCCATCTCCTCTGCCCTATAGTTTGAGCTACTTACTGACAATCCCTTCTTGCAAACGCTCAACACAGAATTGCTGAGACCGTTAGAACATCACAGAGCCCTCCCTCTGTGTTTCATGAATCTTGCCTCTTTCTGTTTTTTTATTTTTTGTAGAGATGTGGCGGGGGGGCTCTCACTATGTTGCCCAGGCTGGTCTCAAACCTCTGGCCTCAAGCCATCCTCCTGCCTCAGCCTTACAAAGTGCTGGGATCACAAGCATGAGTCGCCGCTGCACGGATGAATCGTGCGTCTTTTTACCTGCAACCATGTCCATCAACCCTCGTCGGTGTTAGTCAATATTATCAAACATTATTATTGTTGTTATTAAATATTAAATAATTATTATTAAATATTAACTAAATACTTAATTTATATTTAATATTATTATATTATATTTGTTGTTTATTATATATTATATTATAAAAATATCAAGTGATGTTAAATGAATTACATATTAATTAAATTTAATTTATATTTAATTAATATTTAATCAATATTTCTATTGATTTATATTTCTATTTTATATTGCACATATTGCAATATGCATATAGATGCATATCTATTGCATAGATGTATATGCATAGCTATATATGCATATAAAAATATATGGATATATGCAAATATATGGATATATAGATATATGCATGTTTATATTTTAATTAAATATTTAATTATTAATATTAAATAGTATTAAATACTTAATTATTAATATTAAATATTATTAAATACTTAATTATTAATATTAAATATTATTAAATATTTAATATTAATATTAAATATTATTGAATATTTAATATTAATATTAAATAAATATTAATGTTTATTATTAGATATTAATTAAACATTTAATTTATATTTAGTTAATATTTAATCAATATTTCTATTTATTTATATTTCTACTTTATATTGCATACATTGCAATATGCATATATAGCTATGCATATATATCTATGCAATAGATATGCATCTATATGCATATACAAATATATGGATATATGCAAATATATGGATATATAGATATATGAATGTTTATATTTTAATTAAATATTTAATTAATATCTAATAATAATCACGAATATTTAATATTGATAATTAAATACTAATTATTAAATATTTAATTACCATATAAACAGAAGCATATATATTCAATGTTGTTCAACATTTTCCGCACCCTCACCACTTTCACAGCCGATCCAGTCATATGTTTTGATGTCAGGGGACCCCCTCCCCAGTATCCCTCTCTCTCATTGCTAAGTGCCCACACCAAGGTGACCCGGGGACCCCCACTGTCACAGGCCTGGATTGTGACGGAGTCTGAAGCATTCGCCGTTGGTGGGGCACGCTCAGGTGATCAGCGGGACGTGAGTGTGGATGGCGGGACAGCCAGGAGACAGACGATGTCTCCTGTAATACAGCATGAGCACAGGAGAAAAGAAAAAAAAGAAAGGAAAGAAAGAAAAGAAAGAAAGATCACACCACAGGTTGGGCACGGCGGCTCACGCCTGTAACCCCAGCACTTGGGGAGGCTGAGGCGGGCAGATCACCTGAGGTCAGGAGTTCGAGACCAGCCTGACCAACATGGTGAAACCCCGTCTGTACTAAAAATACAAAAATTAGCCGGGTGTGGTGGAGGGCGCCTGTAATCCCAGCTACTGGGGAGGCTGAGGCAAGAGAATCGCTCGAACCCAGGAGGTGGAGGTTGCAGTGAGCTGAGCTCGTGCCGCTGCACTCCAGCCTGGGTGACAGAGCGAGACTCTGTCTCATAAAATAAAATAAGGCCAGGTGTGGTGGCTCACGCTTGTCATCCCAGCACTTTGGGAGGCCGAGGCAGGTGGATCACCTGAGGTCAGGAGTTCGAGACAAGCCTGACCCACATGGTGAAACCCCATCTCTACTAAAAATACAAAAATTAGTCGGGCATGGTGGCAGGCATCTGTAATCCCAGCTACTCGGGAGGCTGAGGCAGGAGAATCACTTGAACCCGGGAGGCGGAGGTTGCAGTGAGCTGGGCGTGTTGGCAGGTGCCTGTCATCCCAGCTACTCGGGAGGCTGAGGCAGGAGAATCGCTCGAACCCAGGAGGTGGAGGTTGCAGTGAGCTGAGCTCGTGCCACTGCACTCCAGCCTGGGTGACAAGAGCAAAACTCCATCTCTAAAATATATGATCAAAAAAAATTAAAATAAAATAAAATAAAATAAGATATATGATCAACACAATGTAAATTAGACAATTTATAGTCACACAGCATCCTCCGCGACCTCACCCACAGTGGGAGAGAAAAATTAAAAAAAAAAAAAAACAGTTTTAGGATGATCCCCATGAAATTGTCAAAACCAGCCGCCTTCTAAATATCTGACTGTGGCTGTCAGAAAACAGACTTCAGAGAAGAATACAAATCATTGTATCCAGCCATAATAATGGAGTTCAAAGCTGAGAGGCTATGAAAAATTCATCGTGTGTCTACTTGAAACGAGGGATGTAAATTATGCCACTTTGTCTATATTTGTACAATATGTTCTCGTTGGCAAATACGGGATCTGATCATTGTTTCGTTAAATACCTGACAATTCTGTAACAGTTGCAAAGACGGGTGCTTAAATCAGCGTTTCCCACTCTAGGACGGCAAGAAAACAAAAATAAAGAAATAAAACAGGGTCAGAAAGAATGAGAGCCGGGGGAACCTTTATCTAAATCAGTTGCTTGGACCGGGTGCGTGGGGGCTCACGCCTGTAATCCCAGCACTTCGTGAGCCTGAGACGGACGGATCACCTGAGGTTGGGAGTTCGAGACCAGCCTGGCCAACATGGTGAAACCTCGTCTCTACTGAAAATACAAAAATTAGCCCGGCGTGGTGGCAGGTGCCTGTAATCCCAGCTACTTGGGAGACTGAGGCATGAGGATAGCTTGAACCCGGGAGGTGGAGCTTGCAGTGAGCTGAGATCGGGCCAGTGCACTCCAGCCTGGGCGACAGAATGAGATTCTCTCTCAAAAAAAAAAAAAAAAGAATTTCTTGAATTCATTCTCGAGGTCAGGGTATGTGATGTGACGCTCTCCTAAATGCTGAGAAGATGGAAATAGCATTCTGGTGCACGTCTGTCACCCCAGCTACACGGGAGGCTGAGATGGGAGAACCGCTTGAGCCCAGGAGGTTGAGGCTGCAGTGAGCTGAGATTGCACCACTGCACTCCAGCCTGGGTAACAGAGGGAGACCCTGTCTCAAAAAAAGAAAAAAAGACATGGAAATAACATTTGATGAAGAAGGTGAGGAAAGCCCACACTTTAGCTTTCAAACTGCTACAATTTTTTTTTTTTTTTTTGAGACAAAGTCTCGCTCCGTTGCCCAGGCTGGAGTGCAGTGGCGCGATCTCTGCTCACTGCAACCTCCGCCTCCCGGGTTCAAGCCATTCTCCTGCCTTAGCCTCCCCAGTAGATGGGATTACAGGCGCCCACCACCACACCCAGCTAATTTTTGTTTTTTTGGTTGAGACCAGGTTTAGCTGTTGGCCAAGCTAGTCTCGAACTCCTGACCTCAGGTGATCCACCCGCCTCGGCCTCCCAAAGTGCTGGGATTACAGGCGTGAGCCACCTCGCCCGACGTAATTGCTCCAAATTCTTAAGTCACATGAACACCAGATGCAAGTACTCATACCTCAGACAAGGCAAGAAATTATTATTTTTCCTGCTGACTAAGAAATTCTCATAGCAAAGTATCCCTTGAGTAATATAGCCTGGTTATTCCAGTTTGCATATGTTTTGTTTTTTTGAGACGGTGTCTCACTCTGTCACCCAGGCTGGAGTGCCGTGGCTTGATCTCGGCTTGCTGCAAGCTCCGCCTCGTAAATATGATTCTCCTGCTTCAGCCTCCTGAGTAGCTGGCATTTTAGGCGCCCGCCACCACACCCGGCTAATTTTTGTATTTTTTGTTTGTTTGTTTTTAATACAGACCAGGTTTTACCATGCTGGCCACGTTGGTCTCGAACTCCTGACCTCAAGTAATCTGCCTGCTTCGGCCTCCCAAAGTGCTGGGATTACAGGTGTGAGCCACCGTGCCCAGCCTTCCAGTTTGCATATCTTGCTGATAGGTTTAATTAGCTGAGTGAGCCCAATTTGATAATGCAGCTGGGCAATATTGCTTTCCTGCTGCAGAGAGGGTCATAGATGAAATGACATCTATCCTCGGTATCCAAGGCAGCTGGATACGTTCTGGTTTGGAATTTTGACTGATCTGGTAAGAGGTGGGGGCTGAGGAATCTCAATCCAGATTTTAGGTTTAGTGTTTTGTTTCGTTTCTTTTCGAGACTGAGTCTCGCTCTGTCGCCCAGGCTGGAGTGCAGTGGCGCAATCTCAGCTCACTGCAACCTCCGCCTCCCGGGTTCAAGCGATTCTCCTGCCTCAGCCTCCCAAGTAGCTGGGATTACAGGCAGCTGCCACCACACCTGGCTAATTTTTGTATTTTAGTAGAGACGGGGTTTCACCATGATGGTCAGGCTGGTCTCGAACTCCTCACCTCAGGTGATCCACCCACCTTGGCCTCCCAAAGTGCTGGGACTACAGGCGCCCGCCACCACGCCTGGCTAATTTTTGTATTTTAGTAGCGATGGGGTTTCACCATGATGGTCAGGCTGGTCTCAAACTCCTGACCTCAGGTGATCCGCCAGCCTCGGCCTCCCAAAGTGCTGGGATGACAGGGGTGAGCCACCGTGCCCGGCCTCTGGTTTGCAATTGTGACTGAGCTGGTAAGAGGTGGGGGCCAAGGGTTCTCAATCTGTTTTTTTAATTTTTGTGTTTTGTTTTGTTTTGTTTTCGAGACAAGATCTTGCTCTGTTGCCCAGGCTGGAGTGCAGTCGTGCAATCTCAGCTCAGCGCAGCCTCCACCTTCTGGGCTCAAGCCATCCTCCTTCCTCAGCCTCCCAAGTAGCTGGGACTATGGGCATTCATACCACATCCAGATAATTTTTTTTTTTTCTTGGTACAGACAGGGTTTCACCATGTTGCCCAGGCTGGTCTCAAACTCCTGGGCTCAAGCATCCTCAGCCTTGGCCTCTGATAGTACTGGGATTATAGGTCTGAGTCACAGGGCCTGTCTTTTTGTTTTTGTTTTTGTTTCTGTTTTGTTTGTTTGTTTTGAGATGGAGTCTCGCCCACCGAGGCTGAAGTGCAGTGGCGTGATCTCAGCTCACGGCAACCTCCACCTCCCAGGTTCAAGCGATTCGCCTGCCTCAGCCTCCCGAGTAGCTGCAGTTACAGGTGCCCGCCACCAAACCCAGCTAATTTTTTTGTATTTTTAGTAGAGACACGGTTTCACCATGTCGGCCAGGCTGGTCTCGAACTCCTGACCTCAAATGATCCTCCCACCTCAGCCCCCCAAAGTGCTGAGATTACAGGCGTGAGTCACCGCGCGCCCGGCCACTGTTTTTCTTTTCCTTTTCTTAAATAACAGCACCATTGCACAGCTCATGAGCGCTACAGAAAACACATGTTAAATGTTTTCCACCAAATTTTGGCTTTTTATTGCGGTTGAAAATAAACAAGTACCAGAAAATCAGATCTTTTTGTAAAATGTTAAACACACATTATGGGTAATGTACACGCCTGTGGCTTCCTGTACGGCCACAGGGTAATTGAATTTGATTCGAGTTCATTTACTCCTGCCAAATCAAGCCCCACCGAACAGGTGTTAGATGTTGTTAGAGATTCAGCTTTGAAATGTCCATTTCTCTCTTCCTTTCAACTTCTGGATGTGCTGAACTGGGGAAAATCCTGTGAGTATAATTTACATGTTCCTGCTGCCTTCCACGCTACGGTATCGGAGCACCTGATGACTTCTTTATATGGGGCATATGAAAGCAAACTCTGAAATGAGGCCGGGCGCGGTGGCTCACGCCTGTCATCCCAGCACTTTGGGAGACCGAGGAGGGTGGATCGCCTGAGGTCAGGAGTTGGAGACCAGCCTGGCCAACATGGTGAAACCCCATCTCTACTAAAAATACAAACACTAGCCTGGCTTGGTGGCAGGCGCCTGTAATCCCAGCTACTCGGGAGGCTGAGGCAGGAGAATCGCTTGAACCCGGGAGGCTGAGTTTGCAGTGAGCTGAAATCGTGCCACTGCACTCCAGCCTGGGCAACAGCGAGATTCTGTCTCAAAAAACAAACAAAAAAAAATAGTCACTCATGGGCATCGCCTTATTTTCCATTGTTACTGCTTATTGATACATTCAGGGAAATACTGGTTTTACAATTTTACGGTTGCTAGAAGTTGGAATGAAACCACAAGTAATGAGTCTCACTTTATTTGATGATTTGGTGGTCTTGCGTTCTTTGAACTTATTCTGGGTTAATTCTCTATGTCTCTTCTTTCTTCAACTTCAAATTTGGATCTCTGCACAATTTTCTGCAATTTGTTTTTTATTTTTTATTTTTTTTTGTTCTTTCAGGTCCCCTATCATCTTATGGGCTCTTTTCCATATTAATCGTGTTTTATTTTGTCTTTTCTGTATCGTTCTTTGTTTCATTTTTCTTTTCTATCCTCTATTTCTCTCTCTTTCTTGTATTTTGAAACAGAGTCTCGCTCTGTCACCCAGGCTGGAGGGCAGTGGCGCGGTGTCGGCTCACTGCAACCTCCACCTCCCCGGTTCAAGCGATTTTCCTGCCTCAGCCTCCCGAGTAGCTGGGATTACAGGTGCCCGCCACCACGCCCGGCTAATTTTTGTATTTTTACTAAAGACGCGGTTTCACCATGTTGGCCAGGATGGTCCCGAACTTCTAACCTCAGGTGATCCACCCGCCTCGGCCTCCCAAACCTATGGGTATTTTGTTCTTGTTTTTGAGATGGAGTCTTGCTCTGTCGCCCAGGCTGGAGTGCAATGGCGTGATCTCGGCTCACTGCAACTTCCATTTCCCAGGTTCAAGTGATTCTCCCGCCTCAGCCTCCCAAGTAGCTGGGATTACAGGCATGCGCCAGCACGCCTGGCTAATTTTTGTGTTTTTTAGTAGAGACGGGGTTTCACCATGTTGACCAGGCTGGTCTCGATCTCCTGACCTCGTGATCTGCCCGCCTCAGCCTCCCAAAGTGCTGGGCTTACAGGCGTGAGCCACCGCGCCTGGCCCCAAGAGAGGGTGTTGTCTTTTTGCCCAAGCTGGAGTGTAGTGGCGTGATCACACCTCACTGCAGCCTCAACTTCCTGGGCTAAAGGGATCCTCCAGCCTCAGCCTCCCAAGTAGCAGGGAATCCAGGTGTGAGCCGCTGTGCCCTGCTGAGAACAAATTTTTGCATTTTTAAAATTTAATTCTGTGCAGTGTTCATTGTTGCCAACCAAATGTACCCTTTTCCACAAAAGAAAGCTTTATTTTCCTGTGTATAGCAATATAATTTCTTAAGAACATGGTAGAGCACACATAATATAATCTCTGCCATTTTAGCCATTGTAAATAAGGTACAATTCGGCCAGGCATGGTGTTTCACACCTGTAATCTCAGCATTTTGGGAGACTGAGGCAGGCCGATCAGGAGGTCAGGAGATCGATACCATCCTGGCCCACATCGTGAAACCCCATCTTTACTAAAATACAAAAAATTAGCCTGGCATGGTGGTGCACGCCTGTAGTCTCAGCTACTCGGGAGGCTGAGGTAGGGGCATTGCTTGAACCCAGGAGGTGGAGGTTGCAGTGAGCCAAGATCACGCCACTGCACTCCAGCCTGGGTAACAAGAGCGAGACTCTGTCTCAAAAATAAAAGAAAAAAAATTAAATATTCTGCAATGTTCATTGTTGCCAACCAAATGTACCCTTTTCCTCAAAAGAAAGCTTCTTTTCCTGTCTATAGCAATACATACTTTTTTAAAATTGTGGAGGAGTGCATATAATATAATCTCTGCCATTTTAGCCATTTTAAAGAGTACATTTTGGCCGGGCACGGTGGCTCATGCCTGTACTCTCAGCACTGTGGGAGGCCGAGGCGGGTGGATTATCTGAGGTCGGGAGTTCGAGACCAGCCTGGTCAACATGGCAAAACCCCATCTCTACCAATAATACAAAAATTAGCCGGTGTGGTGGTGTGTGCCTGTCATCCCAGCACTTTGGGAGGCTGAGGTGGGTGGATCACGTGAGGTCAGGAGTTCGGGACCAGCCTGGCCAACATGGCAAAACCCCATCTCTACTAATAATACAAAATTTAGCCAGGCGTAGTGGCACATGCCTGTAATCCCAGCTACTCGGAAGGCTGAGGCAGGAGAATCACTTGAACCCGGGAGGCAGAGGTTGCAGTGAGTTGAGATTGTGCCATTGCACTCCAGCCTGGGCAACAAGAGCGAGACTCCATCTCAAAAAAAAAAAAGAAAAAAAATTTAAATATTGTGCAATGTTCATTGTTGCCAACCGAATGTACCCTTTTCCTCAAAAGAAAGCTTCTTTTCCTGTCTATAGCAATATATACTTTTTTAAAATTGTGGTAGAGCACACATAATATAATCTCTGCCATTTTAGCCATTTTAAAGAGTACAATTCGGCCGGGCATGGTGGCTCACGCCTGTAATCCCAGCACTTTGGGAGGGCCGAGGCAGGTGGATCACCGGAGGTCGGGAGTTCGAGACCAGCCTGGCCAACATGACAAAACCCCATCTCTACTAATAATACAAAAAATTAGCTGGGAGTGGTGACGCATGCCTGTAATCCCAGCTACTCAGGAGGCTGAGGCAGGAGAATCGCTTGAACCCGGGAGGCGGAGGTTGCAGTGAGCTGAGATGGCGCCACTGTACTCTAGCCTGGGGAACAAGATCAAAACTCTATACCCCCCCCAAAAAAATAGTACATTCAAATAATTGTGCAACCATCATCACTAACCACCTCCAAAATGTTTTCATCGTCCCAAACAGAAACTCTCTTCCCATGAAACACCAATTCCCCATTTCACCCCCCAGCCCCTGCCACCCACAGTTCTAGTTTCTGTCTCTATGAAATCTTTGCCTGTTCTAGACATTTTAGTTAAGTGGAGTCATACACTATGTGGTCTTTCCTGTCTGGCTTCTCTCACTGGGCCTGATGTCTTCAAGGTTCACCCATGCCACAGCCTGCATCTGACCCTCATTCCTTTTCCTGGCTGTATAGTATTCCATTGTATGTCTCTTCTCCCGCTGGGCCTGATGTCTTCAAGGTTCATTCATGCTGCAGCCTGCGTCTGACCCTCATTCCTTTTCCTGACTGTACAGTATTCCATTGTGTGTCTCTTCTCCCACTGGGCCTGATGTCTTCAAGGTTCATCCACTCTGCAGCCTGTGTCTGACCCTCATTCCTTTTCCTGGCTGTGTAGTATTCCATTGTGTGTCTCTTCTCTCACTGGGCCTGATGTCTTCAAGGTTCATCCATGCTGCAGCCTGCGTGTGACCCTCATTCCTTTTCCTGGCCATATAGTATTCCATTGTGTGTCTCTTCCTTCTCTCACTGGGCCTGATGTCTTCCATGTTCATTCACACTGCAGCCTGCGTCTGACCCTCATTCCTTTTCCTGGCTGTGTAGTATTCCATTGTGTGTCTCTTCCTTCTCTCACTGGGCCTGATGTCTTCCATGTTCATTCACACTGCAGCCTGCGTCTGACCCTCATTCCTTTTCCTGGCTGTGTAGTATTCCATTGTGTGTCTCTTCCTTCTCTCACTGGGCCTGATGTCTTCAAGGTTCATTCATGCTGCAGCCTGCGTCTGACCTTCATTCCTTTTCCTGGCTGTATAGTATTCCATTGTGTGTCTCTTCTCCCACTCGGCCTGATGTCTTCAATGTTCATCCACACTGCAGCCTGTGTCTGACCTTCATTCCTTTTCCTGGCTGTGTAGTATTCCATTGTGTGTCTCTTCTCACTGGGCCTGATGTCTTCAAGGTTCATCCATGCTGCAGCCTGCATGTGACCCTCATTCCTTTTCCTGGCTGTGTAGTATTCCATTGTGTGTCTCTTCTCTCACTGGGCCTGAGGTCTTCAAGGTTTATCCACGCTGCAGCCTGCGTCTGACCCTCATTCCTTTTCCTGGCTGTATAGTATTCCACTGTGTGTCTCTTCTCTCACTGGGCCTGAGGTCTTCAAGGTTTATCCACGCTGCAGCCTGCGTCTGACCCTCATTCCTTTTCCTGGATGTATAGTATTCCATTGTGTTCCCAGAGTAAATTCTGTTTACCTGTTCATCCACTGATGGGCGCCTGGGTTGCTTCCACGTTTGAACTGTTGTGAGTCATGACACTATGAACTTGGGTATAGCAGTATGCTCTGTTTTTCTAGGAAAATTTGGAGATGAAAAAAATATGTTCACCCATGAGATCATATCCTTTGCAGGGGCGTCGATGGAGCTGGAAGCCTTTATCCTCAGCAAACTCACACAGGAACAGAAAACCAAACACTTCATGTCCTCACGCATAAGTGGGAGCTGAACAATGAGAACAGATGGACACAGGGAGGGGAACGTCACACACTGGGGCCCGCCAGGGGTGGAGGGGTGGGAGGGAGAGCAACAGGAAAAATAACTAATGCATCGTGTGCTTAATACCTAGGCGACAGGTTGACAGGTGCAGCAGACCACCATGGCACGTGTTTACCTATGTAGCAAACTTGCCCACCCTTCCCCCACACCCCAGAGCTTAATTTTTTTTTCTTTTTCAAGATGGAGTCTCACTCTGTCGCCCAGGCTGGAGAGTGCAGTGGCGCGATCTCAGCTCACTGCAAGCTCCACCTCCCGGGTTCACGCTATTCTCCTGCCTCAGCCTCCCGAGTAGCTGGGACTACAGGTGCTCGCCACCACGCCCGGCTAATTTTTGTGTTTTTAGGAGACACAGGGTTTCACCGTGTTAGCCAGGATGGTCTCGATCTCCTTACCTCGTGATCTGCCCGCCTTGGCCTCCCAAAGTGCTGGGATGACAGGCGTGAGCCACCGTGCCTGGCACCCCAGACCTTAAAATAACATTTTTTAAAAAGTTTACATAGTGCAAAGAAAAAAAGCATAATTATTTTCATAGTCATTAACTAGAGAATAAGACAGAGACTAATAGAGACACAAAAGTCATGTGTGAGTGTCACAGTTAAGTGGAAACAGGGCTGGTATAATTTGCATCTTCACCTTTTCAAAGCTGGGAGCATGGTGGTCCACACCTGTAATCTCAGCACTTTGGGAGGCCAAGGCAGGTGGATCACCTGGGGTCAGGAGTTCGAGACCAGTCTGGCCAACATGGCAAAACCCCATCTCTGCTAAAGATACAAAAATTAGCCGGTCACAATGGCAGGTGCCTGTAATCCCGGCTACTCGGGAGGCTGAGGCAGGAGAATGGCGTGAAATCGGGAGGCGGAGGTTGCAGTGAGCCGAGATCACATCACTGCACTCCAGCCTGGGAGACAGAGCGAGACTCCGTCTCAAAAAAAGAGAAAAAAAGTTTCCAAGGTTGCTATGTCTCTACCATGAACAATATCAGGGGTTGGGGTGAGGGTGGGGGAGGATTATTTTATAATAACACAATATCCGGCTCTGAATTCAACAGTCAATTAAAAACATATTACGTAATTTCCCTTCTATCAGGATCTGCAGACTACGCTTTCACTTCTTTCTTGTCGGCTAGTCCTTCCAAAGGTAGGATATTTCTCTCTTACAAACCATGCCCTGTGCTTCGGGGACCCGTAAAATATGTCTTTAAAATCACTTGAACTCTTTTTATTTATTTATTTATTTATTTATTTATTTATTTATTTATTTATTCTGAGACGGAGTCTTGCTCTTGTCACCCAGGCTGGAGTGCAATGGCATGATCTCGGCTCACTGCAACCTTCGCCTCCCGGATTCAAGCAATTCTCCTGCCTCAGCCTCCTGGGTAGTTGGGATTACAGGCATGCACCACCACGCCCGGCTAATTTTTGTATTTTTTAGTAGAGACGGGATTTCACCATGTTGGTCAGGCTGGTCTCGAACTCCTGACCTCGTGATCCACCCGCCTCAGCCTCCCAAAGTGCTGGGATGACAGGCATGAGCCACCACGCCCGGCCAAAAAAATCACCCGAACTCTTTTTAACGTTTGGAAAGAAGTCCCTGGTTGTGTTCCATCTGTTGGAGGCACCATGATGGAATGGGAACCATCTGTGCTAAATGCACCCGTCTTCATCTTTCACAACAAATCCGTCTGGCCTCTTGCTGTGCTCGTGAGCTCTCTGCAGAGAAAGCTTGTTCATCCCGGCTCTTTTCTACTCAGCTCACATTCAGGATCCTGCAGACCTGGGATAATCTCTTCTGGAGGAGGGTCTTTTCCAAATCTTTGATCTCCCTGTTTTATTTATCTGTCCTGATCCAACACGTGGGGCCCCCCATTCGTGCATGAGCCTGGGGACTGCTTTCCCGAGAGGCCTCCACCGCCGAGTCTGAAGCGGTCGTCTAATCCTCAGGCAAAAGAACTTCCCGCTTTTATAAGCAGGAAAAACTGCACCCCGGGTTCTAATACCGCGATCTGTGTCTTTTCCGAGGCTGACTTGGTGAGGATATTACTCAGCCTAATAACCATGTCAATATTAGGTCAATAATATCCCGCACCTGTGATAACTTCGGCCTGCCAGGCAGAAATTTGCCGTGGTGATCAAAAGACATTCTCCCAAGGCAAACATTGGAAATTAATGTTTTAAAAACCGGTTCTGATGCCAGAAGGAAAGGCTGTTTTAGAAAGACAACCAGCGTTCTAGGGGGGAAAGATGGTCCCCGGTGAAATGCACGGATTACCCACGACAAATACGGAATTGGATGTTGCCAGTAAATGAAGAGAGCTGTTTGGAAAAGGCTGGTGAAGAGGAAGGTTTTCTGTACAAAGAGAAGCGACTCACACGTTTAAGAGTTTATGCAGCCAAAAAACACATGAAAAAATGCTCATCTTCACGGGCCATCAAAGAAATGCAAATCAAAATCACAATGAGACACCATCTCACACCAGTTAGAATGGCGATCATTAAAAAGTCAGGAAACAACAGGTGCTGGAGAGGATGTGGAGAAATAGGAACACTTTTACAGTGTTGGTGGGACTGTAAACTAGCTCAACCATTGTGGAAGTCAGTGTGGCGATTCCTCAGGGATCTAGAACTAGAAATACCATTTGACCCAGCCATCCCATTACTGGGTATATACCAAAATGACTATAAATCATGCTGCTATAAACACACATGCGCACGTATGTTTATTGTGGCACTATTCACAATAGCAAAGACTTGGAACCAACCCAAATGTCCAACAATGATAGACTGGATTGAGAAAATGTGGCACACATATACCGTGGAATACTATGCAGCCATAAAAAATGATGAGTTCATGTCCTTTGTAGGGACATGGATGAAACTGGAAACCATCATTCTCAGCAAACTATTACAAGGAGAAAAAAACAAATAATGCATGTTCTCACTCACAGGTGGGAGTTGAACAATGAGAACACATGGACACAGGAAGGGGAACATCACACACCGGGGACTGTTGTGGGGTGGGGGGAGGGGGGAGGGAGAGCATTAGGAGATATACCTAATGTTAAATGACGAGTTCATGGGTGCAGCAAACCAGCATGGCACATGTATACATATGTAACAAGCCTGCATGTTGTGCACATGTACCCTGAAACTTAAAGTATAATAATAATAAAATTTAAAAAAAAGAGTTTGCAAGGGTGAAAGTTGAAGGGTGTAGAGAAAAACAAAGATTGGGAAGCTGTGTGTCCTGGAGACGTGCTGTGTGTCCTGGAGACGTGCTGTGTGTGCCAGGCTTGGCTGATTTCTTTGAATTAGGTGGAATTCCTCTCTTTTCTTGCCAAACATCTGCTAAAGGATCTTCTCTCTGTATCATGTTTGCTGTCATGCAGCTGTATAGAAAATGCATTTCGCAAGGCTGGGCACGGTGGCTCACACGTGTAATCCCAGCTACTCAGCAGGCTGACTGCAGGAGAATCTGTTGACCCCGGGAGACACATTGCAGTGAGCCGAGATCGTGCCATTGCCTTCCAGCCTGGGCGACAGAGTGATACTCTGTCTCCAAAAATAATAAAAATTGGCTCACGCGTGTAATCCCAGCACTTTGGGAGGCTGAGGGAGGGGGATCACGAGGTCAGGAGATGAAGACCGTCCTGGCTAACATGGTGAAAACCCGTCACTATTAAAAAAATCCAAAAAATTAGCCGGGCGTGGTGGCGGGCGCCTGTAGTCCCAGCTACTCGGGAGGCTGAGGCAGGAGAATGACGTGAACCAGGGAGGCTGAGCTTGCAGTGAGCCGAGATCGCGCCACTGCACTCCGGCCTGGGCGAAACAGCGAGACTCCATCTCAAAAAATAATAATACTAAAATTAAATTAAAATTACATTTTTAAAAAAATTTAAAAAATGCATCCCCTGGCTGGGTGCGGTGGCTCACACCTGTAATACCAGGACTTTGGGAGGCCGAGGCGGGTGGATCACCTGAGATCAGGAGTTTGAGACCAGCCTGGACAACATGGCGAAACCCCGTCTCTACTAAAAATACAAAAATTACCTGGGCACAGTGGTGCACGCCTGTCATCCCAGCTACTCAGGAGGCTGAGACAGGAGAATCACTTGAACCCAGGAGGCGGCGGTTGCAGTGAGCCAAGATCGCACCACTGCCCTCCAGCCCGGGCAACAAGAGTGGGACTCCATCTCAAACACACACACAAAAAATCCCCCTTTTCAACTTTTTTCCTTTGTACTTCACTACTGAATTCTAAAATGGGAACTGGTTTCGTGGTTTCCTTCCTGTGGTGAAAGGCATACAGAAAAAGAAGTCACCGTTTCAGACAACTCCGGCTCAGGAACAAAGATGTTTTATGTGTGTTTTAAAAAACTTTTTACTTTACATAAAATTGGCAAACAATACTTGCATATTTTTAAGGCGCACAACATGACGTTTTGATAGATGTATCATTGTGGAATAATTACATCAGGTTAATTCACGTATCTGTCACTTCAAGTGCTTAATCTTTTTTTAGTGAAAACATGTAAAATCTGTTCTTTTATCAGTTTTGAATTATACATTATCTATTAACTGTTGCCACCATGCTGGGCTACAATGTTTTCTTCTGTCACTAGAATGCATCCTTTCTGTCAAACTGAAACTTTGTATCATTTTACCAACGGTTTCCCCCTTTTTTTTCTTCTTCTTCTTCGTCCTCCTCCACCTCCCCCTCCTCCTCCTCCTCCCTCTCCTCTCCCCTCCCCTCTCCTCCCCTCTCCTCCCCTGTCCTCTCCTCTCTTTTCTTTTCTTTTCTTTTTTTCCTTTCTTTTTAGACAGAGTCTTACTCCGTCACCAGGCTGGGGAGCAGTGGCACAATCTCAGCTCACTGCAACCTCCGCCTCCCGGGTTCAAGCGATTCTCCTGCCTCAGCCTCCCGAGTAGCTGGGATGACAGGCACCTGCCACCACATCCGGCTAATTTTTCTATTTTTAGTAGAGACAGGGTTTCGCCATGTTGGCCAGGCTGGTCTCGAACGCCTGACCTCATGATCCACCTGCCTCGGGTTAGACTTTTTTACATTCCACGTAGAGGTGAGATCACGCGGTATTTGTCCGTCTGAGCCTGGCTTATTTCCCTCAACATCACGTCCCCCGGGTTCATCTTGCTTTTCCAGGCTGAAGACTATTCTGTTGTGTGTGTCGCACATCTTGTGGCTTGTGTCATAGAAAACGTTTTCCCCACAAACCCATACCCTGTCCGGGACGCCCCACGCCCTCTCACTGTGCCTAAGTCCCACGGGAAGGCTGTTATGGCCTACTGTTGTTTTGCGGAATTTGCCTTTTCTTTCTTTCTTTCTTTCTTTCTCTCCTGTCTTTTTCTTGCTTCCTTTTCTTTCTCTTTCTTTCTCCCTCTCTTCTTTCTTCTTTTTTCTTTCTCCCTCTCTTATTTCTTCTTTCTCTTTTCTTTCTCTTTCTTTCTCTTTTCTTTTTCTTTCTTCTTTCTCTTTCTTTTCTATTTCTCTCTGTCTCCTTTCTTTGTCTCATTTCTTTTTCTTCTTTCTCTTTCTCTTACTTTCTCTGTTTTCTTTCTTTCTTTGTCTCTTCTTTCTTTTTTCTTTCTTGCTCTTTCTTTTTTTTCTCTCTCCTTTCTTTGTCTTTCCTTCTCCTTTCTTTCTCTTTCTCTTACTTTCTTTGTCTCTCTCCTTTCTCTCTGTTTTCTTTCTTTCTTCCTCTTTCTCTTTCTTTCTCTCTTTCTTTTTTCTTTCTCTTTCTTCTTCCTTTCTTTCTCTGTCTTTTCTTTCTTTCTCCCTTCCTTCCTTTCTTTCTCTTTGTTTCTTCTTTCTTTCTTCCTCTCTCCTTCCTTCCTTCTTTCCTTCCTTTCAAGACAGAGTCTGACTCTGTCACCCAAGCTACAGTGCAGTGGCACAATCTCAGCTCACTGCAACCTCTGCCTCCTGGGTTCAAGCGATTCTCCTGCCTCAGCCTCCTAAGCAGCTGGGATTACAGGCACGCGCCACCACGCCCAGCTACTTTTTTTGTATTTTTAGTAGAGACGGGGTTTCACCATGTTGGCCAGGGTGCTCTCAAACTCCTGGCCTCAAGAGATCCACCCGCCTTGGCCTCATAAAATGCTTGCATTACAGGCATGAACCACCCTGCCCAGTCCTAAATTTGCTTTTTACAGGGGATGCCTTTGCAAAGGTAGCCTGAAGCTACATCAGGGCTCTTGTACATGAGCTGGTCACATGAGAGTCTGCCTAAAAGTAGAAGAAGGAAAAAAAAAATCGCAGTCCTCCAAAGGCTATGATAACCAAGGGAAGTCATCCCAAGACGTGTGAGTGGCTGGATTCTCTATATCCATCCAGGAGAGAGGATTGGGGGTCACTGGGAGCAAGGTTTATCGTGAGACAACTTGAGATGTCTTCCTGCGGGCACGAAAAGGACCAAAACACTCTGGAATAGGATTGCTTGGGGCAGAAAGGTCTTCAGCTGACCACATGCTTTCTGAGCACCTGGCTTTACGCAGAACCCTGTCCGGGAAATGCTGGGTGAAGAGAACACGCTGTCCAGTGGGCTTGGGAGGGCCTCATCTTGTGCCGGCTTCAGCCAATTGGAAAAAAATAAAAGATGAGCCGATTATGTAAGGCCTGACATGGTACTGAGGGCTCTCTGAGCATAAATTAACTTCCCCACACAGCCCGCCTGTGAGGTAGGTAGGAAGGTGGGCGGTAAACGTGTGTGCCAATTTTCATCTGGACCTCAGAGACCCATGGTAGTTCAGCAAAGGCCACACAGTGAGCTGGGTGGAGGGAACGTAGAAACTCTCAGGCATCCGCCAGGCCCCGTCCCATACTTTGGCAGGGAGGTTTTTATTAAAATGATTAAGGACCGAGGTGGTGATCCCGGGAAAAGTTGTTGAAAAATGAAAGTTTGGGCCTCTGAGTTAATGGTTTAATTATGCGTCTCAGGATTTGCAAAGAGCACAGTCATCTTATGTGTGGGGCGGATTCTGACTTCCCGTCCAGCCTTTCATTTCTAGAGACAATCGGCCAATTTATACTTAGGGGAAAATGAAGGACGAGCTGAAAGAATGGCAGAAAGTCCATCTTCCAAGCTCTTCCTGGAAATACAGAAAAGAAAGGAGCGTCCTCAAAAAACACCAGCCCACACGTTGACGTCGGCACCTCCTGCAAGATGAGCCGGGCACATTTATTAAGCAGCCGTTTGGCTGGAAAAAATGGCCAATGCAACTCGGTCTGAATTTCTCTCCTGGGTGTCCAAGGATCAAGGCAGGTAATGAGGTTGGCAGAATTATGAATCGCAATCAAATTTTTTCTATGACCTGATAGAAACGCCAACTCACTGTATGAGTCTGTTGTCAAAGTCTAACTTCCAAAACGCAAAGCACGCTCCCGATCATAAACACAGAGATAGCAGTATTGAAGAATTGTCCCCCCGGCTCCAGCCCCGGATTTCTCTAGAGGGGCTAATGGAGGCCACGACATTTGTGGCATAAAAAGGTTTGCGATGAACAGTCTTGCCTGGGGTGCAGGAAGGTGAGGAGCTGTGTGTGGCTTTTGCGTTTTCCTTCACGATGGAATGCGAGTCTTTGATGCCGGCTAGATCCACGTTTTATGAGGCGGAATTTTTAATATTGAAAGTCAGAAAGGGCTAGATGGTCTTTGGAGTCCCAGTGGGTGAAGTCGAAGTAAAGGAATGTGGTCATTAAAAAAAAAAAAAAAAAACTTGATTTTTCTTACCCAGAGGTTGGTACACGGTGAGTCTAATTTTCTCAAAGGAAATCTGAAATCAGACCAATTTGGAGTGTCGTTAGCTGGGATCTACCTCCAACGGGCCCACATCACCAACCCTCATGTCGGGCACCGAATTTCCGTCACTATTCTGCAGGATGAGCTCACGCCAGGAATACCTCCACCAACCCAATGTCTGACTCAAAACTTTGCAAACTAGGAAAGGCCCAAAGAAATTATGAAATCAGGGCCGGGCGCGGTGCCTCACGCCTGTCATCCCAGCACTTTGGGAGGCCGAGGCAGGTGGATCAGCAGATCAGGAGATCAAGACTGTCCTGGCTAACATGGTGAAACCCCGTCTCTACTAAAAATACAAACAATTAGCCGGGCGCGGTGGTGAGCACCTGTAGTACCAGCTACTCGGGAGGCTGAGGCAGGAGAATGGCGTGGTGGCTCACACCTGTAATCCCAGCACTTTGGGAGGCCGAGGCAGGTGGATCTCTTGAACTCAGGAGATCAAGACCAGCCTGGGCAACATGGGGAAACCCCGTCTCTACTAAAAATACAAAAATTAGATGGGTGTGGTGGTGGGTGCCTGTAATCCCAGCTACTCCAGGGGACTGAGGTGGGAGGATTGCTTGAGCCCGGGAGGCGGAGGTTGCAGTGAGCAGAAATTGCACCACTGCACTCCAGCCTGGGTGACAGAGTGAGACTCTGTCTCAAAAATGAAAAAAAAAAAAAAAAGAGGTGGGGTGCAGTGGCTCACACCTGTAATCCCAGCACTTTGGGAGGCCGAGGCGGGTGGATCACGAGGTCGGGAGATCCAGACCAGCCTGACCAACATGGTGAAACCCTGTCTCTACTAAAAATACAAAAATTAGCTGGGAGTGATGGCGGGTGCCTGTGGTCCCAGCTACTCAGGAGGCTGAGGCAAGAGAATCGCTTGAAGTTGGGAGTCAGAGGTTGCAGTGAGCCGAGATGGCACCACTGCACTCCAGCATGGGCGACTGAGTGAGACTCCGTCTCAAAAAAAAAAAAAAGAAAGAAAGAAAAAAGAAAGAAAGCGAAAGAAGAAGGAAAGAAAGAAAGCGAAAGAAGAAGGAAAGAAAGAGAAAGGAGAAAGACAGAGAAAGAAGGAAAAATGAAAGAAAGAAGAAAGAGAAAGAAAGAAAGAAAGAAAGAAAGAAAGAAAGAAAGAAAGAAAGAAAGAAAAGAAGAAAGAAAGAAAGAGAAAGAAAGAAAGAAAGAAGAAAGAAAGAAAGAAGAAAGAGAAAGAAAGGAAGAAAGGGCTGGGCACAGTGGCTCACGCCTGTAATCCCAGCACTTTGGGAGGCTGAGGCGGGTGGATCCTCTGAGGTCAGGAGATCGAGGCCAGCCTGACCAACATGGAGAAACCCCGTCTCTACTAAAAATACAAAAATTAGCCGGGCGTGGTGGTGCATGCTTGTAATCCCAGCTACTCGGGAGGCTGAGGCAGGAGCATCGCTTGAACCCAGGAGGCAGAGGTTGCCGTCAGCCGACGTCATGCCAATGCACTCCAGCCTGGGCAACAAAAGCAAAACTCCGTCTCAAAGAAAAAAGAAAGAAAAAAAAAAGAAAATCAGAGACTCCCTGGCAGATCTCAGGGTATGACTCCCCCAGGGTCGCCATAGCTGACTGCATTAGCACGGCCCTGTGATCACCGGATGAATGGTCTTGGTGGGACAGGTGGCTGCCGTGATCAAACGGCGTGTCCGCCGGTGCTGACAGGTGAGGTGCGGAGTTGCCCACATGGCCCGCCTGGGCCTGGTCCACCAGCAGCAGGGAAGGAGGAGCAGAGCCCAGCTCGGTGCATTTGGAGGCGGTTACCAGGGAAACCAGAGGACAAGCTCAGACGCTTGGGGACGGCCTCTCCACCCAGGCACGTGGAGCTTCATATTAATCGGCAGCCGGGCACGGGCTGGCAGCCCCTTACCCAGACAGATACACACAGAAGTGGAGCTCCCAGTGATGGCTCGTCACGGCTGATATCTGCCCCAGTGGTCATGTTGAACCGGGACGTCATCTCTGTAGGAAAAGGGGGACGGATGTCTGTCTGGACACGGTCCAAGGTACATCGCTGTCTGATCTTTCCGAAAAGTCAGCGTTCGTGGCTTGAGCTGGACGCTTTGAAAGGCGAGGGCGTCGGAAGCTTCATCTCAGGGAGCTGTCATGTGGTATTAGCTTGTAGCACCACCAACCTGCCCTGCCCAGACTGACTTCTCCAGGGCGGGTTTTCCAGGAGGAAGCGCAGGGTGACTCTGTTTCCCCAGCGGCTTCCAAGCACTCCTGGGGACCTCTGTTTGTGAGAAGGACAACATCTGTGTCTGTCTGATGGGCTTGGTGGGATACTCTGATGCATGCACCTGCCGCCGGAGCTCTCTCTGCAAACGTTCTGTGCTGACTTAGGGGAGGCAAAGACACAGAGTTGGAGATCAAGGCTGGTTTGTTCTTCAGCCTTTTGACTCTTCATCTGCGGCATCATTGCATCTGTTTGAATATTTTTCAAAAAGTTTATCGAAAACACAGCTGCACTCCGACGAAGATCCCCACACTATTCACAATGGGAAACATATATAATCGACCGACGTGTGTTTCATTTGCTTTTCCCTGATGATTATTGATTGTCTTAGTCCGTTTTCATGCTGCTGATAAAGATACAACCGAGGCTGGGGACGGTGGCTCACGCCTGTCGTCCCAGCACTTTAGGAGGCTGAGGTGGGTGGATCACCTGAGGTCAGGAGTTTGAGACCATCCTGGCCAACATGGTGAAACTGTCTCTACTAAAAATACAAAAATTAGCTGAGCGTAGTAGCAGACGCCTGTAATCCCAGCACTTTGGGAGGCCGAGGCACGCAGATCACCTGAGGTCAGGAGTTTGAGACCAGCCTGGCCAACATGGTAAAACCCGTCTCTACTGAAAATATAAAACTTAGCCAGGCTTGGTGGTGCGTGCCTGTAATCCCAGCTACTCAGGAGGCTGAGGCAGGAGAATCGCTTGAACCCGGGAGGCGGAGGTTGCAGTGAGCCAAGATCACGACACTGCACTCCAGCCTGGGCGACAGAGCGAGACTCCATCTCAAAAATAAAAGAAAAAAAGAGACATACCCAAGAGTGGGTAATTTATAAAAAAGAAAGAAAAAGAGGTTGAATGGACTCACGGTTCCTTCCCAAAAGCTCACTGTACAAACACAAAGTGGGGAATAGGTCTTTAAAGCATCGAAAGTGAGCAGGCTCGATCACTACAAATTTTTTGTTTGTTTCTTTCTTTTGAGACAAGGTCTTACTCCATCACCCAGGCTGGAGTGCAGTGGCACGATCTCGGCTCACTGCAACCTCCGCCTCCCGGGTTCAAGCGATTCTCCTGCCTCAGCCTCCCGAGTAGCTGGGGCTACAGGCGCCCACCACCACGCCTGGCTAATTTCTTGTGTTTTTAATAGAGATGGGGTTTCACTATGTTGACCAGGCTGGTCTCGATCTCCTGACCTCATGATCTGCCCACCTCAGCCTCCCAAAGTGCTGGGATTACAGACGTGAGCCACTGCACCCGGCCTAATGTTTGTATTTTCAGTAGAGATGATGTTTCACTGTGTTGGGCAGGCTGGTCTCGAACTCCTGACCTCAGGTGATCCACCTGCTTCGGCCTCCCAAAGTGCTGGGACTACAGGCGCCCACCACACGCCCAGCTAATTTCTTGTATTTTTAATAGAGACGGGGTTTCACTATGTTGGCCAGGCTGGTTTCGATCTCCTGACCTCATGATCTGCCCGCCTCAGCCTCCCAAAGTGCTGGGATTACAAGCGTGAGCCACTGCACCCGGCCTAACGTTTGTATTTTCAGTAGAGATGATGTTTCACTGTGTTGGGCAGGCTGGTCTCGAACTCCTGACCTCAGGTGATCCGCCTGCTTTGGCCTCCCAAAGTGCTGGGACTACAGGCGCCCGCCACATGCCCAGCTAATTTCTTGTATTTTTAATAGAGACGGGGTTTCACTATGTTGGCCAGGCTGGTCTCGATCTCCTGACCTCACGATCTGCCCGCCTCAGCCTCCCAAAGTGTTGGGATTACAGGCGTGAGCCACCTCGCCCAGCCTAAATGTTTTTTGGTTGCATGGATGGTTTGGTAAAGTCTAGGCTGCTAGCACACCTGTGCACTGAGTAGCATACATTGAACCCCAGAGGTAATTTTTCATGCCTCACTCTGCTCCTATCTTCCCGTCTTCTGAGTCTCCAATGTCCACTATTCTACCCTGTATGTCCCCGGGTACCCAGAACGTAGTGTCTTCTTATAAATGACAACATGTGGTATTTTTTTTCTGTTCCTGAGTTACTCTAGTTAGGAAAGTCATCTTCAGCTCCATCCAAGTTGCTGCAAATTACATTATCTTGTTCTTTTTCATGGCTGAGTAGTATTCCATGGTGTATATAAACCACATTTTCATTTTCTTTTCTTTTCTTTTTTTTTTTTTTTTTTTTGAGATGGAGTCTCGCTCTGTTGCCCAGGCTGGAGTGCAGTGGTGCAATCTCGGCTCACTGCAACATCCGCCTCCCGGGTTCAAACATTTCTCCTGCTTCAGCCTTCCGAGTAGCTGGGATGACAGGCAGCCGCCACCATGCCCAGCTCATTGTTTTGTTTTGTTTTTTCTATTTCTTGTATTTTTAATAGAGTCAGGGTTTCACCATGTTGGCCAGGCTGGTCTTGAACTCCTGACCTCAGGTGATCCACCCGCCTCGGCCTCTCACAGTGCTGGGATGACAAGTCTGAGCCATCTCACACCTGTTTCTTTTCCTTCTTAATGGGCATGTAAAATTGTTCTGCAACACTCCTGGCTCTTCTGTGGAAGTGTGATGTCCACGAGAAGGAATTTAGGGAGAGCAAGCTTGCTTCTGCAGTCCCCGGGAAAGGCAGGTCTGCATGGCTAGCGGGGTCAAGCTCTCGTAGGAAGGAAAGAATGCTCCAAGACATGCTCTGAACCCAGGAAGAACGCAAGCTTCGGCTCCGAAGCGTTCCGAGGAGGCCAAGCTGCCTCTAATCACCCCGAATTATCCGTAAGGGGAGGCGTCGGGGAGCTGGTAATCCGTGGGGATGGAAGCTAATTACTTAATCACTCGCATTTGTAAATCGCATTATTGGAAAAGAAATTACTCTGGTGATCGAATTACAGATATTTATCTGCTAATAGCCCTGATTAACTGGCGATGTTAATCTGTCATTTTGAAAGCTAATATTAACAGCATCAATCTCGCCGAGAAAATAAACAGTTTACGGGAAATAAAACCGGGTGTAATGGAAAGCACCGTGTGTCGGAGTCCCCAGATCTAGAGTGTGCTGCTGAGTGCAGTGGCCAAGGTCCCCCCGTTAGCCCTTTATGGAAAATACCCTCTGGCTGGGAACGGTTCGGACGAGGCTGACTCTAACGGGCTCAGAGAAGCTGAGGAGAAACACCCGGGGAAAATGCATTTTGAGAAAAATCCCAAAGGTTCTAGACACGGGTCCCCCAGGGAACGCCCTGCACGTGTATTTATGCAGAGTTCACTCTCGATAAAAAGGATC
Source organism: Homo sapiens (assembly GCF_000001405.40). Taxonomy (NCBI): domain Eukaryota; kingdom Metazoa; phylum Chordata; class Mammalia; order Primates; family Hominidae; genus Homo; species Homo sapiens. The sequence continues at coordinate 1,035,514 of NC_000024.10, forward strand.
CCCTGGAATTCCAAGCAAGGAAGGATTGAGCTATCCAGCAGACACCCGGTGGGTGCATTTTACGTCGCCTTTAGCCAAATCGATGATCTCAGAGTGAGACTCAGAGTGAGGCTCCGGCTCAAAGAAAAAAAAAAAAAATTACCAAATAGTGTCAAAACCATAGCTATGTCTTTTCTCAGACAACAATTTGATAATGCTTCTTTTTGGAAAATTAGCAAGATTTGAGGATGGGGTTTGGATTTGCTCAAGAACAGTATGATGGCAGGATCTGGACCTTTAGCAAAACCCCCCTCTACTAAAAATTATAAAAATTAGCCAGGCGTGGTGGTGGGTGCCTGTAATTCCAGCTACTAGGGAGGCTGAGGCAGGAGAATCGCTTGAATGAGAGTCGATTGGCTGTAAATGTAAAGGAATCTGCCACAATCTGAAAGCCGTGGGCTGAACGGTGTCTCTCCTGGAAAGCGTGTTGCAATCCAGACTCCAGTGAACGTAACTTGATTTGCAACAGGGTCTTTGATTTGGAAAGTTAACATGATATCCGTAGGGTGGGCCCTGATTCAATGGGACTGGTGTCTTTATAAGAAGAGGACATGAGCCGGGCACGGTGGCTGACGCCTGTAATCCGAGCAGTTTGGGAGGCTGAGGCTGGGGGATCACTTGAGGTCGGGAGTTCAAGACCAGCCTGACCAACATAAAGAAACCCCGTCTCTACTAAAAATGTAAAATTAGCCGGGTGTGGTGGGGCACGCCTGTAATCCCAGCTACTCAGGAGGCTGAGGCAGGAGAATCACTTGAACCCAGAAGGCAGAGGTTGCGGTGAGCCAAGATCACGGCATTGCACTCCAGCCTGAGCGACAAGAGTGAAACTCCATCTCAAAAAACAAAAACAAACAAAACAAACAAACAAACAAAAAACAGAAGGGAGGTGAGGACACAGACACACACACAGAGGGACGACCCTGTGAGGACACAGGGAGAAGACGGCGTCTCCAAGCCCAGGAGAGAGGCCTCAGGAGGAACCAGCCCTGTCCACACCTTGATGTCAGACTTCCAGCCTCCAGGACTGTGGGAGAGTCAACGTCTGTTGTTTATAAGCCACCCAGTCTATGGTATTCTGTGACAGCAGCCTGAGATGGACTAAGACATCCCATAAGAAGAGGAGATGAGGACACAGACACATGCGGAGGGATGACCCTGTGAGGCCACAGGGAGAAGACGGCATCTCCAAGCCCAGGAGAGAGACCTCAGGAGGAATCAGCCCTGCCAGCATCTTCACTGGAGGCTTCTGTTCTCTGAAAGAGTGAGAGGAAAGTGTTATGTGTTTCAAAGCCCCCCAGTGAGTGATAGTCGGTGATGGCCACCCTGAGGGACCAATGCAACAATCTCCCTGCATTTTGCTTTTTGCATTTTCTCAGCCAACTCTCAGAAACGGACGCAAGGAGAAGCACAAGAAGACACACACCAGCCCATCTTTTTCTTTTTTTTTTTTTTTTTTTTTGAGATGGAGTCTCGCTGTGTCACCCAGGCTGGAGTGCAGTGGCGCGATCTGGGCTCACTGCAAGCTCCCCCACCGGGTTCACACCATTCTCCTGCCTCAGCCTCCCGAGTAGCTGGGACTACAGGCACCCGCCACCACGCCCGGCTATTTTTTTTGTATTTTTAGTAGAGACGGGGTTTCACCGTGTTAGCCAGGATGGTCTCAATCTCCTGACGCCGTGATCCGCCCGCCTCGGCCTCCCAAAGTGCTGGGATGAGAGGTGTGAGCCACCATGCCCGGCCCCACCAGCCCATCTTAAACTGTGTCCTTTGTCAGCCCTGGCTGGCCCGGGGTCGTGTTTGGAGAGGTCCCTGGCAAAGGCCATCGTTGCCATGACCTCCCCTACCCTCACTCCCACACCTGAGAGAGGAATGAATGGATAACGTCACCTTGTGCACAGAGCACCTGGCATTATCTGTTGGGGAGAAGAGACGTTGCTTCCTTCCTTCCTCTTTAATTTTTTAATTTTTTTAATGTCACCCTGTGCACAGAGCACCCAGTATTATCTGTTGGGGAGAAGAGACGTTGCTTCCTTCTTCCTCTTTTAAAATTAAAGATACTGGCAGGGCATGAGGACGGAGTGAAGTCTATCTGAGTTAGCTTTACAAAAATGTGCGTCTTCCAAAAATCTGTTCATCCTTCTCACAGCCTCTTTATCCCGTGCTGGATGCTTCCTGCCTTCAAACATCAGATTCCAAGTTCTTCAGTTTTGAAACTCGGACTGGCTGTCCTTGCTTCTCAGCCTCCAGACAGCCTAAGGTGGGACCTTGTGATCATGTCAGTTCATACTTAGTAAACTCCCCTTTATATATATATATATATATATATATATATATATATATATATATATATATGTATATGTAAGTATTCCATTAAGAATACCATATATAGGCTGGGCACGGTGGCTCACGCCTGTCATCCCAGCGCTTTGGGAGGCCCAGGCGGGTGGATCATTTGAGGTCAGGAGTTCGAAGCCAGCCTGGCCAACATGCTGAAGCCCCTTCTCTACTAAAAATATAAAAATTAGCGAAGTGTGATGGTGGGTGCCTGTAAACCCAGCTACTGGGGAGGCTGAGGCAGGAGAATTGCTTGAACCCAAGAGGCGGAGGTTGCAGTGAGCCGAGATTGTGCCACTGCACTCCAGCCTGGGTGACAGAGCGAGACTCCGTCTCAAAAAATAAATACATTAATTAAAAACAATGCAGCACCATAGGACGCCTGCCAATGAGAGAGAAATAGATAATCAGGCATGCTGGATGGAAAACACATTAAAACAGTGAGTCACATTCTCTCTCAGTCATGCAGCTATGACCAGGTGTTCTGGATTGAATCGTGTCCCATATCCGTGGGTATAACCTTATTTGGAAATAGGGTCTTCAGAGGTATAATCAAGTAAAGACGAATTCATGAGCATGAACCCCCATGCAATAGCTCTGGGCTTCTTATGAAAAGAACTCATGGCTAGGATTTGGGGGCTCCTGAGGCTCTAGATGTAAAAGCATCAGCACTTGAAACTTTCAATCTTACAATGTAACGGCCCCTTTCCTTGCAGTAATGAGTAGAACAGTGTCATTATCTGTTTGGGCTGCTGTAAAAAACAACAAAGACTGGGTAATTTTAAAAGAACAAAAATGTATTTCTTACAGTTCTGGGGGCCGGGAAGTCCAAGAGCCAAGCAGCCAAGCATCAATTGATTCTGTTGTCCGGTGAGGGCTGCTGTCTGCTTCCAAGATGAAAACTTGTCACTGTTTCTCCTGCAGGAGAGGAATGCTATGTCCTCGCATAGCAGAAGGCAGACGAGCAAGAGAAAGCTAAATGCTGTATGAAGCCCCTTTATAAGGCCTTAATCCCCCCTATGAGGGAGGAGCCATGATGGTCTAATCACCTCTTTAAGGCCTCCCGATACCATCACATTGGCCATCAAATTTCAACACTTGCATTCTGGAGGAAATGCATTCATACCATATCAGACAGAAATTATATGGCCAGCTCTATGGTTCCTCTCCTTACACTAACCATTATTCAGGTAAGTAAAAGGCATGCTGTCTGGGTGCAGTGGCTCACATCTGTAATCCCAGCACTTTGGGAGGCTGAGGCAGGGGGATCGCTTGAGCCTAGAAGTTTGAGGCCAGGCTGGGCAACATAGCAAGACTCTGTCTCTACAAAATAAAAATTTTAAAACTAATCAGCCAAGTCTGTTGGCATATGTCTGTAGAAACAGCTACTTGGAAGGCTGAAGCAGGAGGATTGTTTGAGTCTAGGAGTTTGAGGCTGCAGTGAGTTATGAGCACACCACGGCACTCCAGCCTGGGAGAAAAAGCGAGACCCCCAACTCTAAAAAAATAAAAAGAGGATGGTTACCTTATATAGGAGATAGACAGTGGAAGGCATTCCAGAGAAGGCAAGCAGTGAGTAGATGTTTCAGGACCATTCTCAGCCCTGAGACAGGAGGCCCATGAAGTAGTGACTAATGTCCACTCTGAAATGCATTGTGAAGAAGAGACAAAGAAGCTGAGAGCTGCTGTGCTGTCCTTGTGGGCCTGAGCTGTAGTTTTGTCTTTCTTTCAACAGCAACAGGGAAGGTGTTGCATGGTCTTCAGCAGCTAGGCAATGTTAGCAGGAGCACCTCCCACTTTCAAGTAGGCCTTCACCTCCAAATGGCCTCCACCTCCAAGTTAGTCTCCAACTTCTAAATTGGCTTCCACCTCCAAGTTAGCCTCCAGTTTCCCAGTTGGACTCTACCTCCTAGTTGGCCTCCACATCCAACTTGGACTCCAGCTTCCAAACTGGCCTCCACCTCCAAGTTAGCTTCCAACCTCCAAATTGACCTCACCTCCAAGTTAGCCTCCACCTTCAAGTTAGCCTCCAATCTCCCAACTGGACTCTACCTCCTAGTTGGCCTCCAACCCACATGTTGGCCTCCACTTCCAACCTGGACTCCACACTCCAAACAGGCCTCCACCTCCAAGTTAGCCTCAACCTCCAAATTGGTCTCCGCCTCCAAGTTAGCCTCCACCTGCAAGTTAGCTAATTTACCAGCTGGGAGATTATCAATCTGCTTATTATATCAATCTGCTTATTATATCTTATTATGCCTCCAAGTTGGCCTCCACCATCAAGTTGACCTTCACTTCCACATTGGCCTCCACTGCCAAGTTGAGTGGCCTCCACCTCCAAGCTGGCCTCTACCTCCAAGCTGGCTCTAACCTCGAAGTTGGCCTTCACCTCCAAGATGACCTCCAACCAACCAAATTGACCTCCAACCTCCAAGTTGACCTCCACCTTCAAGTTGGTCTGAACATGGTTTGGAGAATATATCAATGGATGTATATGAAAGCAGAGTGACCAGTGGAGAAGTTGGTGTGGCCACTTGGACATGATTGATGGACAGGGCTCCAACGGTTCATCAACCCAAGGCTCCTTTCTTTAAAAGCCACACTGACTCAACAGACCAGAGACCACATCTAAAGTCTACAGAAGAGCTGATAGCAGGCTCTGTCTGAGATAAGCCACTGTCGATTTCTCCCCATGTCCACCCAGTTCTGATCATGGTGCCTGCGTAAAGGTAGCCTGCCCTGTGTTTGTCTATTGTCTGAACAATTTCCAAATCACTGCCTCATCTGTAGCTCATTCTCCAAGGTCACTAACCTGTGTCCTGCCTGTCCACAAGGAAGGAGTGAGATTTCTCCTTCGGTCCTTGCTCCGTCTTCAAAGCTTGAGCACCTCGTCATACGCATTTTCCCTTTGATGGCCTTTTTGTTTCTTGCACTTCAAATCTGGTGGCCCAGGAAGTGTGGGCTTTGTCCTAGGCACCGATTGTCACATGTTTTCTCCACACTCAGTATGGGCTTTTTGTACAATTAGCCAGTTTTCTCTGATTCCCTCATACTTTGCACCTTGGAAAAACTGTATGAACACAGTCTTATCTGTTCCCAATCTTATCCGTTCTTTGATTCCCTCAAGCTCCTGCATCGCTACCTATCTGGCCTGCGGATTTAGCTCCTTGCCTGATTGCTTTGTGTTATTTTTCTTACAGTTGCCTTTTCCATCTGCCCCAAAGACTCATCTCATGAAAGCAAGATGATGAAGAGGGAGACGGATTAGGGCAGAGGCCGGGCAGGGAGGCGGGAGATGTGGGCTTGTTCTAAACAAGGTGTGAGATCTGCTGTAGAAGCCAACTTACCAAGGGGTTTAGGCAACACAGCCAAGCCAGCCAAGATCTCCGGGGCTGTCCTGGGAGCACGCCCAAGCCCGAGGTTGGACTTGGGAGGTCTAGAGAGGAACACCACAGGCTCATGTTTCACTGGCCTGTTGGGACCACGGCTAATTCCACAGCCTCTTGGCTCCTTGGGAGGATATCACACCTCTCCTGGAACCCGAACCCTTGCGGCCCTCCCGTGATCCAGCGCCACCTCCCTAAGAACCTTTATAAGAAGAAGACATGAGGATCTTTGATCAGCTTCCTTCTTTTGCAGCTGAAAATATATTGAATGTCAGTAAAAGGTCTCATCTATTTTTATATATCTATCTCTGTCTATGTGTCTAGCTATCATCTATCTATCTATCTATGTGTCACTCTATGTACTTATCTATCTATCTGCTTGTCTGTCTGTCTATCCATGTATCTATCTATCTATATGTGTATCTATCTATCTATCATCTGTCTATGTGTCCATTTATCTGTGTATCTATCTACCTATCTGTCTATGTGTCTATCTGTGTATCTATCTATATATCTATCTATCATCTATCTATCTATCTATTGGTCTATCTATCTGTCAATCTATGTATCTATCTATCTATCTATTGGTCTATCTATCTATCTATCCTTCTATCTATCCATCCATCTATCCATATCCATCCATCTATCATATCAATCAATTGATCTATCATCTATCCTATTATGTATCAATCTATCCTCCATCTATCTGTCCATCTCTGTGCATCTATCCTATCGACTTATCAGTCTATCCTTCTATTTATCTATCTTTCTATGTATCTCCATTCATCTATCCAATTGATCTATCAATGTATTCTTCTATCTATACATCTATCTACCTACCTGCCTGCCTATCTATTTTATCTAATCTATCTATCCGTCTATCTACCCATCTATTATCTTTATCTATCTCTATCATCCATCTTTCTATCTCTTTATCTAGCTCTCTATCGATCTCTTTATCTGTCTATCTCTTTCTCTATCTCTATCTATCTATCCATTCTTCTGTCAGTTTGTCTGTCTGTCCCTCTGTCTATCCATCTATCTATCTATCTCTATCTGTATCTATCTATCTATCTATCTATCTATCTATCTATCTATCTATCTCTTCTTCTGTCCGTTCATGTGTCTGTCCATCTATCTATCCATCTATCTATCATCTAACTATCTGTCCATCCATCCATCCATCCATCCACCCATTCATCCATCCACCTATCCATCTATCAATCCATCCATCCATCCATCCGTCTATCTTATGCATCACAGCTGGACCATGCAGAAGACAGAGGGCTGAGGAATGGGAGCTTCTGGTGAGGTCTGTGGGTGCAGCCATGAACCCCTCCAGTTAATGTGACTGTATTGGGGAGAACTGGCACCACTGAGGGGGAAGTTGTAGCTGTGAAGAGTGCAGGACCCAGTGGTTGTTGTTGAAGACCACCTGTGTACGATCTGAGGTACAGCTGGAACACTCGGGTGACGAGTTCCTCACTGAAGGTCAATTTGGACCATCCCAAGAGTCCCCTTGGCAGCACAGAGAGATACTGATCTCCCACAGCAGGTGCAGAGAAAGTAAAAGACCAGGAACAAAGTGTGCTGGGCACTGTCTGATGTCAAACCCCAGCTAACGGGCAGTATCAGGACATGATGGACACCACCTCAAGACGTGGGATGGGGTGTCCTGGTATCTGCAACTTTGAGAGCTTTATTTTATTTTATTTTTTGAGATGGAGTCTCACTCTGTCACCCAGGCTGGAGTGCAGTGGCACAACCTCAGCTCACTGCAACCTCCACCTCCTGGGTTCAAGTGATTCTCCTGCCTCAGCCTCCCGAGTAGCTGGGATAACAGGCATGAGCCACCATGCCCGGCCCCAGCTTGGGTTCTGAATCCTTCAACACAGACTCTTTCTGAGAAAAACAGGCCGGGCACAGTGGCTCATGCCTGTCATCCCAGCACTTTGGGAGGCTGAGGCTGGTGGATTGTCTGAGGTCAGGAATTCGAGACCAGCCTGGCCAACATGGAGAAACCCCATCTCTACTAAAAATACAAAAATTAGTCGGGCATGGTGACGGGCGCTTGTAATCCCAACTACTCGGGAGGCTGAGGCAGGAGAATCACTTGAACCCAGGAGGCGGAGGTTGCAGTGAGCCAAGATCTTGCCATTGCACTCCAGCCTGGGTGACAGAGCAAGACTCTGTCTAAAAAAATTAAAAAATTAAAAGTAAATAAATAAATATGAAGTTGGCAACTAAAAAAAATCAAACTTGGCCAGGCACAGTGGCTCACGCCTGTAATCCCAGCACTTTGGGAGGCCGAGGCAGGCACATCACAAGGTCAGGAGATCGAGACCATCCTGGCTAACATGGTGAAACCCGGTCTCTACTAAAAATACAAAAAATTAGCCAGGCGTGGTGGCGGGCGCCTGTAGTCTCAGCTACTCAGGAGGGTGAGGCAGGAGAATGCCCTGAACCCGGGATGCAGAGCTTGCAGTGAGCTGAGACTGCACCACTGCACTTCAGCCTGGGTGACAGAGCGAGACTCTATCTCAAAAAAAAAAAAAAAAATCAAACTTTACTAGATAGGAGAACTGCTCACAAAACAGAAAAAAAACCCTACAAATCACATTTTAATTATAAAAATATGACCATTTACATGAAAATGCTCTGTCTTACCAATAAGAAAGCTTATTAGTTAAAAGAACAGAAACTGCTTGTGTGTATATGCACATATGTATGCGGGCATGTGTGTCTGTACGTGTGTACATATGCAGTTGCCTTCCTCCACCAAAAGGTAAACTTTTTTTTTTTGAGACGGAGCCTTGCTCTGTTGTCCAGGCTGGAGTGCAGTGGCGCGACCTTGGCTCACTACAGCCTCCGCCTCCCGGGTTCACACCATTCTCCTGCCTCAGCCTCCCAAGTACCTGGGACTATAGCCGCCCGTCACCACGCCTGGCTATTTTTTTGTATTTTTAGTAGAGATGGGGTTTCACCATGTTAGCCAGGATGGTCTTGATCTCCTGACCTTGTGATCTGCCCGCCTCGGCCTCCCAAAGTGCTGGGATGACAGGCGTGAGCCACTGCGCCCAGCAACTTTTTTTTTTCTTTTTTTTTTTTGTTGAGACGGAGTCTCGCTCTGTCACCCTGGCTGTAGTGCAGTGGCGCGATCTCGGCTCACTGCAACCTCCGCCTTCCGGGTTCAAGCAATTCTCCTGCCTCAGCCTCCCTAGTAGCTGGGATTACAGGCACCCACCACCACCCCTGGCTAATTTTTTGTATTTTCAGTAGAGATGGGGTTTCCCCATGTTGGCCAGGCTGATCTCGATCTCCTGACCTCGTGATCCGCCCATTTCTGCCTCCCAAAGTGCTGAGATTACAGGAGAGAGCCACCGCACCTGGCCTAAACTTTTTTTTTTAAATTGGGATAAAATTCGCATAGCATGAAATTCCCGTTAACTATCTTGAAGAGAGCAGCTCAATGGTATTCAACACTTACACCGTGCTGTGAAATCATCAGTCCATCTCCTTCTAGAACATTCTCTGCAACCCGAGGAGACCCTGCACCTATTATCAGTCATGCCCATTTCCTCTCCCCGCACTAAGTCTCTTGAAGTTTATGACTTTGTGTGTCTTTCCTCCACAATGACCATTCTCCTTAACTTTTAAAAAGCCATTCGCCCTCTCTTTTTTCCTTTTTTTTCTGAGACGGAGTCTCGCTCTTTTGCCCTGGCTAGAGTGCAGTGGTGTGATCTTGGCTCGCTGCAACCTCTGCCTCCCAGGTTTCAAGCAATTCTCCTGCCTCAGCCTGCCAAGTAGCTGGGACTACAGGCGCACACAACCACGCCCAGCTAATGTTTGTATTTTTAGTAGAGACGGGGTTTCACCATGTTGACCAGGATGGTCTTGATCTCTTGACCTCATGATCCACCCTCCTCAGCCTCCCAAAGTGCTGGGATTACAGGCATGAGCCACCACGCCCTGCCCCCTCACTTCTTTAATAAGACCCTGATTTCCTTTACAGGATCCTGCCCCAACCCAGGGGATGAACCAGGCAGGTCGATCTGTTCCCCATTTCTGGTAGCCAAGCTTCAGACTTGGTAAAGTGTGTGGGAGAAGCATGGCAAAAGAGGAACAGGGAAAAAACTATCTTTGCCCACACCCTCCCTTTCTGCTAGGAATGCCATCTTGAGAATGTGATGTCCAGAGCTTCAGCAGCCACTTTGTGAATATGAGAAAACTCTGCCATGCCCATGCCCTCATTTCCTGCTAGGGATGCTTTATTGAGGGTGTAATATCTGGAGCTTCAGCAGCCACTTTGTGACTATGAGAAAACTCTGTTGTGCCCATGGCCTCCCTTCCTTCTAGGAATGCTCTCTTGAGGGTGCGATGTCCGGAGCTTCAACAGCCACTTTGTGAGTATGAGAAAACTCTGTTGTGCGCGTGCCCTTCCTTCCTGCTAGCAATGCTCTCTTGAGGGCATGATGTATGGAGCTTCAGTAGCCACTTTGTGATTGTAAGAAAACTCTCTTGTGCCCACGGCCTCCTTTCCTGCTAGGAATGCTCTCTTAAGGGCGTGATGTCCGGAGCTTCAGCAGCCACTTTGTAAGAATATGAAAACTGTGTTGTGCCCATGCCTTCACTTCCTGCTAGGAATGCTCTTTTGAGGGCAGGACATTCAGAGCTCCAGCAGCTGCTTTGTGACTATGAGGCACACTGTCAGACTGTGAGGTGTTACCATGCAGGAGGATGTCATTACCTGTTCTTTATTTGCATTACTGTTCTTTTATCTGCATTACCTGTTCTTTTATTTGCATTACCTGTTCTTTATTTGCATTACTGTTCTTTTATTTGCATTACCTGTTCTTTATTTGCATTACTCTCTGTTCTTTGTTTGCATTACTGTTCTTTTATTTGCATTACCTGTTCTTTATTTGCATTACTCTCTGTTCTTTATTTGCACGAACGGCCTAGATTTCTCTGCCTGCATCACTGCAGCAAACACTCCACGGGACTTTGGCAGGAGCAAGAAATATTCTCACTTCACGTCTCCTCAATTCCTCCCAGCCATTTGTGCCGCTGTGATGATAGGTCTGTGGTAAGGAATATTCCTTCTCCCCAGGCTGCAGCAGATACCTGGAACAGGCATTCCTCGTAGTACTTCTGTTTGCTACTTTTCATCTCTAGGAATGGAGTGGAGAAATCACCTGCCCAGGTGTAGCCATACAGAGTAGTTAATGAAGTTCATTCATGAGGGCATATGTGTCGCCAAGCCCCTTTTAATATTTCCATTCCTCCAACTTCTTCTAAAGAACAGCATACTGGCCAGGTGCAGTGGCTCACGCCTGTAATTCCAGCACTTTGGGAGGATGAGGCAGGTGGATCACCTGAGGTCAGGAGTTTGAAACCAGCCTGGCCAACATGGTGAAATCCTGTCTGTACTAAAAATACAAAAATTAGCCAGGTGTGGTGGCATGTACCTGTAGACCCAGCTACTTGGGAGGCTGAGGCAGGAGAATCGCTTGAACCTGGGAGGCAGAGGTTGCAGTGAGCCAACATCTTGCCACTGCACCCCAGCCTGGGTGACACAGAAAGACTCCATCTCAAAAATCAAAAAAAATGGAAACAAATAAGAGAGAAAGAAAGAAAGAAAGAAGGAAAGAAAGAAAAGAAAAGAAAGAAAAGAAAGAAAAAGAAAGAAAGAAAGAAGGAAGGAAGGAAGGAAAAGAAAGAAAGAAAGAAGAAAGAAAGAAAAGAAGAAAGAAAAAGAAAGAGAAAGAAAGAAAGAAAAGAAAGAAAGGAAGGAAGGAAGGAAGGAAGGAAGAAAGAAAGAAAGAAAGAAAGAAAGAAAGAAAGAAAGAAAGAAAGAAAGAAAGAAAGAAAGAGAAAGAAAGAAAGAAAAGAAAAAAAAACAGCATACCTCCTGCATTCATTTGTTCCAGCGCCAGGCACAATGAGGTACTGTTCATATCCTAAGTTATTTCTCTTCCGGCAAAGAAGAGATGCCGACTTATGTTTTATTAGGTAGCTCATAAATTACCTTTTCTTAGGCGACTGCAACTCTGACATCTCACGTGCATTCTTGTCTAGACCAGCGCCTCTTTTCCTTCCAATTTCTGTAAGGGGGTCTTTTTTTTGCCAATCGTGCATCAGCCAGCTACCCATTTAAGCAGCTTCTCAGAAGCCCTTTCAAGTTCTGAAGCGTCTGCTAATAACACGGTCTTCCGTCGAGGCTGTGTCTCCAATCATTCTTTCCAACGCAACCATCTTCCTTCTGCTCACATAACATATGTTTGTTATCATGTAACACTCGCAGCCTGTTGGAGCAGCCCGTCATCTGCAACCCAGAGCTGCTCAACTGAACGCTGTCCAATGTCATTTACGCCGGATTTTAAATGCATTTTTCCTCTAGCACTCTTGGCTCTTTTAGGATATTTCTCTCTCTCTCTCTCTCTCTCTCTCTCTCTCTCTCTCTCTCTCTCTCTGTTTTTTTCGCCTTGTACATGATTTCCTTTGTTTTATGCATGTTGGAAACTCAGACCTTTTTGCAAGAATTCCATTTACCAAGATGCAGACAGCAATCATAAAAGATGATGCTGGCTTTCAGAATGGAAAAAAAAAATTACAAAAGAATTCTTCAACATTTAGCCATGTCATGACTGATTTTTTTAAATGCAATCATTTTCCATTTGTCTTTAACGCTAGCATTTTTACAAGTGGGTTTAAATATTTGATAGATTTATATTTTAAACCTTTTAGGCCGGGTGTGGTGGCTCACGCCTGTCATCCCACTACTTTGGGAGGCTGAGGCGGGTGAATCACCTGAGGTCAGGAGTTCGAGACCAGCCTGGCCAACATGGAGAAACCACACTGAAACACCACCTGGCCAGGCACAATGGCTCACGCCTGTCATCACAGCACTCTGGGAGGCCGAAGCAGGTGGATCACCTGAGGTCACGAGTTCAAGACCATCCTAGACAACATGGTGAAACCCTGTCTCTACTAAAAAAACAAAAATTAGCCAGGTGTGGTGGTGGGCACCTGTAATCCCAGCTACTCAGGAAGCTGAGGCAGGAGGATCACTTGAGCCCGGGAGGCGGAGGTTGCAGTGAGCCAACATCTTGACACTCCACCCCAGGCTGGGCAACAGAGAAAGACTCCATCTCAAAAAAAAAAGAAAGAGAGAAAGAAAGAAGAAAGAAAAAGAAAGAAAGAAAGAAAGAAAGAAAGAAAGAAAGAAAGAAAGAAAGAAAGAAAGAAAGAAAGGAAGGAAGGAAGGAAGGAAGGAAGGAAGGAAGGAAGGAAGGAAGGGGAAGGGAAGGGAAGGAAGGAAGGAAGGACGGACGGAAGGAAGGGAGAGAAAGAAAGAAAGAAAGAAGGAAAGAAAGAAAGAAAGAAAGAAAGAAAGAAAGAAAGGAAGGAAGGAAGGAAGGAAGGAAGGAAGGAAGGAAGGAAGGAAGGAAAGAAAGAAAGAAAGAAAGAAAGAAAGAAAGAAAGAAAGAAAGAAAGAGAAAGAAAGAAGGAAAGAAAGAAAGAAAAAGAAAAAAAAACCAGCATATCTCCTGCATTCATTTGTTCCAGTGCCAGGCACAATGAGGTACTGTTCCAATCCTAAGAGCCGAGATCATGCCACTGCATTCCGCTTGGGTGACAGAGAAAGACTCCATCTCAAATAAATGAATACACAAATAAATAAAATAAACTACTCTCCTATTGACGTTGACTAGTCTACGTCTTTCTGGGTAGTGCCTTCACTCCTCTCTGACCCTTAGTGAACACCTTTAGCAATCTGTAATCAATATATTTGTAACGAATCACCATCAGCTGTCCATGGTCCCAGTCGTGACTCCCATTGAATTTAAGGGTGAAGATGCCCCTGTTTTCTGAGGGATCTCTTCCTCCTTGTGCCTTCTGTACCAAATCAAAATGTCCAATCTCAATGCCGGGGCTGGGATCATTGATGCTTACCACGTGGGTTTCCAACATAGACTGTGGGTTGCATTTTTCTAAAATACATGGTCCAACAGCGTTTAAGGTCACCGTCATTGCCCCTAAACCCACAGAGTGAGGCATAGAACACAGGATCAAATGCACAAACCCGTGCACACACACACGCATGCACTTATTTTCCTAACTACATGAGAAAAATCATTTGGTGCTTATCTAAAATGACTCTCCGGCTGGGTGCAGTGGCTCATGCCTGCGATCCCAGCACTTTGGGAGGCCGAGGCAGGCGGATCACCTGAGGTCAGGAGTTCGAGACCAGCCTGGTCAACATGGTGAAAACCCCGTCTCTACTAATAATACAAAAATTAGCTGGGCATCGTGTTGGGCACCTGTAATCCCAGCTACTTGGGAGGCTGAGGCAGGAGGATCACTTGAACCCAGGAGGTGCAGGTTACAGTGAGCTGAGATGCTGAGATCTTTTAAGATATCTTTTTGGCTGGGTGCGGTGGCTCACGGCTGTAATCTCAGCACTGTGGGAGGCCGAGGCAGGCGGATCACCTGAGGTCAGGAGTTCGAGACCAGCCTGGTCAACATGGTGAAAACCCCGTCTCTACTAATAATACAAAAATTAGCTGGGCATCGTGTTGGGCACCTGTAATCCCAGCTACTTGGGAGGCTGAGGCAGGAGGATCACTTGAACCCAGGAGGTGCAGGTTACAGTGAGCTGAGATGCTGAGATCTTTTAAGATATCTTTTTGGCTGGGTGCGGTGGCTCACGGCTGTAATCTCAGCACTGTGGGAGGCCGAGGCAGGCGGATCACCTGAGGTCAGGAGTTCGAGACCAGCCTGGTCAACATGGTGAAAACCCCGTCTCTACTAATAATACAAAAATTAGCTGGGCATCGTGTTGGGCGCCTGTAATCCCAGCTACTTGGGAGGCTGAGGCAGGAGGATCACTTGAACCCAGGAGGTGCAGGTTACAGTGAGCTGAGATGCTCAGATCTTTTAAGATATCTTTTTGGCTGGGTGCGGTGGCTCACGGCTGTAATCTCAGCACTTTGGGAGGCTGAGGCAGGTGGATCACCTGAGATCAGGAGTTCAAGACCAGCCTGGTCAACACGGTGAAACCCCCATCTCTACTAATAATACAAAAATTAGCCAGGCGTGGTGGCGGGTGCCTGTAATCCCAGCTACTAGGGAGGCTGAGGCAGGAGAATCGCTTGAACCCGGGAGGCGGAGGTTGCAGTGAGCTGAGATCGTGCCACTGCAATCCAGCCTGGGAGACACAGCGAGATGCTATCTCAAAAAAAAAAAAGGAAAAGAAAAACAAAGGAAGGTGTGGTTATGAGAGAGCAGCCTAAACATTTGGGGGAACATCCTAAATCCCAGCAGCAGGGGAAGAAAGGCCAGGTGAGAGGGTTTTTTTCTGCACAGAAGTAACTGATGTCTGACTCCATTTCTATGAAACGTGCCCAACAGGCAAATCCACAGAGACAGGAAGTGAATTTGTGACTCTCAGAGGTTGGAGGGGGGGATGTGGAGTTACTGCTTGATGGGAATGGGGGTTTCCTTTTAAAGGGAATGAAGATTTTCTCAAACTACATAGAGGTGGTTGTAGAGCACGATGAATGTACCAAATGCCCCGTTCGTATAATTTAAAATAACTAACTTGATGTAATTTTTTGTTTTTTTGTTTTTTTTTTTTTTGAGACAGAATCTTGCTCTGTCACCCAGGCTGGAGTGCAATGGTGCGATCTTGGCTCACTACAAGCTCTGCCTCCCGGATTCAAGCGATTCTCCTGCCTCAGCCCCCCGAGTAGCTGGGATTACAGGCACCTGCCCCCACACCAGTATTTTTAGCAGAGATGGGGTTTCTCCATGTTGGCCAGGCTGGTCTCGAACTCCTGACCTCAAGTGATCCGCCCGCCTCGGCCTCCCAAAGTGCTGGGATTACAGGCATGAGCCACTGTGCTGGGCTATGTGATGTGTGTAAGTTTCTATTTGATAATTGTGACTATTTCATACAAATGCGGGAGTATGGGGTATGCAACAAGCTGTTTAAAAAACAGAGGTATGTGATGTGAATTTTACCTCTATTTTTAAAAAAGCTTGTCGCGTGTCTCATACTCACAAGTTTGTGTAAAATAGTCACAATTATCAAATAAAAACTTGTACAGGGGTATTCATAGCAGTGGTATTCACAGTAGCCAAAAAGTAGAAACAGCCTTACTGCCCATCTATGAATAAATGGGTAAACACAATGTGGCTTATCCATGCAATGCAATATTATAATGGAATATTATGCAGCCTGGAAAAGGAACAAGGCTCTGACAAGAGGCTGCAACATGAATGCATCTTTGGAAACAGCCCTACTGCCCATCTATAAAGGAATGGATAAACACAGCATAGCTCATCCATGCAATGCAATATTATAATGGAATATTACGCAGCCTGGAAAAAGAAGTCTCTAACAAAAGGCTGCAACATGAATGAATTTTTGGAACAACCCTATTGCCCATCTATGAAGGAATGATAAACAGAGCATGGTTCATCCATGTAATGGAATATTATGCAGCCTTGAGAAGGAACAAAGCTCTGACAAAAGCTGCAACAGGAATGAATTTTTGGAACAGCCCTACTGCCCATCTATGAAAGAATGGATAAACACAGCATGGTTCATCCATGTGATGCAATATTATAATGGAATATTATGCAGCCTGGAAAAGGAACAAGGCTCTGACAAAAGGCTGCAACATAAATGCATTTTTAGAAACAGCACTACTGTTCATCTATGAAGGAATGATAAACACAATATGGTTCATCCATGCAATATTATAGTGGAATATTATGCAGGCTGGAAAAGGAACAAGGCTCTGACAAAAGCAGCAACATGAATGAATTTTGGAAACAGCCCTACTGCTCATCTATGAAGGAATGGATAAACACAGCGTGGTTCATCGATACAATGGAATATTATGCCACCTGGAAAAGGAATGAGGCTCTGACAAAGGCTGCAACATGAATGAATTTTTGGAAACAGCCCAATACCCATCTGTGAATGAATGGATAAATACCACGTGGTTCATCCATGCAATGCAATATTATAATGGAATATTATGCAGCCTGGAAAAGGAACAAGGCTCTGACAAAGGCTGCAATGTGAATGAATTTTTGGAAACAGCCCTGCTGCTCATCTATGAAGGAATGATAAACACTGCATTGTTTATCCATGCAATGGGATATTATGCAGTCTGGAAAAGGAACAAGGCTCTGACAAAGGCTATGACATGAATGAATTTTGGAAACAGCCCTACTTACCATCTATGAAAGAATGATAAACACAATGTGGTTCACCCATGCAATATTATAGTGGAATATTATGCAGCCTGGAACAGGAACAAGGCTCTGACAAAGGCTGCAATGTGAATGAATTTTTGGAAATAGCCCTAATGCTCATCGATGAAGGAGTGATAAACACAGCATCCTTTATCCATGCAATGGAATATTATTCAGTCTAGAAAAGGAATAAGGCTCTGACAAAAGACTGCACTATGTATGAATTTTGGAAACAGTCCTACTGCCCATCTATAAAGGAATGGATAAACACAGCATAGTTCATCTATACAATGCAACATTACAATGGAATATTATACAGCCTGGAACAGGAACAAGGCTCTGACAAAGGCTGCAATGTGAATGAATTTTGGAAACAGCTCTACTGCCCATCTGTGAAGGAATGATAAACACAATGTGGTTCATCCATGCAATATTATAATGGAATATTATGCAGCTTGGAACAGGAACAAGGCTCTGACAAAAGACTATCATGAATGAATTTTTGGAAACAGTCCTACTGCTCATCTATGAATGAATGATAAACACAATGTGGTTCATCCATGCAATGCAATATTATAATGGAATATTATGCAGCCTGGAACAGGAACAAGGCTCTGACAAAGGCTGCAATGTGAATGAATTTTTGGAAATAGCCCTACTGCTCATCCTTGAAGGAATGATAAACACAGCATCGTTTATCCATGCAATGGAATATTATGCAGGCTGGAAAAGGAATAAGGCTCTGACAAAGGCTGCAACATGAATGAATTTTGGAAACAGCCCTACTGCCCATCTATGAATGAATGGATAAACACCACATGATTCATCATGCAATGCAATATTGTAATGGAATATTATGCAGCCTGGAAAAGGAACAAAGCTCTGACAAAGGCTGCAACGTGAATGAATTTTTGGAAACAGCCCTACTGCTCATCTATGAAGGAATGATAAACACAGCATTGTTTATCCATGCAATGGAATATTATGCAGTCTGGAAAAGGAACAAGGCTCTGACAAAGGCTATGACATGAATGAATTTTGGAAACAGCCCTACTTACCATCTATGAAAGAATGATAAACACAATGTGGTTCATCCATGCAATATTATAATGGAATATTATGCAGCTTGGAACAGGAACAAGGCTCTGACAAAAGACTGTATCGTGAATGAATTTTTGGAAACAGTCCTACTGCTCATCTATGAAAGAATGATAAACACAATGTGGCTCATCCATGCAATGCAATATTATAGTGGAATATTATGCAGCCTGGAACAGGAACAAGGCTCTGACAAAGGCTGCAACATGAAAGAATTTTTGGAAATACCCGTACTGCTCATCTGTGAAGGAATGATAAACACAGCATGGTTCATCCATGCAATGGAATATTATGCAGCCTTGAAAAGAAACAAGGCTCTGACAAAAGCTGCAACAGGAATGAATTTTTGGAAACAGCCCTGCTGCTCATCTATGAAGGAATGGATAAACACAGCAGCAGTATTATAATGGAATACTATGCAGCCTGGAAAAGGAACAAGGCTCTGACAAAGACCACAACGTGAATGAACCCTGAGGACATCATGCTCAGAGAGAAAAGCCAGGCACAAACACAAAAGGACACACAGTGTGTGATTCCCTTTCAATGAAATGTGCTGAACAGGCAAACCCCTAGAGAAAGATAGTGGAATTTTGGGTGCTAGGGCCTGGGGAGGAGAAATGGGAGTGACTGCTCAACATGTACAGGGTGCGCTTTTGGGAGTGATGAAAATGTTCTGGACCTAGAGATTGGTGATGGTTGTACAACATTGTGAATGGACTAAATGTCACTGACTCATTCAGTTTAAAACGGTTATAAAGCTGAATTTTATATATATGTATTTTGTCATCATAAAAAGAATGTACATTCTGAACTTTCTTTTTTAACAGGTGAGAGGTTGGGTAAAGAATCTTCCAGAATGGACGGACACGGTGACTCACCCCTGAAATCCCAGCACTTTGGGAGGCCGAGACGGGCAGATCACCTGACGTCAGGAGCTCGAGACCAGCCTGGCCAACATGGCGAAACCCCGTCTCTGCTAAATATACAAAAAAATTAGCCGGGTGTGGTGGTGCACGCCTTAATCCCAGCTACTCGGGAGGCTGAGGCAGCAGAATCGCTTGAACCTGGGAGGCAGAGGTTACAGTGAGCTGAGATTGTGCCACTGCACTCCAGCCTGGAGGACAGAGCAAAAACTCTTGCCTCAAAAAAAAAAAAAGAATCTTCCAGAACGCTTGCCTTCTCCACACGCTATATCACTCTTGCTGGTTGACTTAGAATCCAACTTTTTTTTTTCTTTTTTTTCCCAAATGCAATCCAAAAATACAAGCTGAAACTGGCCACAATTGCCCCTTATAAAGTGCGGTTGGCATAACAGAGTTGAACTTCCATTTTTATTTACTTATTTTCATCATACCCAGAACGATTTATGCGGTTTCACATTTAGACATCCAAAGGGCGCTAGCATTAAAGTGCTTTGTGCTGAATGTTGTTGTAATTCGGAGGGGTTGGGGGCGTTGACTGGCGTAATTGACCCTCTAACCCGTAATTGACCCTCTAACTTCAAACACATTTTATTTATAATTTTTATTTATTTATTTATTTATAAAATAAAATTTTATTTATAAAATGTGTTTCATTCACATTGCTGTCTTTGTCGGAAACTTGTTCCTTTTCCAGGCTGCATAATATTCCATTAAGAGTCTGCGGTTTCTGTGAAGGTATAGCCCAAAAAGGTGTAACAAAACAAAATGAAGTTCAGAGCCGTAATCACAGCCCAGAATGCTGGTGTTCACTTTGGCCCCATTAAGACTCTAAGATGTTTTGGTGGGGAGCCCTGATATTTATTTCTGTGCCGCTGGAGACCTTGTAGAGAAATCTCAGCTTACCAAAGGCCAGAAGAGAAAGGGCGGAAACGATTTGACATTCTCTGGCTGGGATGCCTGGAGAATTACCCAGTGATCCACAATCACGTGGGTGAAGAAGGAGTTTGGGAAACTTTTGCTCTTTTTGTTTGTCGTTTGTTTGTTTTTGAGACAGACTTTTACCCTGTCACCCAGGCTGGAGTGCAATGGTGCGATCTCGGCTCACTGCAACCTCCGCCTCCCGGGTTCAAGCGATTCTCCTGCCTCAGCCTCTGGAGTAGCTGGGATTACGGGCGCCCGCCACCACACCCGACTAATTTTTTTGTTGTTGAGATGGAGTCTTGCTCTGTCTCCCAGGCTGGAGCGCAGTGGCGTGATCTCAGCTCACTGCAACCTCCGCCTCTGGGGTTAAAGCAATTCTCCTGCCTCAGCCTCCGGAGTAGCTGGGACTGCAGGCATACGCTACTGCGCCCAGCTAATTTTTATATTTTTAGTAGAGATGGGGTTTCTCCATGTTGGCCAGGCTAGTCTCGAACTCCTGACCTCAGGTGATCTGCCCGCCTCGGCCTCCCCAAAGTGCTGGGGTTACAGGCGTGAGCCACCGCACCCGGCCCAGCTAATTTTCTTTTTTTTTTTTTTAATTTGAGACTGAGTCTTTCTCTGTGGCCCAGGCTGGAGTGCAGTGGGCCATCTTGGCTCACTACAACCTCCACCTCCAGGGTTCAAGCAAATTCTCCTGCCTCAGCCTCCCGAGTAGCTGGGATTACAGGCGCCCACCACCACGCCAGACAAATTTTTTTTTTTTTTTTTGAGATGGAGTCTTGGTCTGTCTCCCAGGCTGGAGTGCAGTGGCCTGATCTCGGCTTACTGCAACCTCCACCTCCAGGGTTCAAGCAATTCTCCTGCCTCAGCCTCCCGAGTAGCTGGGATTACAGGCGCCTGCCACCACGCCTGGCTAATGTTTGTATTTTTAGTAGAGACGGGGTTTCACCATGTTGGCCAGGCTGGTCTCGAACTCCTGACCTCAAGTGATCCCCCCACCCCCTACCGCCTTGTCTCAGCCCCCCAAAGCGCTGGGATTACAGGCGTGAGCCACCGCACCTGGCCCGGCTAATTTTTTTTTTTTCTTTGAGATAGAGTCTTTCTCCGTTGCCCAGGCTGGAGTGCAGTGGCAGGATCTCAGTGCACTGCAACGTCCGCCTCCAGGGTTCAAGCAATTCTCCTGCCTCAGCCTCCCGAGTAGCTGGGATTACAGGCGCCTGCCACCACGCCTGGCTAATGTTTGTATTTTTAGTAGAGACAGGGTTTCACCATGTTGGCCAGGCTGGTCTCGAACTCCCGACCTCAGGTGATCCACCCGCCTCGGCCTCCCAAAGTGCTAGGATGACAGGCGTGAGCCACCACGCCTGGCCAAGTCTGGGAAAGCTTTGACAAAAATGTCACTTTTCCTGGGAGCTGGTGGCACCAAATGACTGTTGACAAATTCTTTCAGGGTGAAATTGAGCCGGTTGTCACCTTCGGTCACCAGCAAATAAGCCAGTGTGACAGTTGTCACGTCTTCCATAGGCCTTAGCTCAAAGCAAATGTGGCTTGCTGTTTTCGTGGCCTGGTACAACCCTGACCATCTCCCCGTAAAATCCGCCCTCCTCTTTGGGGCCGGAGGAAGACCCTGTCCCTTTTCAAACCTCATAGCAGGTTGGGCGTGGCTGCTCACGCCTATGATCAAAGCACTTTAGGCAGGAAGATTGCTTGAGACTTGAAGTTCAAGCTCAGCCTAAGTAACACAGTGAGGCCCCGTCTCTACAAAAAATGAAAAAATAGCTGGGCATGGTGGTAAGTGCCTGTGGTTCCCGCTACTCGGGAGGCTGAGGGAGGAGGATCGCTGGAGCCCAGGAGGTTGAGGCTGCAGTGAGCTGTGACAATGCTGCTGTACTCCAGCCTGGACAACAGAGCAAGACCTTGTTTTTCTTCCTCAAAACACACACACACACACACACACACATACACACACACACACACACAACTTCTTACGAATTATGGTTCACATATGATGGTTTGTTTTTTTTTTTTTGAGACAGAGTCTTGCTCTGTTCCCCAGGCTGGAGTGCAGTGGGGTGATCTCAGCTCACTGCAACCTCTGCTTCCCCAATTCAAATGATTCTCCTGCCTCAGCCTCCCAAGTAGCTAGGATTAAAGGCACCTGACACCACGCCCGGCTAATTTTGTATTTTTAGAAGAGACGGGGTTTCGCCATGTTGGCCAGGCTGGTCTCGAACTCCCGACCTCAAAGGATCCACCCATCTCAGCCTCCCAAAGTGCTGGGATTACAGGTGTGAGCCACCCCACCCGGCCTTTCTTTTGTAAGTATTTTAACCCTGGTTGGACTCAGGGGCGACTGCTCCATGGAGTCAAGGACGATCAGTACTTTCCTTTGGATTTTTTTACATTTTAATTTTAATTTGTATAGATTTAAGGGTTCCAGTTGCAGTTTTGCTCCACGGATATTGTGCGTGGTGGTGAAGTCTCTGCCTTCAGCATCACCAAAGGTTTTGTTCAGTCCTCAAATCATTGATTCCAGGTACTGTTTAAAACCATTTTTTCAGGATAAATGTTAACTTGTTAAGTAAAGTAAGGCTAAGCAGGAAAAAAAAGAAAAACACCTTTGGACTCAAAAGAGGCATGATGTATTTTACGTCATGTTCTGCCTGATGGAGGGAAACTAATATTTCTATGCTTATGCTTTGGAGGACCAGGTGAAGCCCCAGAGCGGACGCCCATCAGTGTGTTAGAGGCTGTTTACTGAGGTCCTACCATGTGCAAAGTTCTGAGTGGCAGGTTGTGAGGAAGAATGAATGACTTCATCTCTGAAAACTCATGTCCCTACTAGGCTAATCCAACACGGGACAGATACAGAAAGGAGATACCAGCCGGGCACGGTGGCTCACACCTGTAATCCCAGCACTTTGGGAGGCTGAGATGGGAGGATCATGAAGTCAGGAGTTCGAGAGCAGCCTGGCCAACATGGAGAAACCCCATCTCTACTAAAAATACAAAATTAGCCAGGCATGGTGGCGGGTGCCTGTAATACGAGCTACTCTGGAGGCTGAGGCAGGAAAATCGCTTGAACCCAGGAGGTGGAGGTTGCAGTGAGCTGAGATCATGCCACTGCACTCCAGCCTGGGCAACAAGAGCAAAACACCATCCCCCAAACGAAAAAAGAAATAAAACAAACAAACAAACAAACAAACAAAAACACAGGAGGGAGAGCTCAGCCTTATTTCTGCAAGGGTGACCAATGTGAGTCACGAGGGATCAGGTAAATGGGGTTTTGCAGACTGCATAGGAGTTTGCCAGGGAGACTTAGGAGAGTTTGTGGAGAGGGATCAATACTTGCAAACGCTTAGAGGTGTGGTTGTGGGCACCTTTAATGGGAATAGCAGAAAGGGGGTTGTATGAAGACAGAATCAAAGGGAATGTTATTATTTCTTCCAACAAAGCAGGTACCCCCCAAATCAGGGCATTTTTCCTTATAGTTGTTCTTATTTTAATTTGTCCTCCCAGGCTCTGCCGTTAGGACTCTCGGCTCTTGAGTCTTAATTTTTGTCTTCATTTTTATCTTAATAGTTATATATATATTTAAGATGTTAGTTAGGTATTCTTAATACCCCAATACAATTTTATAGTTAATTTTTTTTCAGGGGGGTTAGGTAGAGGTCCCTTTTAACACTCTAATGCAATCTGTCCAACCGTCACCAATATATAAACAGAGACATTAAGAATAACGGAAACCCATCGCTTCTCCCACCCCATCCAGCCCTCTGCGACGCTACCCACCACCCAAGGTGACTCTGTGTGCACTTTGATATCCTTCATTTTCTGAATTTCCTTTGTTACATCACTTTATTGCATTTCTCTATTTTAATTGTCTCTAACTTTATGAAAAGTGTATATCATGCTCTATGTAATTTTTTGAGACCAGCATTTCCCACTCAAAACGTCATTTCAAAGATTCATCCATACTGAGTTTCTGCTGTCTCTTCATTTTGGTGACACCGTAATATCCCAGCGGGTGAAATATTCCACGACTTATGGATGCATCCTTCTGCCTATGGGCATTAGGTTATTTCCTCGTGGAAACAGGAAAATGGAAATAGGAATATTTCTATGGGGTATTTTGGGGCAGGGCTACTGTAAACATTTTTAGACATATTACGTGATGGGCAAATCAGGACTGCCGTGAGACACCCTTTTCACACCAATATTGAAAGACAAGACTAGCTGGATGTCCTAGGCTGACTCAGAATTCCTAAGCCTCGCTGGGGACGGTGACCGCACCCACCTTTAAACACGGGGCTTGTAACTCAGCTCACACCCGGCCAATCAGGTAGTAAAGAGGGAGCTCACTAAAATACAAATTAGGCTAAAAGCGGGAGGTAAAGAAATAGTCAAATCATCTATCACTTGAGAGCACAGTGGGAGGGACAATGATTGGGATATAAACCCAGGCATTTGAGCCGGTTTGGGTCCCCTCCTGTTGGAATGGGAGCTCTGTTTTCACGCTATTAAATCTTGCAACTGTACACTCTTCTGATGCATGTTTGTTCCCGCTCGAGCTGAGCTTTCGCTCGCCGTCCACCACTGCTGAACGCCGCCGTTGCAGACCCACCTTTGAGTTCCACCCCTCCGGATCAGGCAGGGTATGTGCTGTGCTTCTGATCCAGCGAGACGCCCGCTGCGGCTCCCAATCATTGTTCCTGAGTGGCTAAGTGTCCGGGTTCATCCTCATGGAGCTGAACACTAGTCTCTGGGTTCCACGGTTCTCTTCCGTGACCCATGGCTTCTAACAGAGCTACAACACTCACTGCATGGCCCAAGGTTGCATTCCTTGGAATCCGTGAGGCCAAGAACCCCAGCGCAGAGAACAAAAGGCCTGCCGCCATCTTGGGAATGGCCGGCTGCCATCTTGGGAGTGGCCGTCTGCCATCTTGGGAGTGGCCCGCCACCATCTTGGGAGTGGCCCGCCGCCATCTTGGGAGTGGCCTACCCCCATCTTGGGAGCTGTAAGAACAAAGACCTGCCTGTAACCATATGATTGGCAAAAATGTTAAAAATGAAGAATTCTGACAGTCGCAGATGTTGCCATAGGTGGCAAAGATTGGCTTTCCTCAACATCGTAGGGCAAAATGTCCGTCTCGACCACCATTTTGGAAAGGGTTTGGCCTCATCTTATAAAGCTGAGAAACACGGGTTCCCCAGCCCAGCAATTGTACTCTGGGTGTGTCCCCAAGATGAACTCCAGCCTTTGGGACTTGTCAGAGGCACTGGAACCAGAACAACTTCGGCTTGAATAGGGGCTGGGTAAAATGAGGCTGAGACGTACTGGGCTTCATCCCCAGATGGATAAGGCATCCTAAGCTGCAGGATGAGACAGGAGGTTAGCACAAGATACAGGCCATAAAGACCTTGCTGATGAAACAGCTTGCAGTAAAGAAGCTGAATGAAACCCACTGAAACCAAGATGGCAATGAGAGTGACCTCTGGTCATCTTCACTGCTACACTCCCACCAGCGCTAAGACAGTTTACAAATGCCATGGCAACGTCGGGAAATTACCCTATATGGTCTAAAAAGGGGAGGCATGAATTATCCACCCCTTGTTTAGCATAAATTCCTTCCTGGGGGTTCCAGGTGTCCTCCCTCTCTAGGGGTCTGGAATGGCATC
Source organism: Homo sapiens (assembly GCF_000001405.40). NCBI lineage: Eukaryota > Metazoa > Chordata > Mammalia > Primates > Hominidae > Homo > Homo sapiens. The sequence continues at coordinate 1,061,165 of NC_000024.10, forward strand.
CCTGGGCTTGTGGCCGCATCACTCCAGTCTCTACCTCCACTCACAGGTTCTTGGGTTAGAATATGAATATATCTTTTTTTGGGATACATAGTTCAATCCACTTCTTAAGTATCAAGTTCTCTCTGGAGGCTCTAGGGAGGATCCTTTCTGCCTCTCCCAGCTCCTGGGGGCTCCAGGCATCCCTGGGCTTGTGGTCGCATCACTCCAGTCTCTGCCTCCATCTCCACGTGGCCTTCTCCTGTGTGTCTGTGTCTCCTCTTCTGTCTCTTAAAAAGACACTTGTCATTGCATTTAGGGTCTACCCTACTCTACTCCAGGATGATATCATCCCAAGGCCCTTCACTTTATCACATCTGCAGAGACCCTATTTCCAAATAAGTTCTTACTCCAGGTTCTGGGCTTTCAGATGTGGACAGATCTTTCTGGGGGCCACTGTTCAATCCAGTACAATTGTATCCAGTTCCCTCTGGAGGCTCTAGGGGAGGATCCTTCCTGCCTCTCCCAGCTCCTGGGGTCTCCAGCATCCCTGGGCTTATGGCCCCATCACTCCAGTCTCTGCCTCCATCTCCACGTGGCCTTCTCCTCTGTGTCTGTGTCTCCTCTTCTGTCACTTACAAGGGCACCTGTCATTGGATTTAGGGCCACCATACTCCAGGATGATCTCATCTCAAGATCCTTTTCCTAAGCACATCGGCAAAAACCCCTATTTCCAAATAAGGTCTCATTACCAGGTTCTGGGCTTTAGGATGTAGACGTATCTTTTTGAGGGATCACTGCTCAATCCATTCCAGTTGTATCCAGTTCTTTCTGGAGGCTCTAAGGGAGGATCCTTCCTTCCTCTCCCAGCTCCTGGGGGCTCCAGGTGTCCCCGGGCTTGTGGCCACATCACTCCAGTCTCTGCCTCCATCTCCATCTCCTCCATCTCCAGGTGGCCTTCTCCTCTGTGTCTGTGTCTCCTCTTCTGTCTCTTACAAGGACAGCTGTCATTGGATTTAGAGTCCACCTTAATCCAATATGACCTCACCATAACTTGACTAAAACTGCGAAGACTGTATTTCCAAAGAAGGTGATGTTCACAGATTCTGAGTGGATGTGAATTTTGGAGAGGACGCAATTTCCGTCCCCTGCAGAGTGTCTTGTGCTGTCTCCAATGTCCTCATCTGCTCTCATCTCCCAGAGACCCTGTGGGCATTGACCAAGGTGGTCCTACTGTGTTGCCACCTCCAGGGTCTTACCTTTCGCCAGGTGTGCCCACCTGGTGGCCGAATGGTGCAAATTGAAATAGTCTTTGCTCTCCGTTCCCTCATCTCTCTCTGTGTGTGTCCCTCTCTCTCTCTCTCTCTGTTTCTCCAGCATGCTGGTCCTGTCCACACTACCCCATCCAGCCCGGTGGACCCCATTCTCATCCACTCAGCAAGGGAGGAAAGTGCTCACGTGAAAACAGGTGAGGATGTGAAGAGGGGCTTCGGAGCATGCAGCCAGGGCAAGAGGGTGGGCAGCACTGGGATGGAGCCCACGGCATTCTGTGGTCATCCCTGCACCTGCCTGGGGGCTTTGTCTGCATTCGCTCCTCTTCACCATCCACAACTTCTCACTCTTCCTCCATGTGGTACACATTTTCCTGCCCAGGAGCTGCTCCCTGAGCTCGGGATGCTCTCCCTCTAGATCCCTACATGGCTGTTACCTTCTTGTCCACACTTAGCAAGACCCACAATTGTTTGGTTCAGTCTTTGGGGGCAGCTGTCTCCTGAGCAAGACCAGCTCTCTCAAGCCTAGAATGTGAGTCAAGGAAGCAGCCAGGAGCTGAACCAGCAGCACTAAAGCTACATCCGCCTCTTCCCAGGAAACGATGGTTTAGAATCATCCTTGTGCACCTGCCAGGATCATTAGACTCAAAACATAGACAAAGAAAAATCATAAGTGGGCCAGACGCGGTGGCTCACGCCTGTAATCCCAGCGCTTTGGGAGGCCGAGGAGGGTGGATCACCTGAGGTCAGGAGTTCGAGACCAGCCTGACCAACATGGAGAAACCCCGTCTCTACCAAAAATACAAAACTAGCCGGGTGTGGTGGTGCATGCCTGTAATCCCAGCTACTTGGGAGGCTGAGGCCGGAGAATCACTTGAACCTGGGAGGAGGAGGTTGAGGTGAGCCGAGATCGCGCCACTGCACTCCAGCGTGGGTGACAGAGCGAGACTCCGTTTCAAAAAAAAAAAGCAGAACTGTATTTGCAAACTATGCCTCTGAAATGAGTTAATTTTAATCTATAAGACACTTAGGGCCGGGTGCGGTGGCTCACGCCTGTAATCCCAGCGCTTTGGGGGGCTGAGGCGGGCGGATCACGAGGTCAGGAGTTCGAGACCATCCTGGCTAATGCGGTGAAACCCCGTCTCTACTAAAAATATTTTAAAAATTAGCCAGGCGTGGTGGCGGGCGCCTGTAGTCCCAGCTACTGGGAAGGCTGATGCAGGAGAATGGCGTGAACCCGGGAGGCGGAGCTTGCAGTGAGCCGAGATATTGAAGTAAGACGTGTCCGCTGGGAATAGGCCATCAATGCACGCACTTTGAGAACCCGAAACCCAGGAAGGTTTTCTCTGTGCCTCATTCTGTCTTTCTGAAACAACTCTGCCCAGATGGGAAGGCATCGGGGTCGGGGTAAAGTCACACACACACAAGCAGGGCTGGGTTTGGGGTGTGGGAGCCATGGATGGTGATAGGGTTTGGCTGTGTCCCCACCCAACTCTCCTCTTGTATTGTAGCTCCCACCGTTCCCATGTGTTGTGGGAGGGACCCAGGGAAGGGAATTGAATCATGGGGAAGGGGAAAGGGGAAGAAGGGGGTCTTTCTCGTGCTATTCTCGTGGTAGTGAATAAGACTCACAAGATCTGATGGTTTTATAAAGGGAGGTTCCCTGCACACATGTCAGATGTGCCTTTCGGCTTCCGCCGTGACTGAAGGGCCTCTGCAGCCCCATGGAACTGTGAGTCCATGAAATCTCTTCCTTTTGGAAATCACCCAGTCTCAAGTAACGTCTTTATCTGCAGCATGAACACAGACTAACACAGCTGGGTTTTAAAAGTCCTCTCCCCTGTAATCCCAGCACTTTGGGAGGCCGAGGCGGGCGGATCACCTGAGGTCAGGAGTTCGAGACCAGCCTGACCATCATAGAGAAACCCTGCCATCTCTACTAAAAATACAAAATTAGCCAGACATGGTGGTGGGCACCTGTAATCCCAGCTACTCAGGAGGCTGAGGCAGGAGAATCACTTGAACCTGGGAGGCAGAGGTTGCGGCCAGCCGAGATCGCACCACCGTACTCCAGCCTGGGTGACAAGAGTGAAAGTCCATCTCAAAAACAAATAAATAAACATAAAAGTCCTCTCTCAACAGACTCAATTTCAAGTTCAGATGAGGAACGGGGAAGCTGACGCTTGGAGATGCTGATTTTCCCCAAAGGATCCCAAAGCTCACAGACACCTTGGGATAGGATTTGGTTCCCATCCTCCAAGCGTTGTTCTCTGCAAGACAGACTTAGTGAGCTACCCTCAGTTCTTTTGTTTTGTTTTGTTTTGTTGAGACAGAGTCTCGCTCTGTCACCCAGGCTGGAGTGCAGTGGCGCAATCTCGGCTCACTGCAAGCTCCGCCTCCCGGGTTCACGCCATTCTCCTGCCTCAGCCTCCCGAGTAGCTGGGACTACAGGTGCCCGCCACCACGCCTGGCTAATTTTTTGTATTTTTAGTAGAGATGGGGTTTCACTGTGTTAGCCAGGATGGTCTCGATCTCCTGACCTCCTGATCCACCCGCCTGGGCCTCCAAAACTGCTGGGATTACAGGCGTGAGCCACCGCGCCCGGCCCTAAGTGTCTTACGTATTAAAATTAACTCATTTCAGAGGCATAGTTTGCAAATACAGTTTCTCTTTTTTTTTTGAGACGGAGTCTCGCTCTGTCGCCCAGGCTGGAGTGCAGTGGCGCAATCTCAGCTCACTGCAAGCTCCGACTCCCAGGTTCACGCCACTCTCCTGCCTCAGGCTCCTGAGTAGCTGGGACCACAGGCGCCCGCCACCACGCCCGGCTAATTTTTTTTTTTATATTTTTAGTAGAGACGGGGTTTTGCCACGTTAGCCAGGATGGTCTCGATCTCCTGACCTTGTGATCCGCCCGCCTCGGCCTCCCAAAGTGCTGGGATGACAAGCGTGAGCCACCGCGCCCGGCCCCGTCAGATCTTGTATTTGAATGTGCACCTCATCCTCTCACTGTGAAGAGGTATTTTCAGTTACACATAGTGAAGTGGACAGGAGCTGCGATGTAGCTGCTTTCTGCCCTTTTACTCTTTGATGATCTTTGAGGGAAAAGAGTTAGGGACAAAATTTAAACACACACACACACACACACACACACACACACACGTATGAAAACCACGATTCTTCTTTTCTTGTAATCCCAGCTCTAAGCAGATTTAATGGCCCTGTTATTGCTGAGCGAAATTAACTCCTTATGAAACAACTTACAAAGCGCCTTTGTAGATTCCATTTCTGAATAATCAGAAAAGGGTTTGGGTCGTGTCTGGGCATCTGTTCCTCGTTAGTTACCACGTTGCCTCTCTGAGTACAGGGTTCTGTTTTCATTAAACACCTACTCCAGTGGGGCCACGTTGGGTTTTGTTTTTTGTTTTTTGTTTTTTTCTTTTCTTTTCTTTTTTTTGAGACGGAGTTTTGCTCTTGTTGCCCAGGCTGGAGTGCAATGGCGCGATCTCAGCTCACTGCAACCTCTGCCTCCTGGGCTCAAGCAATTCTCCTGCCTCAGCCTCTGGAGTAGCTGGGACTACAAGCACCCACCACCATGCTGAGCTAATTTTTGTATGTTTAGTAGAGACGGGGTTTCACCATCTTGGCCAGGCTGGTTTCGAACCCCTGACCTCAAGTGATCCACCCGCCTCGGCCTCCCAAAGTGCTAGGATTACAGGTGTGAGCCACCACGCCCAGCCTTTTTTCTTTCTTTCTTTTTTCTTTTCTTTTTTTTTTTCATTCAAACAGGGTGGGGAGCTAGGGGAGAGATAGCATTAGGAGATAGCACCAAATGTAGGTGACGGGTTGATGGGTGCAGCAAACCACCATGGCACATGTATACCTACGTAACAAACCTGCACGTTCTGCACATGTACCCCAGAACTTAAAGTATAATAAATAAAATAAAGTAAAATAAATGTATAATATATAACATGTGGCTGAGTGCAGTGGCTCATGTCTGTAATCCCAGCACTTTGGGAGGCCTAGGAGGGCAGATCACGAGGTCAGGAGTTCGAGACCAGCCTGGCCAACATAGTGAAATTCCATCTCTACTAAAAATAAAAAAAATAAGAAAATAAAAAATTAGCCGGGCGTGGTGGCGGGCACCTGTGATCCCAGCTACTCGGGAAGCTGAGGCAGGAGAATCGCTTGAACCCAGGAGGCTGAGGTTGCGGTGAGCCGAGATCGCGCCACTGCACTCCAGCCTGGGCAACAGAGTGAATTAAAAAAAAAAGACAGAGATGAGACCGTATGTCCACAGTTAGCCTGACAGGCAGGATACTTACCATCCGAGTGGTAACTGAGATGAAACGGGGGGTGGCGGGGGTAACTGAAGTGCAACCAGGAGGTCGTCGAGCTGAGAAATGGGAAGAAAAATGAGAAGAAATATATGAAGGGAAGCTGCGGTTTAGGAGCAAATATCTGGCCCTCACGTCAGATGTATATGCGACTCGCGGCAAGTTTATATATATCTAGAAAAGGACTACAGGTGCATATCCTCACACACAGCTAATTTTTATATTTTTGTAGAGAGGGAGTCTTGTTATATTGCCTATGCTGATCTGAAACTCCTGGGCTCAAGCTATCTTCCCACCTCAGCCTCCTAAGCAGCTGGGACTACAGGCACACACCACCACACCCAGATAATTTTTATTTTTTTGTAGAGATGGGGTGTTGCCGTATTATCTATGCTGGTCTGAAACTCCAGGGCTCAAGCTATCTTCCCACCTTAGCCTCCTAAGCAGCTGGGACTACAGGTGCACAACACCACACCCAGATAATTTTTATTTTTTTGTAGAGACAGGGTGTTGCTGTATTATCTATGCTGGTCTGAAACTCCAGGGCTCAAGCTATCTTCCCACCTCGGCCTCCCAAGTAGCTGGGACTACAGGCACACACCACCACACCCAGATAATTTTTACTTTTTTGTAGAGATGGGGTGTTGCCATATTATCTTTGCTGGTCTGAAACTCCTGGGCTCAAGCTATCTTCCCACCTTAGCCTCCTAAGCAGCTGGGACTACAAGTCTCTACTACCACACCCAGATAATTTTCTTTTTTTTTTTTTGAGACGGAGTCTCACTCTGTCGCCCAGGCTGGAGTGCAGTGGCACGATCTCAACTCACTGCAAGCTACACCTCCCGGGTTCATGCTATTCTCCTGCCTCAGCCCTCAGCCTCCTGAATAGCTGGGACTACAGGCACCCGCCATCACGCCCGGCTAATTTTTGTATTTTTAGTAGAGACGGGGTTTCACCATGTTAGCCAGGATGGTCTCGATCTCCTGACCTCATGATCCACCCGCCTCGGCCTCCCAAAGTGCTGGGATTACAGGTGTGAACCACCACACCCAGCTACTTTTTATATTGTGTTAGAGACAGGTTCTTGCTATATTAACTATGCTGCTCTGAAACTCCTGGGCTCAAGCAATCTTCCCACCTTGGCCTCCCAAACGGTTATGATAACAGATGTGAACCACCACACTCAACCTAGGCTAGCACTTTTTTTTTTTTGAGAGGGAGTCTCACTCTGTCGCCCAGGCTGGAGTACAGTGGAGGGATCTCAGTTCACTGCAACTTCTGCCTCCCGGATTCACGCCATTCTCCTGCCTCAGCCTTCCGAGTAGCTGGGATCACAGGTGTGCACCACCATGCCTGGCTAATTTATGAATTTTTAGTAGAAACAGGGCCAGGCTGGTCTCTAACTCCTGACCTCAGGTGATCCACCCGCCTCGGCCTCCCAAAGTGCTGGGATTACAGGCGTGAGCCACCACATCCAGCTGATTTTTGTATTTCTGGTAGAGACGGGGTTTCACCATGTTAGCCAGGCTGGTCTTGAACTCCTGACCTCAGATGATCCACCCGCCTCAGCCTCCCAAAGTACTGGGATTACAGCTGTGCACCACCACACCCAGCTAATTTTTGTATTTTTAGTAGAGATAGGGTTTCAGCATGTTGGTCAGGCTGGTCTCGAACTCCCGACCTCAGGAGATCCACCCGCCTCGGCCTCCCAAAGTGCTGGGATTACAGGTGTGAGCCACTGTGCCCAGCCTTGTTTTTGAGACAGGGTTTTGCTTTTATTGCCCAGGCTGGAGTGCAATGGTGCGATCTCAGCTCACTGCAACCTTCACCTCCCAGGTTCAAGCGATTCTCCTGCCTCAGCTTCCCAACTAGCTGGGATTACAGGCGTGCGCCACCACGCCCAGCTAATTTTTGTATTTTTAGGAGAGACAGGGTTTCACCCTGTTGGTCAGGCTGGTGTCGAACTCCTGACTTCAGGTGATCTGCCCGCCTCTGCCTCCCAAAGTGCTGGGATTACAGGCATGAGCCAACACGCCCGGCCAGCGTGTGTGTTTCACGAAGCTCCCTGTGATGACAAGGAGCTGTGGATGATGAAGAAACTTGTATTTCTCAGCAGCAGAATTTTCAGGCCTTCATCTCCACGTTCTGTGGATTCGAAATGATGCCTCATCCGGGCCATTAATTTCAGCCCTTCTATAGCGCTCCTTACACACGATAATCATGTCCATTTGGGCACTGACTTCTCTAGATGGCATCTCACCAGAGACTAAGTACTGGGTGCTGACAATTGATAGGAAATTCAGTCTGCGGCAGTTAATATATGGAAACGCGATTTGTACTTAATCATCCCACTGGGAGTCCTAAGGGCAAGTAAGTGGATGCAGGCATTTTAAAATGCACGGGTGGGTTACGGCAACCTCACTTGCCACAGGCTCTCTTCCCCATAGACAGCTGAAGAGCTGAATAAATAAGGTACGTTTCCCTGGCGTTTGACCCAACGCCTGTGTCTTCTTCCCCCCGACCGCACCTGCCAGGCGACTAACACCTTTCAGGGAGGCTCACATAACTAGGCAGGTCCACGGCTGGGATTTGCAGACTCTCATGCTGACGAGCATAGACCCTGACACTCATTTATTTACCGACACAGAGATCTCCTTTTTCGTTAGAATAGAAATTTGTAGGCGACCGGCTCCTTCACTGTTTAATATTAAAGGATCAGAGACAATGCCTGGGTGGGGCGAAGGGAGGGGGATGTGACAATTTGCAGGGTGACTTACCCGGCTTCCTGTGACACCAGCTAATTGGAAGGGGCAGTAATGATGTTCTGTTTTGGTCCCTGGGACCCCAGGATGGGGCTGAGAGGGTATTTTTAGAAGTTGGCCGTGCTTACATTTTTGAGGAACCTATGACTTTTTTTGGTTGACTTTATTCCTTTTTATTTAAATTTAAAAACACTTCAAAGTACAAAAATACAAGTGCTTCAAAACAGACAGATGGGCCGTGCACAGTGGCTGACGCCTGTCATCCCAGCACTTTGGGAGGTCGAGGCGGGCGGATCACTTGGGGTCAGGAGTTCAAGACCAGCCTGGCCAACATGGTGAAACCCCGTCTCTACTAAAAATACAAAATTAGCTGGACGTGCTGGTGCGCACCTGTAATCCCAGGTACTTGGGAGGCGGAGGCAGGAGAATCTCTTGAACCCGGGAGGCAGAGGTTGCAGTGAGCTGAGATCGTGCCACTGCACTCCAGCCTGGGCGACAGAGTGAGACTCCATCTCAAAAAAACAAACAAACAAAATATAGATGGGTTTGTCCCAAATATAAACTTTCTTATTTCTTATATTTCTCCAAAAATCCCTCTTCATCCCTGTTTATGATTTTAATTCTACCATTTCTCTATAGATGTATACTGCTTTTATAATCATAATTTAAAATTTTATCCTGCGGGCTGTGAATGGTAGCTCATGCCTATAATGCCAGGACTTTGGGAGGGCGAGGTGGGCGGATTGCTGGAGCCCGGGAGAAATTTGAGACCAGCCTGGGCAACATGGCGAAACCTCCTCTCTACAAAAACACAAAAACAAAAATTAGCTGGGTGTGGTGGCAGGCACCAAGCGGCACAGCTACTAGGGAGGCTGACAGGGAAAAGTATCTCTTGATCCCAGGAGGTTGAGGTTGTAGTGAACTGTGATTGTGCCACTGCACTCCAGCCTGGTGGACAGAGTGAGATCCTATCTCAAAAAGAAGGAAGGGAGGGAGGGAGGGAGGGAGGGAGGGAAGAAAGAGAGAAAGAAAGAGAAAGAAAGAAAGAAAGAGAGAGGAAGGGAGGGAGGAAGAGAGGGAAAGAGAAAGGAAGGAAGGAAAGAAGGAAGGAAGGGAGGGAAAGAAAGAGAGAGACAAAGAGAAAGAAAAAGAAAGAAAGAGAGAGAGAGAGGAGGGAGAAGGAGGGAGAGAGAGAGAAAAGGAAGGAAGGACGAAGGAAGGGAGGGAGGGAGGGAAAGAAAGAGAGAGAAAGAAAGAAAAAGAAAGAGAGAGATGGAGGAAGGAAGGAAAGAAAAGAAAAGAAAGAAAGAAAGAAAGAAAGAAAGAAAGAAAGAAAGAAAGAAAGAGAGAGAGAGAGGGAGGGAAAGAGAGACAGGAAGAAAGAGAGAAAGAGACAGAAAAAAAAGAGAGAAAGAAACAGAAAGAGGAAAAGAAAAAAAGAAAATTTTATCTTGCAAGATTGCCTGTTGTATTTTTGTTTCGATAGCTCACTTGTTACCCGCTGATGTTATATTGTGTCTCTTTCTCCAAAGTATACATCGCTCTTTTTTCTTTTGTTTTGTTTTGAGACGGAGTTTCGCTCTTGTTGCCCAGGCTGGAGTGCAACGGTGCCATCTCGGCTCACTGCAACATCCACCTCTCGGGTTCAAGCGACTCTCCTGTCTCAGCCTCCAGAGTATCTGGAACTACTGGCGTCCACCACCACGCCCGGCTAATTTTTGTATTATTAGTAGAGATGGGGTTTCACCATGTTGGCCAGGCTGGTCTCGAACTCCTGACTTCACGTGATCCACCCGCCTTGGCCTCCCAAAGTGCTGGGATGACAGGCGTGAGCCACTGTGCCTGACCAATTTTCGTATTTTTAGTAGACACGGGGTTTCACCCTGTTGGCCAGGCTGGTCTCAAGATCCTGACCGCGTGATCCTCCCACCTTTGTCTCCCAAAGTGCTGGGATTACAGGCGTGAGCCACTACGCCTGGCTTTTTTTTAATTTTTATTATTTATTTATATTTATTTATTTATTTGTGAGAAGGTCTCACTGTGTCGTCCCGGCTGGAGTGCAAGGGTGTGATCCTGGCTCACTGCAGCCTCGACCTCCTGGGTTCAAGAGATCTTCCCACCTCAGCCTCCTGAATAACTGGGATTACAGGTGTGCACCACCACACCCAGCTAATTGTTAATTTTTCTGTAGCCAGACTGTTGCCATGTTGCCTGGGCTGGTCTCAAACTCCTGGCCACAAGTGATCCTCCCACCTCAGCCTCTCAAAGTACTGGGATTACAGGTGTCAGCCTCCATATGTGACCTGAAATGCCATTTTTGAGTTACAAGACAGAGAGACAGTGGAGAGATTTACTTTTTTCCTTCTTTTTTAGACAGAGTCTCCCTCTGTCCCCCAGGCTGGAGTGCAGTGGTGCGATCTCAGCTCACTGCAAGCTCTGCCTCCCGGGTTCAAGCAATTCTCCTGCCTCAGCCTCCCGAGTAGCTGGGATTACAGGCGTGCACCACCACGCCTGGCTATTTTTTGTATTTTTAGTAGAGACGGGGTTTTACCATGTTGGCCAGGCTGGTCTCGAACTCCTGACCTCAGGGGATCCGCCCACCTCGGCGTCCCAAAGTGCTGGGATGACAGACATGAGCCTCCACATCTGACCGAAAATGCCATTTTTGAGTTACAAGACAGACAGTGGAGAGATTTACTTTTTTCCTTTTTTTCGTTTTTTTGAGATGGAGTCTTGCTGTGTCCCCAGGCTGGAGTGCAGTGGTGTGATCTCTGCTCACTGCAACCTCCGCCTCCCAGGTTCAAGCAATTCTCCTGCCTCATCCTCCCGAGTAGCTGGGATTACAGGTGTGCACCACCACGCCTGGCTATTTTTTGTGTTTTTAGTAGAGACGGGGTTTCTCCATGTTGGCCAGGCTAGTCTCGAACTCCTGACCTCAGGTGATCCACCCACCTCGGCCTCCCAAAGTGCTGGGATTACAGGTGTGAGCCACCGCGCCCGGCCGGGATGTCTTTTTTCTTATTCTGTTTTCTATTTTCCAAGTGCACCAGGTTGATGATACCTATTTTCCTTTTCAAAAGAGGTGGGGTTATTGATTTTAAAAAGAAAGACCTGGGAAAAAACCGACTTGGATGTTTTTCTGTTTGCAGGATGAGGTTATAAGGCGGGAATTGACTCTGGAGGCAGGGCTTGGACCCTGGACCAAACTGGGAACCAACTGAAATACAGCTGGGGTGTAAGCCCCCCTCCATCGCACACACCCAGCAGGGTGCAGGTCCAGGTATCGTTGCCATGGCAACACGCCGGAAGTACCGCCCCCTTTCCATGGCAACGACCCGGAAGTTGCCACTCTTTCCCTAGAAATTGCTGTAGAGGGCCGGGTGCGGAGGCTCACGCCTGTAATCCCAGCACTTTGGGAAGCCGAGGCAGGTGGATCACGAGGTCAGGAGTTCAAGACCAGCCTGGCCAAAATGGTGAAACGCGGTCTGTACTAAAAATACAAAAAAAAAAAAAAAAAAAAAAAAGAAATTGCTGTTGCATAACCCGCCCCTTCATTTGCATGTAATTAGCAGCGGGTATAAATAAGACTGCGGGACCGACTCTGCAAGCTCTGCAAGAAACAGCACCTTGCTGGGCTCAAGTGACCCTCCCACCTCAGCCTCTAGAGTAGCTGGGACTACAGGCAGGTGCCACCAGGTCTAGCTATTTTTTTTTTTTTTTGTATTTGCAGAGACAGGGTTTTGCCTTGCGGTGACCCGAGATCGAGCCACTGCACTCCAGCCTGGGCAACAAGAGTGAAACTGTGTCTAAAAAATAAAATAACATAGCATAACATAACGTAACGTAACATAACATAACATAACATAACATAACATAACATAACAAACACAATAAAAATAAAATAAAATAAAAAATAAAATATAAAATAAAATAAAAAATAAAAATTTAAAAATAAAATAAAATATAAAATAAAATAAAATAAAAAATAAATATATAAAAATAAAATGAAATATGAAATAAAAAATAAAATAAATAAAATATAAAATAAATAAATAAATAAAATATAAAATATAAAATAAAATAAAATGTAAAAGTAAAATAAAAAATAAAATAAAATAAAATAAAAATATAAAAATAAAATAAAATATGAAATAAAAAAATGAATAAAATATAAAATAAAATAAAATATAAAAATAAAATAAAATATAAAATAAAAAATAAATAAAATATAAAATAAAATATAAAAATAAAATAAAATAATAAAATAAATAAAATATAAAATAAAATATAAAATAAATAAATAAATAAAATATAAAATATAAAATAAAATAAAATGTAAAAGTAAAATAAAAAATAAAATAAAATAAAATAAAAATATAAAAATAAAGTAAAATATGAAATAAAAAAAAATATAAAATAAAAAATAAATAAAATATAAAATAAAATATAAAAATAAAATAATAAAATAAATAAAATATAAAAAAATAAAATATAAAATAAAAAATAAATAAAATATAAAAATAAAATAAAATGATAAAATATAAAATAAAATATAAAATAAATAAATAAATAAAATATAAAATATAAAATAAAATAAAATGTAAAAGTAAAATAAAATATAAAGTAAAATAAAATAAAAAATAAAAATATAAAAAAATAAAATATGAAATAAAAAATAAATAAAATATAAAATAAAATAAAATATAAAAATAAAATAAAATATAAAAATAAAATAAAATATAAAATAAAAAATAAAATATAAAAATAAAATAATAAAATAAATAAAAATATAAAATAAAATAAAATCTGCCATCTCACACTCCCGACTCACCCTGAATTCTTTCCTGGACAAAGCCAAGAACCCTCCCAGCCTAAGCATTAATTTGAGGACCCACCTGCCCGACATCAGAGGCATACCTTGGTTGCAAAGGGTCCTAGAAAGAATACATTAAAGAAGGAGAGAAACTGGATATTTCACTCTGGGTCAACTCTTCGTTGCTGCTTGGAAGAGACCACATCACATGCCATGAATCCCAGGTGTCATCTGCAGAGACTGTAAAAATATGTCTGAGGGATCCCAAAAAAGTTAAACACAGAATTTCCACAGGACCCAGAAATTTCACTTCTAGGTGTATAACCGAGAGAATTCAAAACAAGTGTCCAAATAGATTTTGTCCTCGAATGTTCAAAGCCACATTTTTCTTACTGGGAGGCGTTATGTGTCCAATTGACTGGGCTCTGAGGTGCCCAGATATTTGGCTAAACATGATTCTGGGTGTGTCTTTGAAGGTGATTCTAGGTGCTGTGATTTGGTCTTCCTAGGCTTTCGGACTGGAACTCACAGTACCAGCTTTCTTGGGTATGAGGCCTTCAGATTCACAGGGGAACTCACACCGTCAGCTCTCCTGGGTCTCAGGCCTTCAGACTAAGATGGGAACGCACACCCTCGACTCTCCTGGGTCTCAGGACTTCGGACTCAGACTGGAACTCACACTCTCAGCTCTCCTGAGTCTCAGGACTTCAGACTCACACTAGAACTCACACCCTCGGCTCTCCTGGGTCTCAGGCCTTCAGACTCACACTAGAACTCACACCCTCGGCTCTCCTGGGTCTCAGGCCTTCCGGAACTCAGACCCTCAGCCCTTCCGGGTCTCAGGACTTCAGACTCACACTAGAACTCACACCCTCGGCTCTCCTGGGTCTCTGGACTTCAGACTCAGACTGAAACTCACACACTCGGCTCTTCTGGGTCTCGGCCCTTCAGGAACTCAGACCCTCAGCCCTTCCAGGTCTCAGGACTTCAGACTCACACTAGAACTCACACCCTCAGCTCTCCTGGGTCTCAGGCCTTCAGACTCAGACAGGAACTCACACCCTCAGCTCTCCTGGGTCTCAGGTCTTCACACTCACACTGGACTCACACCCTCGGCTCTTCTGGGTCTCGGCCCTTCAGGAACTCAGACCCTCGGCTCTCCTGGGTCTCAGGACTTCAGACTCACACTGGAATTCACACTTTTAGCTCTCCTGGGTCTCAGGCCTTCAGACTCAGACAGGAACTCACGCCATCAGCTCTCCTGGGTCTCAGGCCTTCAGACTGGAACTCACACCCTTGGCTCTCCTGAGACTCAGGCCTTCAGACTCAGACTGGAATCCACACCATTTGCTGTCCTGGGTCTCCAGCTTGCTGACCTTGTATCCTAAAGTTTCTAACACTTCATATTCACTTGAGTCAATTCCTTATTAGATAGATAGATAGATAGATACATACATACATACATACAGAATCTCTTGTTGGTCATGTTCCTCTGGAGACCCTGATTAATGCATTCACAACAGCCAAAAGGTGGACCCAACCCCACACGCATCAGTGGTCATACGAATAAACACAATGTGGTAGATTCACACAGTGGAATATTACGCAGCCATGAAAAGGAACGAGGCTCTGATACAGGCTGCCGCGTGCATGAACGTTGAGGACACCATGCTCACTGAGAGGTGCCAGACACAAAAGACCACACAGTGTTTCCTTCTGTGAAATTTCCAGAACAGGGAAATCCACAGAGAGGGAGAAAGTGGATTTGGGGTTGCTAGGGGCTGGGGAGGAAGAAAGGGGAGTGACTGCTTCATATTAGTTACAGGGTGTACTTTGGAGGACTATGGTGGTCTGGACCTAGACAGAGGTGATGGTTTCATAACCATCACCCATGTACTAAACGCCTCTGAATTATACACTGAAAGAAAAAAAAAAAAAAGGCCAGGCACGGTGGCCCACATCTGTAATCTCAACACTTTGGGAGGCCAAGGCGGGCAGATCACAAGGTCAAGAGATTGAGACCATCCTGGCCAACACGGTGAAACTCTGTCTCTACTAAAAATACAAAAATTAGCCAGGTGTGGAGGCTCACGCCTATCATCCCAGCACTTTGGGAGGCCGAGGTGGGTGGATCACCTGAGGTCAGGAGTTCGAGACCATCCCGGCCAACATGGTGAAAGCCCGTCTCTACTAAAAACACAAAAATTAGCCGGGCATGGTGGCTCACGCCTGTCATCCCAGCTACTCGGGAGGCTGAGGCAGGAGAATCGCTTGAACCTGGGAGGTGGAGGCTGCAGTAAGCCAAGATCGCACCACTGCACTCCAGCCTGGGTGACAGAGCGAGACTCCATCTCAAAAAAAAAAAAATTGAATTGTTTGCTATGAAAATTTCACCTCAATGAAAAATAAAAATTAAAAGAGTATACTGATGGGGAAATAAGAGATTTAAAATTAAACACACCTGCTCCACTTCCCTCAACCCCAAGAACCGAGGCTGCCCGTCTCCTTTCCTTCGTGTTCTCCCTGCAGAGATGAGGCCGTAACAGAGAAGGCAGTTGTCACTGAGAAGGATCTCGTGGGCTGGAGGCGTTCAGCAGCGACGTTTTCCTGCTGTGATATCCCCATACCCCCTTCTTATTCTTGTGAGCCGAGCCATATCTTACGCTGGGCTTGATTCAAGACAAGTTCAGCTTGACAATTACAAAGGCAATGTTGGATGTTGTATTCGTGACAATGAGTGTTTCATAGGGTGAGACCGTCAGGCGCCTGGCGGTGACAGAATCACAGCGGATCACGACCTCAGCTGACATTGTAGGATTTCCGCCTGCTCACCGAGTTATAAAGAGGAGTTTTGGGTGGAAGAAATCACCCTTTTTTCTTTTCTTCCTTCAGTCGGGCGTTTCTGGCAGCCAGGGACCTCTTGTGAATGAAAGAAACGCTTTCCAACAATTGCGCTGTGTGTCTGTGACAAAAAAGACTCTGGGAGAAAAAGCTTTGCAGTTGACGTGGGCGCGGAGCACGAGGGCAGGCTTTGAAAGACTTCCCCAGCACGTCGGCTTTGGGGAAGTTCCACGTCGGCTCACACATGGCATTTTGGAGACTACAGATCAATGACAGGGGACTGTGAAGGTCTTCCCTGCCAGAGTACACTCTCTGTACAGGAAAGAGATCTCAAACCCCACGCCTGCAGGGATGATGGCTGGGGAGGAGGAGGAGGTGTGCAAAGGAGAGTTGTAAGGTTGCAGACGTGCAGCGACATCTGGGTCCAGGAAGATTCCACACATCAGGGGACAGTCCTTTTGATCTGCAAGATAAAGTCAGTTCTACAAAGCTCAGGAACAGCGGAGGTCTTCACGGAAGCTTTCACTGTCCTATCTTTTGTCTGCCTTTGAGCTAGAATGAGGCGTGAACACTGCAAGCTTATTTCTCGGCCGGTCGCGGTGGCTCATGCCAGTCATCTCAGCACTTTGGGAGGCCGAGGCGGGCGGATCACTTGAGGTCAGGAGTTCAAGACCAACCTGGCCAACATGGTGAAACCCCGTCGCTACTAAAAATCCAAAATAAAAAAAATTAGCTGGACATGCTGGTGTGTGCCTGTAATCCCAGCTACTTGGGAGGCTGAGGCAGGAGAATTGCTTGAACTTGGGAGGCGGAGGTTGCAGTGAGCCAAGATTGCAACACTGCACTCTAGCCTGGGCGACAGAGCGAGACTCTGTCTCAAAAAAAAAAACCCAAAGACAAAAAGCAAATGCAAGGATATTTCTCATAATCCAACCAAATTGTCCATATGTGTGTGTGTGTGTGTGTATATATATATATATATATATATACATATTTATTTATTTTTTTTCTGAGACAGGGTCTTGCTCTGTTTCCCGGCTAGAATGCAATGGCACAATCATGGCTCACTGCAGCCTCAAACTCCTGGGTTCTGAGATCCTCCTGCCTCAGCCTCCTGAGTAGCTACAATCACAGGCGTGCACATGCCCGGCTAAGTTTTTCTAATTTTTTTTGTGGAGATGGGGTCTTGCTATGTTGCCCTGCCTGGTCTCAAACTCCTGGGGTCAAGCGATGCTCCTGCCTCAGCCTCTCAAAGTGCAGGAATTACAGGCATGAGCCACCGCAACCGGCCCTCTTAAATTTTTAATTCTGAGAAGCAAAGTCTAAGGTTTTGGAATTCTCAGCGTGCTGAGATGGCTCAATGTTACTTATTGGCCTGAGAGTGTCCCAGAAGGAATAAACAAAAATCTGAATAATTCTGATTCTTCTGGAAGCTGCATTCCATTTTCTTTTTTCTTTCTTTTTTTTTTTTTGTGACACAGTCTCACTCTGTCTATCAGCCAGGCTGGAGTGCAGTGGCGCGATCTTGGCTCACTGCAGCCTCCTCCTCCCGGGTTCAAGCGATTCTCCAGCCTCAGCCTCTCCCAAGTAGCTGGGACTACAGGCACCTGCCACCACGCCCAGCTAATTTCTGTATTTTTGCTTTTTTATTTTATTTTATATTTGAGATGGAGTCTCACTCTGTCACTCAGGCTGGAGTGCAACGGCGCGATCTCGGCTCACTGCAGCGTCCACCTCCCGGGTTCAAGTG
Source organism: Homo sapiens (assembly GCF_000001405.40). Classification (NCBI taxonomy): domain Eukaryota; kingdom Metazoa; phylum Chordata; class Mammalia; order Primates; family Hominidae; genus Homo; species Homo sapiens. The sequence goes on from NC_000024.10 coordinate 1,078,916, forward strand.
ATTCTCCTGCCTTAGCCTCCCAAGTAGCTGGGATTACAGGCGCCCACCACCACACCCGGCTAATTTTTGAATTTTTAGTACAGCAGGGGTTTCGCCATGTTGACCAGGCTGGTATCGAACTCCTGACCTCATGATCCTCCCGCCTTGGCCTCCCAACATGCTGGGATTACAGGCGTGAGGCACTGCGTCCGGCTAATTTCTGAATTTTTTTTTTAGTAGAGACTGGGTTTCACCGTGTTGGCCAGGCTGGTCTCGAACTCCTGGCCTCAAGCGATCCACACCCCACACCCCGGCCTCCCAAAGTGCTGGGATTACAGGCACGAGCCACCGCTCCCAGCCTCATTTTCTTACTCTACTAGATTTTACTCACAGGCGGGGCATGGGGGGAGTATGAATTATGTTAAGTAGATACCTTGTGTAAAGGTTCAGCTGAGAAAAGTGAGAAGTGGGCACTGGTTTGGTTTAAGGAAACAGGTCTGGTTGGTGCAAGGCTGTTAGTGGTGGCTTTTGCGTTCACTCTGACAGCGGTTCTATGGTCCAACGTGGACGGCATTGTTTCCAGCTTGGAGTACGCGTGATGCTCTGTCAGGATTCACTGGCTCTCTGCCTTTGATGTCTTTTTATTTTTATTTATTTATTTTTTTTATTTTTGAGATGGAGTCTCGCTCTGTCACCAGGCTGGCATGCAGTGGCGCGATCTCGGCTCCCTGCAACCTCCGCCTCCTGGGTTCAGGAAATTCTCCTGCCTCAGCCTCCCGAGGAGCTGGGATTACAGGCATGCACCACCACGCCCAGCTAATTTTTTGCACTTTTAGTAGAGACGGGGTTTCACCATGTTGGCCAGGCTGGTCTCAATCTCTTGACCTCATGATCCACCCACGTCAGCCTCCCAAAGTGCTGGGATTACAGGCGTGAGCCACTGTGCCCAGCTGTGTCTTTTTTTTTTTTTTTTTTTAGACAGCCTTGCTCTGTCACCAGGCTGGAGTGCAATGGCGCGATCTTGGCTCCCTGCAACCTCCGCCTCCTTGGGATCAAGCAATTCTCCTGCCTCAGCCTCCTGAGTAGCTGGGATTACAAGCATGCACCACCACGCCCAGCTAATTTTTTGTATTTTTAGTAGAGACGGGGTTTCACCATGTTGGCCAGGCTGGTCTTGATCTCTTGACCTCATGATCCACCCACCTTGGCCTCCCAAAGTGCTGGGATGACAAGCATGAGTCTTGCTCTGTCGCCAGGCTGGAGTGCAGTGGCGCGATCTCGGCTCCCTGCAACCTCCATCTTCTGGGTTCAAGCGATTCTCATGCCTCAACCTCCTGAGGAGCTGGGATTACAAGGCGCACGCCACCACGGCCAGCTAATTGTTTGTATTTTTAGTAGGGATGGGGTTTCACCATGTTGGCCAGGCTGGTCTCGATCTCTTGACCTCATGATCCACCCACCTCAGCCTCCCAAAGTGCTGGGATTACAGGCTTTACCATCCACATGGAAGGGACTGGATGGACCATCAGCCCAAATGCCTGGCCCAGAGATCTCATCCAAGTCCCAAAAGAGCCAGAACTGAAGAGCTTTCAGTTGTGAAGGACAGAAAGGTAGTTCTATGGGGAGGAAGAAATGACAGATGTGTTCCCTTATCAATACCCACTACACAGCAAACATGTATCCAGTGCCTGCCCAGGACCTCTTGGCAGAGAATAAAAAATAATTGGGTGTGGCCAGGCACGGTGGCTCATGCCTGTAATCCCAGCACTTTGGGAGGCTGAGGCAGGCAGATCATGAGGTCAGGAGATGGAGACCATCCCGGCTAACACGGTGAAACCCCATCTCTACTAAAAATAAAAAAAATCAGCCGGGCATGGTCGTGGGCGCCTTAGTCCCAGCTACTCGGGAGGCTGAGGCAGGAGAATGGCGTGAACCCGGGAGGCAGAGCTTGCAGTGAGCCGAGATCGCGCCACTGCACTCCAGCCTGGGTGACAGAGCAAGACTCCATCTCAAAAAAAAATAAATAAATAAAAATAAGTGGGTGTATTCCTTTGACCTCTTCTTTCCCCAAGTCTCAAACTTGGAATCCGCAATTTAAATCCTCAGTAAAACAACTCACTGCAAAAGCTGGGTGCAGTGGCTACCGCCTGTAATCCCAGCACTTTGGGAGGCTGAAGCAGGTGGATCATGAGGTCAGGAGTTCCACACCAGCCTGGGCAACATGGTGAAACCCCGTCTCTACTAAAAACACAAAAATTGGTCAGGTGTGGTGGCTCACACCTGTAATCCCAGAACTATGGGAGGCCGAGGTAGGTGGATAACCTAAGGTCAGGAGTTTGAGACCAGCCTGGGCAACATGGTGAAAACCCATCTCTACTAAAAATACAAAAAATTAGCCAGGTGTGGTGGTGCATGTCTGTAGTTCCAGCTACTCGGGAGGCTGAGGCAAGAGAATCACTTGAAACTGGGAGGCGGAGGTTGCAGTGAGCTGAGATCCCACCACTGCACTCCAGCCTGGGCAACAAGAGTGATACTCTATCTCAAAAAAAAAAAAAAAAAAAAAAAGCTGACTTAAATCTACAGTGGGATAGTATTCACTGTTACAAAGAAGGAAATTCTCGGCCAGGCATGGCGGCTCATGCCTGTAATCCCAGCACTTTGGGAGGCCAAAGCAGGCGGATCACCTGAGGTCAGGAGTTCAAGACCAGCCTGGCCAACATGGTGAAACCCCGTCTTTACTAAAAATACAAAAATCAGCCAGGTATGATGGCAGGTGCCTGTAGTCCCAGCTACTCAGGAGGCTGAGGCAGGAGAATCGCTTGAACCCGGGAGGCAGAGGTTGCAGTGAGCTGAGATCGTGCCATTGCACTCCAGCCTGAGTGACAGAGCGAGACTCTGTCTCAAAAGAAAAGACAAAAAACAAAATCAAACAAACAACAGCAAAAACAAACAACAAACAATCTGACGTCAACCTACAGTGGGATGGTATTCACCGTTAAAAAGACGGAAATGCTAACATGTATTAGTCAAGTTTCTCTAAAGAGACAGGACTAATAAAATAGATGAATATATGCAGGGCAGTTTGTGAGGCCTCTGAGCCCAAGCCAAGCCATCGCATCCCCTGTGACTTGCACGTATATGCCCAGGTGGCCTGAAGTAACTGAAGAATCACAAAAGAAGTGAAAACGTCCTGCCCTGCCTTAACTGATGACATTCCACCACAAAAGAAGTGAAAATGGCCGGTCCTTAAGTGATGACATTACCTTGTGAAAATCCTTTTCCTGGCCCATCCTGGCTCAGAAAGTTCCCCCACTGAGCACCTTGCAACCTCCACTCCTGCCCGCCAGAGAACAAACCCCCTTTGACTGTAATTTTCCTTTATCTACCCAAATCCTATAAAAGAGCCCCACCCTTATCTCCCTCCCCTGACTCTGTTTTCGGACTCAGCCCGCCTGCACGCAGGTGATTAAAAGTTTTATTGCTCACACAAAGCCTGTTTGGTGGTCTCCACACGGACGTACATGAAAGAGTTTATCGGAAGAATTAGCTCACACGATCACAAGGTAAAGCCCTACAATAGCCCGTCTACAAGCTGAGGAGGCAGGAAGCCAGTCTGAGTCCCAAAACCTCAAAAGTAGGGAAGCTGACATGGCAGCCTTCAGTCTGTGGCCGAAAGCTCAAGAGTCCCTGGTAAAACCACTGGTGTCAGTCCAAGAGTCCAAAAGGCGAAGAGCTTGAAGTCTGAGTTTCAATGGCAGGAAGTGTCCAGCACAGGAGAAAGATGGAGGCTGGAAGATACAGCCAGTCTAGTCCTTGCACGCTCCTTTGCCTGCTTTATTCTAGCTGCGGTGGCAGCAGATGAGAGGGTGCCCACCCAGCTTGAGGGTGGCTGTGCCTCTCCCAGTCCACTGACTCAAATGTTATTCTCCTTTGGCAACACCCTCACAGATACACCCAGGAACAATACTTTGCATCCTTCCGTTCAATCAAGTTGACGCTCAGTATTAACCATCGCATAACACCTGCTCCAACACGGATGGACCTTTGAGAACATGACGCTGAGAGAAAGAAGCCAGATGCAAAAAGACAAATACTCTAGGATTCCACTTATATGAGGTCCCTAGAGTCGTCAAATTTGTAGACACGGAAAATAGAGTCGTGGGTGCCGGGGGCTTGGGGAGGGAGAAAAGGGGACAGAGTTTCAGTTTTGCAAGACGGGAAACGTCAAAAAGATTTTTTGCATAAAAAGGGAAAAGACTTACCGGGTACGGTGGCTTATACCTGTAATTCCAGGACTTTGGGAGGCCGAGGTGGGCGGGGGCGGATCATCTGAGGTCGGGAGTTCAAGACCAGCCTGAGCAATATGAAGAAACCCTGTCTCTACCGAAAATACAAAAATTAGCCGGGCATGGTGGCAGGTGCCTGTAGTCCCAGCTACTCGGGAGGCTGAGGCGGGAGAATCGCTTGAACCTGGGAGGCAGAGGTTGCAGTGAGCTGAGATCGCGCCATTGCACTCCAGCCTGGGCAACAGGAGCGAGATTCCATCTCAAAAAAAAAAAAAAAAAAGGAAAATACATAAAACGGCTAAATTGCCCTCTTACAAAGGCTCAAGATGGTAAATTTTATGTCTCATGTGGGGTTTTTTTAACCTCAATCAAAAATTATGGAAACAAGATAAATACCAAAATTATATTTATAGGGTTTATACGGTTGTGACCCAAACAGTGGAATTTGTAGGGTTGTGACCCAGAGGGCTAAGATTCGTAGGGTTACGACCCAGAGGGCTAGAATTGATAGGGTTGTGTCCCAGGGGGCTAAGATTCGTAGGGTTATGACCCAGAGGGCTAGAATTCATAGGGTTGTGACCCAGGGGGCTAAGATTTGTAGGGTTATGACCCAGAGGGCTAGAATTCATAGGGTTGTGACCGAGGGGGCTAAGATTCGTAGGGTTATGACCCAGAGGGCTAGAATTCATAGGGTTGTGACCCAGGGGGCTAAGATTTGTAGGGTATGACCCAGAGGGCTAGAATTCATAGGGTTGTAACCCACGGGGCTAAGATTCGTAGGGTTATGACCCAGAGGGCTAGAATTCATAGGGTTGTGTCCCAGGGGGCTAAGATTCGTAGGGTTATGACCCAGAGGGCTAGAATTCATAGGGTTGTGTCCCAGGGGGCTAAGATTCGTAGGGTTATGACCCAGAGGGCTAGAATTCATAGGGTTGTGACTGAGGGGTCTAAGATTTGTAGGGTATGACCCAGAGGGCTAGAATTCATAGGGTTGTGACCCAGGGGTCTAAGATTTGTAGGGTATGACCCAGAGGGCTAGAATTCATAGGGTTGTGACCCAGGGGGCTAAGATTCGTAGGGTTATGACCCAGAGGGCTAGAATTCATAGGGTTGTGACCCAGGGGGCTAAGATTCGTAGGGTATGACCCAGAGGGCTAGAATTCATAGGGTTGTGACCCAGGGGGCTAAGATTCGTAGGGTATGACCCAGAGGGCTAGAATTCATAGGGTTGTGACCCAGGGGTCTAAGATTCGTAGGGTATGACCCAGAGGGCTAGAATTCATAGGGTTGTGACCCAGGGGGCTAAGATTCGTAGGGTATGACCCAGAGGGCTAGAATTCATAGGGTTGTGACCGAGGGGGCTAAGATTTGTAGGGTTACAACCCAGAGGGCTAGAATTCATAGGGTTGTGACCGAGGGGGCTAAGATTCGTAGGGTATGACCCAGAGGGCTAGAATTCATAGGGTTGTGACCCAGGGGGCTAAGATTCGTAGGGTATGACCCAGAGGGCTAGAATTCATAGGGTTGTGACCCAGGGGGCTAAGATTCATAGGGTTATGACCCAGAGGGCTGGATTTGTAGGGTTGTGACTCATAGGGGTGGATTTGTCCAATGAAAGTCAAAGACTGTGGGAAAACTGATTCCTCTGTTTACACCTGGGTAATGATTGAACCAGCCCACTCCACGCTAGGCTGCGTTCTGCCATGTTCATTTCTCTTTATGCATGAGGTTACTCATGTTGAGCATCGGGCAATCTTCACGCAGAGATTGCTTTTCGCTCCTTCCTCTCTCTTTGGCAATTCTCTTTCCATCGTGCAGTGAAACACTGGGGAACTTTATTTGCCATGTTTTTATGAGTGGTACTCAGGTTTTATGAGAGTCCCACAACCTTCCTGACATATGTCTTTCTGCTTTCAGACACCCATTTTTGGCATCCTTTTTTTTTTTAATGTTAATTCACTTGGTATTCAAAAGTATGTCTCAAACTCAGGGTTGTTTCGATTTAATTTGAATTTTGCCTCCAGGTGCCATGGGAGACCCCCGGGCTGCTCCTGGGGTGCTGTGAACGTGTGACGTGGGGAGGGAAACGAACTCCGTGTGCCAAGCCCTCCGGGTACGTAAAGCTTAGAGGAGCTAAGACCTGGTGATGGGCTTCATGGTGCCTTTGGAGGAAGCCCTTTGGGGAATGTGATATGTCCCTTTGAGCCAAAGAGAGTCTAAGGATTTGTGTTCTGCTCCAAGGAGTAGGTAGAGTTTGGGGGAGGGATTTGCTGAAAAGGGGAGCCATAGGGCTGGGACCTATAGCTGTAGGAATTATAGGCTGAGATCCACAGCTCTCTGGCATATAGATGGCTCGATCTGTGGGGCTAAGAGTTGTAGGGTTATGACCCATAGAGCTGGATTAGTAGGGTCGTGACCCATGGTACTGGGACTCATAGGGTTATAACCCAAAGGGATGGATTCGTAGGGTTGTGACTCAGAAGGCTGAATTTGTCGAGTTGTGACCCAGAGGGCTAGAATTTGTAGGGTTGTGGCCCAAAGGGCTGAGATTTGTAGGATTATGAGCTACAGGGCTAGATTCCTAGGGTTCTGACCCATGGGGCTGGGATTGATAGGGTTGACACCCAAAGGGCTGAATTCGTAGGGTCATGACTCATTGTGCTGGATTTGCTGGGTTTTGACTCAGAGGGCTAAGAGTTGTAGGATTATGCCCTAGAAAGCTAGATTGATTGGGTTGTGACCCATGGGGCTGGGATTCATAGGGTTGTGACCCAAATGGCTGCACTTGTAGATTTGTGACCCAGAAGGCTACAATTCATAGGGTTGTGACACAGAGGGCTAAGAGTTGTAGGGTTATGACGCATAGAGTTAGATTTGTATGGCTTTAGCCCATGGGGCTGGGATTCATAGGGGTGTCACCCAAAGGGCTGAATTCGTAGGATTGTGACTCATAGGGCTGGATTTGCTGAGTTTTGACTCAGAGGGCTAAGAGTTGCAGGATTATGCCCTAGAAAGCTAGATTGATTGGGTTGTGACCCATGGGGCTGGGATATATAGGGTTGTGACCCAAATGGCTGCACTTGTAGATTTGTGACCCAGAAGGCTACAATTCATAGGGTTGTGACACAGAGGGCTAAGAGTTGTAGGGTTATGATGCATAGAGTTAGATTTGTATGGCTTTGGTCCATGGGGCTGGGATTCATAGGGTTGTCACCCAAAGGGCTGAATTCATAGGGTTGTGACTCATAGGGCTGGATTTGCTGAGTTTTGACTCAGAGGGCTAAGAGTTGCAGGATTATGCCCTAGAAAGCTAGATTGATTGGGTTGTGACCCATGGGGCTGGGATATATAGGGTTGTGACCCAAATGGCTGGACTTGTAGATTTGTGACCCAGAAGGCTACAATTCATAGGGTTGTGACACAGAGGGCTAAGAGTTGTAGGGTTATGACGCATAGAGTTAGATTTGTATGGCTTTGGCCCATGGGGCTGGGATTCATAGGGTTGTCACCCAAAGGGCTGAATTCGTAGGGTTGTGACTCATAGGGCTGGATTTGCTGAGTTGTGACTCAGAGGACTTAGAGGTGTAGGGTCATGCCCCGTTGAGCTAGATTCATAGGGTTGTGATCCAAGGGACTGAATTCATAGGGTTGTGACTCATAGTGCTGGATTTGCTGAGTTGTGATTCAGAGGGCTAAGAGTTGTAGGATTATGACCCATAGGGCTGGATTCGTATGGTTGTGACCCATGGGGCTGGGATTCATAGGGCTGGCATCTATAGAGTTGTATTCATAGGGTTGGAATTCAGTGAATGGAGCTGATTAGGGCTCGGTCATATTTGCTTGATTTTATAAGGCTAGAACTCATAAGTCTGGGGTCTGTAGAGTTGGGAATTTTAGGGCTGGACTCTACAGGGTTGGAATCCGTACTGCTAGGACATGTATTGGTGTGTCTCATATAAATGGATTTCATGAGGTTGATATCATACATTGAACCCCTTAGGGTTGATATCCCTGAGTCTGAAAAGTATAGGGTTGTGACTCATGGGGATTACAGGCGTAGAATGGGTTTTAAACTGGACCACGAGTCATTTGAGTGATGCAGAGAAGAGCTCATAGCTGCAGCGGCTGGTGAGGGGGTGGGTTGGTGGGCATTAGTGTTCTGCTGGTGTCTTCTTCTTTCACATTCTCAATGTCAGAGGAGGGTATCAGGTGAGGTTGGAGGAGATGTTGGAGGCTGGCAGGGGAAACAAAAAATGTCTGATACTCCTGGAGGAGAGGAGAATGAATAGAAGAAAATATATGTATCATGGTTCTGGCCAGCAAGAAGCAGACCGTAAGGTTGGCTGCCATTGATTTGAAGTGAGACTCCTGGTTGGGTGCCATTGAAGTGAAGCTATTGGGGGTGCCCACAGGATATTCATGAGTTACATTGAGCCCTAGAGGTGTAGGCTAGGAGTGGGTTGAGATTTGGGTCATTCCAGAAATGTGCTTCATTTCTGGAGCAAGTAAAACAAAGCAAGCGTGGGCGCGCGTTGAGAATCTGTGCGAGAAAATGATGGTGGCTATTGTCCACATGATGGGGACAAGGTTGGGAGAGGTCATTAGGGAATGTGGCAGAAGACCTGGTCAAGGTATCAGTTTTTTGGGGTTTTTTGTTGTTGTTGTTGTTGTGTTGGTTTATTGTTTGTGTGTTTGTTTTTGAGATGGAGTCTCGCTCTGTCACTGGGCTAAAGTGCAATGGCGTGATCTCTGCTCACCGCAACCTCCTCCTCCCGGGTTCAAGTGATTCTCCTGCCTCAGCCTCCTGAGTAGCTGGGATTACAGGCGTCCACCACCACGCCTGGCTAATTTTTGTATTTCTAGTACAGACAGGGTTTCACTATGTTGGCCAGGCTGGTCTCGAACGCCTCACCTCATGATCCATCTGCCTCAGATTCCCAAAGTGCTGGGATTACACGCGTGAGCCACCGGGCCCAGCCAAAAAATGTACACAAATTTTTTTTTTTTTTTGAGACAGAGTCTCTCTCTGTCGCCCAGGCTGGAGTGCAGTGGCCCAAACTCGGCTCACTGCAAGCTCCACCTCCTGGGTTCACGCCATTCTCCTGCCTCAGCCTCCCAAGTAACTGGGACTACAGGCACCCGCTACCACGCCCGGCTAATTTTTTTGTATTTTTAGTAGAGATGGGGTTGCACTATGTTGGCCAGGCTGGTCTCGAACTCCTCACCTCATGATCCGTCTGCCTCAGACTCCCAAAGTGCTGGGATTACAGGCATGAGCCACTGCACCTGGCCAAAGAATGTGCACACTTTCTTTCTTTTTTTTTTTTTTTGAGACAGAGTCTCGTTCTGTTGCCCAGGCTGGAGTGCAGTGGCACGATCTCGGCTCACTGCAAGCTCCGCCTTCCGGGTTCACGCCATTCTCCTGCCTCAGCCTCCCGAGTAGCTGGGACTACAGGCGCCCGCCACCACGCCCGGCTAATTTTTTGTATTTTTAGTAGAGACGGGGTTTCACCGTGTTAGCCAGGATGGTCTCGATCTCCTGACCGTGTGATCCACCTGCCTCACCCTCCCAAAGTGCTGGGATTCCAGGCATGAGCCACCGCACCTGGCCAAAGAATGTACACACTTTTTAGGGTTGAGGAATTCCATAGGTTTTTAGGGTTGAGCAAATGCATACCTTTCATCAGATCCTCAAACAGCCTTGTCAAACCTGACTCCTCTTCCTATAACTTGTGGTGGACGAATATTACAAAAGAAAAGAAAACTTTGGTCTTGGCCAGGCGCGGTGGCTCACACCTGTAATCCCAGCACTTTGGGTAGCCGAGGGGGGCGGATCATGAAGTCAGGAGTTCGAGACCAGCCTGACCAACATGGTGAAACCCCATCTCTACTAAAAATACAAAAAAATCAGCCAGGTGTGGTGGTGGGCGCCTGTAATCCCAGCTACTCGGGAGGTCGAGGCACGAGAATCACTGGAACCCGGGAGGCGGAGGTTTCAGTGAGCCGAGATTGTGCCATTGCCCTCCAGCTTAGGCAATGAGAGCAAAACTCTGCCTCAATTAAAAAAAAAATTAGTCTTATAGAGCACCAAAGACCAACCCTAAACAATGAGATGCAATGTGGCAAAGTCAACCTTTGGAGAGCAAAGGATGCTATGAGCAGAATAGTATTACTGTAAATAAATAGCCACAGAGAAGCTGGTGGAGGCTCATCCAAGTCATCTTCATTCATTGCCTGAAATGTGGGTGTTTGTCTGTTTGCCAGATAACTCCGGCCAGAAATAATTTTGCATAAATAGCATTGATCTTCCAGGACCTCCCTTTGGGCTGAGTTTAGTGCAAAAGTCGCTGATGTTTTCACTTCCTTTGGTGGGGACTTATTCAAGCTCAGTGAATCTCCTTAAATAATAACCTGTAGCCGGTTCCTAGAAGCCTCCTTTCCTCCTTTTCGTCCTTTCCTGGAGAGACTGGATCCTCAGCCATTACATGAAGATACCATCACTGAAGGCATCTCGTTGGTGCCCTGTTGGGTGGATTTTTCTTGATACGGAAGTCCAGGCCATGTCTCTCTCAGGAATTCTGCCTCTGTGAGTGAGTGCTCATTCCAATGGGTAGCTGGGATCCCACAACTTTGCACTTTGCCTTATGTGTTGATACTGTTGACTGAGTTCAAACCTGCATGCTGGAAAGAATGAGGTTTAAACCGGGCCATTTTGTCTATGCTAGTGATATAAAAATGACATGCTCTGGAAAATAGTTTGGCAGTTTCTTTTAAAAGTAGACATTGAGCAATCACCTGACTGTTGCACTCCTGGGTAGTTAGCCCAGAGAAATGAAGACTTTTGCTCACACAAAAACCTTTACGTCATGTTTGTAACAGATTGGTTTGTAATACTCAAAAACTGGAAACAATTTAGATGTCCTTCATCAGCTGAGTAGGTAAACAAACTGTGATACATCTCTACCAGAGAATACTATCTGATAACAAAAAAGAACAGATTATTAACATATGCAACAACCTGGGTGAATCTCCAGGGAATTATGTCAAGTGAAAAAGTAGCATTCTATGTAATTCTATGTATGTAGCATTCTTGACCTGGTAAAATTATAGAAATGGAAAACAGATTAGTTGTTGCCAGGGATTAAGGAGGGAGTGGGGGCAGAAGGGAAGTGGGTATGGCTACAAATAGGCAACAGCAAGGATTCTTGTAGTGATAGAAATGTTTTGTATCTTGGCTATATCAATGTCAATATATGGGTTTGATATTGTACTATCAAGATGTTACCACTGCAAGATGTTACCACTGAGGGAAACTCAGTAAAGAGTATATGAGAAAACATAAAAATAATAATAAAGGCAGACATTGCTACCTAGGGAGAAGGTTGAAACTCACAGAAGGGGATGGGGACATCTCTGGGGACCATTATCTCTGCAGTAAGAGAGAAAAATAGGTTGGGCATGGATCATGGTGGATCAGGTGGATCACCTGAGGTCAGGAGTTCGAGACCAGCCTGGCCAACATGGTGAAACCCGTCACTACTATAAATACAAAAATTAGCCTTGTGTGGTGGCAGGCACCTGTAATCCCAGCTACTCGAGAGGCTGAGGCAGAAGAATCACTTGAACCTGGGAGGTGGAGGTTGCAGCAAGTTGAGATCACACCACAGCACTGCAGCCTGGGCCACAGAGTGAGACCCTGTCTCAAAACAAAAACAAACAAACAAAAAAAGACAGAGAGAAATAGAGAAATTGCAGCCATAACCAACTGAGTTCTGTCTTGGCACAGTGGGTTAAATATCCCATCAAAATCCATATGTTGGAACCCGCATCTGCAATGGGGTGTTATTTGGACACGGAAACTTTGGAAGATAATTAAAATTAGATTAAATCTTGAGGATATATCCCTCATGATGGGATTAGCGTTCTTATTTTATTTATTTATGAGACAGAGTCTCACATTGTCACCCAGGCTGGGGTGCAGTGGCGGGATCTCAGCTCATTGCAACCTCCACCTCCTGGGTTCACACCATTTTCCAGACTCAGCCTCCTGAGTAGTGGGGATTACAGGCACCCACCACCGCGCCCGGCTAATTTTTTGTATTTTTAGTAAAGACAGGGTTTCACCACATTGGTCAGGCTGGTCTCCAACTGCTGACCTCGGGGATCCGCCCACCTCGGCCTCCCGAAGTGCTGGGATTACAGGCATGAGCCACCGTGCTCAGCTGGGATTAGCGTTCTTACGGGAAGTAGAAGAGACACCAGAGCTCTCTCTCTCTCTCTCTCTATCTGCCATACGAGGACACAGGGAGAAGATACTGTCTATCCACCAAGAAGAGAATCCTCACCAGTAACTGAATCTGGTGGCATGCAAACTGCAGGACTTCCAGTGTCCAAAACTATGAGAAATAAATGTGTAGTGTTTGTGCCCCATAGTGGATGTTTTTTTGTTTGTATGTTTGTTTTTGTTTTTGAGACAGAGTTTCACTCTGTCGCCCAGGCTGGCATGCAGTGGCGCGATCTCGCTTCATGGCAACCTCCGCCTCCTGGGTTCAAGTGATTCTCCTGCCTCAGCCCCACGAGTAGCTGGGATGACAGGCATGCGCCACCATGCCCAGCTAATTTTGTATTTTTAGTAGAGATGGGGTTTCTCCATATTGGTCAGGCTGGTCTCGAACTCCTGACCTCAGGCGATCCACCCGCCTCGCCTCGGCTTCCCGAAGTGCTGGGATTACAGGTGTGAGCTACTGGACCTGGCCTAGTGGATGGTATTGTGTGATGGCAGCCCCAGCCGACTAATACACTCAGTTTGCAGCAGCAGAGTCAACCAGCCTTCTACCCAGGTTGGTGCTTAGCATGAAAGTTGGACCAGCACCCTTCCTTCTCCAAGTCATCATTCTTCACCAATTTCCCATCTCTGGGGAAGTCTAGATAATAGTTTGTAGATGCTGCTCACATTCTACGCAATACCAAGGAAGCATATGATTCAAGTAAGTAATTCAGCTTTATCATTTCCTTCGGCACCTGTTCGTAGATTCAGATCCATTCGTTCATTTCTTCACAGTCATCCGTCAGGCCAATGGGTATTTGCCACCTAAAAAGTAGATCATCGCCTGTCATCCCAGCACTTTGGGAGGCGGAGGAGGGTGGATCACCAGGTCAGGAGATCGAGACCATCCTGGCCAAGATGGTGAAACCCTGTCTCTACTAAAAATACAAAAATTAGCCGGGTGTGGTGGCTCACACCTGTCATCCCAGCACTTTGGGAGGCTGAGGCAGGTGGATCACTTGAGGTCAGGAGTTTGAGACCAGCCTGGGCAACATGGTGAAACCCCGTCTCTACTAAAAATGCAAAAATTAGCCGGGCATGGTGGCTCATGCCTGTCATCCCAGCACTTTGGGAGGCTGAGGCAGGTGGATCACCTGAGGTCAGGAGTTTGAGACCAGCCTGGCCAAGATGGTGAAACCCCGTCTCTACTAAAAATACAAAAATTAGCCAGGCGCGGTGGCTCACGTCTGTAATCCCAGCACTTTGGGAGGCCGAGGTGGGCAGATCACGAGGTCAGGAGTTCAAGACCAGCCTGGCCAACATGGCGCAACCCCATCTCTACTAAAAATACAAAAATTAGCCAGGCACGGTGGCTCACGTCTGTAATCCCAGCACTTTGGGAGGCTGAGGCAGGTGGATCACCTGAGGTCAGGAGTTTGAGACCAGCCTGGGCAACATGGTGAAATCCCATCTCTACTAAAAATGCAAAAATTAGCCGGGCATGGTGACGGGTGCCTGTAATCCCAGCTACTCGGGAGGCTGAGGCAGGAGAATCGCTTGAACCCAGGAGGTGGAGGTTGCAGCGAGTCGAGATGGCACCATTGCACTCCAGCCTGGGAACAGAGTGAGACTCCGTCTTAAAAAAAAAAAAAAAAAAAAAGTAGATTATTTCCAGAATGACAACATCCTTCCTCACCGTTCGAAATAAACAGTTGCTGTAACATTTCCGTTCTCCTCTCGGTGAGTTCTTTTCTTCATTTCGGTTTTCTGAGAAAGCAGTGGGCTCAACACAGATAATCACACAGTGATTCTGAGCAGGAGACATCCGTTCGACACAGCGAGGTGGGGGGAGTGGAGCGGGAGGGTTTGTCTCTCAGGGACTGTGTGATGAAGACAGCTTTTCCCCAGCCAGGCTGGGTTAACGAGGCAGGAAGCGTTCGGTGACATCATGACACTGCTGTGCTGCCAGATAGAAAAGGAGAGATTTTCTGTCTCTGAAAACTCAAGACAAAATAAATTGACCTCTGAGCGGAAATCTTTGCCACGGCTTCTCAGCCCACATTTTCAACCAGGAGAATTGTTTCTTAATTAAAAGAAAAAAAAAAAATACTCCAGCAAAGGAAAATAAGGGCTTCCATCTCAAGCCACAAATACTGCAGTAAGGGAAGATAAGGGCTTCCATCTCAATCCACCAACCTGTGTGCGGTTGGTCCCCACTGACTGGGGGGACCCCGTCTTGGTCCTCACTGCCTGGGGACCAGTGACCCCGTCTTCAGGCACCGATGTTGTCTTTGATCTGGGACTCTGCACCTTCACCCTGACACGACCCAGGGGTGCAAGGCAGACAGCAGCCGGCTGGCGGGTTGACGTGTAGGGTGGCGGGGAGCAGGGAGAGGTGGGCTCCGCAGAGAGCTGCTACCTGAACCCGTTCCCTGACATCATTTTGTTACACCCCTCCGAGACGCGGAGGGGGGTGCCTGGGCCTCCCTGTCAGGGCTCCATACCAGACCCTGTGTCTGCAAATGGCAGCTTGTCAGCCTCATCAGGCAAGAGCGAGTCTAGCAGACGTTGCTTTTTTTTTTTTTTTTTTTCCAATCCTGCCCCAGAGTCAATTAAAATACAGTAAGGCTGACATTTGCAGAATACAGAATGATCAAAGCCAAAAATGCCCATACAGCTTCTGAC
Source organism: Homo sapiens (assembly GCF_000001405.40). Classification (NCBI taxonomy): domain Eukaryota; kingdom Metazoa; phylum Chordata; class Mammalia; order Primates; family Hominidae; genus Homo; species Homo sapiens. The sequence continues at coordinate 1,094,132 of NC_000024.10, forward strand.
ATAAAAACAGTGTGTTTGGCGGAAGACAGACACAGTGTAACAGGTCAGGTAATTATGAGAAAATCTATGATATATCTGTTGCAGTTGGTTAGTTTGTACACACGATCACAGCCATCAAACAAAAGAGCGGGCTCTCTTCTCCTGACGGCTGCGAGAGCCGCTGACACCGTCTCGTGACGCTGATACAGATGGCTTCTGCAGACAGACTGAATTAATTTGACAGTAAATAGGGGGTAGCGGTTACTGCCTTCTTTAAATATCTATTTTTTAATTGCACCTGAGCAGGTTTTATTTTTGCCCTTCTGGGGATTTGCTGGCGAAGCATTTGGTGGTCTTATTAGCCATGCACTCTCCTCCCATTTCACGTTACAGCCCTGGGCACAGGTGTGTCCATGCACACACACACATACTGTCACACACACACACACACGCATGCATGCATACAGCAAAGTTGTTTTTTGTTGTTTGTTTGTTTTTCTGCTGTGTGTAAATACAGCACGTGTACAAACACACTTTCTGCTGTTTTATCGTTTGCATGCTAATTGCTTGAAAGTAATGCATTTTCTCCCCTCTCTTCCCAGCTCCCTCCTCCCAGAATCCATCCCCAACACCCAAAGCTGAACAGATGTGTTCATTATGGTGATTAAGGAATTCTCCCATCTTTTTGCCTCGATGTGTTTATTAAATTAATGAGGGATGAGACAGATGAATCTGTGCGCTCAGGGTACAACCAGGCAAAAGCCACGGGTGTATTTCACGGGGCTGGGTACTCTCTGCCATGCTCACATCGTAATTGGCTTAATGGGTTTTCCGTGATGCGGAATGTCTCTTTCCTCCTCTCTCAGGCAAACTAATTACAGCTTTTTACATTAAATTCTAATAGATTTCAATTTATCTCTTCTAAATTATCACAATAATTACAGTAATAAATTAAGCACGTTGACACCATTCATGAACACACTTTGGGTCTGGCGTTACAGCAGCGTGGTGTTGCAGAGGCTGACTAAATAGACGTGCTGGCTGAGGATGATGGGGGCGGCGCTGGGAGAGAGTGTGTGTCTGTGTGTGTGCGAGCAGATTTGTGATGTTTTTCTGAAAGTCTGCAGAGAGTTCTCCCAAAAGAGAGTTGCATTAAAGGGTACGAATATTTAGAGAGAATCACTGTGTCTTCTCTCAAGTTCCCTGGTTGGTTGGTTGTTTTTGTTTTTCTGAGACGGAGTTTCACTCTTGTTGCCCAGGCTGGAGTGCGGTGGTGCCATCTCGGCTCACTGCAACCTCCGCCTCCTGGGTTCAAGCGATGCTCCTACCTCAGCCTCCCGAGTAGCTCGGATTACAGACATGCGCCACCACGCTCGGTTATTTATTTATTTATTATTTATTGATTTTTTGTATTTTTAGTAGAGACAGGATTTCACCACGTTGTCCAGGTTGCTCTCGAACTCCTGACCTCAGGTGATCTGCTCATCTTGGCCTCTCAAAGTGCTGGGATGACAGGTGTGAGCCACCGTGCCTGGCTTTTTTTTTTTTTTCTTTCCTATTTCCCCATTGGGTCCGATTCCCCTGCCTCAGCCTCCCGAGCAGCTGGGACTACAGGCACCCGCCACCACGCCCGGCTAATTTTTGTATTTTTAGTAGAGACGGGGTTTCACCATGTTGGCCAGGCTGGTCGCGAACTCCTGACCTCAGGTGATCCGCCCGCCTCGGCCTCCCAAAGAGTGTGTTCATGTCTCACCAGCACAAATATGTAATCAACCGTGTCCCCTTTGCAGAGTAAGGTGGCCATGAGGTTTCAGGTATATTATCGGATCCTTCTATTCCATTTTAATGACCTCCCATTATTTCTGCAGAGAAGGTGAAAGTTCCCCTTCAACATCCTTCATCACAGCCATCGCCCCCCAACTCCACTCGCCACTGCCACCCAGACGTCAAATCCTAGAGAGACTTCAGATGGCCGGGGGAGGCCTTCCTGGCTTTCTTTGTCACTCCACGCCGAATCCGAGTGTCACACGTGGCCCACCTGTGAAGTTCCTGGCCGGTGCTGATATAAATGGTAACAGGGCCGATGGCCTGCGATTGTCAGAGATTGATTTAGACAGGTGACTTCTTCTGCTTTGTAAGGTAATGAGACCGAACTTTCAGACTAACTTTCCAAACTCTGGGGGTGACGGCTTCAGTGCAGTCAGTTGACGTAAAAGTTTATCGGCAGGCAGCGGTGGCTCACGCCTGGAATCCCACAACTTTAGTAGAGACAGGGTTTCACCGTGTTGGCCAGGCTGGTCTCAAACGCCTGACCTAACGTGATCCACCTGTCTTGGCCTCCCAGAGTGCTGGAATTACGACCGTGAGCCACCACGCCTGGCCCAACAAAACTTATTTAATTTTTATTTTATTTGTTTATTTTTTGAGACAGAGTCCCACTCTGTCGCCTAGGCTGGAGTACAGTGGCGCAATCTCGGCTCACTGCAACCTCCGCTCCTGGGTTCAAGCGATTCTCCTGCCTCAGCCTCCCGAGTAGCTGGGACTACACGTGCCTGCCACCACACCTAGCTCATTTTTGTATTTTAGTAGAGACAGGGTTTCACCATGTTGGCCAGGCTGGTCTCAAACGCCTGACCTAACGTGATCCACCTGCCTTGGCCTCCCAGAGTGCTGGGATTACAAACGTGAGCCACCACGCCTGGCCCAACAAAACTTATTTTAAATTAAGTTTCCAGTTAAACTTATTGGAACACAGGCATGTGGTAAAATCTAAAATTTAATTTAAAATTCAAAAGCATTCCAATTAAAGTGAAATTAAATGCAACTAAATTGAAAATAAAATTAAAATGTATAATGTAGGGCACAGTGGCTCATGCCTGTAATCCCAGCACTTTGGGAGGCCGAGGCGGGTGGATCATCTGAGGTCAGGAGTTAAAGACCAGCCTGGCCAACATGGTGAAACCCCGTCTCTAATAAAAATACAAAACTTAGCTATGCATGGTGGCAGTCACCTGTAGTTTCAGCTACTTGGGAGGCTGAGGTGGGAGAATCACTTGAACCCAGGAGGGGGAAACGTGGGTGTGATGGCTGGAGCCCCAGCAGCTGTTTCTGACTCTGAGGTGTTGCTGGAATAGACATAGGGGAAGCTTGACATTCTGCACCCATTTCTGCTTCTTGCTGGGAGAAAGGTGGGTGTGAGGGCAGGAGCCCCAGCATCCACGTTGGACTCTGAGGCAGTGCTGGAATTGACATAGGGGAAGCTTGCCATTCTTCACCCATTTCTGCTTCTTGCTGGGGGAAAGGTAGGTGTGAGGGCTGGAGTCTCAGCAGCCACCTTGGACTCTGAGGTGATGCTGGAATGAATATATGGGGAAGTTTGCCATTCTTCACCCATTTCTGCTTCTCTTTGGGGGAAAGGTGGGTGTGAGGGCTGGAGCCATAGCAGCTGTTTTGGACTCTGAGGTGATGCTGGAATGAACACATCAGAGAGCTTGCCATTCTTCAGCCATTCCTGCTTCTTGCTGGAGGAAAGGTGGGTGAGAGGGCTGGAGTCTCAGCAGCCACCTTGGACTGTGAGGTGATGCTGGAATGGACATAGGGGAAGCTTGACATTCTTCAGCCATTTCTGCTTCTTGCTGGTGGAAAAGTGGGTGTGAGGGCTGGAGCCCCAGCAGCTGTTTTGGACTCTGAGGTGACACTGGAAGTGAAAATCTCATATGCAGAATCCTGGGTCCTGGGAGGAGCACACAGTCCTGGGGTGGCTTCTGCAAGTCCTCCTTTTTCTTCTACTTCTTCTTCTTCTTTTTTTAATTGAGATGGAGTCTCACTCTGTCACCCAGGCTGGAGTTCAGTGACGCGATCTCGGCTCACTATAGCCTCCACCTCCCAGGTTCAAGCGATTCTCCTGCCTCAGCCTCCCGAGTAGCTGGGACTACAAGCACGTGCCACCACGCCTGGCTAATTTCTGTATTTTTTTTTTTTTTGAGACAGAGTCTGGCTCTGTTACCCAGGCTGGAGTGCAGTGGCATGATCTCGGCTAATTTAAAAATTAGCCAGGTATGGTGACACATGGTTGTAGTCCCAGCTACTCGGGAGGCCGAGGTAGGGGGATCACTTGAGCCCAGGAGGTTGAGGCTGCAGTGAGCTATGATATCTCAACCCTTTGGGAAGTGGAGGTGAGAGGATTACTTGAGGCCAGGAGTTCAAGACCTGCCTGGCCAACATAGCAAGACCCCATCTCTACAAAAAAAATTAGCCGAGCATCATGACCTGTTCCTGTAATCCCAGCTACTTGGGCAGACAAGGTGGGTGATTCACTTGAGCCCAGGAGTTCAAGACCAGCCTGGGTAACATAACAAGACCCCATCTCTACAAAAAATTAGCCAAGCATGATGGCGTGAGGCCAGGAGTTCAAGACCAGCCTGGGCAAGATAGTAAGACCCTGTCTCTGCAAAAAATTCAAAAATTAGTCAGGTATGGTGACGCATAGTTGCAGTCCCAGCTACTCGGGAGGCTGAAGTAGGGGGATCACTTCAGCCCAGGAGGTTGAGGCTGCAGTGAACTATGATATCTCAACCCTTTGGGAAGTGGAGGTGAGAAGATTCCTTGAGGCCAGGAGTTCAAGACCTGCCTGGCCAACATAGCAAGACCCCATCTCTAAAAAAAAAAATAGCCGAGCATGATGACCTGTTCCTGTAATCCCTCTGGGCTACTTGGGCAGCCAAGGTGGGTGAATCGCTTGAGCCCAGGAGTTCAAGACCAGCCTATGCAACATAGCAAGACCCTGTCTCTGAAAAAAACTTAAAAATTAGCCAGGTATGGTGATGCATGGTTATAGTCCCAGCTACTCAGGAGGTTGAGGTGGGGGATCGCTTGAGCCCAGGAGGTGAAGGCTGCAGTGAACTATGATGGTGCCATTGCACTCCAGTCCGGGTGACAGAGCAAGACCCTGTCTAAAAAAAAAAAAAATTAGAAAGGATCTTTAAAAAGGCAGAACAGAAAGACAGAGAGGAGTGACGCTTTAACATTCATGCAAGATGGTTAGAAATCCAAAGGGGAGTGAAAAATCAGGATCGAGACAGGTGGCTCACACCCATGGAATCTGCAGCCACCCCCAAAAAAACCCACATGGGCTGTGCCCTTTGGAAGCTCCAGGAGCAAGCAGCCCCCACGCCGGCTTCCTCATCCATCTGTGGCATTGGTTGTTGGGCATTTGAAATTGCAAGGTGTCTGCCTGCATTCCATAACGTGCCACAGAAACAAAAGGAGCAATCTCTCTCCCCTGATGGAAGCCAACAGCTGCTAAGAGGCCCGGAATGAGTGTGAGGAGATGATGAGCCTAGAGACCTGCTCCAGGATCAGGCAGCCGCCGAGTGGGAATGAGCCGGTCAGCAGGCATCTGCCATCATTGCTCCCCAAAGCAGGGGTTCCCCAGGTGCCCTCAGCCCCGCCCAGCCTCAAGGGTGGCTCTGAGACCACTGTGTGCTGGAATCAGCTGGACAGAAGGTGGCTGGCTGGAGAGGGTCATGGCTGGATGGGCACCTGGTAGCCTGTGGCCCTGGCCTGGGTTCAGGGAGGGTGTGGGCAGAGGGCAGGAGGAAGGTGGGGAGGAAGACACAGCAGGAGAAGGAGTAGGTGAAGGGAGCCAGGCTGGGGGAAGAAGAGGAGGAGGAGGAGATGGAGGAGGAGGAGATGGAGATGGAGAAGTTAGAGGAGGAGGAGATGGAGAAGTTAAAGGAGGAGGAGATGGAGAAGGAGGAGATGGAAGAGGAGGACGAGATGGAGGAGGAGGAGATTGAGGAGGAGGAGATGGAGAGGAGGAGAAAATGGAGGAGGAGGAGGAGAAGATGGAGGAGAAGGAGGAGATGGCAAAGGAGGAGATGGTGGAGATGGAGGAGGAGATAGAGGAGAAGGAGGAGATGGTAGAGATAGAGGAGGAGGAGAAGATGGAGGAGGAGCAGATGGAGGAAATGGAGAGGGAGGAGGAGATGGAGATGGAGGAGGAGGAGCTGGAGGAAGAGCAGACAGAGGAGATGGAGATGGACAAGGAGGAGAGGGAGGAGGAGGAGATGGAGGAGGTGGAGTAGATGGAAGAGGAGGAGGAAGAGATGCAGGAGATAGAGGAGGAGGAGGAGGAGCTGGAGGAAGAGCAGATGGAGAAAGAGGAGACAGAGGAGATAGAGATGGAAGAGATGGTGGCGGAGGAGGAGGAGATGGAAGAGGAGGAGGAAGAGATGCAGGAGATAGAGGAAGAGCAGGAGGAGATGGAGGAGGAGGAGACAAAGGAGGTAGAGATGGAGGAGATAGAGGAGGAGGAGATGGAGGAAGAGCAGAAGGAGGAAGAGGAGACAGAGGGGATAGAGATGGAGGAGATGGAGGAGGAGATGGAAGAGGAGGAGGAAGAGATGCAGGAGATAGAGGAGGAGGAGGAGGAGATGGAGGAAGAGGAGATGGAGGAGAGTGGGGAGATTTTCCTGCTCGAAACAGTGCTCAGCTTTGGGTATGGTGATCAGCACCACGTGTTACTTTGTTTGACAAACATGCTTCAAAAAAAAAAAAAGACACAGGAACGTGATTTCCACACAATATTTTAAAATACCACTGTCAGGAATTAATCACATGCAAACAGATATTGTTTTCTGGACTTAAACAACTTTGAAAATGTCACATAATGTTGCTTTTCTGTATGGTTTTTTATTCCTTTTAAGTTTTATTCCAATGAGGTTTTAAGAGAGGTAAGTTGCATAAATATCATATCAAGGTATTATAAGTAACTACATTTAAAATGACAAATCTGTGATCAGAAATGTGAAGTTTGATCCAGATGAACAGGGACTCTCAAAGGGCACGAAACAACCACTCGTGAGGATCTGATTCAAATGCAAAATTGACCCCTGCAATTGAAACCACAGTTATAATAAAAAGATATCCTAAACCAATTGAAACCAAAATTTCCAAAAATATACTTTTTAAAAAGATCAGAAATGAAAAAGTGTGAGTAAAATAAAGCAACTCAGCTAATCTCCTTTGAAAGTGAATTTGGTATGAGATTTGAAGTATGATTTGTGGTCTGTGATGCTCAACTGGTGTGGATGGAGCTGATCTATGGTCTGTGATCCTCACCTGGTGTGGATGGAGCTGATCTATGGTCTGTGATGCTCCCCTGGTGTGGATGGAGCTGATCTATGGTCTGTGATGCTCCCCTGGTGTGGATGCAGCTCATCCATGGTCTGTGAGGCTCACCTGGGGTGGATGGAGCTAATCTATGGTCTGTGATAGTCACCTAGTGTGAATGGGGAAGGGCCATGGTCTGTGATGCTCCCCTGCTGTGCATGGAGCTGATCTATGGTCTGTGATGCTCACCTGGTGTGGATGGAGCTGATCTATGGTCTGTGATGCTCACCTGGTGTGGATGCAGCTCATCCATGGTCTGTGAGGCTCACCTGGGGTGGATGGAGCTAATCTATGGTCTGTGATAGTCACCTAGTGTGAATGGGGAAGGGCCATGGTCTGTGATGCTCCCCTGCTGTGCATGGAGCTGATCTATGGTCTGTGATGCTCACCTGGTGTGGATGGAGCTGATCTATGGTCTGCGATACTCCCCTGGTGTGGATGGAGCTGATCTATGGTCTGTGATGCTCCCCGGGTGTGGATGGGGCTGATCTATGGTCTGTGATGCTCACTTGGTGTGGATGGAGCTGATCTATGGTCTGCGATACTCACTTGCTGTGGATGGAGCTGATCTATGGTCTGTGATACTCATCTGGTGTGGATGCAGCTCATCCATGGTCTGTGAGGCTCACCTGGTGTGGGTGGAGCTAATCTATGGTCTGTGATACTCACCTAGTGTGAATGGGGAAGGGCCATGGTCTGTGATGCTCCCCTGCTGTGCATGGAGCTAATCCATGGTCTGTGATGCTCACCTGGTGTGGATGGGGCTGATCTATGGTCTGCGATACTCCCCTGGTGTGGATGGAGCTGATCTATGGTCTGTGATGCTCCCCGGGTGTGGATGGGGCTGATCTATGGTCTGTGATGCTCACCTGGTGAGGATGCAGGTCATCCATGGTCTGTGATGCTCACCTGGTGTGGGTGGAGCTAATCTATGGTCTGTGATACTCACCTAGTGTGAATGGGGAAGGGCCATGGTCTGTGATGCTCCCCTGCTGTGCATGGAGCTAATCCATGGTCTGTGATGCTCACCTGGTGTGGGTGGAGCTGACCTATGCTCTGTGATGCTCACCTGGTGTGGATGGGGCTGATCTATGGTCTGTGATACTCATCTGGTGTGGGTGGAGCTGATCTATGGTCTGTGATACTCACCTGGTGAGGATGCAGGTCATCCATGGTCTGTGATGCTCACCTGGTGTGGGTGGAGCTAATCTATGGTCTGTGATACTCACCTAGTGTGAATGGGGAAGGGCCATGGTCTGTAATGCTCACCTGGTATAGATGGAGCTGATCTGTAGTCTGTGATGCTCAACTGGTGTGGATGGAGCTGATCTATGGTCTGTGATACTCATCTGGTGTGAATGGGGAAGGGCCATGGTCTTTGATGCTCCCCTGGTGTGGATGGAGCTAATCTATGGTCTGTGATACTCACCTGGTGTGGATGGAGCTGATCTGTAGTCTGTGATGCTCAACTGGTGTGGATGGAGCTGATCCATGGTCTGTGATGCTCAACTGGTGTGGATGGAGCTGATCTATGGTCTGTGATGCTCACCTGGTGTGAATGGGGGAGGGCCATGGTCTGTGATGCTCACTTGGTGTGGATGTAGCTGATCTTTGGTCTGTGATGCTCCCCTGGTGTGGATGGAGCTGACACATGGTCTGTGATGCTCCCCTGCTGTGTATGTAGCTCACCCACGGTCTGTGATGCTCATGTGGGTCAGGTGTGGGTATCATATGGCCTATAGTCTGAAGCTCACCTGGACCAGCTCTCGCTGCTGCTGAAACAGGGACTCACAGGCATGTCTCCCACGGAACTGTGCCTGGGTTATTTAAGGACTGTGACCACTGACCCATGGAGCTGAGAGCACTTAACTGGTGTGGAGAAAGTGGGTTTTATACATGCATGCTGTGAAAATATTTTTATATCAGAATTAGGAACTAAATGTTATAATTAAACACATCTCTCCAATTAAGTTCTTGAGCCAGCTAATTGCATGAGTCCACATAAACTTGCTTTAAAAAATAACAGTAGCCCATTTCACCTTATAGAAACTAAATTACCTCTTTAGCCACTAAGCATATACACAGATTATACCCATTAGCTTTTTATTTTTCTATCTTTACATAATGGAAATGCCTGAAAAATTGAGGGTGAAAAAAACCTCAAGGCTTGAGGTCTGGCTTGAAATTAAGTGTGTTCTGCTCATTGTCACCAATTTTGTCTTAAATTACAAGGTGCGATTTCACATAAACATGAGTGTTAGTGTCAAATTCCCCTTGTGGTCTCATCGGTATCTGCTATGTCTGCACAGCCCACAAACACAGGGCCAGGCTGGGCTCAGCATGAAATCGTGACTCTCCTATTTCTTCCTGTGTGTGAACCTGGCAAACTTTAAAAAATAGAATAAATAAAATCGCTCTGTGCCTAAGCTTCCTCATTAGAAAAGTAAAAAGAAAGGTAAAATATTCCTCCAAACATACTTTTAAGAATTAGGACAGGCGTGGTGGCTCACGCCTGTCATCCCAGCACTTTGGGAGGCCGATGCCGGGGGATCACTTGAGGTCAGCAGTTCGAGACCAGCCTGGCCAACATGGTAAAACCCTGTCTCTACTAAAAATACAAAATTAGCCAGATGTGGTGGCGGGCGCCTGTAATTCCAGCTACTCAGGAAGCTGAGGCAGGAGAATTGCTTGAACCTGGGAGGCGGAGGTTGCAGTGAGTTGAGACGGTGCCACTGCACTCCAGCCTGGAGGACACAGCGAGACTCCACGTTAAAAAATAATAAAGATAAAATAAAAAGTATGTAGCTCAACGTGTTCTTCTAGTGGGAGTGTTAAATACACAATAGCCAAGACATGGAATCAACCTATGTGTCCATCAGTATATAAGTGAATAAAGAAAACGTGGTCGTAAGACAAGGCCTGGTGGCTCACACGTGTAATCCCAGCACTTTGGGAGGCCAAGGAGGGTGGATCAGTTGAGGTCAGGAGTTTGAGACCAGCCTGGCCAACATGGTGAAACCCTGTCTCTACTAAAAATACAAAAATCAGCCCAGCGTGCTGGCGGGTGCCTGTAATCCCAGTTCCTCTAGAGGCTGAGGCAGGAGAATTACTTGAACCCAGGAGGCAGAGGTTGCAGTGAGCTGAGACCGTGCCACTGCACTCCAGCCTGGATGAGAGAGCGAGACTCTGTCTCCAAAAAACAACAACAAAAAAAGATATCTGTATACATAGATAGGTAGATACAGGTATAGATAGAGGTATATAGAGTATACTTTGATATAGATACACATAGACAAACATATGTATAGGAACAGATAGGTACAGATATTGATATACATAGGTATAGCTAAGCATAGACCTACAGATGTATCTGTAGGTATGGATGCAGATATAAATATAGAATATACTTAGATAGACACAGACATAGACATAGCTATACACAGATATAAATACAGATATCCGTGTACCTATAGCTATAATACACATAGTACAGATATTCATAGGCATATATAGGAATAGATACAGACATGAATATAAATAAGTAAAGTTAGGTGTAGCTATATGTAGACATAGGTATAGATATAGAGAAAACACTGAAGTATACTTACATATAGATATATGTAGACACAGATATAATAGGTCTGGATATATACACAATACTTTTATATACATAGAAATAAATAGGTATAAATATATAGATAAACACACAGATATATGTATGCCACGCATATACACATACATAAATTGGACAGCGTAAAATGGGGCTGGAAATTCTTCTCCTGCACATAGAGATTTAAAGAATGCTTTCAGAGACCAGGCGCGGTGGCTCACGCCTGTCATCCCAGCACTTTGGGAGGCCAAGGTGGGAGGCTCACTTGAGGTCAGGAGTTCAAGACCAGCCTGGCCAACATGGCGAAACCCCGTCTCTACTAAAAATACAAAAATTATCCGGGCGTGGTGGTGCGTGCCTGTAATCCCAGATACTCAGGAGGCTGAGGCAGGAGAATCGCTTGAACCCGGGAGGCGGAGGTTGCGGTGAGCCAAGATCGCGCCATCGCACTCCAGCCTGGGCGACAGAGGGAGACTCTGTCTCAAATAAAATAAAATAAAATAAAAACATTAAAAAATGAAAGCATGCTTTCAGGAAACATGTTGATGATTTTAAAATATGACATGTTGGGACCAAATTCTTAGAAAGCTGCAGAAGTTCACTGTGCCCCTCACTTTTTTGTGAGACTCCCCTGCATTCTCGACCCACGTTGTCTGGTAAAACTCCAAAAGTCACTCCGGGGGGTGATTGGCCCACATCGATTTATCTGGGCCAACGTGAAGGGCTCTCTGAACAATGGGCCTTGACGAGAGACCCCAGAACCTGCTCACAAAAACACTCAAACAGAACCTCGGTTCTCTCTCTCTCATGTAGAAGCACTGTGTCTCGTCCGTTTGAATTTTCCTAAAATTTCACTGGTAAATATCCACAAGGAAAAGAACACAGAACTGGCTCGGCTGCTCTGCCCCAGAGGTTGGAATAAGAAAGCTCATCTCAGTAACGTGGCCGGGACGTTCCAAGCTCTCGGGCTCAGGAAACGGGTGGTGAATTGGCAGGTGCTCAAGGGTGTCACAGATTTCGTTTTCAAAGACCAATAGTTGATTGTAGAAGGGCACCTGCCCATCTGTGAGGTTAGGCCTGGGAAACAAACCTTGTCTGCTGTTTGGGTTACGGTCACTAACTCTTCAAATCCCACGTTGAGAGAAAGAGAGAGAGAGAGAGAAAGAGGAGAGAGAAGGAGAGAGAGAAAGAGGGAAGGAGAGAGAGAAAGAGGGAAGGAGAGAGAGAGAGACAGAAGAGAGAGGAGAGAGAGACAGAGGAGAGATAGAAGGAGAGAGAGAGACAGAGGAGACAGAAGGAGAGAGAGAGACAGGGAGAGAGAAGGAGCGAGAGAGAGACAGGGAGAGAGAGGAGAGAGAGACAGAGGAGAGATAGAAGGAGAGAGAGAGACAGAGGAGACAGAAGGAGAGAGAGAGACAGGGAGAGAGAAGGAGCGAGAGAGAGACAGAGGAGACAGAAGGAGAGAGAGACAGAGGAGAGAGATGGAAGAGAGAAGGAGAGAGAGGAGAGAGAGAGAACAAGAAGGAGAGAGATAGAGACAAAGACAGAAAGAGAGAGACAGAAGAGAGAGAAGGAGACAGAGAGAGGAGAGAGAAGGAGAGAGAGGAGAGAGAGAGAACAAGAAGGAGAGAGAGACAAAGAAAGAGAGAAAGAGAGAGACAGAAGAGAGAGAAGGAGAGAGAACAAGAAGGAGAGAGATAGAGACAAAGAAAGAGAGAGAGAGAGACAGAAGAGAGAGAAGGAGAGAGAGAGAAGGAGAGAGAGAGACAGAGGAGAAAGAAGGAGAGAGATAGAGACAAAGAAAGAGAGAAAGAGAGACAGAGGAGAAAGAAGGAGAGAGATGGAGACAAAGAAAGAGAGAGACAGAGAAAGAGAGACAAAGAGAGAAACAGACAAAGACAGATAAAGAGAGAGAAAGAGACAGATAGAGACAGAAAGAGACACACAGAGAGAGATAAGGAGGGGGAGAGAGACAGAGAGAGGGAGGGAGAAAGAGAAAGAGGGAGAGAGAGAGGGAGACAGAGGAGAGAAAGAGAGAAAGAGAGACAGAGAGGGAGGGAGGGAGGGAGAGAGAGAGGGAGAGAGAGGGATGTCAGCCACGCTCGCAGCTAGCTCTGAGTGTGGTTGTGTGTGCCTCTGTGTGTGTTCCAGCTGTTCACTCCTCCACCTCTGACTGCAAATGTGTGTGTGTGTGTGTGCCTGTGTGTGTTTCCAGTATCACCGACGGAACCTCATCCACGTGTAGGGAGCTGTGCGTTTGGTTGTGTAGGTTTTTGTGTCAGTGACGTCTCGGATTATTGGTTTGCATAATAATTAGATTAGGGACATCTGGAAGTTGGTGGCAGACAGCTGTTGATGGATCCGGTTAGGCAACACCTGTGAGGTCAGGACCTGCCTGGGAGCTCCCATTCATTTCTTCACTCATTCATTCATTCAGATGCCAACACAGCCCGACTCCACTCCAAGAGCTACCGTCAGCTGCAAAGAACCATTCCCTTCCCAGACGGACCTGTAGGACCGAAACAAATAGCCACCTTCCAGCCAGGCGCGGTGGCTCGCACCTGTCCTCCCAGCACTTCGGGAGACCGAGGCGGGTGGATCCCTTGAGGTCAGGAGTTCAAGACCAGCCTGGCCAACATGGTGAAACCCCGTCTCTACTAAAAATAGAAAAACTAGCCGGGCATGTGGCACGTGTCTGTAATCCCAGCACTTTGAGAGGCTGAGGGGGGTGGATCTCCTGAGGGCAGGTGTTCGAGACCAGCCTGGCCAACATGGTGAAATCCAGGGTCTCCACAATATCTCCAGCACTAATCCTAGGAGCACTTTAGTGAGGGCCAGAATCTTGCAGCCTCCATCTACATTACTCCTAAACCATCATCTAATCTTGTGGCTAATGTTAGTCCTACAGAGGCAATCTACTCCCCAGGCAAGAAGGAGCTCTGCTTAGAGAAAGGGCTGTTATCATTTTTTTGTTTGTTTGTTTGAGACAGGGTCTCGCTGTGTTGCCCAGGCTGGTGTGTAGTGGTGCGATCTTGGCTCACTGCAACCTCCACCTCCCGGGTTCAAGTGATTCTCCTACCTCAGCCTCCTGAGTAGCTGAAACTACAGGTGTCCACCACCACACCCTACTAATTTTTGTATTTTTAGTAGAGACGGGGTTTCACCGTATTGGCCAAGCTGGTCTCGAACTCCTGACCTCAGGTGATCCACCTGCCTCAGCTTCTCAAAGTGCTGGGATTACGGGTGTGAGCCACCACGCCTGGCCAGTCAAATGCTGTGATTCTATGAGAAGGACATTTTTTTTTTTGAGATGGAATTTGGCTCCTGTTGCCCAGGCTGGAGTACAGTGATACAATCTCAGCTCACTGCAACCTCCACCTCCCGGGTTCAAGCGATTCTCCTGCCTCAGCCTCCCAAGTACCTGGGATTACAGGCACCTGCCACCATGCCCAGCTAATTTTTGTATTTTTAGTAGAGACGGGGTTTCACCATGTTGGCCAGGCTGGTCTCGAACTCCTGACCTCAGGTGATCCGCCCACCTCAGCCTCCCAAAGTGTTGGCATGACAGGCGTGAGCCACTGAGCCTGGCCAGTGAAATGCTATGATTCTATGAGGACATTTTTTTAAGTTGAATGACCTTTGAGAAGCTGTTTTCTTAGGACCTCTTTCCAGAAAAAGTAACATCAGGACAAAGCGGTGGGCGGCTGGTTTGGGGCCCAGGGAGGGGGAAGGGCTACGGCTCAGCAGCATTCCAAGTGACTTGTTTTGAAAGAAATCCCTCCGTTTGAGAGTGTGTGCAGCACAAAACCACCGTCTTCCCTCTTGAAGAAACGCCAGGCAAATAGCAGCTTCGGGCTTGTGCAAATTAAGGCATCAGTAACTTTTGCTTATACAATTTGTTGAATAAATAGGGTTGAATCTATTGAATAAATGAGTCAACATAAGCTTTGAAAACAATGTCTGAAGGCATCCTGTTAAGGTCTATTTGCATAAGTGGTTAAGCTGTGAAAGGCAGTGGCGGCAGCCTCAAGTCCTAGGGAAAAAAACAAAAAAACAAAAAAAACACAAACCATAAGCAATCAGGCAGCCCAGCTGTTTTCAAATCGTGCCCCCAAAGAGGCTCCAGAAAAACCTGTCGTTTGATTCATTCCGTGAAGACACCAGCTTCCGAGGAGCCCTTGCATGCTTCGTAGGTACATTACGGACTGAGGGTCTAAGCAAGAGCACCCAGGCTTACAGAGTGTGGCTGAGCTTTTTGTTTTACAGCCCAGAAAAGATGACACTGGCCCAAATGTTTGAAATAAAACAGGGCCGGGTGCGGTGGCTCATGCCTGTCATCCCAGCACTTTGGGAGGCTGAGGCGAGGGGATCACCTGATGTCAGGAGTTTGAGAGCAGCCTGA
This sequence comes from Homo sapiens, assembly GCF_000001405.40. Classification (NCBI taxonomy): domain Eukaryota; kingdom Metazoa; phylum Chordata; class Mammalia; order Primates; family Hominidae; genus Homo; species Homo sapiens. Next base: position 1,109,296 of record NC_000024.10, read on the forward strand.
CCAACATGGTGAAACCCCATCTGTACTAATAATACAAAAATTAGCCGGGTGTGGTGGTTGATGCCTGTACTCCCAGCTACTCAGGAGGCTGAGGGAGGAGAATGGCTTGAACCTGGGAGGCGGAGGTTGCAGTGAGCCAAGACCGCGCTGCTGCACTCCAGCTGGGGCAAGAAAGAAAGAAGGAAGGAAGGAAGGAAGGAAGGAAGGAGGGAGGGAGGGAGGGAGGGAGGGAGGGAGGGAGGAGGAAGGAAAGAAATGGACGGAAAGAAAGGGAAGGAAGGGAAGGGAAAGAAGGGAAGGGAAGGAAGGGAAGGGAAGGAAGGAAATGAAAGGAAAGGAAAGGAAGGAAGAAACAGGAGCACCAAATATTCCCTTCTAAAGTCTCTTTGTTTCCCATGTATGCATTTATTTTTTGAGATGGGGTCTTGCTATGTTGCCCAGGCTGGAGTGCAGTGGAGTCCCATCATAGCTCACTGCAGCCTCAACCCCCTGGGCTCAAAAGGATCCTCCTGCCTCAGCCTCCGGAGCAGCTGGGACTACAGGTGCATGCATCACCACACCCAGCTAATTTTTTATTTTTTGTAGAGACGGGATCTTGCTATGTGGTCCAGGCTGGTCTCCAACTGCTGAACTGAAATGATCCTCCCGTTTCAGCCTCTCCTGAGTCACTGGGACTGCAGGCACACACCACCACATACAGCTAAGTTTCTGGTTTTGTTTTTGAGACTGAGTCACACTCTGTCACCCAGGCTAAAGTGGAGTGCCGTGATCCCCACTCACTGCAACTGTTGACCTGCCCCAGGAGGCAGGACCGAGGGGGGTGATGGTGGCATAGGAGGACACTGGGAGACCTGGAGAGCTTTCTGTGGATCCAGACAAACAATGTCAATTTGGGTGTGTGTGTGCATGCATGCTAGTTTGTGTGTGTGTGTGTGCATGCATGCATGCTTGCTGGTGTGTGTGTGCGTGTGTGTATACATTGTGTCTGTGTGTATACGTACATGCTAGTGTATGTGGATGTGTATGCATGCATCTCTGTGTGTATGTATGCGTCTGTCTGTGCATGCAAGCTAGTGTGTGTTCATGCATGCTAGTGTAATTGCACACGTGTGTGCATGCTAGTGTGTGTGTATGCATCTGTGTGCATATATGTATGCGTCTCTGTGTGTGCATGCATGCTATTGTGTGTGCATATGCACGTGTGTTTGTGTATATGCATGCTAGTGTGTGTTTATGTATGCATATGTGGGCATGTACGTATGTATGTATCATGTGTACATGTGTGCTAGTGCACGTGCATGCGTGTGTGCGCATGTATGTACGCATCTGTGTGTGCATGTGTATGTATGTGTGCATGCATGCTAGTGTATGTATGTGTGTGTATGTAGTCGTCTCTGTGTGTATGCATGCCAGCGTATGTGAACACACGTATATGTATGCTAGTGTGTGCATGCCTGCTAGTGTATGTGCACACGTGTGTGTGCGTCCATGAAAGTGTGTGTACATGCTAGTGTGTGTGCATATGCGTGTGTGTTTGTGTGCATGCATGCTAGCGTGTGCATGTGTGTATGTAGGCGTCTGTGTGCATGCATGCTAGCGTATGTGAACACATATATGTATGCTAGTGTGTGTATGCATGCTAGTGTATGTGAACACACGTGTGTGTGCGTGCATGCTGGTGTGTGTGTGCATGCTAGTGTGTGGGCATACATGAGTATGTTTGAATGCATGCGTGCTAGTGTGTGCGTGTGTATATGCATGCTAGTGTATTTGCGTGCAACGTGTGCGTTTGTGTGCATGCATGCTAGTGTGTGTGTGTGTGCGTGTGTGTCATTTTTCCGCCATAATAGAGAGTAGAGAGAAGAGGTGAGATTAGAAAACTTCAATTAAGCCTTTCAAAAGACCATCTGCCAAACGGTGACTGGGGTTCCGTGTAAACAAAGTGTCTGTGCTGGTTACAAACACATGATCTTACCTATTGTATTGTGTTACAAATGAAAATGAGATTAAGCCACCTACACGGTACCTCTCTTGCATCTTCAATTTGTCATGGAGGCTGAGCATCGCTGGTGTATATTCATCCCGCCTGATGAGCCCTCATTATCTCTGTAGCAGCGGTATACACGGTGCACAGCATAATCAAAGCCTGCGGGTACGTATTAATTATCCTTTTGAATAGTGATGAAATTTTAAAAAGATCTCCTTTAGCTCATATCATCAGCAGATGAAACAAAGGCGCACACAGCTTGTGCGCAGAGGTTCACATGTGTTTTTACATCTGTTCAGGATATTGCAATTTGAAGCTCAACAAGCAGACACTGCGATTAAAGAAGAGGATGAAGGGAGAGAGAGAGGGAGAGAGGGAAGAAGAAGAAGAAAAAAAAAAAGTCCTGCAATGACAAATAACCAATAGACCCCGCCCCCAGCTCATTGAGGAGAGACGAAAATGAGTAACTCCTTCTCCAAGAATGCACCATTGCTTTATTTTTGTCTCTCTAAGGAGGATGATTTAAAAGCAAGAATCCATGCATGCAACGTGAGGTGTGTGGTGATGGCAAGTGCACCTGTTACCTCCGAACACCACAGCTCTCGTGCACAAACCTGCAGCTTGCCCTTCTCCCGGCAGCTTCTCTCCTGGGGTCCTGTTGGGGTGGGGGGGGGTTCCCGGAAGCTCAGAGAGAAGGAAGAAGAGAGCTGCCCTTTTCAGAGAGGCTCAGGCGGCGGTCTTTGTTTTGTTGCTTGAATTAGAATGCGGCTATGGGGTGGTCTGTAGGGGGAGCAGAAAGAGAAAGACCCCGTGTGCGCCAAGAGCGGTGGGGGGGGGGGGTCCTTGGACATTGACAAGCTGTTTCTAGGAACTCCGTCCCCTGGGGTGAGAGAAGGCCCTGATACACAACCCCTTGCATTGAACACGGGACTTCTGAGTTCTGGGTAGAAAAGCTCCTTCCTGTTTGCAGGTATGACCTTAGATTTAAAAAAATAAAAATACCGCATGCAAATGTAAATGTGCTTTTACTTCTGTGTTTAACGGGATACAGAGGTTGTGATCAAACATGCACACTTAAAAGATGCCTTTGAATTATCTTTCAGAAATCAAAAATGTAATCCAAAAGCCATTTGAACTATGCAAGAGCTGTACCGTTGAAAGGGTATGTGAAATGTTATTTGACTCAACGGGCCTCACATCCACAGGCGGTCTGTAACATGACCTCCATGTTTCGTAAAAATTCAGTGTTATTTACAAGTGTATGCACCTATGAGGCTGGGTCATTGACAATGAATGAGCGTCTCCATCTCTAGGGTAGCCATGAATCAAAAATACAGGATCCAGGGTTGAATCGGCTGCCTTGAATGAAATAAAAATAACATTCATTGGATGATAAAAGCAAATCCTATGGATTTTGCAAAAGTGGGCGCTCACATCGGCAGAAGCATCCGATTCGGAAAAATAAGGCGACCCCTCCTACAAGCACCTCCTCCGAACTGGCCGTCTAGAGGCATTTTTTTATCCAGTTTGCTGAAAATCCAATGGGTGTGCCTTCATGAGGAAGTCTGCTGGGAAATATGGCTCCATGCCCCATGAACTTTTTTGTTTGTTTGTTTGTTTGTGTTTTTTTGAGACAGACTCTCAGTCTGTCACCCAGGCTGGAGTGCAATGGTGTGATCTCCGCTCACTGCAAGCTCTGCCTCCCAGGTTCAAGCTATTCTCCCGCCTCAGCCTCCTGAGTAGCTGGGATTACAGGTGCCCACCACCAAGCCTGGCTATATTTTTGTACTTTTAGTAGAGACGGGGTTTCACCATGTTGATCAGGCAGGTCTCGAACTCCTGACCTCAGGTGATCCACCCACCTCGGCCTCCCAAAGTGCTGTGATTACAGGCGGGAGCCACTGTGCCTGGCCCCCGTTAACTTCTCCAGCTTGCCTTTTTACCTGCAACCCATATGTCTAGTAGTATATCATTTGTCTTTCACCTTTTCTTCCAATCAGAAGACACCATGATGCTATTTTCTAACCAGCATTGGCCACTGGTCAGGTGCAGTAGCTCACTCCTGTAATCCCAACACTTTGGGAGAGGAAGGCGGCTGGATTGCTTGAGCCCAGGAGATGTAGACCACCCTGACCAACACAGCGAAACCTCATCTCTGTTAAAAACAAACAAAAACACGGGGCTGGGAGAGGTGGCTCATGCCTGTAAATTTCACCACTTTGGGAGGCCAAGGCAGGTGGATCACTTGAGGTCAGGAGTTTGAGACCAGCCTGGCCAACATGGTGAAACGCCGTCTCTACTAAAAATACTAAAACTAGTCAGGCGTGTTGGCAGGTGCCTGTACTCTCAGCTACTCGGGAGGCTGAGGCACGAGAACTGCTTGAACTGGGAGACAGAGGTTGCAGTGAGCTGAGATCACGCCACTGCACTCCAGCCTCGGTGACAGTGCAAGACTCCATCTCAAAAAGAAAACACAAAAAATTAGCTCTGTGTGGTGGTGCAAGGCCGTAGTCCCAGCTACATGGGAGGCTAAGGTGGGAGGATCACCTGAGCCCAGGGAGGTCAAGGCTGCAGTGAGCTGTATGAGCCCCAACGCACTCCAGCCTGAGTGACAGAGTGAGACCCTATCTCAAAAAACAAAAGAACTGGCCACTGTTTCCAGGTAGATGGATTTCTGCAAGGAACAGCACTGTGTGTTTAATGAAATTAGAAGGACCAGCCGGGCGCAGTGGCTCACGCCTGTCATCCCAGCACTTTGGGAGGCCGAGGCGGGCGGATCACGAGGTCAGGAGATCGAGACCATCCTGGCTAACACGGTGAAACCCCGTCTCTACTAAAAATACAAAAAATGAGCCGGGAGTGGTGGCGGGCGCCTGTGGTCCCAGCTACTCGGGAGGCTGAGGCAGGAGAATGGCTTGAACCTGGGAGGCGGAGGTTGCAGTGAGCCGAGATCGCGCCACCGCACTCCAGCCTGTGTGACGGAGCGAGACTCTGTCTCAGAAAAACAAAAAAGAAAAAAATAAAAAGAAGGACCGTTCAGCCCAGAGAAAGTCTCAACATACTCTTCACCCTGTTCGTATTATAAATTAAATTGCATCCCCCCAAAAAAGATTTGTAGAAGTCCTGACCTCCCCGCCCCCCACCCCACAACTACATCAGAATGTAACTTTCTCTGGAAATACGGTGTCTGCAGCTATCACGAGTTACGATGAGGCAGCAGTGGACTGGGATGGGCTCTGATCTAATGACTGCTGCCTTTGTAGAATTTTTTTAAAAAATGTGGATACGTAGAGGCACAGACACACAGAAAAGCCACGTGGAGACGGAGGCAGAGACTGGAGTGATGGGGCCACAAGCCCAGGGATGCCTGGAGCCCCCAGGAGCTGAGAGAGGAAGGAAGGACCCTCCCCTAGAACCCTGGAAGGAACTGAATATAATTATACTGAATGGAACAGTGGCCCCCAGAAAGATCTGTCCACATCCTAAAGCCCAGGACCTGGAATGAGACCGGATTTGGAAATAGGTTCTCTGCAGATGTAATTAGGTGAAGGACCTTGAGGTGAGATCATCCTGGAGTAGGGTGTCCCCTAAATCTAATGACAGGTGCCCTTGTAAGAGACAGAAGAGGAGACACAGAGGAGAAGGCCACATGGAGACGGAGGCAGAGACTGGAGTGATGCGGCCACAAGCCCAGGGATGCCTGGAGCCCCCAGGAGCTGGGAGAGGCAGGAAGGACCCTCCCCTAGAGCCTTCAGAAGGAACACCTTGATCAGAGGCTTCTGGTCTTCAGAGCAAGGAGAGGGTAAAATTCTCGTGTTTTAAGACACGCAGTTATGGCAGTTTGTTCTGGTAACTGCCGGGAATTAATACAGCACCTGAACAGACTCCAAGGGTGACATGAGGAGTGTGACCCAAGTGTAGCTGGTTTAGCCCCTGGGAATTTGCAGCGTGGTGAGAATAAGGAATAGAAAACATCACCAGAAGATGGGCGTGGTGGCTCACACCTGTAATCCCAGGACTTTGGGAGGCCGAGGCAGCCGGATCACCTGAGGTCAGGAGTTTGAGACCAGCCTGGCCAACATGGTGAAACCCCGTCTCTACTAAAAATACAAAAATCAGCCGGGCGTGGTGGCTCACTCCTGTAATCCCAGCACTTTGGGAGGCTGAGGCAGGCAGATCACCCGAGGTCAGGAGTTCGAGACCAGCCTGGTCATCATGTTCAAACCCCGTCTCTACTAAAAATACAAAAATCAGCCGGGCGTGGTGGCTCACTCCTGTAATCCCAGCACTTTGGGAGGCTGAGGCGGCCGGATCACCCGAGGTCAGGAGTTCGAGACCAGCCTAGTCAACATGTTCAAACCCCATTTCTACTAAAAATACAAAAGTTAGCCGGGCACGGTGGTGGGCGCCTGTAATCCCAGGACTTTAGGAGGCCAAGGCAGGCAGATCACCTGAGGTCAGGAGTTTGAGACCAGCCTGGTCAACATGTTCAAACCCCATTTCTACTAAATTGTAAAGTTCTCCTGTGGGGTCCTGGCCCCTCCCCAGAGGCATCCCTCCTGACAGAGACGCAACGGAAGAGACATACTACCTTTCATCAGCCAAGAATCTAAAGTAGGAAGAGGGAGCGTGAGCTTGGAGATTTGGAGAGTCTCTTGTAAAACTCAAATATCTGAAATTTCAGCGGAAGACGCATCGGTCGGCGTTCTTGTCGTTTAAAATCCGGGGCATAAATTTGCTTTGCTTGGAGACTCGCTGGTTCTAACCCGCCACTTGGCAGACAAGCAAGATAAGAAGAGAGGAACCTGGGGTTTTGGTAAGGAGGAAAAGATTCATAATTAGAGTAGAGGATTTCCAGAGCTTTCCTGATTATAAGGAGTGGGTCAGAGGTGCGTGAGTTCTAACCAGCTTATTAAATATTTTACAACCCCGTCAGTGGCACAAAAATTAGAGAATAACATGAGGCCATGTCGCATTTGTCTCTTGAATTTACACACTTTTTTCTTTCTTTTTGAGATGGACTCTCTCTCTGTCACCCAGGCTGGAGTGTAAGGGCACAATCTCAGCTCACTGTAAGCGCCGCCTCCCAGGTTCACGCCATTCTCCTGCCTCAGCTTCCCGAGTAGCTGGGATTACAGGCGTCCACCACCACGCCCTGCTAGTTTTTTTGTATTTTTTTAGTAGAGATGGGGTTTCACTGTGTTAGCCAGGATGGTATCCATCTCCTCACCTCATGATCCGCCCGCCTCGGCCTCCCAATACACACTTTTCTTTTTTTTGAGATGGAGTCTCACTCTGTCACCCAGGCTGGAGTGCAATGGCTCGATCTCAGCTCACTGCAACCTCCGCCTCCCGGGTTCAAGCGATTCTCCTGCCTCAGCCTCCCGAGTAGCTGGGATTACAGGCGCACACCACCATGCCCGGCTAATTTTTGTATTTTTAGTAGAGATGGGGTTTCACTATGTTGGCCAGGATGGTCTCAAACTCCTGACCTCAAGTGATCCACCCACCTCGGCTTCCCAAATTGCTGGGATGACAGGTGCGACGGACGGTGTGCCTGGCCTGAATTTACACACATTTTTTTTATACGTTCCTCAGTCAATATATTTCTCTTTGCTATTTCATCTTACCCATACACACAGCTTCGTTTCATTTCCTAAGCATGGTACATGCCATTTTTTTTCCTTCCAATTATCGAGACTGTCCCATTCACAGGCAGAACTCTCTGAACAACTTGGAGTTTATTCGTGCTGATGATTCCTGGTTTCCCCAGGTGACTCTTGGGCTCACCAGAGCTTGCACCGGGTCTGCGTTTGCTGACAGACGCGTTCCCACGTCTCGCAGTCAGTGAATAAATGAACGGATGTGCCACCACGATGGATGGGCAGGCTCTCGAAAGACGGGCATACAACTCTCTTTGGCCACATCATTTGTCTGAAACACTCCAAGGCGTTCTGTGGGTAAACAGTCAGGAAGGACTTGGGGTGAAGCAATAGAAAAAAATATGATACTGGGGCCGGGCGTGGTGGCTCACACCTGTCATCCCAGCACTTTGGGAGGCCGAGGCAGGTGGATCACCTGAGGTCAGGAGTTCGAGACCAGCCTGGCCAACATGGAGAAACCCTGTCTCTACTGAAAATAAGAAAAATTAGCCAGGCAAGGTGGCACACGCCTGTCATCTCAGCACTTTGGGAGGCTGACGTGGGCAGTTCACCCGAGGTCAGGAGTTCGAGACCAGCCTGGCCAACATGGCAAAACTCTGTCTCTACTAAAAATACAAAAAATTAGCCAGGCAAGGTGGCTCACGCCTGTCATCCCAGCACTTTGGGAGGCCGAGGCGGGCGGATCCCTTGAGGTTAGGAGTTCAAGACCAGCCTGGCCACCATAGTGAAACCCCGTCTCTACTAAAAATACAAAAATTAGCCAGGTGTGGTGGTGGGCGCCTGTAATCCCAGCTACTTGGGAGGCTGAGGCAGGAGAATCACTTGAACCCGGGAGCCGGAGGTTGCAGTGAGCCGAGATCGCACCACTGCACTCCAGCCTGGGTGACAGAGCGAGACTCCATCTGAAAAAATAAAAGAAAAGCAAAAGCACTGAAACGCACTGTGATTAAGGGACAAATTTTATCTTCCTATCCCGCCTTGATTCGTGTTTAAATTTTGTCTTTTGCTTCCAGGCTGAGATTTCATGCCTGGGTTCAGCCTAAAGCGAATTTTAGCAGGTGAGTTATAAACCCCTAAAAATAGGTTTCTGTAGTCGAAATGCTGACACAGTGGATCTAGTTGGGAAGGAAGGTGGCAGAGTTCTAATTAAAAGGACACTCAGTGCTTTGTCTTTGACTAATGTAAATAGCAATCAGGTTAACTTACAGTTTCCCTGCCTTAGAGAGGCTTTCAGAACATAGAAAACTTGTTTTTCTCTCCAAATAATAATAATAGATTACTCAATTCGCATGATAGATGAAGAAAAGTGAGGTTGTGTATGGCCTTAGAAATAACAGTAATGGGCTGGGCGCGGTGACTCACGCCTGTCATCCCAGCACTTTGGGAGGCCGAGGCAGGTGAATCATTTGAGGTCGGGAGTTCGAGACCAGCCTGGCCAACATGGTAAAACCCTGTCTGTCTCTATTAAAAATATAAAAATCAGCCAGGCGTGGTGGTGGGTGTCTGTGATCCCAGCTACTCAGGAGGCTGAGGCAGGAGAATTGCTTGAACCCGGGAGGCAGAGGTTGCAGTGAGCCAAGATCACGCCACTGCACTCCAGCCTGGGCGACAGAGCGTGACTCCAAAAAAGAAAGAAAGAAAGAGAGAGAGAGAGAGAGAGAAGGAAGGAAGGAAGGAAGAAGAAAGAAAGAGAGAAGGAAGGAAGGAAGGAAAGAGAAAAAGAAAGAAGAAAGAAAGAGAGGGAGAGAGAGAAGGAAGGAAGGAAGAAGAAAGAAAGAGAGAAGGAAGGAAGGAAAGAGAAGAAAGAAGAAAGAAAGAGAGGGAGAGAGAGAGAAGGAAGGAAGAGAAAGAAAGGAAAGAAAGAAAGAGAGAGAGAGGGAAGGAATGAAGAAAGAAGAAGAAAGAAGGAAAGAAAAGAAAGAAAGAAAGAAAGAAAAGAATGAAAGAAAGAAAGAAAAGAAATAAAGAAAGAAAGAAAGAAGGAAAGAAAGAGAAAGAGAGAAAGAAAAGAAAAAAGAAAAGAAAGAGGTTTAAACTGTACGGTCTGATGTCAACTATACCTGTTAATACTTAAATTGGATACTAGGTAATAAAAATAAACATTTTCCCTCCTCTCTCTCTCTCTCCTCTTTTTAAGCATCTTGGTGATTTTTTTTTTTCTTTTCTGGGTCCAATCTTGCATTTATTTCTTCCGCGTGCGAGAAGGAGAGCATCTGGTATGATTTTTCATTTTCATTTTTGCCTAATAACATTTTCTTCTCAGATTTCGTCGGAGGCCTTGATAAAAGTCCTCCTGCTTTATAACTTAGCTTTTATTACTTCCCTCAGCATTGTTCCCATGTGGGCTCTGGGACTTTCCTTCCTTTCTTTTCTTTCTTTCCTTTCTTTCTTCTTTATTCTTTCTTTTCTCTTTCTTTTTTCTTTGTTTTTTTTCTTTCTTTTCTCTCTTCTTTCTTCTTTGTTTCTTTTTCCTTTCATCTTTCTTTTGTCTTTCTCTTTTTCTTCTCTTTTTCTTCTTTCCTTCTTTCTCTTTCTTTTTTCTTTCTTTCTTCTTCCTTCCTTCCTTCTTTCCTTCCTTCCTTTCTTTTTTTTTCTTCTTTGGTCCTGATTCTCTTATCACCCCTTATTTCCTGAATGCTAAGACGTTTTCCTAACCTGGTTTAAAAAAATAAATAAATACTGTTTTGTTTATTTCTTCCCGTAGGGTAAATTTATCCACAGAGACTTCTTGGCAGATAGTTTTCTTCGGAAGATGAGGGCTGGGTGATCAGTAAGAAGAGGTGTTGAAAGATGAAGGAGAGAGAGGTACATGGAAATGATTTGTCTTTACCTTCAAGGAAAAGGAACAAGAAAGATAAAAATTATAAATCAATAGGGCTGCTTTTGGAGATGCAAAAGTTTTGTTCATAATAAGAGTTATAATATGACCACCTACATTAAGTTTCGAAACAATAAATTCATTTTTTTTTTTTCACACAGAGTCTCACTCTGTCACCCAGGCTGGCGTGCAGTGGTGCGATCTCGGCTCACTACAACCTCCACATCCCAGGTTCAAGCGATTCTCCTGCCTCAGCCTCCCGAGTAGCTGGGACTACAGGTGCCCACCACCACACCCAGCTAATTATTGTATTTTTAGTAGAGACGGGGTTTCACCATGTTGGCCAGGCTGGTCTCGAACTCCTGACCTCAGGTGATCCACCCACCTCAGCCTCAAAGTGTCTCTCTTATCTACACTCTTATACCAGGGACATTGACCGGGTTTTGGTGTGTTTTGACATTTTACAGTTTCTGTACATGTCCTCTCAGAACTGCAGGAAATTCATGAGCTGGTGGCGTTTGATCCTTGCATATGGGAGAAGAGTCTTATTCTTTTAATTTCAGTATAAGAAGTGTGGTCCTCTAGGTCTCAAAGCCTCACTGAGAGACAGTGGGAGCATTTGGACTTGCAGGAACTGCCGGCCTCGGCAGTAGCATGCTCTGGACAGCCAGAAACTGGATCTGTGTTCCAGGGATGCCCTCTACTGGAAAAATCTATAGCTTCTCTTTCTTGCTTTCAGAATCTCTGTATCTTTTTTTTTTTTTTTTTTGAGACGGAGTCTCGCTCTGTTGCCCAGGCTGGAGGACAGTGGTGCAATCTCAGCTCACAGCAACCTCCATCTCCCAGGTTCAAGCAACTCTCCTGCCTCAGCTTTCTGAATAGCTGGGATTACAGGCACCTGCCACCACACCTGACTCATTTTTGTATTTTTAGCAGAGACGGGGTTTCACCATTTTGGTCAGGCTGGTCTCGAACTCCTGGCCTCATGATCTACCTACCTCAGCCTCCCGAAGTGTTGAGATTACAGGCATGAGCCACGGTGGCCAGCCAACCTGCTTTTCTTACTCAACATTATGTCTTAAAAATATTCCTGGGTCAGTTAATACAAATGTACCCCCACTTATTTTAACTGCTACGGAGTCATCCAGGGAAGGCTTCTAGATTTTATTTAGCTGTTTAAAAAATTCATTTGACTCATTTCCAGGTTTTTGCTTTTATTTTTGTTGGCGGGACAGAGTCTCACTCTGTTGCCCAGGCCGGAGTGCAGTGGTGTGGTCTCGACTCACTGCAACCTCTGCCTCCCGGATTCAAGCAATTCTCCTGCCTCAGCCTTCTGAGTAGCTGGGATTACAGGCTCCAGCAACCACACCTGACTAATTTTTGTATTTTTAGCAGAGACGGGGTTTTACCATGTTGGCCAGGCTGGTCTCAAACTCCTGAACTCAAGTGATCCGCCCGCCTCGGCCTCCCAAAGTCCTGGGATGACAGGTGTGTGCCACCACATCCGGCTAATTTTTGTATTTTTAGCAGGGACGGGGTTTCACCATGTTGGCCAGGCTGGTCTCAAACTCCTGACCGCAGGTGATCTGCCCGCCTCGGCCTCCCAAAGTGCTGGGATGACAGGTGCCAGCCAGTGCGCCCAGCGAGAGTCTCCGTATCTTACAGACTTTGGAAAACAGGATTTTAAAGAATTCAGTCGAGTTCCGTTCGGAGCTGAGTCATGCTGAAATTCCAGCTGCATTCAGGACCTGCTGCGAATAAAACAGGTGAAGTGTCGGGCAAGTTGGTTGCAGGTCTATAAAGGGCTTGGGATAAAGGACCCCAGAAGAAGGAAGGTCTGCCTGCAGGGAGAACATGTTGCTCAGAGATCGCTCAAGCGTGGTCCATATCCCCCACGTTCCCAAGACACCAAACTCCTCACCCCATCTTCCCAATTCTCATCAACAAAGCAATGGATACTATTTTAGTTTCCTATAGCTTAAACAACACTCATGAGCTGGGCACGGTGGCTCACGCCTGTCATCCCAGCACTTTGGGAGGCCGAGGTGGGTGGATCACTTGAGGTCAGGAGTTCCAGACCATCCTGGCCAACATAGCGAAACCCCGTCTCTACTAAAAATACAAAGATTAGCCGGGCGTGGTGGCCGGCACCTGTAGTCCCAGCTACTCGGGAGGCTGAGGCAGAAGAATCGCTTGAACCCGGGAGGCGGAGGTTGCGGTGAGCCGAGATCGCACCGCTGCAGTCCAGCCTGGGAGACAGAGTGAGACTCTGTCTCAAAAAAAAAAATGAGGGGTTTGGGAAGAGGTTGTACATGGCCCTGTTTATTTTCTATCTATCATCTATGTATCTATGTATCTATCTATGTATCTATCTATGTATGTATCTATCTATCTATCATCTATCTATCTATCATCTATCATCTATCTATCTAATCTATCTATCATCTATCTATCTATATCTATATCTAGCTATCCACCTGTCATCTCTGTCTTGTCTATCATCTATCTATCTACACCTGTCTATCTATCTATATGTATATATCCATCTATCTATCAGTCATCTCCCTATCTGTCTCTATCTATATATCTATCTTTCTATCTACCTATCTCTTTCTCTATATCTATTTATCCATCTATCTATCAATCATGTTTGTCTCTGTCTCTGTCTATCTTGGGTCTATCTATATCTATCTATCTATATGTATCTATCTATCCATTTATCTATCGATCATCTCCCTGTCTTTGTCTATGTATCTATATGTTTATCTATCTATGTCTATATCTATCTATCCATCTATCTATTGATCATGTCTCTGTCTCTGTCTATCATCTATCTATATCTATCTATATCTATCTATCTATCTATATGTATCTATCTATCCATCTATCGATCATCTCCCTGTCTCTATCTATCTATCTGTCTATCTCTATCTGTCTCTATATCTATCTATCCATCTATGTATCGATCACATCTCTCTCTGTCTCTGTCTATCATCTGTCTCTCTACCTGCCCGCCTGTCTACCTATCTATCCACTTCCCAAAGGTTTAAATAAATTTGACCAGGCCAGGCGTGGTAGCTCACACCTGTAATCCCAGCACTTTGGGAGGCCGAGACGGGTGGATCACCTGAGGTTGGGAGTTCGAGACCAGCCTGACCAATATGGAGAAACCCCATCTCTACTAAAAATACAAAATTAGCCGGGCGTGGTGGTGCATGTCTGTAGTCCCAGCTACTTGGGAGGCTGAGGCAGGGGAGATCACTTGATCCCGGGAGGCGGAGGTTGCGGTGAGCCGAGATCATGCCATTGCACTCCAGCCTGGGTGACAAGAGTGGAACTCTGTCTCAATAGATAAATAAATAAATAAATAACTTTGACCGACTCTGCATCGAGCCCAGCTTCCTCTTGGTTCATCCCTCCCATCATAGCCACAGTGAGGCTCCGGCAGCCTTCTGGATTTCCTTTGCTTCCCTGTCTTCCTCCAATCTACTGTCCAACTGTTCCGTCAACTTCCCAAGAGGCTGCAACCTCGAGGACCTGAGGCGTTTCACGTGTGCACACATGTGTACACGTCTCTGTACCAGTCAAGATGCTTACGCTTGATGGGAGCAGCTCTGCGCCCGGCACAGTAGCAGACACAAACAAAAGGGGACCCACGCTGTCCTCCAGAACCAAGCAGGGTCTTTTCGAGGATGGGCCAGGCACCCCAAAATCACCCTGGAATTTAAAGACTATAAACAAGCAAGTGAGGAGGCCGGGCGCGGTGGCTCACGTCTGTCATCCCAGCACTTTGGGAGTCCGATGCAGGCAGATCACCTGAGGTCAGGCGTTCGAGACCAGCCTGGCCAACGTAGTGAAACCCCGTCTGTACTAAAAAAAACAAAAATTAGCCAGGTGGGGTGGCGGGTTCTTGTAACACTAGCTACTTGGGAGGCTGAGACGGCAGAATGGCTTGAACACGAGAGGCGGGGGTTGCGGTGAGCTGAGATCACGCCACTGCTCTCCAGCCTAACCAACAGAGCAAGACTCCGTCTCAAAAAAAAAAAAAAAAGGGAAGTGAGGATGATTTTGGGGACAGCAGGGCTGTGACGCTCTCCTCCGCCCAGGAGGCCACCCAGACTCTATAGGGAAAGAGAAACAGCTGAGTTGCTGGATTCCAACCTGGGTGGGAAACAGCTGAGTTGCTGGAAGTTGCACCAGAATGCCAGCCGTGAAATCCAGCAGCACTGATTACAACCTGGGTGGGAAACTCCATTCTCAGCCACTTGGGGTTAGCCCTGAACGGCAGGAGCCCGTGGAAAGAAAAGTCTCTGCTCTGATTTCGATCATTTTTATGACCTTTAGTCGATTTAATGTTCTAGGTTGGAGGTTGGGGGGGAGTGGGTTACGGTGTTATTTCCTTTCCTTTTGTTCATGTGTAATTAGAAATCCGGAGTGAGCAGAAGGACAGAGGAAAGAAATCTAATACAGTCAGAGGAAGGTGAGGTGCTTTTTTTGTTGTTGTTGTTTTTGTTTTGTTTTCTGGGATGCATCAATTTAAGTGATATCAGCACTTAACAAATAGCCAAGGGGACCCCATCTTCGCTGCAAACGCAGGGGGGCCTTCCAGCCTCCACACACATGGTCAGCACACGCCAGACACAGTTTGAAACAGAGCTTTACACTTTGGGACCTCCTCTTTCTCTCCGATGTATGACCTCCATCTATTTAAAATGTTAACCAATAGAGAACACACACACACACACACACACACGTGTGCCGATCTCAAATTACATATCACATGTGAGTCTTCGCATTTTAAAAGGTGATAAAAATGTCAGTAATATCCTACATGCCAGCCACTCCAAAGATCCCCCACCCTCTAACGTCTACAAGGCTTGGGTTGTCTTAACATAATTCCACGCGGAAACCAGGCTGCTGTGGAAAACACCAGTTCTCGAGATGGCAGCACACACAGAGGCTTTTGTTGAAAAGAGCATGAAAGAGAGGCTTGTCCAAGGTCTCCAGAGACCGGCTTACCGACCGTGATGAACACACACACCCGAAACTGCTGTTTTGACTTTGCGTTCATCATGAGTTCGTTGTGGTTACATTTATTTAAACCTTTGGGAAGTGGATAGATAGGGAGATAGGCAGGTAGGTAGATAGACAGATGATAGGCAGAGACAGAGAGAGACATGATCGATGGATAGATATATGGACATATAGATACATAGATACAGAGATAGATACATAGATGATAGACAGAGACAGACAGGGAGATGATGATAGGTAGATAGATAATGCATAGATAGATAGATAGATGATACATAGATACATAGATGATAGATAGAGATATAATCAATAGATGATAGATTGATAGATAGATACATAGATAATTAGATAGATAGATAGATAAGTAGATATAGATAGATGATAGAGACAGAGAGAGATAATCAATAGATAGATGATAGACAGAGACAGAGAGGAAGATGATAGATAGATAGACAGATAATACATAGATAGATAGATGATAGAGATATAATCAATAGATGATAGATAGATAGATAGATAAGTAGATATAGATAGATGATAGAGACAGAGAGAGATAATCAATAGATAGATGATAGACAGAGACAGAGAGGAAGATGTTAGACAGATAGATAGACAGATTATAGCTATAGATAGACGATAGATAGATGATAGATAGATAGATACATAGAGATACATAGATGATAGATAGATGGTAGACAGATAGATATCTAGATAGACAGATATAGATAGATGATAGAGAGAGAGGTGATCAATAGATAGATGGATAGATAGAGATGGATAGATACATAGATAATAGATAGATAGATGATAGACAGATACACAAACAGAGATAGATAGATACATAAACGATAGATAGATGGTAGATATAGATTGATAAATAAATGAAAAATGATTAGATACATAGATAGATGTGGATAGCCAGATGGAGAGATGACAGATAGATGATAGGTGGATAGATATATGATAGATACAGGTGATAGAGACAGAAGCATAGATATATATGTACGTATATATACACATTATAATATGTACATATTGTATATACTATAAATTGTATACACTATAAATTGTATACATTATAAATCTTCATATATGTGCATATATGTTGAGTATATATGTATACATATATACTAACCATATACTAAACAAACTGAATATATAAACTTTAGTATATGTGCATATGTGTTTAGTATATATGTATATATATGCTAATTATATATGAAACATACTGAATACATTTTTAGTATATGTACCCATATACATATATACTAAAGTATACATATATGCTACAGTTTATCATGTATATATAATATATATGTTTAGTATCTATGTATACAGAGATACTGACATTGTGTACATACACATATATACATGGATATAAAGTACCATATATGTACGTATACACTCTACATTTTATAATGTATTTATACTAAAATTAATAATGTATATGTACATATACATATAATGTATATATAAATAAGATACAGGTATAATGCCTATGATCTAACAATTAAAATACATTAAAATTAATTTCATAACAGTTTTTAACTTACAGAAACATTGCCAGATAATACAGAGAGACTTCATATACCCCACAACCTGCCTGGCCTATTCTTAGCATCTTATATCTGTAGGGTACAATCGTCACAACTGATGAACCAATATTGACGCATTATTAATGTGCTGTTATGGTTAAAAGGATAGTTCAGGCTGAGATCTAGAGTGGTGGTCTCCAGCATAGGCTACAGGCATAGAACTTCACAGAGCTAAAAGTAGAGGGTGGTACTGGGGAGGGCGTGAGAAGCACACGGTTCCATTCGTCTATCTGTAAGGAAAGCTACCAGGCAACAGGCACACATGCACACACACACACACACACACATATTATAGATGCCTCTGTTTACATCATCAGGCTCTGCTATCAAAAGGCCACCTTCTTGATGACAGTGGGAACAGGTGCAGGTGCAGGTACAGATACAAATACAGGTACAGGAGCAGGTATAGAGTACAGGTGCAGGTGCAGGCACAGGTACAAACACAGGTACAGGTGTAAGTTCAGGTACAGACGCAGGTATAGAGTACAGGTGCAGGGCAGGTACAGGTGAGGGTTCAGGTCAATTGCAGGTACATGTGAGGGTGCAGGTGCGTCAGGCTCTGCTGCCTTCTAGATGGGAGTGGGAACAGGTACAGGTGCACGTGCAGGTGAAAGTGCAGGTACTGGTACAGATTGAGGTGCAGGTGCAGATATAGGTGAGGTGCAGGTAAAGGTACAGGTGCAGGTACAGGTACATGTTACTTTAGGCAGCAAAAGGGACTTTCTACATGTGATTAAAGATCTTGGGTTTGGGAGAATATTCAGGTGCAGGTACAGTTTTGGGTGCAGGTACAGGTTCAGGGTCAAATACAGGTGCAGGTATACAGGTGCATTTGCAGGTACAGGTGCAGGTTCACGTGTAGGCTCAGGCACAGATACAGGTACAGATACCAGTGCAGACACAGGTACAGGTACAGGTACAGGTACAGGTATAGATGTAGGTGCTGGTAAAGATAAAGGTGGAGGTGTCGATACAGGTATAGGCATACGTAAAAGTACAGCCACAGGCAGGCGGAGGTGCAGATGTCACTGCAGGGACAGGGAGAGGCGGAGGTGCAGATGTCACTGCAGGGACAGGGACAGGGGGAGGTACAGATGTCACTGCAGGTACAGGGACAGGTGGAGGTGCAGATGTCACTGCAAGGACAGGGACGGGGAGGTGCAGATGTCACTGCAGGGACAGGGACAGGTGGAGGTGCAGATGTCACTGCAGGGACAGGGACAGGTGGAGGTGCAGATGTCACTGCAGGGACAGGGACAGGTGTGGGTGCAGATGTCACTGCAGGGACAGGGACAGGTGTGGGTGCAGATGTCACTGCAGGGACAGGGACAGGTGTGGGTGCAGATGTCACTGCAGGGACAGGGACAGGTGTGGGTGCAGATGTCACTGCAGGGACAGGGACAGGTGTGGGTGCAGATGTCACTGCAGGGACAGGGACAGGGGGAGGTGCAGATGTCACTGCAGGTACAGGGACAGATGGAGGTGCAGATGTCACTGCAGGGACAGGGACAGGGGGAGGTGCAGATGTCACTGCAGGTACAGGGACAGGGGGAGGTGCAGATGTCACTGCAGGGACAGGGACAGGTGGAGGTGCAGATGTCACTGCAGGGACAGGGACAGGTGTGGGTGCAGATGTCACTGCAGGGACAGGGACAGGGGGAGGTGCAGATGTCACTGCAGGGACAGGGACAGGGGGAGGTGCAGATGTCACTGCAGGTACAGGGACAGGGGGAGGTGCAGATGTCACTGCAGGGACAGGGACAGGTGTGGGTGCAGATGTCACTGCAGGTACAGGGACAGATGGAGGTGCAGATGTCACTGCAGGGACAGGGACAGGTGGGGGTGCAGATGTCACTGCAGGGACAGGGACAGGGGGAGGTGCAGATGTCACTGCAGGGACAGGGACAGGTGTGGGTGCAGATGTCACTGCAGGTACAGGGACAGATGGAGGTGCAGATGTCACTGCAGGGACAGGGACAGGGGGAGGTGCAGATGTCACTGCAGGTACAGGGACAGGGGGAGGTGCAGATGTCACTGCAGGGACAGGGACAGGTGTGGGTGCAGATGTCACTGCAGGTACAGGGACAGATGGAGGTGCAGATGTCACTGCAGGGACAGGGACAGGTGGGGGTGCAGATGTCACTGCAGGGACAGGGACAGGGGGAGGTGCAGATGTCACTGCAGGGACAGGGACAGGTGGAGGTGCAGATGTCACTGCAGGGACAGGGACAGGTGTGGGTGCAGATGTCACTGCAGGGACAGGGACAGGTGGAGGTGCAGATGTCACTGCAGGGACAGGGACAGGGGGAGGTGCAGATGTAACTGCAGGGACAGGGACAGGTGTGGGTGCAGATGTCACTGCAGGGACAGGGACGGGGAGGTGCAGATGTCACTGCAGGGACAGGGACAGGGGGAGGTGCAGATGTCACTGCAGGGACAGGGACAGGTGGAGGTGCAGATGTCACTGCAGGGACAGGGACAGGGGGAGGTGCAGATGTCACTGCAGGGACAGGGACAGGTGTGGGTGCAGATGTCACTGCAGGGACAGGGACAGGTGTGGGTAAGCATATACCTCCTCCACGTTTGCACACTCAGGTCCATGCCTTCGCCTTCTCCACAGGTTGTCTGTAAGAACCATTTCATTGGAAAGAAAATGACACGAGAGGAGGATTCAGCCAGAGGTGGGAAGACAGCTGCAAATGCCTTCCCCAACTCCCGGGGAAGGGTGGAAATGGGGTACACACCACACAGTCGCTAACACAAACACACACATCACACCACACACGAATACACACCAATACACACCATACACACATGCAGTGCACACATATATATACACACCACACACGTATACCACACACTCACTAATGCAAAGTGACACGTAACTTATACAGATACTGCACATACACCACGCACTCACTGACACAAACACACAAGCACACACATCACACCACACATGTATACACACTATACACACATACATTGCACACACATGTATACACACCGATGCACAACATACATGCAATGCACACATATGTATATACACCATGCACTCGCACACACCACACAAATATTCCACACACTCGTTAATGCAGTCACACATGAATACACACCATTACACAGCATGCACACACACTGCACACATGTGTATATACACCACACACTCACATACACCACACACATACCACTCACTAACACAAACACACAAACACACATATCACACCACACACGAATACACACCAGTACACACCATACAGACATACACTGCACACACATGTATACACAGCACACACTACACACATATATACCACACACTCACTAATGCAAAGTCACACATAACACATACATAACTACACACATACCACACACTAACACACACACATCACACCACACACGAATACACACCAGTACACACCAGACTTACACTGCACACACAAGTATACACACCACAGTCACACACACCACACATATACCACACACTAATGCGAAGTCACACATAACTCACACATAACTACACACATACCACACACTAACACAAACACAGAAACACACGTATCACACCGCACACGAATACACACCAGACACACTAATGCAAAGTCACAGATAATGCATACATGACTACACACATACCACACACTCACACAAACACACATATCATACCACACACAAATACACACCACTACACACCATACACACATACACTGCACAGACATGTATACACACCACACTCACACACAGCACACACTTATTCCACACGCTCACTAATGCAAATTATGCATAACTCACACAGGTACTAGACACACCACAGACACTACACCCATAGATACACACACACCACACACTGACACAAACACACACATATAATGCATACCACACAAATATCCATCTTTCTGGACCCCCTGGTATAGGATATGGGGAACCCGTCAGTCTGGTAAACACAGGGACCCAGGCTGAGCAGTAGGGACCCCCCAGCGGATCATCCTTCAGCCCCTGGTATGACACCCGGCAGAGACCAGGTCCCCCATAAATGCTTGTCGTCATCTACAAATTAGACTTTTTATATAACTCAAAAATTTAAGGTGCAAAATGCATATCAGACATTCCAAGAAACGTGATTTTCTGCTTTCAGGAGGCTTGGTAGGAAGTCTCGCATCTTAATTACAAAATTACGACAAAATGGGATTTTTCTTTTTTCTTTTTATTTTTTTGAGACGAGTCTCGCTCTGTCTCCGAGGTTGGAGGGCAGTGGCACCATCTCGGCTCACTGCAACCTCCGCCTCCCGGGTTCAAGCGATTCTCCTGCCCCAGCCTCCCGAGTAGCTGAGACTACAGGCACCCGCCACCACGCCCAGCTAAATTTTTTTGTATTTTTTAGTAGAGACGGGGATTCACCGTGTTAGCCAGGTTGGTTTCAAACTCCTGACCTCAAATGACCCGCCTGCCTCGGACTCCCAAAGTGCTGGGATTACAGGCGTGAGCCACTATGTCCGGCCCACAAAATGGGGTCTTTACGTGAAGACACAGCCTGGGACAAAATAACTGAGTGATGGTGTAGGTGACCCTTGATGAGAACACCCAGTTTTGGTTCGTTGGCCTCCAAAGTCCACGAACGGTTGTCTTGGGTGAGTTCCTAACCGTTGCCTCATTTCAGCTCCATTTTCTCATGTGAGCATATGGAATGCTAATAGCATGTACCTGGCAGAGGTATAGGACTCAACCAATGTGATGTTGAAGTTGTACTTGCGGGGCCTCAGCCTGAGATACTTGGACGAGGTTGTACCCAGGATTGTGCATGTCGGGGGTCCCTCAGCCGGGCGCGGTGGCTCACGCCTGTCATCCCAGCACTTTGGGAGGCCGAGGCGGGTGGATCACGAAGTCAGGAGTTCAAGACCAGCCCTGGCCAAGACAGTGAAACCCAATCTCTACTAAAAACATAAAAATTGGCCAGGTGTGGTGGCAGCTGCCTGTAATCCCAGCTACTCGGGAGGCTGAGGCGGGAGAATCGCTTGAATCCAAGAGGCGGAGGTTGCAGTGAGCTGAGATCATGCCACTGCACTCAAGCCTAGACGGCAGAGCAAGACCCTGTCTCAAAAAACAAACAAATAAAAAAAAAAACAGTGGTCTCTCATGGGATGGACTTCAGAGGCATGGTCCTGAGATGTCAGGACAAATTTGTGCCTGGAATTCCATGTTTGAGGTTCTCCAGGGATAGTCCCTTGGTGGAGAGAGACTTCTACACTTCTACCAAAAGATTCTGTATTTAGAGTCTCTCAATACTATGTGTCCCATGGTCTGCCGTGGAGACACACCTCTACATCTTTCCAGTGTGTGACTCTGATTTAAAAAATCATAAGAGGCCAGGCACGGTGGCTCACGTCTGTAATCCCAGCACTCTGGGAGGCCGAGGCGGGCGGATCACCAGGCCAGGAGATCGACACCATCCTGGCTAACACGGTGAAACCCCGTCTCTACTAAAAATACAAAATATTAGCCAAACGTGGTGGCACGCACCTGTCATCCCAGCACTTTGGGAGGCCGAGGCGGGCGGATCACCTGAGGTCAGGAGTTCGAGACCAGCTTGGCCAACACAGTGAAACCCCATCTCTACTAAAAATACACAAATTAGCCGGGCGTGGTGGTGGGCGACTGTAATCCCAGCTACTCGGGAGGCTGAGGGAGGAGAATCGCTTGAACCCGGGAGGCAGAGGTTGCAGTGAGCCGAGATCGCACCACTGCATTCCAACCTGGATGAGAGAGCGAGACTCTGTCTCAAAAAACAAAAGTATTTCACCCTCCTTCTTTCATACAACAGGAGAAATACTTTTTCCTCCTGCCTCTGCCTTTTTGGGGGGGACAATTTCAATGAGATTCAGTGAAAGTCGTTGGTGAATGGCTTTAACTTACTGTAATTTATTTCATGCAGTTCCATTAACTTGGGTCTGTTGAAGCTTGTGTACGTGAAAATGAAACCGGTCGTGAGCTTTGAAAATCCACAGAGTTTTACATGAAAGTGGTCTTTTACCTGAAAGCACACTCATCGACTCCGTGCAGTCTTGGAATCTGGGATTCCCTTTGAAGGTAATACCCACAATTATTTGTGTTTCATAAATATGGAATTACGCGTTCATACTCCTGGTTATTAACTGGGATATGGCTTTTAAATCTAACTGTTAGTCATTGAAATCCTTTGCTGAATAAATTGAATCAGTTTCTAGAAGGTGGATACGGTTGTTTCATGTCTTTTCAGGGTAGAACCATATGCAGTTGAGTATCCCCGTCTGTGGAGAGTTGGAAAAGGCTGGGGAAAGTCTGAAGCCTTTGCTGGACCTTGATTTTGTCCTTCTGTCTTCTCCTTTGTGCACTTACGCTGGGAAATAACATCTTTGCTAATAACGTCAGAAGAGAGTGCAGAAGCCGGGCGCGGTGGCTCACGCCTGTCATCCCAGCACTTTGGGAGGCCGGGGTGGACCGATCTCGAGGTCAGGAGTTCGAGACCAGCCTGGCCAACATGGTGAAACCCCGTCTCTACTAAAAACCCAAAAACTAGCCGGGCGTGGTGGCGCATGCCTGTAGTCCCAGCTACTCGGGAGACTGAGGCAGGAGAATTGCTTGAACCTGGGAGGTGGAGGTTGCAGTGAGCCAAGATCGCACCACTGCACTCCAGCCTGGGAGACGAGAGACTCTGTCTCAAAGAAAAAAAAAAAAATTATTCCTAAATTTGCAGTGTCATTCCTAAATGGGACACCATGGTAAGGAATGCAGGCAACCTCTTGAAATTAGGAAAAAATCCGGGAAAATGAATTCTCCCCTAGAGCTTGTAAGGGATACTTTGATTTTAGCCCTGTTAAGATTCATTTTGGACTCTGACTCTGCCAGAACTGTAAGATAACAACACCTGTGTCATTTGAAGCCACGAGTTTGTGGTCCTTCGTTACAACATCTACAGGAGGACCCCTTTGTTTTTTTGTTTGTTTTTGTTTTTGTTTTTTTGAGACAGTCTCGCTCTGTCACCCAGGCTGGAGTGCAGTGGCATCATCTCGGCTCACTCCGCCTCCCAGGTTCAAGCAATTCTCCTGTCTCAGCCTCCAGAGTAGCTGGGACTACGGGCGCGTGCCAGCACGCCCGGCTAATTTTTGAATTTTTAGTAGAGACGGGGTTTCACCGTGTTGGCCAGGCCGGTCTCGAACTCCTGACCTCGTGATCCACCTGCCTCGGCCTCCTGAAGTGCTGGGATTACAAGCGTGAGCCACTATGCCCAGACTGTTTTTTTAATTAAGCTTTTTTTCCTCATGATCCAGTTTTCTCTTCTGAGTAGGTAAGAAAACCCCCAAACTCTAGGCTGATCCTCTGAACTTCTCCATCTCAAACCTGAGCCGTGTGCCAGAGGACGATGCCTCCGGGGTAGCATTTGGCTTCAGGGGACTTCCTCACCACCCCTCCCCACTCTGGTGAGGCTGGGAATGTAATTCCACCTGTGTGGGTACTTGACCCGGGCACGGTGGCTCACGCCTGTCATCCCAGCACTTTGGGAGGCCGAGGTAGATGGATCTCCTGAGGCCGGGAGTTTGAGACCAGCCTGGCCAACATGGAGAAACCCCGTCTCTACTGAAAACACAAAAATTAGCCGGACCTGTTGGCTCATGCCTGTCATCCCAGCTACTCGGGAGGCTGAGGCAGGTGAATCGCTTGAACCCGGGAGGCGGAGGTGGCAGTGAGCCGAGATCACACCATATTGCACTCCAGCCTGGGCGACAAGAGTGAAACTCCATCTCAAAAAAAGAAAAAAGGAACAAATTCACAGCATTTTCACGCAACGTCCATTCTACCTGGAAGCACTCAAGGACATCATAGATTCTTGGAACATGCGATTCCTTTTGAAGGCAACCCCAGCTGTGACCTGCATGGTATGCACGTAGGCTAGTGTGCACACACCGACAAGCTAATAGTCTCAGCCCCGCTGGCCGAGACAAGGGGGACTTCCCAGACCCACGGGCGTAACTCCCACCATGACTGTGAGATGTGACTGACCCTGAATGCTGCTGCTGGTGGCTACTCCCTCCAGCCCTGTTGATCATCCAACTTCTCTATGCCAAGATGTGTCTGTATCCGTCTACTCTCACGGTGCTAGTGAAGACATACCCGAGACTGGGTCATTTATTTTTATGATTTTTTATTTATTTTATCTATTTTGAGACGGAGTCTCGCACTGTCGCCCAGGCTGGAGTGCAGTGGCACGATCTCGGCTCACTGCAAGCTCCACCTCCCGGGTTCACGCCATTCTCCTGCCTCAGCCTCCCGAGTAGCTGGGACTACAGGCACGTGCCACCACGCCCTGGTGACAGAGCAAGACTCTGTCAAAAATAAAAAAAATAAACAAAACACCAATATCACTTTCTTTTTTTCTTTTTTTTTTTTTGAGACAGGGTTTTGCTTTCCTTACCCAGGCTGGAGTGCAATAGTGTGATCTCGGCTCACTGCAACCTCCGCCTGCCAGATTCAAGCGATTCTCCTGCCTCAGCCTCCCAAGTAGCTGGCATTACAGGCATGCACCACCATGCCTGGCTAATTTTTGTATTTTTAGTAGAGATGGGGTTTCACTGTGTTGGCCAGGCTGGTCTCGAACTCCTGACCACAGGTGATCCACCCGACTTGGCCTCCCAAAGTGCTGGGATTATAGGCGTGTGCCACCGCGCCCGGCCTAATATCACTTTCAGTCAACATTATCCCCTGACTTGACGATGTCCAGGGCTGGCACAAGCTTCTAACTTTTCTGTGTACCTTTGGTAACAGTTACCGTGAAACTCTGACTCTCCCATGTAGGAAGCCGATATCCATGCTACCGCTGAACCCTCTCCATCCCACCTGTGGTCAACCCTCTCTCCATCTTATAGCCAGTTTCCATCATCCCCATTTACAAAGCTACCCTGGGTTTCCCTCTGTTTTCCCTCGCCGTGAAATATCAAGTTAGGAAAACCTCGCTGGAAAATCTCAGGGAACAATGTAGGAAGTCAGATTTCACGTCTGAAATCGGGGAAAAATGGAGACAGCTACGGTGCTTTTCCATGAGTGATAATTTCCTTTTCTACCCCTCCCTTGTTCCCTGGCAGTTGGGTTTACGATCGGCGGCAGACGGATGGCTTTTTATGAGTTTCGTATTTTTCATAAGGCCACACTTCATTATTCGTATGTTGGGATGTCTTCTGCTTGCGTTCTAAATCATGCTGCGAAATAAACTTAAACGAGAGAGAACATGATAAGCACCGTATTGTTTGTTTTTTATTTTGTTTTGTTCTGTTTTTGTTTTTGCTTTTGTTTTCTGCTCCCTGTTTGCAAATAAAGAGAATTGCCAAACTTGATTAAAAGTTGGTAGTTAAGGCTGGGCACGGTGGCTCACATCTATATAATCCCAGCAC
The DNA here is from genome assembly GCF_000001405.40 of Homo sapiens. Lineage (NCBI taxonomy): Eukaryota > Metazoa > Chordata > Mammalia > Primates > Hominidae > Homo > Homo sapiens. The sequence goes on from NC_000024.10 coordinate 1,135,806, forward strand.
TTTGGGAGGCCGAGGCGGGCGGATCACCTGAGGTCAGGAGTTCGAGACCAGCCTGGCCAACATAGTGAAACCCCGTCTCTACTAAAAATACAAAATTAGCCAGGCGTGGTGGTGGGCACCTGTAATCCCAGTTACTCGGGAGGCTGAGGCGGGAGAATCACTTGAACCCGGGAGACGGAAGTTGCAGTGAGCCGAGATCGCACCACTGCACTCCAGCCTGGGCAATGAGAGCAAAAACTCTTGTCTCAAAAAAAAAAAAAAAAAAAAAAAAAGAAAGAAAGAAAGGAAAAAAGAAAAGAAAAGAAAAAAAGAAAAGATCAGATCAGCCCACAGTTTTATTTTTTACTTTAAACGGATGGTAGGAAAAGTTTGTTGTTTTTGTTTGTTTGTTGTTTTGGTTTGTTTGTTGTTTTTGTTTGTTTTTTGTTTGATGTTTGTGGCTTAAATAAAAGCCATTGACTCCCACAGTCTTAGAGGCTGGAAGTCTGAGATCCAGGTGTGGGGCAGGGCTGGTTCCTCCTGAGGCCTCTCTCCTGGGGTTGGAGACGCCGTCTTCTCCCTGTGTCCTCACAGGGTCGTCCCTCTCTGTGTGTCTGTGTCCTCATCTCCTCTTCTTATGGGATGTCTTAGTCCATCTCAGGCTGCTGTCACAGAATACCATAGACCGGGTGGCTTATAAACAACAGACATTGATTCTCCCACAGCCCTGGAGGCTGGAAGTCTGAGATCCAGGTGTGGGCAGGGCTGGTTCCTCCTGAGGACTCTCTCCTGGGCTTGGAGATGCCGTCTTCTCCCTGTGTCCTCACAGGGTCATCCCTCTGTGTGTGTCTGTGTCCTCATCTCCTTTTCTTATGAGGTGTCTTAGTCCATTTCAGGCTGCTGTCACAGAATACCATAGACTGGGTGGCTTGTAAACAACACACACTGATTCTCCCACAGCCCTGGAGGCTGGAGGTCTGAGATCCAGGTGTGGGCAGGGCTGGCTCCTCCTGAGGCCTCTCTCCTGGGCTTGGAGACGCCGTCTTCTCCCTGTGCCCTCACAGGGTCGTCCCTCTGTGTGTGTCTGTGTCCTCATCTCCCTTTTCTTTTTTTTGAGACAGAGTGTCACTCTGTCGCCCAGGCTGGAGTGCAGTGGTGTGATCTCGGCTTACTGCAACCTCCGCCTCCCGGGTTCACGCCATTGTCCTGCCTCAGCCTCCCGAGTAGCTGGGACCACAGGCGCCCGCCACCACGCCCGGCTAATTTTTTTTGTATTTTTAGTAGAGACGGGGTTTCATTGTGTTAGCCAGGATGGTCTCGATCTCCTGACCTCGTGATCCACCCGCCTCGGCCTCCCAAAGTGCTGGGATGACAGGCGTGAGCCACCGCGCCTGGCCCCTCATCTCCCTTTTTTATAAGGATACACTAATGAGATCATTTTACCTGAATCACCTCTTTAAAGACCCTGCCTCCGAGTACATTCACATTCCGAAGTCCTGAGGATTAGGGCTTCAACATAAGAATTTTGAAAGCATGCAGTTCAGCCTCTACCAACCTGGAATATGCTGCTACTTCATATTTTATTTTATTTTATTTTATTTATTTTGAGACGGAATTTCGTTCTTGTCGCCTAGGCTGGAGTGCAGTGTTGCGACCTCAGCCCACTGCCGCCTTCACCTCCCACATTCAAGCGATTCTCCTGCCTCAGCCTCCCGAGTAGATGGGATTACAGGCATGCGCCACCACGCCTGGCTAATTTCTGTATTTTCAGTGGACATGGGGTTTCACCATGTTGGCCAGGCTGATCTTGAACTGCTGACCTCGTGATCCACCCACCTTGGCGTCCCAGAGTGCTGGGATGGCAGGCGTGAGTCACTGCGCCTGGCCAAGCCTTTCGTTCTGTCCAATCAGTCCTTCCACTGATTGGATACGGCCCACCCACGTTGGGAAAGGCAATCTACTTTGCTCCGTGCATGGATTCAAATGCTCCTCTCATCCAGAGACCCTCCCACACACCTTGAATCGTGTCTGACCACACATCTGGGCACCCCGTGGCCCAGTCAACTGGACACATAAGTACCCAACACATTCTCTCCCTTGCTTTTGCCTCTAGACTAGATCATTCCCATCTGCAGAGAGACACACAGCCATTTTTTTCAGGTAAAACAATTTTTTCGAGTACATTCCCCCAAGCCTTCACCCCATCTCTTTGCTCCTTTTCCTAGCATAGCAGGACGTGGGTTTAGATGGCGCTTGAGTTTCTCCAGCATCGTCTTCATGCTCCCCTTTTCTCTCACTTCCTTCACTGCACACACCTGGGTCTCACCAAGATCCCTACTAACCCCCAGTGATAAGTGCACCACTGGGTCACCTTTCCTGCACCGACTAGCATGGTGGACTCAGCTATCACCCCTTTCTCCTTGACTCACTCGGCTTCTAGAGTTCCACACCCTCTCTGTCTTCCTCCTACCCCTCTGGCAACTTCTCTCCAGTTGCGTTAGTCTATTCTCACACCGCTAATAAAGACATATCTGAAGCCGGGTGCGGTGGCTCACGTCTGTCATCCCAGCACTTTGGGAGGCCGAGGCGGGCGGATCACGAGGTCGGGAGATCGAGACCATCCTGGCTAACACGGTGAAACCTCGTCTCTACTAAAAATACAAAAAATTATTTTTGGGAGGCCCACCTCGGCCTCCCAAAGTGCTGGGATGACAGGCGTGAGCCACCGCGCCTGGCCCCATATCACCAGATAGAATGTTCTAGAACGTTTTTCCGGAAAGATGTAGTCAGCCACAAACTCACTTCTTCTCCCTGAGCCACCCCCCTCCTTTTAAGAGGCAAACTGTCCACTGCCTCGCTGGCTTTGACCCCGAATACTTTTTCTCATTTCCATCAACATACCGGTTTTCTCACACACTATGTAATTTTCTTGTTTATTTCAGAGTTCCTTCTCTCTCTGATGAAGGGGTACGTTTCACCAGGACGGGGGTCTTGGTTTTGTCCTCTCCAAACAGTGCCTGACGTATGACATGTGCATTTACGGGATGAAGGAGGGAAACTTCAAACCCTCCCGGGTACCACCTTTGAAGCTGTCGGAAAGCGCTTTGGTGACCCCCATCTCTTTGGCACAGAGCATTTCGCCCCTTGTCAGCCTCATGCTATCAACATTCCTTGCCCGACTGTCTTTCGTTTCTGCGTAGGTGATATATGAGCCCGTGCTGTTCCCTGCCTCTTTCAACCTATTAAATTGCTTTCACTTCTAATGAGAGACAGAGGTTTTCCTGCTTCACAGAGCCTCGTAAGCATCTGCTTGCAGACCTGAGACCTGATGAGGTGCTAATAAAATCCAGCAGAGGATGTGGCACCCACCAGCATTTCTGCGTCACATTTGTGTAATGTATGGCTCTAATCTGACCAGGTTTTCATGAGGAGCTTTGGAGGAATGTGTCTCAGCACCCTGAACACTCTGCAGTTACCTCCGCTCCGGGGACCAAGGCCTGTGTCTCATTCCCGAGCATCATCCGTGTAGGAATGGCCTGCCCGCCTAGCTCAGAAAAGGAAGCCTGCCCTGGCTGCTTGTTTTTGAAAGTGTGATCGTCTCCCTGCTGCTTGGTTTGCCTTCTTTTTCTTTTTTGGTTTTTTGAGACAGAGATTCGCTCTTGTTACCAAGGCTGGAGTGCACTGGTGCGATCTCGGCTCACAGCAACCTCCGCCTCCCGGGTTCAAGCGATTCTCCTGCCTCAGCCTCCCGAGTAGCTGGGACTACAGGCACCCACCACCATGCCCGGCTAATTTTGTAATTTTTGTACAGACGGAGTCTCACCATGTTGACCAGGCTGCTCTCGAACTCCTGACCTCAGGTGATCCACCCGCCTCGGCCTCCCAAAGTGCTGGGATTACAGGCGTCAGCCACTGTACCGGCCTTTTGTTGTTGCTGTTTTGTTTTTTTGTTTGTCTGTTTGTTTTTATTTTTGGCTGTGTTTGAGACAGAGTCTTGCTCTATCACCCAGACTGGAGTGCAGCAGCGCGATCTCGGCTCACTGCAACCTCTACCTCCCGGGCTTAAGCGAGCCTCCTGCCTCAGCCTCCCGAGTAGCTGGGATGACAGGCATGCACCACCACACCCGGGTAATTTTGTATTTTTAGTAGAGATGGGGTTTCACCATGTTGGCCAGGCTGGTCTCGAACTCCCGACCTCAGGTGATCCACCCTCCTCAACCTCACAAAGTGGAGGGATTACAGGCATGAGCCACCATGCCGGGCTGTGTTTCTTAATTAATGTCTGTACGTTGTTTTTTTAACATAGCGGTATTGCACACATACCAGACTACAGTCTAAGCAAGGTGTATACGCAGTAGGAAAGTAAAACTGTGTATGACTCGCTTTATTGGGACATGAGCTTTATAGGGATGGTCTCTGCACATCAATTTGCACTTTCTCCAAGGCACGCCTGGATGGGGTGATATCCACGTCTGCGTCCTTAAAATGAGGGACGGTCATCTACTTTCGACGATTTCCTTTGCTGAGCTTTGCCGAGCACCGTGACAAATCAGCTGAGCTCGCAGACACACCATGGGTAAGTAGGAGATGATTGTCATCCAAGGGCTAAGTTAATCCCCTCTTTCATATTTACCTTACACTTACCAGCTCCCACTTTAAGGTCCATTAAAATAAAGCTCTCTGAGTCCCCAGAGAAACGGCTCTCACCAGTGAGCCCGAGGGGAAAACGTGTCAGTCAAGCTATTATTGGTGCTAATTAGCTGCTGTGCCGGCTGAGAGAAAGCACGGCTGCAGACACGTGTCAGTCAGAGAGGCATCTTTCTCCCCGCCTTGGCACGCATCTCTGCCTTTTTGCCATCTTCTGCCTTTGGTCATCTTCTGCCTTTGGTCATCTTCTGCCTTTTTGCCATCACGGAAACTGTCTCCAAACTAAGCAAACAGGTCTCAGGGATCAACAGGAATGATATCCACCCTCCTGAGGGTTCCTTTGCTCCTGGATCTTGAATACTCCCAGAGACCCCCAACTGTAGGCCAAAAGCCGATGCCAGGTCTGCAGAGGAGGCCCCTGTGAAAATGGCCAGCTGATAACTATTATTACGTTGCTTTTTTTCATTTGGAAAGTCTGTGGGAGTGTCCCCGAGTTTAAGTCAGGAAGGAACATTTAAAAACAGAATCTTCCGGCCGGGCACGGTGGCTCACGCCTGTCATCCCAGCACTTTGGGAGGCCGAGGCGGGTGGATCACCTGAGGTCAGGAGATCGAGACCAGCCTGGCCAACATGTGTGAAACCCCGTCTCTACTAAAAATACAAAAAATTAGCCAGGCGTGGTGGCGGGCGCCTGTAGTCCCAGCTACTCGGGAAGCTGAGGCAGGAGAATCGCTTGAACCCGGGACGTGGAGGTTGCAGAGAGCTGAGATCGCACCACTGCACTCCAGCCTGGGCAAGACTCCGTCTGAAAAATAAATAAATAAAAATAAAAAATTGAAAGTAGACTCTTTCGGCCAGGCACAGTGGCTCACACCTGTAATCCCAACACTTTGGGAGGCCGACGCAGGCAGATCACCTGAGGTCAGGAGTTCGAGACCAGCCTGGCCAATATGGTGAAATCCAGTCTCTACTAAAAATACAAAAATTAGCTGGGCGTGGTGGCAGGCACCTGTACTCGGGAGGCTGAGGCAGGAGAATTACTTGAACCTCAGAGGTGGAGTTTGCAAGGAGCTGAGATCGTGCCGCTGCACTCCTGCCTGGGCAACAGAGCAAGACTCCATCTTAAAAATAAATAAATAAAAATAAAAAGTAAAAAAATAAAAATAGAGTCTTCCGGCCGGTCATGGTGGCTCACGCCTGTAATCCCAGCAGTTTGGGAGGCTGAGGCGGGTGTATCACCTGAGCTCACAAGTTCCAGACCAGGCTGTCCAACATGGTGAAACCCCGTCTCTACTAAAAATACAAAAAAATTAGCCAGGCGTGGTGGCGGGCACCTGTAATCCCAGCTACTCAGGAGGCTGAGGCAGGAGAGTTGCTTGAACCCGGAAGGTGGAGGTTGCAGTGAGCCAAGATCGTGCCATTGTACTCCAGCCTGGGTGGCAGAGAGAGACTCTGTCTCAAACACACACACACACACACACACACACACACACACAAATCACCATAGACTCACCAAGTAAAGTGTGTGATTCAGAGTTTCTGACTCCTAAATTGCTCAAATCAAGCATATAGGGCTTGGTTGGTGGATAATTGTTGAGTGTGTGTGTTTGTGTGTGTATGTAAGAGACCGGGTCTCACTGTCTCACCCAGGCTGGAGTCCAGTGGCACAATCATGACTCACTGCAGCCTCCACCCCCTAGACTCAATTGATTCTCCCACCTCCGCCTCCCGAGTAGCTGAGACTATTTACCATGTTCCAGCACCCCTGGGCCACAGAGCGAGACTCCGTCTCAAACACACACACACACACACACACACACACACACACACACACACACACACACAAATCACCATAGACTCACCAAGTAAAGTGTGTGATTCAGAGTTTCTGACTCCTAAATTGCTCAAATCAAGCATATAGGGCTTGGTTGGTGGATAATTGTTGAGTGTGTGTGTTTGTGTGTGTATGTAAGAGACCGGGACTCACTGTCTCACCCAGGCTGGAGTCCAGTGGCACAATCATGACTCACTGCAGCCTCCACCCCCTAGACTCAATTGATTCTCCCACCTCCGCCTCCCAAGTAGCTGAGACTATTTACCATGTTCCAGCACCCCTGGGCCACAGAGCGAGACTCCGTCTCAAACACACACACACACACACACACACACACACACACACACACAAAATGACCATAGACTCACCAAGTAAAGTGTGTGATTCAGAGTTTGTGATTCCTAAATAGCTCAAATCAGGTATATAGGGCTTGGTTGGTGGATAATTGTTGAGCGTGTGTGTTTGTGTGTGTATGTAAGAGACGAGATCTCACTGTCTCACCCACAGGCTGGAGTCCAGTGGCACAATCATGACTCACTGCAGCCTCCACGCCCTAGACTCAATTGATTCTCCCACCTCCGCCTCCCGAGTAGCTGAGACTATTTACCATGTTCCAGCACCCCTGGGCCACAGAGCGAGACTCCGTCTCAAACACACACACACACACACACACACACACACACACACACACACAATGACCATAGACTCACCAAGTAAAGTCCCGAGGAGCTGAGACTATTTACCATGTTCCAGCACCCCTGGGCCACAGAGCGAGACTCCGTCTCAAACACACACACACACACACACACAAAATGACCATAGACTCACCAAGTAAAGTCCCGAGTAGCTGAGAGTATTTACCATGTTCCAGCACCCCTGGGCCACAGAGCGAGACTCCGTCTCACACACACACACACACACACACACACACACACATACACACACAATGACCATAGACTCACCAAGTAAAGTCCCGAGGAGCTGAGACTATTTACCATGTTCCAGCACCCCTGGGCCACAGAGCGAGACTCCGTCTCAAACACACACACACACACACACACAAAATGACCACAGACTCACCAAGTAAAGTCCCGAGTAGCTGAGAGTATTTACCATGTTCCAGCACCCCTGGGCCACAGAGCGAGACTCCGTCTCAAACACACACACACACACACACACACAAAATGACCATAGACTCACCAAGTAAAGTCCCGAGGAGCTGAGACTATTTACCATGTTCCAGCACCCCTGGGCCACAGAGCGAGACTCCGTCTCACACACACACACACACACACACACACACACACACACACACACAAAATGACCACAGACTCACCAAGTAAAGTCCCGAGGAGCTGAGAGTATTTACCATGTTCCAGCACCCCTGGGCCACAGAGCGAGACTCCGTCTCACACACACACACACACACACACACACACACACACACACACAAAATGACCACAGACTCACCAAGTAAAGTCCCGAGTAGCTGAGAGTATTTACCATGTTCCAGCACCCCTGGGCCACAGAGCGAGACTCCGTCTCAAACACACACACACACACACACACACACACACACACACACACACACACAAAATGACCATAGACTCACCAAGTAAAGTCCCGAGGAGCTGAGACTATTTACCATGTTCCAGCACCCCTGGGCCACAGAGCGAGACTCCGTCTCACACACACACACACACACACACACACACACACACAAAATGACCACAGACTCACCAAGTAAAGTCCCGAGGAGCTGAGACTATTTACCATGTTCCAGCACCCCTGGGCCACAGAGCGAGACTCCGTCTCAAACACACACACACACACACACACACACACACACACAAAATGACCACAGACTCACCAAGTAAAGTCCCGAGGAGCTGAGACTATTTACCATGTTCCAGCACCCCTGGGCCACAGAGCGAGACTCCTACTCAAAAAAAAAAAACAAAAAAAAAAACAAACAAAAAAAAAACAGAAAACCGCATCGTCTCCAAGGCACTGGGGAGACTCCAGCTACAAAGACAAACAGGTGCGCAGGGGATTTTTCATTAAAGCGACAGGAATTTTCTCCATTTTTAAGTATCGTAAACATATACAACACACAGGAAATGAGTCCTCGGAGGCTGTTTGGGCCCAGAGCAGCAGAGATAATTAGGTTAGTGAAGTAATTGAAATACAATATCACAGGATAGCTTGGCCGTCCTTCCCGTCTTTATTAGGGTGGATTATACCTGCTTGAGAGATTATTTATAGCCTCGTGGTATCCTGGTAATAAAAGATTGGTAATGGAAAAGTGTATCTAAACAGGACACGGATGACATCAGCATTGCAAATTTTTCTGAGCAAATGAGAAGGGAAGAGATAGTATAAAATTATTAATAAATTACGTTAGGCACCGTGGCTCACGCCTGTCATCCCAGCACTTTGGGAAGCCGAGGTAGGTGGATGACCTGAGGTCAGGAGTTCGAGACCAGCCTGGCCAACACAGAGAAACCCCGTCTCTACTAAAAATACAAAAATTAGCCAGGCGTGGTGGTGCATGCCTGTCATCCCAGCACTTTGGGAGTCTGATGCAGGCGGATCACCTGAGGTTGGGAGTTCGACACCAGCCTGGCCAACATGGTGAAACCCCATCTCTACCAAGATACAAAAATGAGCTGGGCGTGGTGGTGGGCACCTGTAATCCCAGCTACTCAGGAGGGAGGCCGAGGCAGGAGAATGGCGTGAACCCGGGAGGCGGAGGTTGCAGTCAGCTGAGATTGCACCACTGCACTCCAGCCTGGGAGACAGAGGGAGACTCCATGTCAAAAAAAAAAAAAAAATTATCCAAGAGAAGAGATACATGGAGCAGAGTATAGGAGAGGCAGGCACAAGCTTCTTGTTGTCTCTTCCCAGTGGAAGGGTAGACCCAGCTTCTCCCAGCCATGATGTGTGACAGCAAACGCAAGATATTGCCGAGTAGATAAGTTCATCCACGTCTGGAATTCCAGGGTCTTTACTGGGGGGATGGTCTACACAGGAGGAACCTCCTGCTTGGCTGACTTCAGGATCCAGCCCTTCCAGAGGTGAAGGTGAATCCATGTTCCCCCAAACCCCGCCGCAGATCACATGGCAGCTTAAGTAACCTGGTGTGGCCCAGACCACGCAGCACGGCCCAAGACACCCGGGCAAACGCGGACGTTTTTCCTGGGGTCCTTGGAATGTTCTGCCTGATAAGAGTGTCCTTCTGGCAGGGTTTGGTGGCTCAGGCCTGTCATCCCAGCACTTTGGGAGGCCGAGGCGGGTGGATCACCTCAGGTCGGGAGTTCGAGACCAGCCTGACCAACATGGTGAAACCCCATCTCTACTAAAAATGCAAAATTAGCCAGGCGTGGTGGCGCGCACCTGTAATCCCAGCTACTCTGGAGGCTGAGACAGGAGGATCGCTTGAACCCGGGAGGCGGAGGTTGCGGTGAGCTGAGATCACGCCACTGCACTCCAGCCTGGGCAACAAGAGCAAAACATCTTAAAAAAAAAAAAGAGTTTCCTTCTGGCAGGGTTTGGTGGCTCATGCCCGTAATCCCAGCACTTTGGGAGAGGGAAGCAGGAGGATGACTGGAGTTCAGGAGTCTGAGACCAGACTGAGCCCGTTTTATGTTTTGTTGTTGTTGAGACAACGTCTCACTCTGTCCCCCAGGCTGGAGAGCACTGGTGAAATCACAGCTCATTGCAGCCTTGAACTCCTGGGCTCAAGCAGTCCTCCCACCTAAGCCTCCAAATAGCTGGGACCGCATACCTGAGTCACCACACGTGGCTAACTGCAGGATGTGAACATCTTTGGGGACATTATTCTGTCCCCCACATGGGGATTAGGACGTGGACATCTTTGGGGACATTATTCTGTCTATCACATGGGGATTAGGACGTGGACATCTTTGGGGACATTATTCTGTCTCCCACATGGGGATTAGGACGTGGACATCTTTGGGGACATTATTCTGTCTATCACATGGGGATTAGGACGTGGACATCTTTGGGGATATTATTCTGTCTATCACATGGGGATTAGGACGTGGACATCTTTGGGGACATTATTCTGTCTCCCACATGGGGATTAGGACGTGGACATCTTTGGGGACATTATTCTGTCTATCACATGGGGATTAGGACGTGGACATCTTTGGGGCCATTATTCTGTCTATCACATGGGGATTAGGACGTGGACATCTTTGGGGACATTATTCTGTCTATCACATGGGGATTAGGACGTGGACATCTTTGGGGACATTATTCTGTCTATCACATGGGGATTACGACGTGGACATCTTTGGGGACATTATTCTGTCTATCACATGGGGATTACGACGTGGACATCTTTGGGGACATTATTCTGTCTATCACATGGGGATTAGGACGTGGACATCTTTGGGGACATTATTCTGTCTATCACATGGGGATTACGACGTGGACATCTTTGGGGACATTATTCTGTCTCCCACATGGGGATTAGGACGTGGACATCTTTGGGGCCATTATTCTGTCTATCACATGGGGATTAGGACGTGGACATCTTTGGGGCCATTATTCTGTCTATCACATGGGGATTAGGACGTGGACATCTTTGGGGACATTATTCTGTCTATCACATGGGGATTAGGACGTGGACATCTTTGGGGACATTATTCTGTCTATCACATGGGGATTAGGACGTGGACATCTTTGGGGACATTATTCTGTCTCCCACATGGGGATTAGGACATGGACATCTTGGGGACATTATTCTGTCTATCACATGGGGATTAGGACGTGGACATCTTTGGGGCCATTATTCTGTCTCCCACATGGGGATTAGGACGTGGACATCTTTGGGGACATTATTCTGTCTATCACATGGGGATTAGGACGTGGACATCTTTGGGGACATTATTCTGTCTATCACATGGGGATTAGGACGTGGACATCTTTGGGGCCATTATTCTGTCTCCCACATGGGGATTAGGACGTGGACATCTTTGGGGCCATTATTCTGTCTATCACATGGGGATTAGGACGTGGACATCTTTGGGGCCATTATTCTGTCTCCCACATGGGGATCAGGACGTGGACATCTTTGGGGCCATTATTCTGTCTATCACATGGGGATCAGGACGTGGACATCTTTGGGAGTGACATTATTTATCCCTCCACCATTCACTCTGTCCCAGGATCCATTCCATCCTCCCCTGACTTCCCTTTCTTGTGAGCGTGGCTGAGGCAAAATCTGCCCGTCTCCCAAGACTGCAGGCTGCACCTGCCCCGACTCCGCATTTCTCTTCCTCTTACGTACGCCCCTTCAATGCCATTCCTCTGTCTCACTTCACGTCTGTTCAGTGCTTTCAGGAGAGAATTCACCGGGGGGATCACCTCTGAACAACGCCATTCACCAGCTCTCTGGGGCCTGCGAGTCTCTGCCTTCATCCTCACGGTCTACGAGGCAACGTGATCCTGCTTTTTTATTATTCCTGGGTGGACGCTAACCGCCTCCTGGTTTCCTGGGGCCCAGCAACGTCCACACTGGCCCTCCTGGCTTCTTTGTCTAGATTCCCTTCTTGAACTTCAATGTGAAGCGTTTGCGTACCTGCCACCACACTTCCTCCCACGTTCCAAAGCCCGGTCAGCTTTCTCACAGCGGAACTCAAACACCAGGGGCTTATCTTCACCAGTGCTGCAAAAACAGCCTTTCCCAACGGGCCTTCTCTTTCATGTCGAGCCCGTTCCTCCTCTTCCCTCCCTCCTGTGGGCAGCGGCGGCTGCGTTTCTGAGCAACTGGCTTCATGGGGGCGGAAAGACACAGAAGATGCTTCTGCAGGGGGACGGTTTCTGAAGCCCACATGACCAGTGGGGCAGCCGGGGCGGGGCAGAACGTGCTTTTAGTTTATTTTTATTATTTTATTTCATTTATTGTATTTATTTATTTTACACATTTATTTATTTTTCTGAGATGGAGCTTAGCTCTGTTGTCCAGGCTGGAGTGCAGTGGTGCCGGGCAGAATGTGCTTTTAGTTTATTTTTATTATTTTATTGTATTTTATTTATTTATTTAATTAATTTATTTATTTTATATATTTATTTATTTATCTGAGATGGAGTTTCACTCTGTTGTCCAGGCTGGAGTATAGTGGTGTGAAGCAGAACGTGCTTTTATTTTATTTTTATTATTTTATTTTATTTATTTACTTATTTTTTTTTATATATATATATATTTTTTTGAGACGGAGTTTCACTCTGTTGTCCAGGCTGCAGTGCAGTGGTGCCGGGCAGAAAGTGCTTTTAGTTTATTATTTTATTGCAGCTTATTTATTTATTTAATTATTTATTATTTACTTATTTACTGAGACGGAGTTTCACTCCTGTCGCCCAGGCTGGAGTGCAGTGGCGCGATCTCGACTCACTGCAAGCTCCGCCTCCCGGGTTCAAGCGATTCTCCTGCCTCAGCCTCCCGAGTAGCTGCGATTACAGGCACCTGCCACCACCATGCCCGGCTAATTTTTGTATTTTTAGTAGAGACGGGGTTTTGCCATGTTGGCCAGGCTGGTCTTGAACTCCTGACCTCAGGTGATCCGCCCGCCTCGGCCTCCCAAAGTGCTGGGATTATGGGTGTGAGCCACTGCGCACGGCCATATTTTATCTATTTATTTACTTGCTCACTTATTTTGATATGTAGTCTCACTCTGTCCCGCAGGCTGGAGTGCAGTGGCGCAATCTTGACTCTCTGCAATCTCCACCTCCCGGGTTCAAGTGATTGTTCTGCCTCAGCCTCCTGAGTAGCTGGGGTCACAGGCACCTGCCACCATGACCAGCTAATTTTTGTATTTTTAGTAGAGACAAGGTTTTGCCATGTTGGCCAGGCTGGTCTTGAACTCCCGACCTCAAGTGATCCACCCACCTTGGCCTCCCAATGTGCTGGGATGACAGCTGTGAGCCACCATGCCCAGCCCAGAACATTCTTTTAAATGACAGTGGTGAAGAGCCAAAAAATAATAATAATAATTCTTTTTGTAGTAGTAGATTCAGTTCTAAAGCAAACTTCTTTAAAGACTGGGTGCAAAGCTACCTTTACACACAGAGAGAAACTTCACCCGGAGACAGGATTGCTAGTTGCTGAGATGTACTCAGATCAAACTAAGCTGGAGAGGGGCTCTTGGCCTCAGCACTGCTGACATTTGCGGCTGGAAGATTCTTTGCTGTGGGGCCATCCTGGGCACTGGAGGGTGTTGAGCAGTGTCCCTGGGCTGCACCCACCAGGTTCCAAAACCACCCACTCCCCAGTGAGGGCAACAAAAAATGAAAAATGACCGTAAATACTGCCCGATGGCACCTTAGAGCAGAATTATCTGCAGTTGGGAGTCAGTATCAATATAGATAGAGAGATAGTAGATAACAAACAGATAGATAAATAGATACATAGAAAAATGGATGCATAGGCCGGGCACGGTGGCTCACGCCTGTCATCCCAGCACTTTGGGAGGCCGAGGCGGGCGGATCACCTGAGGTCAGGAGTTCGATACCAGCCTGACCAACATGGTGAAACCCCATCTCTACTAAAAATACAAAAATTAGCTGGGTGTGGTGGCGGGTTCCTGTAGTCCCAGCTACTTGGGATGCTGAGGCAGGAAAATCACTTGAACTCAGGAAGCAGAGGTTTTAGTGAGCCAAGATCATGCCACTGCACTCCAGCCTGGGTGGCAGGAGCAAGACTCTGTCTCAAAAAAAAAAAAAAGAAAAAAGAAAAGAAAGTAAAGAAAAATGGATGCATAGGTAGAAAAATACAAAAAATAGATGATAGATAGATAGCTAGATAGATGATGGAGATGATAGATAGATAGATAGATAGATAGATAATATAGAAAAATAGAGAAATGGATAATAGATGGATACGGAATAGATGGATAGAGATAGATACATAGATAGATGACAGATACATAAATAGATGATAGGTGATGGATAGATCGATAGAGATAGATGATACAAAGATAGAAAAATAGATGGATAGAGATAGATAGAAAAAAATAGATACATGATAGATAGATAAATAAATGACAGAAAAATAAACAGGGACTGGGCGTGGTGGCTCACACCTGCAATCCCAGAACTTTGGGAGGCTGAGGCGGGCGGATCACCCGAGGTCAGGAGTTTGAGACCAGCCTGGCCAACATGGTGAAACCCCATCTCTACTAAAAATACAAAAATCAGCCGGGCGTGGTGGTGCACACCTACAATCCCAGCTACTCGGGCATGGTGGTGCACACCTACAGTCCCAGCTACTTGGGAGACAGAGGCAGGAGAATCACTTTAACCTGGAAGAAGGAGGTTGCAGTGAGCTGAGATCGTGCCATTGCGCTCCAGCCTGGAAGATGAGAGTGAAACTCCATCAAAGAAAGGAAGAAAGAAAGAGAAAGAAAGGAAAAGAAAGAAAGAGAGAGAAAGGAAAGGAAGGAAGGATGGAAGGAAGGGCAAGAAAGAGAGAGAGAAATAAAGAAAGAAAGAAAAGAGAGAAAGGAAAGGAAGGAAGGATGGAAGGAAGGGAAAGAAAGAGAGAGAGAAAGAAAGAAAGAAGAAGGAGAAAGAAAGAAGAGAGAGGAAAGGAAGGAAGGATGGAAGGAAGGGAAAGAAAGAGAAAGAAAGAAAGAAAGAGAAAAAGAAAGAGAAAGAAAGAGAAAAAGAAGAAAGAAAGAAAAAAGAAAGAAAGAGAGAAAGAAAGAAAGAAAGAAAGAAAAGAAAAGAAAAAGAAAAATAGGGAGACAGATGCAGAGACGGAGTGTCTTGTGTCTGAGCCTCAGCACTGCTGACATTTAGGGCTGGATGACTGACTCTGTGATGGGGCCGTCCTGTGCCCTGTAGGATGCTGAGGAGCATCTCTGGGCTCGCCCACCGGGCCCCAGGAGCACCCCCTATCCCAGTTCTGACAACTAAAGGTAATTTCCAGACAGTGCTCAGTGTCCTCTGCGGGTGCAGAATCGCCCCTGGCTGAGGACCTCTCACCACTGATGTCTCCCTGACTCTGAGAGTTTTACCCATGGGTGATGATACTTTGGAACTCAGAATATCCTGTAGCCATTTATGTCCCAGGGAGAGAGAGGAAGAGAGAGGAGAAAGCGGAAGAGAGACGAGAGAGAGAGAGAAGAGAGAGAAAAGATAGAAAGAGAAAGAGAGGAGAGAGAGAGAGGACAGAGAAAGAGGAGAGAGAGAGAGGAGAGAGAAACAGAGAGGAGAGAGGACAGAGAGAAGAGAGAGGAGAGAGAAAAAGAGAGGACACAGAAAGAGGAGAGAGAAAGAGAGAGGAGAGAGAGAAAAGAGGGAAAGAGGAGAGAGAGAAAAGAGGGAAAGAGGAGGGAGAGAGAGGACAGAGAAAGAGGAGAGACACAGGAGAGAGAAAGAAAGAGAAGAGAGAGAGGAGAGAGGGAAAGAGAGAAAGAGAGAGAGAGGAGAGAGAGAGAGAGAGACCAAGACCCACCTCTTTCTCCGTTTCTGAAGTCAGGATTTTGCACCCGGAAAAGAGCACATTGAGGCCGGCCTTCCAGTTGCGGTGGGGCTGAGCCCGTGTCTGCAACCCAGATGCCATTTGGGAAATCATGGTTTTCTCCTGCACAGGGTCCATAGGCCCGGGGGGCAAATTTCCCACTTAACAGACGGTCCTTCTAGCAGGGTTGGTACAGAAGCTTCCCTTTCACTAACATCTTCCAACCTTCCTTCTAAAAAAAAAAAAAAAAAAGTAGGGGGAGAGGGGGAGGTAACCACAGAACAGTTCTTTTATTTATTTTCCCCAAAACAATCAACTATTTAGCCAGCGCGTCCCTGGCTTCTCACCTTGGTGGTCAGGTCATTAATTATGAGCCCAGGTCGCCGCTAAAGACCTTTCCTGGCTGGTCCTGCCTCGGTGCACACAGCAGCAATAGCTGGGGCTTGTCAGGGCCTCCGCAGACCCCCAGGAGCTGGGGTGAGGGAAAGTGAGTCCTAAAAGGGCCACTGTGCCTGGAAGGACGAAGGAGGGAGCTGGGAGGAGGGAGGGAGGGAGACCGTGGTCTCTCTCCAGCCTCTGGAGGCCGTGCCAACTGGGGCTGACGGAGAGGGTGCATTTCACCCTGGCAATGCCTCCACTTTTCCCGGATTCAGAACTTGCAGCCTTGGAGTCTGGGGCAGGAGAGCCTGCCTTCTGGGAACCCCTCTGTCTCGAGATGATGAGGGTCACAGCTTCCCCATCACAGCTGGCCAATCGAGGCACGACCAAAATCGATTCACAGGAGTCTGTGCCTCGACCTCCAAAGCCACATTGGCTTTTTTTGCTCTGCGTGTCTTCAATCTCTCCAGCTGGCTGAGAGTGTATTTTTTTTTACAAGAGACATTTAGGATGAGAAATGAAGGTTTACATGAATTAAACAGGCTGGGCACAGTGGCTCACGCCTGTCATCCCAGCACTTTGGGAGGCCGAGGAGGGTGGATCGCCTGAGGTCGGGAGTTCGAGACCAGCCTGGCCAACATAGGAAAACCCCGTCTCTACTAAAAATACAAGATTAGCCGGGCGCGGTGGCTCACGCCTGTCATCCCAGCACTTTGGGGGGCCGAGGAGGGTGGATCACTTGAGGTCGGGAGTTCGAGACCAGCCTGGCCAACATAGGGAAACCCCATCTCTACTAAAAATACAAGATTAGCCGGGCGCGGTGGCTCACGCCTGTCATCCCAGCACTTTGGGGGGCCGAGGAGGGTGGATCACTTGAGGTCAGGAGTTCGAGACCAGCCTGGCTAACACAGGGAAACCCCGTCTCTACTAAAAATACAAAAATTAGCTGGGTGTGGTGGCGTGTGCCTGTAATTCCAGCTACTCAGGAGACTGAGGCAGGAGAATTGCTTAAACCGGGACGCAGGAGGCGGAGGTTGCAGTGAGCCAAGATCGCACCACTGCACTCCAGCCTTGGCTACAGAACAACGCTCCACTTAAAAAAAAAAAAAGTTAAGATTCTATGACACTGGGTGCAGGAGCTCACGCCTGTAGCCTGTAATGCCAGCACTTTGGGAGGCTGAGGCAGGCGGATCGCCTGAGGTCGGGAGTTCGAGACCAGCCTGGCCAACATGGCGAAACCCCATCTCTACTAAAAATACAAAAATTAGTCGGGCGTGGTGGTGGGCGCCTGTAATCCCAGCTACTTGGGAGGCTGAGGCAGGAGAATCGCTGAAACTTGATCTAAAATAATAATAATAATAATAATAATAAATCCATAAATGTATACTGAGAAGTAGAGTATTTAATTCATTTATTTATTTTTATTTCATTATTTTATTTTATTGTTTAGACAGAGTCTCCCTCTGTTGCCCAGGCTGGAGTGCAATGGCGTGATCTCAGCTCACTGCAACCTCCGCCTCCCGGGTTCAAGCGATTCTCCTGCCTCAGTCTCCTGAGTAGCTGGGATTACAGGCGCCCGCCACCACGCCCGGCTAATTTTTGTATTTTAGTAGAGACGGGGTTTCACCATGTTGGCCAGGCTGGTCTTGAACTCCTGACCTCATGATCCGCCCGCCTCGGCCTCCCAAAGTGCTGGGATGACAGGCGTGAGCCACCGCGGCTGGCCAGTGTGAATGTCATTAATGCCACAAAACTATAAACTTCAAAGTGGTTAAGACGGTAAAGTTTACATGATGTATTTTTGACCATCATTTTTAAAAAGAAGTTTATATGCAAAAGTTCATCTGATTCTTTCATTGTTCACTAACGTTCACTGTAATATTCCTTGCTACAAAGCAAGCCCGCTCTGAATCACAGTTGCCCTCAGGATGTAATAAAACCTTACTTAAGAATAATATAAACCACCTTCTTTCCTGCGGGAATTTGGCCGTACATGGAATGAGGCTGGAGTCTCCGAGTCAGGAATTCCTCATGTTGAAAGCTTTGATGTCTGGAACCACCCTGGAGGAATGTAGCTAATTCTGTTTTTGAGTTTTCACGGATCCCTAATATGGACAGAGACATCGTGACAACTTTGGTTCTGGGGTCGTGCTGACCCAAGACTGCACCTAGATTTCCTGCTGTGGGCGCATGGCTGCTCTGCTCTCCTCTCCCCTCCCCTCCCCTCCTCCCCTACCTCCTCTCCTCCCCTCGCTGTTTCCCCATCACACCACTTCAGTTGCTTAGATGCTCTCCTCTCCCCTCCTCTCCTCTCCTCCCCTCTCCTCTCCTCCCCTCTTCTCTCCTCTCCTCTCCTCCCCTCCCCTCCCCTCCCTGCTTCCCCATCACACCAGTTGAGTTGCTTAGATGCTCTCCTCTCCTCTCCTCCCCTCCTCTCCCCTTTCTTTTCTTCTGTTTTTTTCTTTTCTTTTCTGAAACAGAGTCTCACTCCGTCGCCCAGGCTGCAGTGCAGTAGTGGGATCTCAGCTCACTGCCACCTCTGCCTCCTGGGTTCAGGCGATTCTCTTGCCTCAGCCTCCTGAGTAAGTGGGATTACAGGCATCGGCCACCACGCCCGGCTGATGTTTTTAGGAAACCTTCAGAAACCAATGGGCTGGAAGAGAAAAGCTTTGAGAAATGTCGAGATGTTAAAAATACAATCACAGGCCGGGCGTGGCGGCTCACGCCTGCAATCCCAGCACTTTGGTAGGCCGAGGCGGGCGGATCACGAGGTCAGGAGATCGAGACCAGCCTGGCCAATATAGTCAAACCCCGTCTCTACTAAAAATACAAAAAATTAGGTGGCCGTGGGGGCAGGTGCCTGTAATCCCAGCTACTCAAGAGACTGAGGCAGGAGAATCTCTTGACCCCGGGAGGCGGAGGTTGCAGTGAGCCGAGATCACAGCAATGCACTCCAGCCTGGGTGACGGAGCGAAACTCTGTCTCAGAAAAAAAAAAAAAAAAAAAAATGCAATCACATGACTTTTACCAAAGCCATCGACAAGGGTCCCCAAGAAGACTAGGAACAAATCTTCAGCATTTTAACTGGAAAGAGTCAGGGCATTAAGAAATTATATAACCATAAATCCCACCTGTAGAATTTGAGCATTAATGAGTTTTACCTGTATTAGGTAAATTACAGCAGACTCTGAATTGCAGAAACTTTATGCAATATTTGGTTAACCTGTATATGATTGTGTTCTCTGTGTGTGTGTGTGTCTGTTTAAAAAAGGAAACTTTGAATTATTTAAGTCTGAAGAAAAGGGGACATTTCATTGCACATGATTTTTAATAATATTTTTATGGGGCTTAATTCTACTGCAAAGTTTCCGTCTCCTGGAAAATTCTGAACAGGCGCTATTTGCTTGGATTATCCAAAGCCCTAAACTGCAAACGCAGAGGTAAAGACCTCTGTCCTTTTATTGCATTTGGCCTCTCCTGGTTTTCTGTTGAGTGGATATAATGATGGTGATCAATTCTCAATTGTGGTTTTGCTCAGCACTAAAAGAAACTTTGTTTTTTTTGAGACGGAGTCTCGCTCTGTCGCCCAGGCTGGAGTGCCGTCATGCGACCTTGGCTCACTGCAAGCTCCATCTCCCGGGTTCAAGTGATTCTCCTGCCTCATCCTCCCGAGTAGCTGGGACGACAGGCGCCCGCCACCACACCTGGCTAATTTTTTGTATTTTTAGTAGAGATGGGGTTTTACCATGTTGGCCAGGCTGGTCTCGATCTCCTGACCTCGTGATCCGCCCGCCTCGGCCTCCCAAAGTGCTGGGATGACAGGTGTGAGCCTCCACGTCCAGCCCATTTTTTTTTTGTATTTTTAGTAGAGACGGGGTTTCACCATGTTGGCCAGGCTGGTCTCGATCTCCTGACCTCGTGATCCTCCCGCCTCGGCCTCCCAAAGTGCTGGGATGACAGATGTGAGCCTCCACGTCCAGCCCATTTTTTTTTTGTATCTTTAGTAGAGACGGGGTTTCACCATGTTGGCCAGGCTGGTCTCCATCTCCTCACCTCGTGATCCTCCCGCCTCGGCCTCCCAAAGTGCTGGGATGACAGATGTGAGCCTCCACGTCCAGCCCATTTTTTTTTTGTATTTTTAGTAGAGACGGGGTTTCACCATGTTGGCCAGGCTGGTCTCGATCTCCTCACCTCGTGATCCTCCCGCCTCGGCCTCCCAAAGTGCTGGGATGACAGGCATGAGCCACCGCAACCGGCCTGAAAAAAAGTCCTAAGGGTCAGACAGTGTGCAGGACAAACCCTCAGTGAAGGTTCTTACCTCCGAAACACTCCTCTTGCCCCAGTAAAAGGATGCCCATTTCAATCTCCGAAACCAAACAACTATGCAGCATCCATGCCTGTGGCCGATAGGACCCACGTACAAAATTAAACCTCTCTTAATTGGGCCGGGCGCGGTGGTTCACGCCTGTCATCCCAGCACTTTGAGAGGCCGAGGCAGGCGGATCACCTGAGGTCAGCAGTTCGAGACCAGCCTGGCCAACATGGTGAAACCTGGTCTCTACTAAAAATACAAAAGTCAGCCAGCTGTGGTCGTGGGCGCCAGTAATCCCAGCTACTCAGGAGGCTGAGGTAGGAGAATCACTTGAGCCCAGGAGGCGGAGGTTGCAGCGAGCCAGGATGGCGCCACTGCACTCCAGCCTGGCTACAGAGTGAGACTCCGTCTGAAAGATAATAATAATTTTTAAAAAAATTAGCCGGGTGTGGTGGCGGGCACCTGTCATGCCAGCTACTTGGGAGGCTGAGGCAGGAGAATCGCTCGAACGCGGGAGTCGGAGGTTGCAGTGAGCCGAGATCACACCACTGCACTCCAGCCTGGGTGACAGAGCAAGACTCCATCTCAAAAAAAAAAAAAAAAAAAGTCACATCAGAATCGGAATTGCAGTTTTAAGAAGATGGAACTTCATTTGGAATCATTTCCTTATCACTAAGCTCTTCCAACAGTCCCTACACCATTGAGACTGGGGCCATGGAGGTGTGTTCCTGTCAGGGCAGCTAGAGAAGCTCTGCGGTTCTGAGTTTTCACACTTGTATTACCAAAAGGCAACGCTCGGCCTGGTGCGATGGCTCATGCCTGTCATCCCAGCACTTTGGGAGGCCCAGGTGGGTGGATCACCTGAGGTCAGGAGTTCGAGACCAGCCTGGTCAACATGGTGAAACCCGGTCTCTACTAAAAATACAAACATTAGCCAGGCGTGGTGGATCACGCCTGTCATCCCAGCACTTTGGGAGGCTGAGGCAGGCGGATCACCTGAGGTCAGGAGTTTGACACCATCCTGACCAACATGGTGAAACCCTGTCTCTACTAAAAATACAAAAATTAGTCAGGCGTGGTGGCGTGCGCCTGTAATCCCAACTACTCGGGAGACTGAGGCAGGAGAATCACTCGAACCCGGGAGGCGGAGGTTGCAGTCAGCTGAGATCGCACCACTGCACTCCAGCCTGGGTGACAAGAGCAAAACTCCATCTCAAAAAGAGAGAAAAATCAAAAGCAACACTGGAAGTTGTAGGTATTGGCTGCCACCAAGTGGCGATTTGAGGAGCAACGCCTTCACCGTCTACCCGGTTTGTGAAACAAAACAAGTTACCAGTAAAACTGAAGGCTTTTCTGAGAGGTCGCAGACCAGTTTTACAGACAAGCATAGACTCCCTGGTGGCCAGGTGCGGTGGCTCACGCCTGTCATCCCAGCACTTTGGGGGGCCGAGGTGGGTGGATCATGAGGTCACGAGTTCGAGACCAGCCTGACCAACATGGTGAAACCCCATCTCTACTAAAAATACAAAAATTAGCCGGGCGCGGTGGCTCACGCCTGTAATCGCAGCACTTTGGGAGGCCGAGGTGGGTAGATCATGACGTCAAGAGATCGAGACCAGCCTGGCCAACATGATGAAACCCCGTCTCTACTAAAAATACAAAAAAAAATTAGCCTGGCGTGGTGGCAGCTGCCTGCAATCCCAGCTACTCAGGAGGCTGAGGCAGGAGAATTGCTTGAATCCAGGAGGTAGACGTTGCTGTGAGCACAGATCGCACCGCTGCACTCCAGCCTGGGCAACAAGAGTGCCACTCTGTCTCAAAAACAAAACAAAACAAAACAAAACAAAACAAAAAAACAGGGCCAGGTGAGGTGGCTCATGCCTGAGCACTTTGGGAGGCCGAGGCAGGCAGATCACCTGAGGTCAGGAGTTTGAGACCAGCCTGGCCAATACGGTGAAACCCTGACTCTACTAAAAATACAAAAATTAGCTGGGTGTGGTGGCAGCTGCCTGTAATCGCAGCTACTCGGAAGGCTGAGGCAGGAGAATTGCTTGAACCCGAGAGGTAGAGGTTACAGTGAGTGGAGATCGCACCACTGCACTCCAGCCTGGGCAACAAGAGTGAAACTCTGTCTAAGAAAAAAAATAAATAAAATAAAGGCCGGGCACGGCGGCTCACGCCTGTCATCCCAGCACTTTGGGAGGTTGAGGCGGGTGGATCATCTGAGGTCGGGAGTTCGAGACCAGCCTGGCCAACGTGGTGAAACCCCATCCCTACTAAAAATACAAACATTAGCCGGGTGTGGTGGTGGGTGCCTGTAATCCCAGCTACTCCGGAGGCTGAGGCAGGAGAATCGGTTGAACCCGGGAGGTAGAGGTTGCGGTGAGCCCAGGTTGCACCAGATCCCGTAACAACCCTAACAAGACAAGTGGAAACAGGCTTTGCGGTCTTCAGGGTCAAAGGCTGTGCAGACGAGGACGCTGTCTCTGCAGTTAACAATGTAACATTGACCCCACCTTTCTCAGAGTAGCAGACCAGTCTCTGTCCATTCGGATGTCAGGGAGGCTGCTGGCTAATCAGGGAGGTAACAGAGTTGAGTGTGGTGGGTAGTGAATGAGTAAAGGAGGGCGGTCTAGTATTAGTCCCTTTTCAGGCTGCTGATAAAATCATACCAACACCAGGTAATTTATAAAGAAAAGAGGATTTTTTTATTGTTTTTATTTTTATTATTTTTTTTAAGGCAGAGTCTCACTCTGTCGCCAAGCCTGGAGTGCAGTGGCGCAATCTCGGCTCACCGCAACCTCCGCCTCCCGGGTTAAAGCGATCCTCCTGCCTCAGCCTCCTGAGTAGCTGGGACTACAGGTACCCACCACCACGCCCGGCTAATTTTTGTATTTTTAGTAGAGACGGGGTTTTACCACGTTGATCAGGCTGGTCTCGAACTCCTGACCTCAGGTGATCCACCTGCCTCGGCCTCCCAAAGTGCTGGGATGACAGGCGTGAGCCACCGCGCCCAGCCAGGAAGGGGTTTAATGGACTGACAGTTCCACATAGGGGACGACAAAAGTCACATCTTCTATGGCAGCAGACAAGAAAAGAGAGAGAGAGAGACAGAGACAGAAACAGAGAGAAAGAGAGAGACAGAGACAGAGAGACAGAGACAGAGAGAGACAGAAAGAGAGAGAGAGACAGACAGAGGGAGAGAGACACAGAGAGAAAGAGAGACAGAGAGACAGAGAGAGAGAGACAGAGACACAGAGAGACACAGAGACAGAGAGAGACACACAGAAAGAGAGACAGAAAGAGAGAGAGAAAGAGAGACAGGGACAGAGAGACAGAGAGAGAAAGAGACAGAGACAGAGAGAAAGAGGCAGAGAGAGACAGAAACAGAGAGAGAGAGACAGGGACAGAGAGACAGAGAGAGAGAGAGACAGAGAGAAAGAGACAGAGAGAGACAGAAAGAGAGAGACAGACAGAGGGAGAGAGACAGAGAGAGAGAGAAAGAGAGACAGAGACACAGAGAGAGACAGAGACAGAGAGACACAGAGAGACAGACAGAGAGACAAAGAGAGACAGAGAGACACAGAGAGACAGAGAGACAGAGACAGAGACAGAAAGACAGAGAGAGAGACAGAGAGAAAGAGAGAGAGACACAGAGAGAAAGAGAGAGACAGAGAGAAAGAGATAGAGACAGAAAGAGAGTGACAGAGACAGAAAGAGAGAAAGAGAGAGACAGAGAGACAGGGAGAGAGAGACAGAGAGAGACAGACAGAGAGAAAGAGACAGAGAGAAAGAGACAGAGAGACAGACAAAGAGAGACAGACAGAGAGACACAGGGAGAGACAGAGACAGAGAGAGAGAGACAGAGAGACAGGGAGAGACAGAGACAGAGAGACAGAGACAGAGAGAGACAGAGACAGAGAGAAACAGAGAGACAGACAGAGAGACAAAGAGAGACAGAGAGACAGAGACAGAGAGACACAGAGAGACAGACAGAGAGACAAAGAGAGACAGAGAGACAGAGACAGAGAGACACAGAGAGACAGACAGAGAGACAGAGAGAGACAGAGACAGAAAGAGAGAGAGACAGAGAGAGAGACACAGAAAGAGAGAGACAGAGACAGAGAGAAAGAGATAGAGACAGAAAGAGAGTGACAGAGACAGAAAGAGAGAAAGAGAGAGACAGAGAGACAGGGAGAGAGAGACAGAGAGAGACAGACAGAGAGAAAGAGACAGAGAGAAAGAGACAGAGAGACAGACAGAGAGACAGACAGACAGAGAGACACAGGGAGAGACAGAGACAGAGAGAAAGAGAGAGACAGAGAGACAGGGAGAGAGAGACAGAGACAGGGAGAGACAGAGACAGAGAGAGAGAGACAGAGAGACAGAGACAGAGAGAAACAGAGAGAGAGAGACAGAGAGAGACAGAGACAGAGAGAGAGAAACACACAGACAGAGAGACAGACAGAGAGAGAACAAGAGACAGAAAGAGAGAGAACCGAGGGAAAAGGGAAACCGCTGATAAAGCATCAGACCTTGTGAGACGTATTCACGACCCTGAGAACAGTACGGGGGAAACTGCCTCCACGATTCAATTCTCTCCCACTAGGTCCCTCCCACGATACAGAGGGATTATGGGAGCTAGGGTCCAAGATGAGATTTGGGTGAGGACACAGCCAAACCACATCAGTAGGTGTCAAAACTGGACCCAATTCTCTTATGATAATGTAGTCAATAAAATAAAATAAAATAAAATAGGGCCAGGTGCAATGGCTCACACCTGTAATCCCAGCGCTTTGGGAGGTTGAGGCAGGTGGATCACGAGGTCAGGAGTTCAAGACCAGCCTGGCCAATGTGGTGAAACCCCATCTCAACTAAAAATACAAAAATCAGCTGGGCGTGGTGGCAGGTGCCTGTAATCCCAGCTACTTGGGAGGCTGAGGCAGGAGAATTGCTTGAACCTGGGAGGTAGAGGTTGCAGTGAGCGGAGATTGCACCATTGCATTCTAGCCTGGGTAACGAAAGTGAAATTCTATCTAAAAAACAAATATATATATACATATATATATATACACGTGTGTGTGTGTGTGTATATACATATACCATATATACACATATATACATATATACATATACATATATACACATATATACACATATACATATACATATACATATATACACATACATACACATATATACATATATACATATACACATATATACACATGTACACATATATACATATATACACATATATACACACATATATACATATATACACATATACACATAGATACACATATACAGATATATACACATATATACATATATACACATATACATATACATATATACACATACATACACATATATACATATATACATATACACATATATACACATATACACATATATACATATATACACACATATATACATATATACACATATACACATATACACATAGATACACATATATACATATATACACATATATATAATTTAAAAAATAATATAGACAGGCCTCATTGATATTTGGGCACCCATACTGCCTTTTGCACATATGTCAAAAAAAAACCCATCCTTAATAAATTGCATTATGCCCACAGCTGGTGCACGTGCGTGTGGAATGTAGCATGCTAAGTCATCTGCATGGAGGATGCATTGTGCGGTCATGGGGGTGTAGAGTGAATGTGGGGAGTGGGAAGATTTCAGGCAGCTGCTGTGAATACCAACTGATCTCTTACCGGCCCCTCTTTCTAAAAAGGGGGTCAGGACAAGACTCTACCTCGAAAGGTAGAGCAGGGCCTGTCTGTGCCCATCACCAACAGGTGTTCCGAGATTTCAGGTCAATGCCAGGCACGGTGGCTCCCTCCTGTAATCTCAGCGCTTTGGGAGGCTGTGATGGGGGTATTGCTCGAGGCCAGAAGTTTGAGACCAGCCTGGGAAACATAGCAAGGCCTCACCTCCGAAAAAGAAATGTAAAATTAGGTGGCTGGGGTGGTGCCCATCTGCAGTCCCAGCTACTCTGGAGGCTGAGGCGGGGGGTATTACTTCAGCCCAGGAGGTTGAGGCTGCAGTGAGCTGAGATCACACCACTGCACTCCAGCCTGGGCCACATAGCAAGACAAGAAAAAGAAAGGAAGAAAGAAAAGAAAGAAGGAAAGAGGAAAGGAGGAGAGGAAGAGAGAAAGAGAGAGAGAAAGGAAGGAGAGAGAGAGAGAGAAAGAAAGAAACAAAGAATTAAAGAAAGAAAGAGAATGAAAGAGAGAAAGAAAAAAGAGAGAAAGAGAGAAAGGAAGAAAAAGAAAGAGAGAAAAAGAAAGAGAAAGAAAGAAAAGAGAAAGAAAGAAAAAAGAAAGAAAGAAAGAAAAGAAAGAAAGAAAGAAGGAAGGAAAAGAAAAGGAAGGAAGGAAGGAAGGGCTGGGCGTGGTGGCTTACACCTGTAATGCCAGCATTTCGGGAGGCCGAGGTGGGTGGATCACAAGGTCAGGAGTTCGAGACCAGCCTGACCAACATGGTGAAACTCCATCTCTACTAAAAATACAAACATTAGCCGGACGTGGTGGCAGGTGCCTGTAATTCCAGCTGCTCGGGAGGCTGAGGCAGGAGAATCACTTGAACCCAGGAGGCGGAGGTTGCAGTGAGCTGAGATTGTGCCATTGCACTCCAGCCTGGGAGACACAGGGAGACTCCGTCTCGAAATAAATAAATAAATAAAAATAAAATAAAAGATCAAATAAAATAAATAAAAACTGACCCCATTGACACACAGGTACCATCACTGCAGACCCAGCCACGATGCAAAGGATATTTCCCAGTGTTTCCTTTTTGGGACATAAGTATGTAACTGTAGAAATTCATAGTAGGGCCGGGCGCCATGACTCACGCCTCTAATCCCACCACCTTGGGAGGCCAGAGGAGGGAGGATCCCTTGAGCCCAGGAGCTTGAGACCAGCCTCGTCAACACAGCAAGATCCTGTGTCTACAAAAAATGAAAACATTATTCAGATGTGGTGGCGTGCACCTGTAGTCCCAGCTACTTTGAAGGCTGACGCAAAAGAACGTTTCGAACCCACGAGGCGGAGTTTGCAGTGAGCCCAGATGGTGCCCCTGCACTCCAGCCTGGGCAACAGAGTAAGACAAGAAAAAGAAAGGAAGAAAGAAGGAAAGAAAGAAGAAGGAAGGAAAGAAGGAAGGAAGGAGGGAAGGGAGGGAGGGAGGGAGGGAGGGACGGAGGGACGGAGGGAGGGAAAGAAGAAAGGAAAGAGAGAGAGAAAGGAAGGAAGGAGATAGAGAGAAGGAAGGAAGAGAGGGAGGAAGGGAGGGAGAGAGGGAAAGAAGAAAGGAAAGAAAGAGAGAGAGAGAGAAAGGAAGGAAGGAGATAAAGAAAGAGAGAAGGGAGGGAGGGAGGGAAGCGAGAGAGGAGAAGAGGAGTGGAGAGGATGAGAGGAGAGGAGAGGAGAACAGAACAGAACAGAACAGAACAGAACAGAACAGAACAGAACAGAACAGAGAAAAGAGGCCAGGTGCAGTGGCTCACGCCTGTAATCCCAGCACTTTGAGAGGCTGAGGCGGTTGGATCACCTGAGGTTGGGAGTTCGAGACCAGCCTGGCCAACATGGGGAAACCCCATCTCTCCTAAAAATACAAAACTTAGCCGGGTTTGGTGGCAGTCGCCCGGAATGTCAGGTACTCGGGAGGCTGAGGTTGCAGCGAGCTGAGATCGCGCCACTGCACTCCAGCCTGGGCGACAGAGCGAGACTCCATCTCAAAAATAAAATAAAATAACTATCATTCAAATTCAGGGTCCTTGAGCCGTATTCCTAGTTCTATTGACTCACCTCACTTTAAAACTATCGTTCAACAATGAGAACACATGGACACAGGGTGGGGAACATCACACACCGGGGCCTGTTGTGGGGTGGGGAGAGAGGGGAGGGATAGCATTGGGAGATATACCTAATGTTAAATGATGGTTCATGGGTGCAGCACACCAGCATGGCACATGGATACATATGTAACTAACCTGCACGTTGTGCACATGTACCCTAGAACTTAAAGTATAATAATAATAATACAATTTTTAAAATACAATGAAAAAAATACAAATAAAAAATAAAATAAAAAATAGTAAAAATAAAAAATACAAATAAAAATAATGCAATTTAAAAAAAAAACTATCGTTCAAGTATCTGCCCCCGGTTTTCTTCATCTCTGAATGGCTGTTTTTGCAGAACTGGCAGAAACTCAGAACGAACGCCATTCATTCTTAGGACGCAGAGTTAAATTCTGCAACAGCCACAGCATCCTAACGCCTGGTTGCCTGCACCCGCCAGCCTGTTGCAAATGCTCACAGAAAGTCTGAAAACAGGAAATTCTAAAAGAAGGGGTTGCTTTTGTTTGACAACCAGACGGGCCAGTGATTTACAGCCGGACCCGGCCCCTTGCTCCTGGTCAGCCCTCTCGGAGCAGGCAGGTGACGGCACAAATGTCTCGCACAAATGTTGCCCAGGCTCTGAGAATCTGAGAACGCCTTTTGCTTTTTGCAGTTCAAGGGACTTCCACCCCGGGCGGGAGATGCCAGTTCCAGACAAATGCATTTAGGTGGTTTATTATCCCAATTAATTTAATTAGGATTTAATTTAATTTAAATTTAATTGAGATGATTAAATTTATAATAAGGATAATTAAATTAATTAATTTAATTAATGAAGTAATTAAATTAAATTAATTAATTTAATTAATGAAGTAATTAAATTTATTGATTAATTTAATTAATGAAGTAATTAAATTAATTAATTAATTTATTTATTTATTTATATTAAATTAATTATAAATAAATATAAATATTTAAATAATTAAATAATTAAATATTAATTTAATAAACAAATAAATATAAATATTAATTATACAAATATAAATATTATATATTTTATATATAATTAATTTTATATTAAATTTATATATAATTTTATATAAAATTAATTATATAAACATTTATAGCTATTAATAATTATAAATATTAATTAAATAAATATTAATTAATTAATTAATTGTATATTAATAAGTTAGTTGATAAATTTAATTATTGACAAGTATTAATAAATAAATAATTGATAAATTTAATTATTTATAAATTTAATTATTTATTAATTACTTATAATTAATTATATAATAAAAGAATTTATTAATCAAATTACTTTCTTAACTGATTTAATTGTTTTATTAATTAAATTAATTTTATTAATTGATTTAATTAATAAAGTGCATGAAGTGTTTAATAAATTACTTAAATTTATTAATTAATTTAGGATGATTCCTACATCTCATACACGTGTCTTTAAGAAACGCCACACACTCCGAATTTAGTAATTCCTAAATGTCTGGCAGGCCTTCTCAGAGGAAGTGCTGTTTTTCTTTAACAATGGGAACCCTATTTTATCTGTCAGTGAGCAGTCCACACGTTGTAATTTTTTTCTTTCATACGCTGTGAAATATGAGGCATTTTTGCTTCCCCCAACCCCCTTTCTTCGGAAGACAGGGCTTCCTGCTGTCTGGTTTTGCTCTTGTAGCTGAACGTCGCTTGGGGCCAGCGAGATTTAAGCGGTGGTTTTGTGCAAAGCGTTGGAGCCTGGCTCATGAAGGCTGCTTGCAGAATTATGGATAATCCCGTTACCTGGGACTTCCCACTCTTGCAGCTTGCCAGAGTCAGAGAGGTGTTTGTTCTCTGACAACAAAGCCTTCTTTAAAATAAAATAGGATCCACAATTGCGCTGCTGGGCAAAACTTCGTGAGAAATAAAAACTGATAAAACTATGTATATAAATGTTCTGAGAATGAAGCTCTGGTTTTTTTTTTTGTTTTTTTTTTTTTGAGACGGGCGTTTGCTCTTGTCACCCAGGCTGGAGTGCAATGGCGCGATCTGGGCTCACTGCAACCTCCGCCTCCCGGGTTCAAGCGATTCTCCTGCCTCAGCCTCCCAAGTAGCTGGGATGACAGGCGCCCGCCACGACGCGTGACTAATTTTTGTATTATTAGTAGAGACGGGGTTTCACCGTATTGGTCAGGCTGGTCTCGAACTCCTGACCTCAGGTGATCCACCCTCCTCGGCCTCCCAAAGTGCTGAGATTACAGGCATCAGCCACCGTGCCCGGAGTATTTTTTTGTTTGTTTGTTTGTTTTTCTTTTTTTGAAACAGAGTTTTATTCTTGTTGCCCAAGCTGGAGTGCAATGGTGCCACCTGAACTCACTGCAAGCTCCGCCTCCCGGGTTCAAGCGTTTCTCCTGCCTCAGCCTCCCGAGCAGCTGGAATTACAAGTGTGCGCCATCACACCAAGCTAATTTTTGTATTTTTAGTAGAGATGGGGTTTCTCCATGTTGGCCAGGATGGTCTCGAACTCCTGACCTCAGATGATCCGCCTGCCTCAGCCTCCCAAAGTGCTGGGATTACAGGCCTGGCTCTTGATATATATAAATAAATAAATATATACATTATATATAATGTATATATTATATACATTATCTATTATCTATTATCTATTATATATAACATTATATATTATATATTATATATTAAATAAAAATATATATAATATATTATATTATATAGTATTATTAATATATTATAATTAATATATATTAAGATATTTATATATTATATAATTAATATATATTAATTATAATACATATTATATATAATATATACTTATAATATATTTATATATATTTTATATTATATATATTTATATTATATATTATATATATTATATATATAATATATATATTATATATAAAGTACATATTATATATTTTATATATATTAAATATATATAGTTAATGTATACACATTTTTAAATCTTGCCCACATTCCTATCTAAGGGGTCTGGGGAGTTGTGCCCTACAAACCATCCATTCTCATCCGATGGGTTTTATTTAACCTTATATACCATGACTTACTTTCCAACCTGACTCCAGCATCACATTATGAGACAAGAAAAAAAATCAAAATACTTATCCCCAAAATATATTTCATTGCCATATCTCGAAATGGCCCTGGAAGGCCGTTCTTTGTGGGGGGAAATTCACATCTGCAGAGAATCTGTATTCACATAGCTAGATCTTTTTCTTCCAGGCCCTCCCAATCCTAAAGAGATTATCTAGGAGTCTAGTAAGCTTGTCAAGGTCTGAACAGGAAACATTTGTCTTCTGCTGTCTCTAAGGGCAGCCACTATGAGACCTCAAAAGAACCTTGGTCTCCACAATCTCTTATCTTAACCCAAACATTTCCTTTCTATGGATCCCAGGTCTTAAACAAACTCAACCAGTTGTCAACCAATGTTTCAATTCACGGATAGCCTGGAAGGCCCCAGTTTGAATTGTCTCACCTTTGTGGACCGAACCAATACCTTTCTTTTCTTTCTTTTTCTTTCTTTCTTTCTTTTCTTTCTTTCTTTTTCTTTTTTTCTCTCTTCTTCCTTCCTTTCTTTTCATTTTCTCTCTTTCCCTCCCTCCCTCCTTCTCTCTTTCTTTCTTCTTTCTTTCTTCCTTTTTCTTTTCTTTGTTTCTTTCTTCCTTTCTTTCTTTTCTTTCTTTTCTCTTTCCCTTCCTTCCTTCCTTTCTTTCCTTTCTTTCTTTTCTCTTTCCCTCCCTCCCTCCATCTCTCTCTTTTTTCTTTCTTTTCTCTCTTTCCCTTTCTTCCTTCCTTTCTTTCTTTCCTTTCTTTCCTTTCTTTCTTTTCTCTCTTTCCTTTCCTTCCTTCCTTTCTTTCTTTCCTTTCTTTCTTTCCTCTTTCCCTCCCTCAGTCTCTCTCTTTCCTTCCTTCCTTCTTTTTCTCTCTTTTCCTTCCTTCCTTCCTTTCTTCCTTCCTCTCTTTCCTTTCTTTCTTTTCTTTCTTTCCCTCCCTCCATCTCTCTCTCTCTTTCTTTCTTTCTTTCCTTTTGAGACAGAGTCTCGCTCTGTCACCCAGGCTGGAGTGCAGCGGCATGATTCAGTCCACTGCAATCTCCACCTCCTTCCTGGGTTCAAGCGATTCTGCTGCCTCAGCCTCCCGAGTAGCGCTGGGATTACAGGCACCCACCACCACGCCCGGCTACTTTTTGTATTTTTAGTAGAGATGGGGTTTCGCCATGTTGGCCAGGCTGGTCTCGAACTCCTGACCTCAGGTGATCCACCCACCTCGGCCTCCCAAAGTGCTGGGATTACAGGCGTGAGCCACCACGCCCGGCCTCAATAGAAACTTAAAAACAAACTTTACAATAAATCGTATAAAGGGAGAGAAAGTGCAATACACGTGCATAACGATTAAGAGACTCAATATTTTAAGGCGGCTGATGGAGTCTTCAGATTCACTTGTAGGTCTCATGTAATTCAAATCAACATTTCAATAGTTTTTTCTGTGGAACTGGAGGAACTGTTTGTAAAATGTAAATGGGAATGGTACTAGAAAGAGAAGGGAATGGGGAGGGGAGGAGGGAGAGGAAGAGTAGGGGGAGGGAAAAACAAAGAGGAGAAAGAGGAAGAGGAGGAGGGGAGAAGGAGGAAGGAGAGATGGAGGAGGAGGGGAAGGGAAGAGGAGGAGAAAAAGAGAAGGAGGAGGTGGAGGGAGGAGGAGGGGGATCAGGAGAAGAGGATAGGAGGAGAGGAAGGTGGGAGGAGGGAGAGAAGGGAAGAGGAAGTGAGGACGAGGGAGGAGGAGGAGGGGAAGGGAAGAGGAGGAGAAGAGCAGGAGGACAGGGAGGGGGAGGGAGGAGGAGGTGGAGGGGGAGAAGAGGATGGGAGACGAGGAAGGTAGGAGGAGGAGGGGCAGGAGAAGAGAAGTGGAGAAGAAAAGGAGGAGGGAGGAGGAGGAGGGAGGAGGAGGGGGAGGAGAAAGGGAGGAGGAGAAGTGGGGGAGGGGGAAGGGAGGAGGAAGGGGGAAGGGAAATCGTGTTTCCAATGCATTTCTTGCTTCCGCGGAAATTGTCTATCAAATTCATGTCCTGCTTCCGTGATAATTGTCTTTCAGATGCATTTCTTGCTTCTGTGATAATTGTCTGTCAAATGCATTTCTTGCTTCCGTGGAAATTGGCTTTCAAATTTATTTCTTGCTTCCGTGATAATTGTCTTTCAAATGCATTTCTTGCTTTCTTGGAAATTATCTTTCAAATTCATTTCTTGCTTCCGTGATAATTGTCTTTCAAATGCATTTCTTGCTTTCTTGGAAATTATCTTTCAAATTCATTTCTTGCTTCCGTGATAATTGTCTTTCAAATGCATTTCTTGCTTTCGTGGAAATTGTCTTTCAAATGCATTTCTTGCTTTCCTGGTGAACGGCAGCATAAAAGAATTCGCTAGGTGCTTCTGCTCTAATTTTGGTTGTTTAACTTTTTTTTTTTTCAGTGTATGTGCAGCTTTTATTTTTTTTAATTTTATTATTATACTTTAAGTTTTAGGGTACATGTGCACAACGTGCAGGTTTGTTACATATGTATACATGTGCCATGCTGGTGTGCTGCACCTATTAACTCGTCCTTTAGCATTAGGTATATCTCCTAATGCTATCCTTCCCCCCTCCCCCTGGTTGTTTAACATTTTTATTTGATCCTTTTATTATTTAATATTTGCTGAACTGTCTTCCTTCCTTTGGGAAATCTTTTTTTTCTTTTTTTTTTTTTTGACGGAGTTTCGCTCTTGTTGCCCAGGCTGGAGTGCAATGGCGCAATCTGGGCTCACTGCAACCTCCGCCTCCCGGATTCAAGCAATTCTCCTGCCTCAGCCTCCCGAGTAGCTGGGATTACAGGCGCTCACCACCACGTCTGGCTAATTTTGTATTTTTAGTAGAGACAGGGTTTCTCTATGTTGGTCAGGCTGGTCTCAAACTCCCAGCCTCAGGTGATCCACCTGCCCCTTCCTCTCAAAGTGCTGGGATGACAGGTGTGAGCCACCGCGCCCGGCCTTGGCATTATTTTACAGTACAGGGTCCCACGTGCCTCAAGACAGATGTGCTTGTTCAGAAGCCAACCCAGGTCTAGAGTTTTCCTCTCCCCTGCTGTGTGCCCAGCATGCTAAGAATGTAGCAGGATGAGCCTGTACAGACAAAACTCCTCAGACACCAGATTAAAGAAGGAACAGGTTTTCATTCGGCCGGGAGCGTCGGCAGACTCACGTCTTAAGAGCCGAGCTCCCCGAGAAAGAAATTCTTGGCCTTTTCAAAGGCTTACAGCTTTAAGGGGTCCACGTGAAAGAGTCGTGATATATGGAGCAAGCGTGGGGAATGTGACTGGGGGCTGCACGCGTCAGCCAACAGCACAAAAAGTTCTACAATGTTTTTTTCATACAGTGTCTGGAATTTACAGATAACACAAGTAGTTTAGGTCAGGGGTTGATGTTATTATTTTTACTTTTTTTAACTCCTAGGGCTGGGCGGTGGTGCCAAGGGTGTCTGGCTACTTATCTTACTGAGGTGTAGGGAAAAGAAAGACAAATCAGACTGTGACCGTGTCTATGGAGAAAGGAGAGACATAAGAGAGTCCATTTAGAAAAAGACCTGTACTTTCAACTATTGCTTTGCTGAGATGTTGTTAATGTGTAGGTTTGCCCCAGCCACTTTGACCCAACCTGGAGCTCACAAAAACATGTGTTGTAGGAAATCAAGGTTTATGAAATCGAGGTTATGAAATCAAGGGCTGTGCAGGACGTGCCTTGTTAACAAAATGTTCACGAGCGGTATACTTGGTAAAACTCATCGCCATTCTCTAGTCTCAATAAACCAGAGGCACGATGCACTGCGGAAAGCCGCAGGGACCTCTGCCCTTGAAAGCCGGGTATTGTCCAATTGTCCAAGCGGGGTATTGTTTCTCCCCATGTGATAGTCTGAAATATGGCCTCGTGGGATGAGAAAGACCCGACCGTCCCCCAGCCCGACACCCGTAAAGGGTCTGTGCTGAGGTGGATTGGTAAAAGAGGAAAGCCTCTTGCAGTTGAGATAGAGGAAAGCCACTGTCTCCTGCCTGCCCCTGGGAACTGAACGTCTCGGTATAAAACCCGATTGTACATTTGTTCAATTCTGAGATCGGAGAAAAACCACCCTATGGTGGGAGGTGAGACATGTTTGCAGTAATGCTGCTTTGTTATTCTTTACTCCACTGAGATATTTGGGTGGA
Organism: Homo sapiens; assembly: GCF_000001405.40. NCBI lineage: Eukaryota > Metazoa > Chordata > Mammalia > Primates > Hominidae > Homo > Homo sapiens. The sequence continues at coordinate 1,171,592 of NC_000024.10, forward strand.
GAGAAACATAAATCTGGCCTATGTGCACGTCCAGTCATAGTACCTTCCCTTGAACCTAATTACGACATAGATTCTTTTGCTCACATGTTTGTTGCTGACCTTCTCCTTATTATCACCCAGCTCTCCTACTACATTCCTTTTTGCTGAAATAATGAAAATAATAATCAATAAAAAGTGAGGGAACTCAGAGGCCGGTGCCGGTGCAGGTCCTTGGTATGCTGAGCGCTGGTCCCCTGGGCCCACTGTTGTTTCTCTATACTTTGTCTCTGTGTTTTATTTCTCTTTCTCAGTCTCTCGTCCCACCCGACTGGAAATACCCACAGGTGTGGAGGGGCAGGCCACCCCTTCACTGAGGGAAGAGAGAGACCCTCTCATATTGTTTTATGTTGTTTTATACTCATTACCTGTTTTAAGAAAACAGCAAGGAAGTGAGATCAAAGACAGGCAGCCCGGCGCCAGGCCCGAAACCAGGCCTGGGGCTGCCGGCCCTAAACCCAGTAGTTAAAACTCAACTCATAACTTAGAAACCGATGTTATTCATAGATTCCAGACGTCGTATAGAAGAACACTGCGAAACTCCCTGCCCCGTTCTGTTTCTCTCTGACCACAGGTGCACGCAGCCCCTGTCACGTACCCCTTGCCCGCTCAAATCAATCACGACCCTTTCATGTAAAATCTTTAGTGTTGTGAGCCCTTAAAAGGGACAGAAATTGTGCATTTGGAGAGCTGGGATTTTAAGGCAGTAGCTTCCCGATGCTCCCAGCTGAATAAAGCCCTTCCTTCTACAGCTTGGTGTCTGAGAGGTTTTGTCTGAGGCTCGTCCTGCTACATTACTTTTGTGGGTTTTTTTTTTGTTTTTTTTTCCAACTTCTTGCTTTTTCTCTCCTCCTGTCTTGTGAACTAGGCAAGGTGAGGGGACGATGGCAGCAGGAGGAGTACTGGTCTCCTTCCTTAAGAATATCCCTGGAAACTCTCTTTCCCATCTTGCACGATGGCAGGTGAAAAAGTTGAGAAGGCAGATACTAAAGAGAAGAAACCTGAAGCCAAGAAGGCTGATGCTGGTGGCGAGGTGAAAAACCGTCACCTCAAGGCTAAAAGGCCCAAGAAGAGGAAGCCCCATTGCAGCCACAACCGTGTCCTTGTCAGAGGAATTGGCAGGCAATCCCTATATCTCCCGTGTATTCCGGGAAGGCCGTGTACAAGAGGAAGTACTCAGCCACTAAATCCAACGTTGAAAAGAAAAAGAAGGAGAAGGTTCTTGCGACCGTTACACAACCAGTTGGCGGTGACAAGGACGGAGGTACCCGCGTGGTTAAACTTCGCAAAATGCCTAGGTATTATCCTGAAATGCCTACCCTTGTTTTTACTTTAACTTGTTACTTTGAATATTGTTCTGCTTGTCTCTTTAATCACCTAGACCTGCTTCTCATGTAAATGAGACTCTCTCTAGGTGGGAAAGCCGGACAAACTCCAATTGACCACTTAATTTTCAAGACTCTAAGGGCTCCTCACCCAACCCCCTTTCCTAAGGAGTTGGCCTGGGTAAACAGATCCTCAGCATTTCAAACGAGCCCAATTAACTAATAAGGTACTGGCACCCACAATGTATGAAGTTCCCCAGGAATTTTCCTCCAAGAGATAACAACATAAAACCTTCAGTTTGTGTCCTGCATAGACCGTATATCTAATTATAATGAAAGATTTAGAACCTTGCACCTGCTACCGTTGCTCTTCTTGTCACCATTTGTCTTTTAAGTTGTTTATCACTCTGTAACCCTTTTGATTTTTTTCATTCTTGCATGTTTTTACTTCTCTAGAATTATTACATTTGAGTCCCCCTCCCCTTCCTAAACCTAGGTATAAAAGTTAATCGAGCCCCTTCCGCGTGGCCGAGAGAATTTTGAGCGTTAGCCGTCTCTTTGGCCGCCGGCTTAATAAAGGACTCTTAATTCGTCTCAAAGTGTGGCGTTCTCACTAACTCGCCTGGGTACGACAATCCTACTGAAGATGTACCAGTTAGCACGTGAGAAAACGGCGAGCCAGCATTATGCCCGGGACCATTCGGATCCTCCTCACTGGAGGCCACATGGGCAAGAGTGATGGTTTTCCTGAAGCAGCTGGCTAGTGGCTTGTTACTTGTGACTGGACCTCTGGTCCTCAATCGAGTCCCTCCACGAAGAACGCACCAGAAATTTGTCATTGCCACCTCAACCAAAATCGGTATCAGCAACGTAAAAATCTCAAAACATCTTAGTGATGCTGACTTGAAGAAGAAGAAGCTGTGGAAGCCCAGACACCAGGAGAGTGATGGTTTTCCTGAAGCAGCTGGCTAGTGGCTTGTTACTTGTGACTGGACCTCTGGTCCTCAATCGAGTCCCTCCACGAAGAACGCACCAGAAATTTGTCATTGCCACCTCAACCAAAATCGGTATCAGCAATGTAAAAATCTCAAAACATCTTAGTGATGCTTACTTGAAGAAGAAGAAGCTGTGGAAGCCCAGACACCAGGAGAGTGATGGTTTTCCTGAAGCAGCTGGCTAGTGGCTTGTTACTCGTAACTGGACCTCTGGTCCTCAATCGAGTCCCTCCACGAAGAACGCACCAGAAATTTGTCATTGCCACCTCAACCAAAATCGGTATCAGCAATGTAAAAATCTCAAAACATCTTAGTGATGCTGACTTGAAGAAGAAGAAGCTGTGGAAGCCCAGACACCAGGAGAGTGATGGTTTTCCTGAAGCAGCTGGCTAGTGGCTTGTTACTCGTAACTGGACCTCTGGTCCTCAATCGAGTCCCTCCACGAAGAACGCACCAGAAATTTGTCATTGCCACCTCAACCAAAATCGGTATCAGCAATGTAAAAATCTCAAAACATCTTAGTGATGCTGACTTGAAGAAGAAGAAGCTGTGGAAGCCCAGACACCAGGAGAGTGATGGTTTTCCTGAAGCAGCTGGCTAGTGGCTTGTTACTCGTAACTGGACCTCTGGTCCTCAATCGAGTCCCTCCACGAAGAACGCACCAGAAATTTGTCATTGCCACCTCAACCAAAATCGGTATCAGCAATGTAAAAATCTCAAAACATCTTAGTGATGCTGACTTGAAGAAGAAGAAGCTGTGGAAGCCCAGACACCAGGAGAGTGATGGTTTTCCTGAAGCAGCTGGCTAGTGGCTTGTTACTCGTGACTGGACCTCTGGTCCTCAATCGAGTCCCTCCACGAAGAACGCACCAGAAATTTGTCATTGCCACCTCAACCAAAATCGGTATCAGCAATGTAAAAATCCCAAAACATCTTACTGATGCTTACTTCAAGAAGCAGCAGCTGCAGAAGCCCAGACACCAGGAAGGTGCCATCGTCGACACAGAAAAAGAGAAATATGAGATTATGTAGCAGCGTGAGATTGATTAGAAAGCTGTGGACGCACAGATTTCACCAAAAATCAAAGCTATTCCTCAGCTCCAGGGCTACCTAGGATCTGTGTTTGTCCTGACGAATGGAATCTATCCTCACAAATTGGTGTTCTAAATGTCTTAAGAACCTCATTAAATAGCTGACTACAAAAAAAAAAGGAATATACCTGGAACAAGCAGCAGGTTCCGTAGCGGGAACTTCCTTGGAATCAAAGCACCTTAATCGGGAAGAGGTTTCCTCATCTCTCCTTCTTCTCACCTGCTTTCCTTTGCCCTGCAAAGGCTGCAGAACACACCGCCTCAAAACATGGGGCTTTGTCACAAAGATTTCTGAAACGAAAGCCAGTGAGAAGAAGGACAGATGAGAAAACCTCTTCCCAATTAAGCCACTTCCTCATCACACCTTGTCTTACCAGGGACCAGGGACTCATGTGCCTGGTTTTATGAAATGAGACCACCACTTCTCCTGTTGTCCTTCCCAGCTTCTCCCCCACTTCCCCTTCTCCCTAGTTTGTAAGACAGGACAAAACGGAGAAAGCAAAAAGTTGGAAACAAACAGAAGTAAGATAAATAGCCAGATGACTTTTTTTATTTATAATATTTTATTACAATATTTTATTGTTATATGATAATATCTATATTACCTATAATATGTAAATATAAATATTATAGATATTATAATATATTATATTATAATAAATATAATATAATAATATATAAAATAATATAATATATAAAATAATGTAATATATTATATTATTATAATATATTATAATATAATGATATATTATATTATTATAATATTATATTATAATATAATGATATATTATATTATTATAATATTATATTATAATATAATGATATATTATATTATTATAATATTATATTATAATATACTGATATATTATATTATAATATAATATTATAATATTATAATATTATAATATAATATTATAATATTATAATATTATTAATAATATAATATCATAATATTATTAATAATATATTATAATGTAATATCATTATAATATATATTATAATCATATTATTATAATATATATTATAATATATTATTATATATTATTATAATAGATATCGTAATATATATTATAATATATCATAATCTATATTATAATATATTATAATAATATTATAATAATATATTGTAATAATATATACTATAATATATTATAATAATATTATAATAATATATTATAATATTATTATAATATAATATCTATATTTTATTATTAAAATAATAAAATATAATAAAATAATAATAAAATATTATAAGAAAATAATAAAATATTATAAGAAAATAACAATAAAATATTATAAAATAATAATAATATATTATTATTATAAAATAATAATAATATATTATTATTATAAAATAATATAATATTAACCCCTGACCAAAACTACTGGTGCTATCTGTAAATTGCAGACATCGTATGAGAAAGCACTGTGAAACTTTCTGTTCTGTTAGCTGATGTATGTAGCCCCCAGTCACGTTCCTCACGCTTACTTGATCTATCATGACCGTTTCACATGGACCCCTTAGAGTTGTAAGCCCTTAAAAGTGCTAGGAATTTCTATTTCGGGGAGCTCGGCTCTTACCACACGAGTCTGCCGACGCTCCCGGCCGAATAAAAAACCTGTTCCTTCTTTAATCCGGTGTCTGAGGAGTTTTGTCTGCGACTGGTCTTCCTACAGTTTCAGGGACTCCTGTGCCTGGTTTTGTGACAGAAAAGGAGGGGTCCCGGTCCAGACCCCAAGAGAGGTTCCTGGATCTCGTGCAAGAAAGAATTCAAGGCCAGTCAAGACAGTGCAAAGCAAAAGCACGTTTATTAACAGAGGACAGGCCGGGGCGCGGTGGCTCACGCCTGTCATCCCAGCACTCTGGGAGGCCGAGGCAGGTGGATCACCCGAGGTCAGGAGTTTGAGACCAGCCTGACCAACACGATGAAACCCCGTCTCTACTAAAAATACAAAATTAGCCAGGCGTGGTGGTGCACGCCGGTAATCCCAGCTACTGGGGAGGTTGAGGCAGGAGAATGGCTTGAACCCGGGAGGCAGAGGTTGCAGGGAGCCAAGATCGCGCCATTGCACTCCAGCCTGGCTGACAGAGTAAGTCACCATCTCAAAATAAATAATAATAATAATCGGCTGGGTGCAGTGGCTCACACCTGTCATCCCAGCACTCTGGGAGGCCGAGGTGGGCAGATCACCTGAGGTCAGGAGTTCGACACCAGCCTGGAAAACATGGTAAAACCCCGTCTCTACTAAAAATACAAAAATTAGCCGGGTGGCGTGGCAGGCTGTAATCCCAGCTACTCAGGAGGCCGAGGCAGGAGAATCACTGGAACCCGGGAGGCAGAGGTTGCAGTGAGCCAAGATTGTGCCACTGCACTCCAGCCTGGGTGACAGAGCGAGACTCTGTCTCAAAAAAAAATTATTATTATTATATTATTATATATATTATTATATATTATTATAATTATATTATATTATTATATATTCTATATAATATAATATATAATAATATTATATATTATTCTATATAATCTATATAATAATATATTATTCTATATAATCTATATGATAATATATTATTCTATAATATATTATAATTATATTATTATATTTTATTATAGGTTATATATATTATAATTATATTATATTATTATAATATGTATTATTATATATTATGTATCATAATTATATTATATTATTATAATATGTATTATTATATATTATATATTATAATTATATTACATTATTATTATATATAATATGTTACATATTATAATTATATTATATTTATATTATATATTATATATTATAATTATATTATATTATTATAATCATATATTACATATTATAATTATATTATATTATTGTACAGAATTATATAGTATAATTATATTATATTATTGCATATAATTATATAGTATAATTATATTATATTATTGCATATAATTATATAGTATAATTATATCATATTATTGCATATAATTATATAGTATAATTATATTATATTATTGTATATAATTATATAGTATAATTATATCATATTATTGTATATAATTATATATTGTATATTATAATTATATTATATTATTGTATATAATATAATTATATTATATTATTGTATAAAATATAATTATATTATATTATTGTATAAAATATAATTATATTATATTATTGTATATGATATAATTATATTATATTATTGTATATAATTATAATTATATTATATTATTGTATATAATTATAATTATATTATATTATATATACTATATATTATATAATTATATTATATTATTAATATATAATTATATATTATAATTATATTATATTATTAATATATAATTATATATTATAATTATATTATATTATTAATATATAATTATATATTATAATTATATTATATTATTAATATATAATTATATATTATAATTATATTATATTATTATATATAATTATATATTATAATTATATTATATTATTTTATATAATTATATTATATTATTATATATAATTATATATTATTATACTATTTTAAAATATTATTTATTATTATTATTATATCACAGAAAAATAGCTGAAGGCCACCGAGGCAGCTCATCCGTCAACACCCTCCACGTTTTATGTTTGAGGAAATCCAGAGACGTGTGTAATTGCCGCAGAATTCCTAAGACGTGTGTGAGCATGAAATGACATATGCACTAATACCTTTGCTGTAGGAAAAACACAATCTTCCTAGCCACGTTTACGACCCTTTCCCTCCAAGGGCTTTCGGATGCAAACGCATACACGCTAACGATGCAGAAATTAAAAGGTTCTCAACGTCCCCTGTGCAACTAAGGGGTTTTTTTGTTTTTTTCTTTTTGAAGCTGGTGTTTCCAGCATTACAGGTCGCGACCACCCAGTTGCAAAAGCCAGGCACGGAGCCAGGGCAAGGAGGAGGCGTAACTTTCTTTCTGCAAAGCGTGCGTGACTTCAGCAGCCCAGGCAAGATCCACAGAGGGTCCAGAAATAAGGCTCGGCCAAGAAGAAAATAGAAAATTGCTTGCTCGCTTGTAAAATTTAACTGTTCTTTGCAATGGCAGGAGCCACGATTTTTTTTTTAATAACATGAATGCGTGAGTATGTGTGTCTAAGTGGACTTTGCCTCTAAGAACTTGGTAAAAAGCGATTTTAACTTCAGCCTTGGAGGGAATCTCTCAACCCACAGAGCTCAGCACGTCTTAAATTCATGGAGTTTTTGGCAAGCGCATGGGGGCACCGTCTCTAGCCTCCAAATACTCATTTTATGCGATTTTTTTTTTCATCTTAAATTCATGGAGTTTTTGGCAAGCGCATGGGGGCACCGTCTCTAGCCTCCAAATACTCATTTTATGCGATTTTTTTTTTCATCTTAAATTCATGGAGTTTTTGGCAAGCGCATGGGGGCACCGTCTCTAGCCCCTAAATACTCATTTTATGAGATTTTTTTTTTCAGTTGAAGAAAATGTCAAAAGGTTGTCACAGCTGTGTGGAGGAAAAGTTAAACATTAAATTTGAACTCAATTGAAGATGGACACAAGCAATGGTCACCAAGTCCCAAAACAGGGTTGAGGCCTTCATCCAGCGGTGTTTCGTAGAAATCTCTATTTCAGTCTATTCTTTTCTTTTTTCTTTTTTTGAGATGGAGTCTCACTCTGTTGCCCAGGCTGGAGTGCAGTGGTGCACTCTCAGCTCACTGCACCCTCCACCTCCCAGGTTCAAGCCATTCTCCTGCCTCAGCCTCCCGAGTAGCTGGGACTACAAGCGCCCACCACCACGCCCGGCTAATTTTTGTATTTTTAGTAGAGACGGGGTTTCACCATGTTGGCCAGGAGGGTCTCGATCTCCTGACCTCGTGATCCGCCCGCCTCGGCCTCCCAAAGTGCTGGGATGACAGGCGTGAGCCACCGTGCCCGGCCACACCTGGATAATTTTGTATTTTTAGTAGACACGAGGTTTCCACATGTTGGTCAGGCTGGTCTCGAACTCCTGACCTCAGGTGATCCGCCCACCTCGGCCTCCCAACGTGCTGGGATGACAGGGGTGAGCCACCGTGCCCGGCCTCCATACTGTTTTTTCTAGAGCTTGTACTAATTTACGTTCCCCCCAGGAATATATAAAGCATTCTCTTTTCACCACACTCATGCCAATATTTTTTTTTAACTTTTTAATAATGGTCATTCTGCCTGGGGCAAGATGATGTCTCAGTGTGATTTTAATCTGCATTTCCCTGATGCAAATTTCATCTCCATTTAAACAACAAAGAAAACAGTGGCCAGGCCGAGGTAGGTGGATCACCTGAGGTCACGAGTTGGAGACCAGCCCGGGCAACATGGTGAAACCCCGTCTCTACTAAAAATACAAAAATTAGCCAGGTGTGGTGGTGCATGCCTGTAATCCCAGCTACTCAGGAGAGTGAGGCAGGAGCATCGCTTGAACCTGGGAGGCAGAGGTTGCAGTGAGCCGAGATTGAGCCACTGCACTCCAGCCTGGCGACAGAGTGAGACTCTGTCTCAAGAAAAAAAATAAAATATGCCAGGCCCAGCGGCTCACACCTGTAATCCCAGCACTTTGGGAGGTCAAGCCAGGTGGATCACCAGAGGTCAGGAGTTTGAGATCAGCCTGTCCAACATGGTGAAACCCCGTCTCTTCTAAAAATACAAAAACTAGCTGGGCGTGGTGGCGGTTGCCTGTAATCTCAGCTACTCAGGAGGCTGAGGTAGGAAAATCGCTTGAACCCAGGAGGCAGAGGTTGCAGTGAGCTGAAATCAAGCCACTGTACTCCAGCCTGGGCAGCAAAGCCAGACTCTGTCTCAAGAAAACAAAAAAAAAAAAAAACAAAAAAAGGCCGGGCGCGGTGGCTCACACCTGTAATCCCAGCACTTTGGGAGGCCAAGGTGGGTGGATCGCGAGGTCAGGAGTTCGAGACCATCCTGGCCAACATGGCGAAACCCCATCTCTACTAACAATACAAAATTATCCAGGTGTGGCCCGGCAGGGTGGCTCACGCCTGTCATCCCAGCACTTTGGGAGGCCGAGGCGGGCGGATCACGAGGTCAGGAGATCGAGACCATCCTGGCTCACACGGTGAAACCCCGTCTCTACTAAAATTACAAAAATAAGTCAGACGTGGTGGCGGTTGCCTGTAATCTCAGCTCCTCAGGAGGCTGAGGCAGGACAATTGCTTGAACCCGGGAGGCAGAGGTTGCAGTGAGCTGAAATCGTCATGTGCTGCTTCCTATCTTCTTTTTTGAGAATCAGCACATGTCCAACTGCTCAGAAGCCTCAGGAAACAGTGTGGCTTCCCTCTTTGCTGGCTGCAGCACACGGTCTCGAAACAGGGGGCCGGGGAGGGCTCAGAGAACAAGGGTCAAAGCTTTCTTAGGAAATGTCAGGCTGCTGGTTTCATTTAACTTGGTTTTTTGTTTGTTTATTCTTGTTGTTGTTTTGAGACGGAGTCTTGCTCTGTGGCCCAGGCTGGAGTGTGCAGCGGTGCGATCTCGGCTCACTGCAACCTCCACCTCCCTGGTTCAAGCGATTCTCCTGCCTCAGCCTCCCGAGTAGCTGGGATGACAGGTGCCACCATCACACCCGGCTAATTTTTGTACTTTTGGTAGAGACGGGGGTTTCACCGTGTTGGTCAGGCTGGTCTCGAACTCCTGACCTCAGATGATCCACCCACCTCGGCCTCCCAAAGTGCTGGAATTACAGGCGTGAGCCACCGCACCCGGCCCATTTAACTTGTTACTTCATGCTTCCAGGATTCTGCCTTTGTAACCTTCCGCAGGGCACCTGTTTCATGTCAAATTCCTGAGTTAGAGATATTTAAGTATAACAATAGTCACAGGCTGGGCATGATGGCTCACGCCTATAATCCCAGCACTTTGGGAGGCCGAGGCAGGCAGATCATCTGAGGTCAGGAATTTGAGACCAGCCTGGCCAACATGGCGAAACCCCGTTTCTACTAAAAATACATAAATCAGCCTGGCGTAGTGGCCGGTGCCTGTAATCCTAGCTACTGTGGAGGCTGAGGCAGGAGAATGGCTTGAACCTGAGAGACGGAGGTTACAGTGAGCTGAGATTGCGCCACTGCACTCCAGCCTGGGCAACAGAGCACGACTGTCAATAAAATAAAATAAGATAAAAATAAAATAAAATAAAATAAAATAAAATAAAATAAAATAAAATAAAATAAAATAAAATAAATAATAAAATAAAATAAAATAAAAATAAAATAAAATAAAATAAGATAGAATAAAATAAAATAAAATAAATAAAATAAAATAAAATAAAATAAAATATAATGAAATGAAATAAAATAAAATAAAATAAATAAAATAGTCACAGAAGCATCCCACCCTGGGACGCCATCCCCAACCGAGGCCACGGCTCCTACAAGACTCAGCTTCAAGCCTCCACCTCTCCCTGTTGTCATTGACAAATGCCCCACTTCCAGCAGGGTCATAGAAGGGCAAGTGGAGTCCCCTGCCCCTAAAGAGCCCAGCTGACCTTCCCCCACGTAAAAAATGACCTTCCCCCATTTTTTATGGCAGCAGTGCTAGGGCTGCCATAAACAATGACCACAATGGCCAGGCACAGTGGCTCACGCCTGTAATCCCAGTACTTTGGGAGTCCGAGGTAGGTGGATCACCTGAGGTCAGGAATTCGACACCAGCCAGACCAACATGGAGAAACCTCCTCTCTACTAAAAATACAACATTTAGCCGGTCGTGATGGCCGACGCCAGTAATCCCAGCTACTTGGGAGGCTGAGGCAGGAGAATCACTTGAACTTGGGAGGCAGAAGTTGCGGTGAGCTGAGATCCTGCCACTGCACTCCAGCCTGGGTAACAGAGCAAGACTCTGTCTCAAAAAAAAAAAAAAATGACCACAAACCAGGGGCTAAAACAACACACATTTATTGTCTCCCAGTCCTGGAGAGCAGGAGTCTGAGACCAATGCGTGGACAGGGCTGTGTTCCCTCTGAAGATTCTAGGGGAGGGTCCTTCCTGCCTCTCCCAGCTCCTGAGGGCTCCAGGCGTCCCTGGACTTGTGGCTGCATCACTCCAGTCTCTGCCTCCCTCTCCACGTGGCCTTCTCCTCTGTGTCTGTGTCTCCTGTCTCTTAGAAAGACACCTGTCATTGCATTTAGAAGACACCCTACTCCAGGATGGTCTCATGTCAAGATCCTTAACTTTCTTACATATGTGGAGACCCTATTTCCAAATATAAAGTCCCATTCATAGGTCTGGGGGGTAGGACATAAACGTATGTTTTGGGGTCACCATTCAATCCATTACAGTTGTACCCAGTTCCCTCTGGAGGCTCTAGGGGAGGGTGCTTCCTGCCTCTCCCAGCTCCTGGGGGCTCCAGGCATCCCTGGGCTTGTGGCCGCATCACTCCAGTCTCTGCCTCCGTCTCCACGTGGCCTTCTCCTCTGTGTCTGTGTCTCCTCTTCTGTCTCTTACAAGGACGCTTGTCATTAGATTTAGGGTCCACCCAGATAATTCAGAATGATTATCTCAATATCCTACATTTAACTGTATCTCCAAAGACCACTTTTCCAAATAAGGTCCCATTCACAGGTTCTGGGGATTAGGACATGAACACCTCTTTAGGGAGGACCACAGTTCAACTCACTACAGGTGTATCCACTTCCCTCTGGAGGCTCTAGGGGAGGATCCTTCCTGCCTCTCCCAGCTCCTGGGGGCTCCAGGCATCCCTGGGCTTGTGGCCGCATCACTCCAGTCTCTGCCTCCGTCTCCACGTGGCCTTCTCCTCTGTGTCTGTCTCCTCTTCTGTCTCTTACAAGGACGCTTGTCATTAGATTTAGGGTCCACCCAGATAATTCAGAATGATTATCTCGATATCCTACATTTAACTGTATCTCCAAAGACCACTTTTCCAAATAAGGTCCCATTCACAGGTTCTGGGGATTAGGACATGAACACCTCTTTAGGGAGGACCACAGTTCAACTCACTACAGGTGTATCCACTTCCCTCTGGAGGCTCTAGGGGAGGATCCTTCCTGCCTCTCCCAGCTCCTGGGGGCTCCAGGCATCCCTGGGCTTGTGGCCGCCTCACTCCAGTCTCTGCTGCCATCTCCACGTGGCCTTCTCCTCTGTGTCTGTCTCCTCTTCTGTCTCTTAGAAGGACACCTGTCATTGCACTTAGGACCCACCCAACTCCAGGATGATCTCATCTCAAGATCTTTACCTTAAGATAACACCTGCAAAGACCCTATTTCCAAATAAACTCTCATTCTTAAGGACAGCATGAACATGAATTTGGGGAAGGAGACATTGTATAACCCACTGCTTTGACACAGTGAGTTAAAAAATCTATAAATACTCCATGATGTGGATGGTGATTCACAGAACTTTCCACAACTTTTAGGTGTATGCCAGTGATTATATCTCTGCCATAGGGGTGGTTTTTTTTTTTTTTCTGAGACAGTCTGGCTCTGTCACCCAGGCTGGAGTGCAGTGGCACGATCTCGGCTCACTGCAACCTCCACATCCCAGGTTCAAGCGATTCTCCTGCCTCAGCCTCCTGAGTAGCTGGGATTACAGGCACCCGCCACCACACCCGGCTAATTTTTGTATTTTTAGTAGAGACGGGCTTTCACCGTGTTGGCCAGGCTGGTCTTGAGCTCCTGACCTCAAGTGATCCGCCCGCCTCGACCTCCCAAAGTGCTGGGATTACAGGCGTGAGCCACCACACCTGACCACTAAGATATCTTTTTTTTTTTTTTTTGAGATGGAGTCTCACTCTCGCCCAGGCCAGAGTGCAGTGGTGTGATCTCGGCTCACTGCGACCTCTGCCCCAAGTTCAAGCAATTCTCCTGCCTCAGCCTCCCGAGTAGCTGGGACTACAGATGCCCGCCACCATGCACGGCTATTTTTTTGTATTTTTAGTAGAGACGGGGTTTCACCGTGTTGGCCAGACTGGTCTGGAGCTCCTGACCTCCAGTGATCTGCCCGCCTCGACCTCCCAAACTGCTGGGATGACAGGCGTGAGCCACCACACCTGACCACTAAGATATCTTTTTTTTTTTTTTTTTTTTTGAGATGGAGTCTTGCTCTGTCACCCAGGTTGGAGTGCAGCGGCACGATCTTGGCTCATTGCAACCTCTGCATCCCTGGTTCAAGCGATTCTCCTGCCTCAGCCTCCCGAATAGCTGGGATTACAGGCGGGTACCGCCACACCTGGCTAATTTTTGTATTTTTAGTAGAGATGGGGTTTCACCCCGTTAGCCAGGATGGTCTTGAACTCCTGACCTCGTGATCCACCGGCCTCGGCCTCCCAAAGTGCTGGGATGACAGGCGCGAGCCACTGCGCCCAGCCAGTAGTTTCTTTTATGAGATGGAATCTGCTCATTTGAAAATACATTTTTTTTTTGCAAAAATCTTCAGACAATACTGAGTGTATCACAAAAATTAGCCACCACACCCAGCTAATTTTCTTTTATTATTATTTTTTGTAGAGATGGGGTCTTGCCGTGTTGTCCAGGCTGGTCTTGAACTCCTGCGCTCAAGGGATCCTCCCAGCCCAGCCTTCCCAAAGTACTGGGATGACAGGAGTAAGCCACTGCACCTGGCTTCTCGGTTCTTTGTTATCTGCCTTTTTAAGTCACACTCGGGGCCGGGAACACCCAGGTTTTCACCTAGGGCTTTCGGCTGTGAACCTGCCATGTCTGCTACTGATCAGAAGTAATGATTATTTCAGAGGAGAGGGACAGGGGCCTCCCTCTGATTCACAATGTTCCCCAAAGGAGAGATAGCATCTGTGACTCATGACTAATTCTCTAGAACATGCTCTGCGGGGCTGTTTCTGCCGGGGGTTTTTTGGGGGGCAGGATGGAGGGGGGCACGGAGTTTCGCCCTTGTCGCCCAGGCTGGAGTGCAATGGTGTGACCTTGGCTCACTGCAACCTCCGCCTCCCGGGTTCAAGCAATTCTCCTGCCTCAGCCTCCCGAGTAGCTGGGAGACCTCGGCTCACTGCAACCTCCGCCTCCCGGGTTCAAGCAATTCTCCTGCCTCAGCCTCCCGAGTAGCTGGGATAACAGGCACCTGCCACCACCCCCGGTTAATTTTTGTATTTTTAGTAGAGACAGGGTTTCGCCATGTTGGTCAGGCTGGTCTCGAACTCCTGACCTCAAGTGATCCACCCGCCTCGGCCTCCCAAAGTGCTGGGATTACAGACGTCAGCCACTGCGGACAGCCTTAAAACTCAATTTCCAGTACCCCACTGAGGAAAAAAGACAACGTGGTCATCGGCTTGCTGTGGGGTGAACACTGTCATCGTGACCCTAAACCTGAGTCCCTGGGTTCCCATTTAATCACTTTTCTGACTTTTATCTTTAAACATTAGGCGGGTATGGTGGCGGGTGCCTGTCATCCCAGCTACTTGGGAGGCTGAGGCAGGAGAATGGCTCGAACCCGGGAGGCGGAGCTTGCAGTGACCCGAGATCGTGCCACTGCACTCCAGCCTGGGCGACAAGAGCAAAAATGCACCTAAAAAAAAAGACGGATGCCCTGGAGAAACACCTACGTAAGCTCCCGCCATGGGTAGAATAGAGATTTATTTTTATTTTATTTTTGTCGGGGGGAGCAGGGACAGGGTCTTGCTCTGTCGCCAGATTGGAATTCAGTGGCAACATCTCTGCTCACTGCGACCTCTGCCTCCCGAGCTCAAGCGATTCTCCTGCCTCAGCCTCCTGAGTAACTGGGATTACAGGTGCTCGCCACCACCGCCTGGCTGATTTTTATATTTTTGATAGAGACGGGGTTTCACCATGTTGGCCAGGCTGGTCTCGAACTCATGAGCTCAGGAGATCCACCCACAGCGGCCTCCCAACGTGCTGGGATGACAGGCGTGAGCCACTGCGCCTGTATACACTTATTTTTATACATAGTGTATATTATATACACTTACTTTTAAATATACACTTACATGCAAAATATACAAAAAAAAAGTTAGCTGAGTGGGGCGGTGTGTGCCTGTAATCCCAGCTACTCGGGAGGCTGAGGCAGGAGAATTGCTTGAACCCGGGAGGCGGAGTTTGCAGGGAGCCGAGATCGCACCACTGCACTCCGGCCTGGGTGACAGAGCAAGACTCCGTCCCAGAAAAAAAAAAAAAAAAAGTTTTAAACTAATAGCCAATTGGGTAAAGTATGAAATGTGAGGTCCTATTCCAGTCAATGGAAAGTGGATGCAGCAGTAGGTTAGATGTGTCAGGTTGTAAATAACTCTGTCTCCTTTGTTCAGTGCACTCTGGTGGCTGGACAACTGTTGAGTAGCGATCATTTGTTTCTGCGTTAATTCTTTTTTTGTGTGTAATTTTTTTTTTTTTTTTTTTTAGGGGAGTCTCACTCTGTCGCCCAGGCTGGAATGCAGTGGCACAATCTCGGCTTCATTTGCAACAATGTATAAACCTAGAAAACCTGAGACAGGTCGGGGCACAGCTTGGTTTTTTTTGTTTTGAGTTTTTTTTTGTAGGGGTAGAGGTGGTTTGGAGTCTCACTCTGTAGCCCAGGCTGGAGTGCAGTGGCACCATCTCGGCTCTCTGCCACCTCCGCCTCCCAGGTCCTGGTTCAAGCAATTCTCCTGCTCCCGAGTAGCTGGGATTACAGGCACGCGCCACCACGCCCAGCTGATTTTTGTATTTTTAGTAGAGACGGGGTTTCATCACGTTGCCCAGGCTGGTCTTGAACTCCTGAACTCAAGTGATCCGCCCGCCTCGGCCTCCCAAAGTGCTGGGATGACGGGCGTGAGCCACTGTGACCGGCCACAGCTTGGTTTTATACATTTTAGGGAGGCGGAGCTTGCAGTGAGCCAAGATCACGCTACTGCACTCCAGCCTGGGCGACACAGTGAGACTCCGTCTCAAAAAAAAAAAAGAGAGATACAGGAAGGGCTGAGCGGCTCACACCTGTCATCCCAGCACTTTGGGAGTCCGAGGCAGGTGGATCACGAGGTCAGGAGTTCGAGACTACCCTGGCCGACGTGGTGAAACCCCGTTTCTACTAAAAATACAAAAATTAGCCAGGCGTGGTGGCTTACGCCTGTCATCCCAGCACTTTGGGAGTCTGAGGCAGGTGGATCACCTGAGGTCAGGAGTTTGAGACCAGCCTGGCCAACATGGCAAAACCCCGTGTCTACTAAAAATACAAAAATTAGCCAGGTGTGGTGGCGGGCACCTGTTATCCCACCTATTTGGGAGTCTGAGGCAGGAGAATCGCTTGAACCCGGGAGGCGGAGGTTGCGGTGAGCCAAGATCGTGCCCCTGCATTCCAGCCTGGGTGACAGAGTGAGACTCTGTCTCAGAAAAAAAGATAAAAGAAAACAGAAAAAAAAGAACCTTTGTTTCCGCCCAGAAAGGCAGGGACAGCACAAAGCCAGGAGCAGGTTTCCAGGTAACAGGTAGGTGGGAGACAGATGGTTGCACTGTTTTGAGTTTCTGATAACCTTTTTTGAAGGAGGAGATCAGATGTGGGTCTATCTCACTGAGCAGAGGGGTGACTTTGAGTACAATGGGAGGCAGGTTTGCCTGTAGCAGTTCCCAGCTTGAATTTTCCTTTTAGCTTCCTGATTTGGAAGGGGCCCAAGATGTTTTCCTTCCACGCTATACGCTGTGGAATATACTACACAGCCATAAAAATGAAGGAAATAAGGTTCTGTGCAGCAACCTGGATGCCGCTGGAGGGCATTATCCTAAGAGAATTAACAAAGGAACAGAAAACCAAACACTGCAGGTTCTCACTTTGTAAGTAGAAACTGTATATGTATATGTGTATATATATGTATTTGTATATGTATATGTATATGCATTTGTATATGTATTTGCATATGTATATGTATTTGTATATGTATTTGTATATGTATATGTATTTGTATATGTATTTGCATATGTATATGTATATGTATTTGTATATGTATACATATATATGCACTCTGTAACATTGATAACACACACTATAAGATTGCTATCCACTATTAGCATCTATATATACATCTATATATATAGTGTGTATATATATTTACACTATATATATATCTATACATCCATATATAGTGTGTATATATAGTGTGTGTATATATATAGTGTGTGTATATATATAGTGTGTGTATATATATATAGTGTGTATATATATATAGTGTGTATATATATATATATATAGTGTGTGTGTATATATATACTATAAGGTTGCTGGCCAGGCACGGTGGCTCACGCCTGTAATCCCAGCACTTTGGGAGGCCAAGGCAGGCAGATCACGAGGTCAGGAGATCGAGACCATCCTGGCTAACACGGTGAAACCCCATCTCTACTAAAAATACAAAAACTTAGCCGGGCATGGTGGTGAGCGCCTGTAGTCCCAGCTACTCGGGAGGCTGAGGCAGGAGAATGGCGTGAACCCGGGAGACGGAGCTTGCGGTGAGCCAAGATCATGCCACTGCACTCCAGCCTCGGCGACAGAGCAAGACTCCGTCTCAAAAAAAAGAAAAAAAAAAGATGAAATGCTTTACTCTTTGTTTAAAAAAAAAAATCCTCTGAAAATCAGATGAGATGTCTCAAGCCTGTCATCCTAGCACTTTGGGAGGCTGAGGCGGGTGGATCACCAGAGGTCAGGAATTTGAGACCAGCCTCGTCAACGTGGTGAAACCCCGTCTCCACTAAAAATGCAAAAATTAGCCGGGCGTGGTGGCGGGCGCCTGTAGTCTCAGCTACTCAGGAGGGTGAGGCAGGAGAATCACTTCAACCCGGGAGGCAGAGGTTGCAATGAGCCAACACTCTGCCACTGCACTCCAGCCTGGGCAACAGAGCGAGACTCTGTCTCAAAAAACAAACAAAAAAAATTCCTCTGAGAGCTGGTGGTTGTGGCTCACACCTGTAATCGCAGCACTTTGGGAGGCCAAGGCAGGAGGATCACCTGAGGTCAGGAGTTCGAGACCAGCCTGGCCAACATGGCGAAACCCCGTCTCTACTAAAAAAAAAAAATTAGCCGGGTGTGGTGGCGGCCGCCTGTAATCCCAGCTACTCGGGAGGCTGAAGCAGGAGAATCATTTGATGGGAAGTGGAGGTTGCAGTGAGCCGAGATCGTGACACTGCACTCCAGCCTGGGCAACAGAGTGAGACTCCGTCTCAAAAAAAAAAAAAAAATGCTGGGGACAGTGGCTCACGCCTGTAAACCCAGCACTTTGGGAGGTCAAGGCGGGTGGATCACCTGAGGTTAGGAGTTCAAGACCACCCTGGACAACGTGGTGAAACCCCATCTCTACTAAAAATACAAAAATTAGCCGAGCGTGGTGGCGGGCAGCTATAATCCCAGGTACTCAGGAGGCTGAGGCAGGAGAATCGCTTGAACTCGGAAGGCAGAGCTTGCAGCGAGCCAAGATCGCGCCACTGCACTCCAGCCTGGGCAACTGAGTGAGACTCTGTCTCAAAACAGACAAAAAATCCTCCGAGAATCCAATGCTATGGGAATGGTACATGGACGGAACTGGGGACTCACAGAGTGGGAAGATGGTTTTACAGCATTTTGGACGTGCTGCCTTGGGGTTTATGTGACAACGTTCAGGCACGAAAAGGAACTGGGAGTAAATCTCCTGGAGCAATTGGCTCCCATCTGCCATCAAGCCTTTGAACACAGAGACTCATGTGGGGGAAAGTTAGCAGGGCAGTGGCCGCATTAGGCGGTGAGGCTGGGTCTTCAGAGTCTCCTAGTCCTACCATCATTGGCGTGGAGACTTCCCATCCATGGTGGTGTGGAGTCCCCGGGACAGTCCCCTCTGTCTTTAAATGTCAACGTGGATCCTGACGTTGACTTTGACAGTGGTGTGTCCATCACAACGCCACGTAGGAGCGGTCATTCATCACAAAGGTGAAGCCCCCGATTGTGACCACATCACCGCCTTGGAGGGGCTGGTGGGGAAGCTGGAGGGATCCCCCAGAGGCCTCTTTCTCCTCGGTCTGTGGGTCCAGCATCCTGGGAGACTCGGCTTCAGTCTTGGCCAACTGGACTACCAGGGGCTCCTCGGG
Organism: Homo sapiens; assembly: GCF_000001405.40. Taxonomy (NCBI): domain Eukaryota; kingdom Metazoa; phylum Chordata; class Mammalia; order Primates; family Hominidae; genus Homo; species Homo sapiens. Next base: position 1,191,092 of record NC_000024.10, read on the forward strand.
GCCACTTTCTTGCTCTGCACCTGCCATCTTGTGGAGGTGGGCCACGTTCTGGGTGTCTGTGATCCACTCCTACCAGGAAGAACATTCTAGCTCAAACACAGTGGACACACCACACACAGCGTCCTGAGCATCCGTACAGACGGTACCCACCACAGACATCCCTGGACATCTTTCTCTTTCTTTCTCTCTCTTTCTTTTCTTTTCTCTTTCTTTCTTTCTTTCTTTCTTTCTTTCTTTCTTTCTTTCTTTCTTTCCTTCTTTCTTTCTTTCCTTTCTTTCTCTTTCTTTCTTTCTCTCTTTCTCTCTTTCTTTCTTCCCAAGAAACAACACCATTCCCAATGGAACAGGAAAGCCCTCTCATCTGGGAGGTCTAAGCCCCTACAAAGCTCTTGTTTGGGGCATCCAGGAGCTCTGACACCAATACCCTTGTAAACCAAAAATAAATTTTTTTTTTTTTGAGACGGCATTTCGCTCTTGTTTCCCAGGCTGGAGTGCAACGGCGTGATCTCGGCTGACTGCAGCCTCCGCCTACCCGGTTCAAGCGATTCTCCTGCCTCAGCCTCCTGAGTAGCTGGGATTACAGACGTGCACCACCACACACGGCTAATTTTGTATTTTTAGTAGAGACGGGGTTTCACCATGTTGGTCAGGCTGGACTCGAACTCCCGACCTCAGGTGATCCACCCGACTCGACCTCCCAAAGTGCTGGGACCAAAGGTGCGAGCCACCGTGCCTGGCCCCCAAAAATAAAATTCTAAGCCCTCCAACAGACTGACGGACTCTCCAGTCAGCCAAGGTGATTCCAAAGTTAAGTTAAAACCTAGTTTGAGCCAGCCGGCCGCAGTGGCTTACACCTGTAATCCCAGCACTTTGGGAGGCCAAGGTGGGTGGATCATGAGGTGAGGAGATCGAGACCATCCCGACTAACATGGTGAAACCCCATCTCTACGAAAAATACAAAAAATCAGCCGGGTGTGGTGGCGGGCGCCTGTAGTCCCAGCTACTTGGGAGGCTGAGGCAGGAGAATGGCGTGAACCCGGGAGGTGGAGCTTGCAGTGAGCCGAGATCCCGCCACTGCACTCCAGCCTGGGCGACAGAGCGAGACTCCGTCTCAAAAAAAAAAAAAAAACAAAAAAAACCTAGTTTGAGCCATAATGGGAAGTCAGAGTTGGACATGCTTCTTTATACCCTCTTCCCTTTGAAATTCTGACACAGCTGACCAGCATTAAAATCAACACATAGGACACAAAAACCAGGCGCGGTGGCTCACGCCTGTCATCCCAGCACTTCGGGAGGCCAAGGTGGGTGGACTTGAGTTTGAGACCAGCCTGGACAACATGGTGAAAAAACCCATCTGTACTAAAAATACAAAAAATTAGCCAGGTGTGGTGGCGGGCGCCTGTCATCCCAGCTACTCAGGAGGCTGAGGCAGGAGAATCATTTGACCCTGGGAGGTGGAGGTTGCAGTGAGCCGAGATCAAACCATTTTTCTTTCTTCCTTCCTTTCTTCCTTTCTTTCTTTCCTTCTTTCTCTCTCTTTCTTTCTTCCTTTTCTTTTTTTCTTTCTTTCCTTTTTTCTTTCTCTTTCTTTTTCTCTTTCTTTTTCTTTTCTTTTCTTTTCTTTCTTTCTTTCTTTCTTTCTTTCTTTCTTTCTTTCTTTCTTTCTTTCTTTCTTTCCTTCCTTCCTCTCTCCCCCTTTCCTCCCTCCTTCCTTCCCTTCCTTCCTTCTTTTTTTTTTTCTTGACAGAGTCTCACTCTGTCACCCAGGCTGGAGTGCAGTGGTACAATCTCAGCTCACTGCAACCTCTGCCTCCACAGTTCAAGCGATTCTCCTGCCTCAGCCTCCAGAGTCGCTGGGATTACAGGAGTGAGCCAGCACGCCCGGCTAATCCTTGTATTTTTAGTAGAGATGGGGTTTCACATGTTGGCCAGGCTGGTCTCGAACTCCTGACCTGAAGTGAGCCTCCCACCTCGGCCTCCCAAAGTGCTGGGATGACAGGCGTGAGCCACTGCGCCCGGCTGTTAATGTCATTCTCTAAAAAGGTCGCGCTCAGAGAGATAGGAATGCAGGCAGAGGGGCACCTGCTTGGTGGAGAGGAGAAGAGACACAAGGAGAGGGCGGATACCTGGAAGTTCCCTTGGTGTATCTCAAAGAGCCCGGGGAAGATGGATTTCGGGTCTGGCACGCTGGGAATGAGAAACTTCTTCACTCTGAAATAGAGACGGAGAGCGTGGTCAGGTCGGCCACAGCCCCGCAGGAAGGGTTGGCAAGAAGCACCTACAGGGCATGGACCCCAGGGACAGACCAAGAATGGCAGAGCGGGGCCTTCCACATGGACACATGTGTCTCCTCCCGCTCCCCAGGGACCCTGCCTCTGGGGTCCTCATAAAGTTCCCATCAGGAGGCCGGGAGTGGTGGCTCACGCCTGTAATCCCAGCACTTTGGGAGGCTGAGGCGGATGGATCACCTGAGGTCAGGAGTTTGAGACCAGCCTGGCCAACATGGTGAAATCCCCTCTCTAATAAAAATACAAAAAAAAATTAGCCGGGCGTGGTGGTGGGCACCTGTAGTCCCAGCTACTCGGGAGGCTGAGGCTGGAGAATGGCGTGAACCCGGGAGGTGGAGGTTTCAGTGATCCGAGATTGCGCCACTGCACTCCAGCCTGGGCGACAGAGCGAGACTCCATCTCAAAAAAAAAAAAAAAAAAAAAATACAAAAATTAGCCAGGTGTGGTGGCGGATGCCTGTAATCCCAGCTATTCGGGAGGCTGAGGCAGGAGAATCACTTGAACCTGGGAGGCAGAGGTTGCAGTGAGCTGAGATCACACCACTGCACTCCAGCTGGGGCAACAGAGCGAGACTCCGTCTCAAAAAAATACAAAAATTAGCTGGGCATGGTGGCGTCTGCCTGTAATCCCAGCTACTTGGGATGCTGAGGCAGGAGAATCGCTTGAACCTGGGGGGCAGAGGTTGCAGTGATCTGAGATTGTGCCACTGCTCTCCAGCCAGGGCAACAGACCGAGACTCCATCTCAAAAAAAATACAAAAATTAGCTGGGTGTGGTGGCGTCTGCGTGTAGTCCCAGCTACTTGGGATGTTGAGGCAGGAGAATCACTTGAACCTGGGAGGCGGAGACTGCAGTGATCCAAGATCACACCAGTGCTCTCCAGCCTGGGCAACAGAGCTAGACTCCGTCTCAAAAAAAACAAAATATACAAAAATTAGCCGGGTGTGGTGGCAGATGCCTGTAGTCCCAGCTGCTTGGGAGGCTAAGGCAGGAGAATCGCTTGAGCCTGGGAGGTGGAGTTTGCAGTGAGCCCAGATCACACCATTGCACTCCAGCCTGGGTGACAGAGTGAGACTCAGTCTTAAAAAAATAAAAGTTCCCACCAGGATAAGGTGTGACGGACAGTGAGCCACGTCCTGTGCACACAGCAGATTTGCATTAAATATGTGATTATTTCCACCTTGTCGATAGGATGGGCTGAAATGGGACCCTCATTCCTGAAAGTTTCTATGTTGAAGTTCTAATCACCGACCTCACAACGAGACTATATTTGGAGATGGGGAGTCTCTAAAAAGGTGATGATAGTAAAATGAGGTCACTAGGGAGGGTTCTGTTTCAACAGGGCTGAGGTCTTTATAAGAAGAGAAGGTTGGCCAGGAGTGGTGGCTCACGCCTGTCATCCCAGCACTTTGGGAGGCCGAGGAGGACGGATCTCCTGAGGTCAGGAGTTCGAGACCAGCCTGGCCAACACGGTGAAACCCCGTCTCTACTAAAAATACAAAAATTAGCCAGGTGTGGTGGCGCGCACCTGTAGTCCCAGCTACTCGGGAGGCTGAGGCAGGAGAATTGCTTGAATCTGGGAGGCGGAGGTGGCAGTGAGCCGAGATCATGCCACTGTACTCCAGCCTGGGTGACAGAGTGAGACTCAGTCTCAAAATAAATACATAAATAAATATATAAGAAAATGACTCAACCTCCCACCTACTGGGGAGGCTGAGGCAGGAGAATTGCTTGAACTCGGGAGGCAGAGGTTGCAGTGAGCCGAGATCACGCCACTGCACTCCAGCCTGGGTGACAGAGTGAGATTCCGTCTCAAAATAAATACAGAAATAAATAAATCAATAAATAAGAAAATGACTCAACCTCACATTTTTGAAAAGTTCTCTGTGGTCTGAAAGAATATTGTTTCGTCTAGAACTCTCACTGGATTCAAAGCCAAAAATTCAGTGAGAGATGGAGCAAAGACAATATTAGATCTTGGACCATTCTTCTTGCTGCCCTCACCAAGTTGCACAGCTTACCTGGACTTCTTTAGCTTTCTTTTTGAGAGACAGGATCGTGCTCTGTCACCCAGGGTGGAGTGCAGTGGTGCAATCACAGCTCACTGCAGCCTTAAACTCCCAGGCTCAAGCCGTCCTTCCACCTCAGCCTCCCAAATAGCTGGGACTACAAGTGCACGCTACTACGCCCAGCTAATTTTATTTTTTCCTTTTTTTCAGACAGAGTTTCACCCTTGTCGCCCAGGCTGGAGTATAATGGTGCAATCTCAGCTCATGGCAACCTCTGCCTCCTGGGTTCAAGCGGTTCTCCTGCCTCAGCCTCCGGAGCAGCTGGGACTACAGGTGCTAATTTTTATATTTTTATAAATATATATATATTTTTATATTATATATATATTTATATAATTTTATATATATTTATATATTATATATTAAATTATATATATTATATATTAAATTATATATTTATATATTTTTATATAGATTAAATTAAATATATATTTTATATAGATTAAATTAAATATGTATTTATATATTTTTATATAGATTACATTAAATATATTTATATATATTTTATATATAAATTAAATATATATTATATATATTTTTATATATTTATATATATAATTATATATAAATATAAATATATATAATTATACACCCGGCTAATTTTTATATTTTTAGTAGAGGTGGGGTTTCTTCATGTTGGCCAGGCTGGTCTCGAACTCCTGACCTCAGGTGATCCACCTGCCTCGGCCTCCTAAAGTGCTGGGATTACAGACATGAGCCACCACACCCGGCAGGGCTAATTTTTTTTTTTTTTTTTTGAGACAGAGTCTCGCTCTGTCGCCCAGGCTGGAGTGCAGTGGCGCAATCTCCGCTCACAGCAAGCTCCGACTCCCAGGTTCAAGCAATTCTCCTGCCTCAGCCTCCCGAGTAGCTGGGATTACAGGTGCACGCCACCACACCCGGCTACTTTTTGTATTTTTATTAGAGACGGGGTTTCACCATGTTGGCCAGGATGGTCTCGATCTCTTGACCTTATGATTCACCTGCCTTGGCATCACAAAATACTGGGATTACAGGCGTGAACCACCGTGCCTGACCCTAATTTTTGTATTCTTAGTAGAGATGGGATTTCACCATATTGGCCAGGCTGGTCTCGAACTCGTGACCTCGTGATCTGCCTGCCTTGGTCTCCCCAAGTGCTGGGATGACAGGTGTGAGCCACCATGCCCAGCCCCTCCGAAATTTCTTATAATCCACCATCAGAAGAGTGGGCATTGTATGGAAACTGAGGCCCAGGGAAATGACTCTATCAGGCGATTAATCTTTTTTCGTACTTCACAGACATTGTGCAAGCAGGTCCCTCCACCCACGGGCGGCAGGAGTCATCCTTACCTCCATAATTTCCATAAAGACAGAAGGAGGAGAGACACCATCAGAAGGATGGCCAGGCTGGAAATTAAAATAAATTTGGACAGCTTTGGTTTGGGAGGCGTTGGTGTCTCTGCACAGGCATCTGAAACAAAATGAAAAGGCGGCTGTCAGTTTTCAACATGACGTGCGGCTGTACGTTTTCAACGTGATGTTACATCTCATCCCTAACCAGTCTCCCTCATTTTTTGGTGTTCGTTTTTTTTTCTTGGTTCTCGTTGTTTGTTTTTTGTTTTGTTTTTGTTTTTTGTAAATATTCGTGTCAGCAAATCTTTTACTTTTTTTTTTTTTTTTTGAGACAGAACCTCACTCTGTTGCCCAGGCTGGAGTGCAGTGGCTCCATCTCAGCTCACTGCAACCTCCGTCTCCCGGACTCAAGCGATTCTCCTGTCTCAGCCTCCCGAGCAGCTGGGATGACAGGCATCCGCCACCACACCGGGCTAATTTTTGTATTTTTAGTAGAGATGGACCTATTTTTTTTTTTTAATGAATGTTAGTGTCAGCAAATTTTCATTCCTATGGAAAATATCCTGGAAAGAGACACCGTGTCTCTGGACAACAACACATCCCACAGCCACCCCGAGGAAGTAAGGGCAGGTCCAACATGTAGCCTTTGGAGGCTTCTGGTTGCTGGAGGTGTTTACAGCATATGAGAGCTTGCTTTCGTGTGTTGGTGGCTGTGCTCCTTAAATCATGCCCCCTGAAAACATACGTCAAAGGCCGGGCGCGGTGGCTCACGCCTTTAATCCCAGCACTTTGGGAGGCCGAGGCGGGCGGATCACAAGGTCAGGAGTTCGAGACCAGCCTGGCCAATATGGGGAAACGCCATCCCTACTAAAAATACAAACATTAGGCGGGCTTGGTGGTGCGTGCCTGTAGTCCCAGCTACTTGGGAGGCTGAGGCAGGAGAATCACTTGAACTCGGGAGGCGGAGGTTGCAGTGAGCCAAGACCGTGCCACTGAACTCCAGCCTGGACCACAGACTGAGACTCCCTCTAAAAAAAAATAAAAATAAAAAAATAAAAAATAAAAAGATTTAATCAGGTGTGGTGGCGTGTACACTGTAATCCCAGGCACTCGGGAGGCTGAGGCGGGAGAATCGATTGAACGTGGGAGACAGATGTTGCAGGGAGCCGAGATCGCGCCACTGCACTCCAGCCTGGGCACCATGAGAATGTTTCTCAAAAAAACAAAAGAAAGAAAACTCTCCCAAGTGAAAGCAGCCCGAGAATGAAACAAGGAGAGGAATTACTTTCAGATGGGGCCCTGGAGGATGACAGAAGGCTGAGCTTGCTCAGACACACCCTCCTGGGAAGGCAGGACACCCTCCCTCCCACCTCGAAGGCAGGACACCCTCCCTCCCACCTCCCAGGAAGGCAGGACACCCTCCCTCCCACCTCGAAGGCAGGACACCCTCCCTCCCACCTCCCAGGAAGGCAGGACACCCTCCCTCCCACCTCCCAGGAAGGCAGGACACCCTCCCTCCCACCTCCCAGGAAGGCAGGACACCCTCCCTCCCACCTCGAAGGCAGGACAGCCTCCCTCCCACCTCCCGGGAAGATAGGACACCCTCCCTCCCACCTCGAAGGCAGGACACCCTCCCTCCCACCTCCCAGGAAGGCAGGACACCCTCCCTCCCACCTCGAAGGCAGGACACCCTCCCTCCCACCTCCCGGGAAGGCAGTGGCTATGCCTACTCCAGCCTGGTGACAAGGCTATGGGACACTGCCGCGTAACAAGCATTACCCCGAATCTCGCCTCTCTGCCAGCATGTCACCTCTGACCAGTCGCTTGGGTATGTGTCTGGCCCATATACATCCTCCATAGCCTTCACCCTGACCCAGAAAGAGTAACACTTCTCGGCATCCAAGCCTTCTATGGTGACGTTGCAGGTATTTTCCTGTTTGGACTGGAGAAACATACACACACACACACACACACACACACACACACACACACACACACACAATGATTAGTGATGTAACCTGTCTGTCCAGAGTTTTCCTTCCGGAGGGTTCACAGTCTCGCTGACTTCAAGAATGGAGCCGCGAGGCCGGACACAGTGGCTCACTCCTGTAAACCCAACGCTTTGGGAGGCTGAGGCGGGTGGATCACCTGAGGTCGCAAGTTCGAGACCAGCCTGGCCAACATGGAGAAACCCCGTCTCTACTGATAATACAAAAATTAGCCAGGCGTGGTGGCGGGTGCCTGTAATCCCAGCTACTTGGGAGGCTGAGGCAGGAGAATCGCTTGAACCTGGGAGGCGAAGGTTGTAGCAAGCAGAGATCGCACCACTGCACTCCAGCCTGGGTGACAGAGCGGGACTGTGTCTAAAAAAAGAAAAAGAGATGGGGTCTCACTCTGTTGCCCAAGCTGGTCAACAACTCCTGGGCTCAAGCGATCCTCCTGCCTTGGCCTCCAACAGTACTGGGATTACAGGCATGAGCCACTGTGCCTGGCCTGTATTTACTTTATTATTATTTTAATATATTATTTATTTATTTACTGAGACAGAGTCTTGCTCTGTTGCCCAGGCTGGAGTGCAGTGGTGCGGTCTCGGCTCACTGCAACCTCTGCCTGTCGGGTTCAAGCAATTCTTGTGCCTCAGCCTCCCGAGTAGCTCGGATTACAGGCACCACCATGCTTGGCTAATTTTTGTATTTCTAGTAGAGATGAGGTTTCACCACGTTGGCCAGGCTGGTCTTGAACTCCTGACCTCAGGTGATCCACCCTCCTCGGCCTCCCAAAGTGCTGGGATTAAAGGTGTGAGCCACTGCATCCAGCCTGTATCTACATATCTTTACAGATATAAATGGATATAAAGATACAGATGAATGTTCTATTCTATGTATCAGTTTATACATATATAGTTTATATATGTTTGTAGATATATGTACCAATAAGATATCTCTATATGTATATTTATATATGTGTGTATATATAAGCTGTATATATAAGGTGTGTATATATAATTGTGTATATATAAGTTGTGTGTATAAGGTGTGTGTATATCTGTGTGTATAGAAGCTATGTATATAAGATGTGTATATATGTGTATATATAAGCTATGTATCTATATGTGTGTGTATATATGTGTATATATAAGCTGTGTATGTAAGGTGTGTATATATGTGTATATATAAGCTGTGTATATTAGGTGTGTATATACGTGTGTATATATATGTGTATATAAGCTGTGTATATAAGCTCTGTATATATGTGTGTGTATATATGTGTGTATATAAGGTGTGTATATATGTGTATATGTATTGTATATAAGCTGTGTGTGTATATATATAAAGTTTGTGTATCTATACATGTGTGTATATACATGTGTGTATATATACCTGTATATAAGCTGTGTATATAAGCTGTGTATATGTGTGTATGTGTGTGTATATACGGTGTGTGTATACGTGTGTATAAATATGTGTATATAAGCTGTGTATATAAGGTGCATATATATGTGTATATATACGTGTATATAAGCTGTGCACATATGTGTGTATATATATGTGTGTATATAAGATGTGTATGTACATGTGTATAAATATGTGTATATAAGGTATGTATATATGTGTGTGTATATGTGTATATAAGCTGTGTATATGTGTGTATATGTGTTTATATAAGGTGTGTGTATACGTGTGTATAAATATGTGTATATAAGCTGTGTATATAAGGTGCATATATACATATATATACGTGTATATAAGCTGTGTATATATGTGTGGGTATATATATGTGTATATAAGCTGTGTGTGTGTATATATGTGTGTATATAAGATGTGTATATACGTGTGTATAAATATGCATATATAAGGTATGTATATATGTGTGGGTATATATATGTGTATATAAGCTGTGTGTGTGTGTATATGTGTGTGTATATAAGATGTGTATATACGTGTGTATAAATATGCATAGATAAGGTATGTATATATGTGTGTATATAAGCTGTGTATCTATATGTGTGTATATGCATGTGTATATATGTATATATAAGCTGTGTACACAAGGTACGTACATATATGTGTGTGTATATGTGTGTGTGTACACACACATATAGGTAGATATACAGTCATGCATTGCTTAACGATGGGGACATGTTCTGGGAAATGCATTGTGAGGTGATTTCTTCATTATGAGAATATTCTAGAGTTTACTTACACACACCTAGCTGGTCTAGCCTGCTGCACATCTAGGCTGTATAGTAAATTGCTCTTCAGCTACACACCCATACAGCATGTTACTGTACTGAATACTGCAGACAAACCTAATGCAAGGGTAAGTATTTGTGTATCTAAACATAGAGAAGGTACAGGAAAAATATGGTATAGAAGAAAATAATTGGGACAGCTGCATAGGACAGCTGTGTGATAATCATAGGAGACTACCGTGGTACATGCAGTCTGCTGATGACCAACAGGTCGTTAGGCAGCACATGACTGTGTGTGTGTGCCTGTGTGTGTCTGTGTGTGTCTGTGCATGTCTGTGTGTGCCTGTGTGCCTGTGTTTGTGTGTCTGTGTGTGTGTGTGTGTAGAGAGACAGGTGTGTAGAGATACAGGTAGAGATAGGACTAGAGGTAGACAGATAAAGAAATGATAGATACATAGATAAAACAGAGAGATGACAGAGTTGATAGATGATACATAGACAGATGATAGAGAGATAGATAGATGATACATAGATGATAGAGCGATGAGAGAGAGATAGATGATACATAGATGATAGAGTGATGAGAGAGAGATAGATGATACATAGATGATAGAGCAATGATAGAGAGATAGATGATACATAGACAGATGATAGAGAGATAAATAGATGATACATTAGATAGAGAGACAGACAGACAGATGATACAGAGTAGATAGATAGATGATACTTAGATAGATAGAGACGGATAGATGATAGATGTATAGATACATACATAGATAGATAAATACATAGATAAGATAGTAGATGGTAGAATAGAGATAATGGGTAGGTAGTTAGATAGAGATGATAGATAGTTGAACTACATAGAGATAGGGATGATATATATAGAAGATTGACCATACATAGATAGATAAAAGAGAGTTGGTAGATAAAATAGATATGGATAGAGCCATAGAGAGATAGATAGAACAAAGAGAGTTAATAGATAAAATAGATGATAGATTGAAAGACAGAGATAGAGATAAAATAGAATGAGATAGATTGAAAGACAGGGATAGAGATAAAATAGAATGAGATAGATAGATGATAGATTGAAAGAGAGGGAAATAGAATGATATAGATACATAGATAGAGGTAGAGATAAAATAGAATGATATAGATAGATTGATAGATAGATAGATAAATAGATTGATAGACAGACAGACAGACATATTATTGGTTCTCTTTCTCTGGAGACCCCTCAGAGACACAGAGAGAAACATGAAAAAGCCAAGCTGGACTAGAGCTCTCTCAGGAAGATACAGCAGAGTGGAATTCAGGAAGGTGTAGACAGAGGGGAGCGAGGTCTGATGAAACAGCGAATCCCACAGCCCGCACCTGGGGGACGCTCAGCCACCATCGCCCTGAGTCGCGGCCGCCCGGCTCACCTGCCACTCGGTGTCGAAGGGGCTCCGGTACTGAACCTCATAGAGGAGATCCCCGTAGGACAGGTCAGAACACGTCACCGTCACTGCATCCTGATGCCACGAAAATCTCACGTGCTTCGGGGAACTGGGTTTCACTGAGAAGAAGAAATAACGGAAGCGACGTCCCTCCTCTCTGAGCTGATTGTGACAGGCTGACCTCATCCCCTTTCTCTAGCCTGTACCCCTCCTCCCCTTAATACCTTATGGTGTCTCGGGGTTCACCCGTCCTCATTACTTTTATAGGAGAAGCTTCCACCAGAGCTCCGAGAACCTGTAGGTTTGTGAAGGAAGGAACTCTCTAAAATTCTGCGGAAAATGTCCTGTGTGTCTGTTACGGGCTAAATTAAGTCCCCCACAAAAATATATGTTAAAATCCCAACTCCCCAGAAACTCAGAATGGAACTGTATTTAAAAATAAGATCCTTTAGAAGGCCGAGGCGGGTGGATCACCTGAAGTCAGGAGTTCGAGACCAGCCTGGCCAATATGCTAAAACCCCGTCTCTACTAAAAATACAGGCATGGTGGCCAGCGCTTGTAATCCCAGCTATTAGTGAGGCTGAGGCAGGAGAATCGCTTGAACCGGGGAGGCGGAGGTTGCGGTGAGCCGAGATTGAACCACTGCCCTCCAGCCTGGGTGACAGAGCGAGACTATCTCAAAAAAAAAAAAAAAAAAAAAAAAAAGGATCATTATAGATTCAGTTAGTTAGGATCATTATAGATTCAGTTAGTTAGGATGAGGTCATACTGGAGAAGGAAGGGTTCTAAATCCAATGACAGGTGTCCTTCTCGGAGACAGAGGAGGAGATGCAGACACAGAGGAGGAGGCCACGTGGAGACGGAGGCAGAGACTGGAGTGATGGGGCCACAAGCCCAGGGATGCCTGGAGCCCCCAGGAGCTGGGAGAGGTAGGAAGGAGCCTCCCCTAGAACCCTGGAAGGAACTGAATATAATTATACTGAATGGAACAGTGGCCCCCAGAAACATCTGTCCACATCCTAAAGCCCAGGACCTGGAATGAGACCGGATTTGGAAATAGGCTCTCTGCAGATGTAATTAGGTGAAGGACCTTGAGGTGAGATCATCCTGGAGTAGGGTGTCCCCTAAATCTAATGACAGGTGCCCTTGTAAGAGACAGAAGAGGAGACACAGAGGAGAAGGCCACATGGAGACGGAGGCAGAGACTGGAGTGATGCGGCCACAAGCCCAGGGACACCTGGAGCCCCCAGGAGCTGGGAGAGGCAGGAAGGATCCTCCCTTAGAACCTCCAGAGGGAATGCGGCTCTCAGAAATCTCCATCTCAGACTCATGGGCTTCAAAACTGGGAGAGAATAAATTTCTGCTGTTTTAAGCCTCCAGTTTGTGGTGACCTATTATAGCCCAGGAAACGCACCCAGTATCTGTAAGTAATTTCGCGAATAAAGAGTTCATAGTTCTCACCGGATTCTCAAACAGATCCGTTTCCCCTACCTCTAAAAAATAAAAAAGTAAAAAAGAAACCCAGCCTTACAGAATTCTAGGATAAAGAATAAACATTTTGGAAACAGGGTTTCCCTACATTTGTCCCTCATTTCCTCGCCCGAGACTTAACAGCCAGTTCTCAACGCACATAAGAAAACCAGCCTGGGCAACAGAGCAAGACCCTCTCTCTCAAAAAAAAGAGAGAACATCCAGTGAGTGGGATGAGGATGAGAGAGTATTTCCAGCTCACTCTGTGTGTGTGTGTGTGTGTGTGTGTGTGTGTAGGCAGGGCACCAGAGAGCATCTCTAATTAATTCCCTTATTTAATTTAATGAATTTATTTATTTGAGATGGAGTTTCACTCTTGTTGTCCAGGCTGGAGTGCAATGGCGCGATCTCGGCTCACCACAAACTCCGCCTCCCAGATTCAAGAGATTCTCCTGCCTCAGCGTCCCGAGTAGCTGGGATTACAGGCATGCACCACCAAGCCCGGCTAATTATGTATTTTTAATAGAGATGGAGTTTCTCCATGTTGGTCAGGCTGGTCTCGAACTCCCCACGTCACGTGATCCCCCTGCCTTGGCCTCCCAAAGTACTGGGATTACAGGGGAGAGCCACCGCCCTGGGCCTTATTTATTTTTAAATAATAAATTTATAAATCGCCCAGGCTGCAGTGCAGTGGCACCGTCTTGGCTCACTGCAGCCTCCGCCTCCCGGGTTCAAGCAATTTCCCTGCCTCAGCCTCCCGAGTAGCTGGGATTACAAGCGTGTGCCACCACGCCTGGCTAATTTTTTTTAAATTATTTTTAATAGAGACGGGGTTTCACCACGTTGGCAAGGCTGGTCTCGAACTCCAGACCTCAAGTGATCCGCCCGCCTTGGTCTCCCAAAGTACCGGGATTACAGGGGTAAGCCACCACCCTGGGCCTTATTTATTTTTAAATAATGAATTTATAAATCGCCCAGGCTGGAGTGCAGTGGCACCAACGTGGCTCACTGCAGCCTCTGCCTCCCAGGTTCAAGCAATTTCCCTGCCTCAGCCTCCCGAACAGCTAGGATTACAGGCATGCGCCACCAGCCCGGCTAATTTTTTGTTTGTTTGTTTGTTTGTAGAGATGGGGTTTCACCATGTTGGTGAGGCTGGTCTCGAACTCCAGACCTCAAGTGATCCGCCCGCCTTGGCCTCCCATAGTGCTGGGATTACAGGCGTGAGCCACCGCGCCCCGCCTTTAATTCATTCCCTTAAATCACAGTCTCCCGGGGTCATCTGGTCTCCCCACTGGGGGCAGATTCAATCCCCAACCAGTGTGCGTGTAAGAGGGAACTTCCTGGAAGGCCGGTTTCTTCCCACTTGGAGTGAGGAGCTGGGCACCGGGCTCTAGTGGCCAATGGTCCATGAGCTTGATTTTCAGAACTTAACTGAAAGTAACTGAAGGTAAGGAGATGAAGGGGTACTGAAAAGTGTGCTGGGATTGCTTTTCAATCGTTACGGTAATCATTGATCCCGCGACTTGCGAGAGCTTGCTTTTCGGTACTTATGATAATCAGCTGAAGGAAGTACTGAAAAGCATGCTGAGCTTGCTTTTCAATTGTTATGGTAATCATTGATCCCGCGACTTGCGAGAGCTTGCTTTTCAGTACTTATGGTAATAAGCTGAAGGAAATACTGAAAAGCATGTTGAGCTTGCTTTTCAATAGTTACGGTAATCATGGATCCGGTTATTTGCATGAGCTTTTTTATTTATGGCAATAAGCTGAAGGAAGTAGTGAAAAGGATGCTGGGCTGCTTTTCAATAGTTACGGGAATCTGATCCTGCGACTTGCTAGAGCTTGCTTTTCAGTACTTATGGTAATAAGCTGAAGGAAGTACTGAAAAGCATGGTGAGCTTGCTTTTCAATAGCTACGGTAATCACTGATCCAGTGACTTGCATGAGCTTGCTTTATCAGTACTTATGGTAATAAGCTGAAGGAAGTACGAAAAGCATGGTGAGCTTGCTTTTCAATAGTTATGGTAATCATGGATCCGGTAATTTGCATGAGCTTTTCAGTACTTATGGTAATAACCTGAAGGAAGTAGCGAAAAGTAGGCTGGGTTGCTTTTCAGTGGTTACGGTAATCATTGATCCAGCGACTATCATGAGATTGCTTTTCGGTACTTACGGTAATCAGCTGAAGGAAGTAGTGAAAAGCGTGCTGAGCTTGCTTTTCAATTATTACGGTAATCATGGATCCGACGATTTACGTGAGCTTTTCAGTACTTACGGTAATAAGCTGAAGGAAGTACTGAAAACTATGCTGAGCTTCCTTTTCAATAGTTACGGGAATCATTGATCCCGCGACTGGCTGGAGCTTGGTTTTTCGTTACTTACAGTAATAAGCTGCAGGAAGTACTGAAAGGCATGGTGAGCTTGCTTCTCAATAGTTAACGGTAATCATGGATCCGGCGATTTGCATGAGCTTGGTTTTCAGTCCTTGTGGTAATAAGCTGAAGGAAGTACTGAAAAGCATGGTGAGCTGGCTTTACAATACTTACGGTAATAAACCATCCAGCGACTTGCGGTGAAAACGGGGTGCGTCCCATTCCTGATGGAGAAATAGAGAATGTCGTCTCGCTGCTCTGCGTCTAGGAGGCACCCCGAAGTGTGACCTTCCTGGAGAAGGTAGTTGGTGCACTGGTCATAGGCCTCATCACCGTTGAATCTGTGGTTTAAAACGATGACCATTCAGCAACAAAACAAAAAAGCATGTCTTATTTATTTAGAGATGGGGTCTTGCTCTTGTCGCCCAGGTTGGAGTGCAATGGCGCGATCTCAGCTCACTGCAACCTCTGCCTCCCGGGTTCAAGCAATTCTCCTGTCTCAGCCTCCTGAGTAGCTGGGATTACAGGCACCTGCCACCATATACAGCTAATTTTTGTAGTTTTACTGGAGACAGGGTTTCACCATGTTGGGGCCAGGCTGGTCTGGAACTCCTGACCTCAGGTGATCCATACACCTTGGCCTCCCAAACTGCTGGAATGAGAGGTGTGAGCTACCACACCGGCTTTTTTTTTTTTTTTTTTTTTAAGATGGTGTCTCGCTCTGTCCCTGAGGCTGGAGTGCAGTGGCACGATCTCGGCTCATTGCAATCTCTGCCTCCCGGGTTCAAGCGATTCTCCTGCCTCTGCCTCCTGAGTAGCTGGGATTACGGGCACGCACCACCACCCCCAGCTAATTTTTGTGTTTTTAATAGAGATGGGATTTCGCCATGTTGACCAGGCTGGTCTCGATCTCCTGACCTCAGGTGATCCACCCGCCTCGGCCTCCCAGAGTGCTGGGATTACAGGCGTGAGCCACCGCGCCCGGCCGTTTTTTTATTTGTTCGTTTGTTTTTTGAAACAGAGTTTTGTTCTTGTTGCCCAGGCTGGAGTGCAATGGCGTGATCTCGGCCCACTGCAACCTCTGCCTCCCGGATTCAAGCGATTCTCCTGCCTCAGCCTCCCAAGTTGCTGGGATTACAGGCGCACGCCCCCGCGCCCGGCTAATTTTTTTGTATTTTTAGTAGAGACGAGGTTTCACCATGTTGGCCAGGCTGGTCTTGAACTCCTGACCTCAGGTGATCCACCCCCCCCCCCCTCAGCCTCCCAAAGTGCTGGGATAACAGGCATGAGCCAACACCCCCCCCAAGAACTGCCCCTTTTACAGAGGAAGAAACTGAGCTGAATTCTGCAACTACGTGCAAAATCCAGCACTTTTTTTTTTCTTTTTGTGAGGTTTTTGTTTTGTTTTGTTTTGTTTTTGAGACAGTCTCGCTCTGTCGGCCAGGCTGGAGTGCAATCTCGGCTCACCGTGAACTCCGTCTCCCAGGTTGAAGCGATTCTCTTGCCTCAGCCTCCTGAGTAGCTGGGATTACAGGCACCTGCCGCCACGCCCGGCTAGTTTTTGTATTTTTAGTAGAGTTGGGGTTTCACCATGTTGGCCAGGATGGTCTGGAACTCCTGATCTCAGATGATCCACCCACCTCGGTCTCCCAACGGTGAGTCTTATTTTCCAAATAACTTCGTTTTAAAATTTCCCTGTTCTGTACGCTTTGCCGTTTATCTCTTTTGTTATCAAACTGAAGAATCATCCACCCATGATTAAATTTATTGGAAAAACCCTTCCTGCAATGTTCGTACGCATACTTCTGGGTGTCTAACTAAGCCAAAGTAAAAATAAAAATAAAGTCACATCAGGGAGACACAGGGTTGGGGGTAGCCCCGGGTAAGGCTGTGAAATGTTTCAGAGACTGAGTCTTTCCCTCCCCGGCTGCCTAGCAGATAAGACTTAAAGTTCACCCAGAGCTCTGGGTGAACAAAACTCTCTGTTAATCTCCCGTGAAGAATCTAGGTGATTTTCAGTCCGGATGCCGTGGCTCACGCCTGTCATCCCAGCACTTTGGGAGGCTGAGGCAGGTGGATCACATGAGGTCAGGAGTTTGAAACCGGCCTGACCAATATGGTGAATCACCATCTCTACTAAAAATACAAAAATTAGCTAGGCATGGTGGCAGGTGCCTGTAATCCCAGCTACTCGGGAGGCTGAGGCAGGGGAATGGCTTGAACCCGGGAGGCAGAGGTTGCAGTGAGCCGAGATTGCGCCACTGCACTCCAGCGTGGCAACGGAGTGAGACTCCGACTCAAAATAAAAACAAACAAAAAAAAGAATGTAGTTGATTTTGACAGTGAGTCAGCCATCCCTTGGCAAGAAGGTTTGGGGCAATGAGATTGTGGTTGTGGTGAGGGCTGAGGGTTTCACAGAACAAACATTCCGGCTTGCACAGTCTGATGCTTTACACTTTTGTTCTCAAGCATTCCCAATCGCTGACGGCTCAGAAGAGCGATTTTGAGCCCCCTGGGCGTGGGGTTCGCTTTCTGGGGGCCACTTACCTGTAGTGGAAAGTCAGGTTGGTCCTGGAGTATTTGCTGGCATTCCATGTCACCTGCACGGTTTCTAAATTGAAGTAGATGATCTGAATCTGTACTCCTTCTGCTAGACACAGAGAGACGCATGAAGTTCACGGTGAGGCAACTCTATTTTTTTATTTTTTTAAATTTATTTTTCTTTTTGAGACAGAGTCTCACTCTGTTGCCCAGGCTGGAGTACAATGGCACGATCTCGGCTCACTGCAACCTCCGCCTCCCGGGTTCAAGCGATTCCCCTGCCTCAGCCTCCCGAGTAGCCGGGATTACAGGCACCTGTCACCACACCTGGCTAATTTTTTGTATTTTTAGTAGAGACGGGGTTTCACCGTGTTAGCCAGGATGGTCTCGATCTCCTGACCTCATGATCCACCCGCCTCGGCCTCCCAAAGTACTGGGATTACAGGCGTGAGCCACCGCGCCTGACGTATTGTATTGCATTGTATTGCATTGTATTGTAGTGTAGTGTAGTGTAGTGTAGTGTAGTGTAGTGTAGTGTAGTGTATTGTGTGAGACAGACTCTCACTCTGTCACCCAGGCTGGACTGCAGTGGCGCAATCTCGGCTCACTGCAAGCTCCGCCTCCCGGGTTCACGCCATTCTCCTGCCTCAGCCTCCCGAGTAGCTGGGGCTACAGGTGCCCGCCACCATGCCTGGATAATTTTTTGTACTTTTAGTAGAGATGGGGTTTCACTGTGTTAGCCAGGATGGTCTCGATCTCCTGACCTCGTGATCCGCCCGCCTCATCCACCTAAAGTGCTGAGATTGCAGGCGTGAGCCACCGCGCCCGGCTGCTTTTGTTTTTGTTTTTGCAAAAGGTAAGTTCACCCACTAGTGCCATGCACAGATGTATCTGTATAGATCAATCATGTATCCAACAACACATCCCCTGTGGATACCTAAGGTGGCATCGGAAACTGTCCCCATCGATCCACCTTACTGTCTTTCTCAAAACACCACACACACCAACTTCAGAAATGGACTGGCCAGGTGCAGCGGCTCACGTCTGTAATCTTAACACTGGGAGGCCGAGGCGGGTGGATCACCCGAGGTCAGGAGTTCGAGACCAGCCTGGCCAACATGGTGAAACCCCGTCTCTACTAAAAACACAAAAAAATGAGCTGGACATGGTGGTGGGTACCTGTAATCCCAGCTACCTGGGAGGCTGAGGCAGGAGAATGGCTTGAACTCAGGAGGCAGAGGTTGTAGTGAACCGAGATCGTGTCACTGCACTCCAGCCTGGGTGACACAGCAAGACTCCCTATCAAAAAAAAAAAAGAAAAGAAAAGAAAAGAAAAGAAAAGAAAAGAAATGGGCCAACCGTAAAGAAGACTTTCTACGTTTGCTAGGAAGGTTGCATAGACTTCAGTAGGTTTGATGTTTCAAGAGGTCTGGGTTTGTAATTCCGAACAGGGACAATGGAAATATTTTAGAATTGAGCAAACATGTAATGATATTTTGCATAATGAAAGCCAAGTCTCTTTTTTTTATTTTGAGACAGAGTCTCGCTCTGTCGCCCACGCTGGAGTGCAGTGGTGCGATCCCGGCTCACTGCAAGCTTTGCCTCCCGGGTTCATGCCATTCTCCTGCCTCAGCCTCCCAAGTAGCTGGGACTACAGGCACCTGCCACCATGCCCGGCTGATTTTTTGTATTAGTACAGACGGGGTTTCACCGTGTTAGCCAGGATGGTCTCCATCTCCTGACCTTGTGATCCGCCCACCTCGGCCTCCCAAAGTGCTGGGATTACAGGCATGAGCCACAGCGCCCGGCCAAGTCTCTCACTGTCAAAGAAGTCAGTTACAGGTTTGGAAAGATGGGGTACAGTGAACCTTGTCATGTTGGGTTCTAAGTGGAGGTATCTGGAGGATAGATAGATACAGATAGATAGATAAATGGTAATGTTAGATAGATAGAATTATATAGATGATGATAGAAATAGTTAGACAGACAGACACAGATAGATAGGGATGGGTAGGTAGATGGATGAATCAATGGACAGGTGGGTGTATAGGTGGAAGACAAGTGGATGGGTGGGTGGATGGGTGAGTGGATGGATGAATAAATGGATGAACAGATACACAGGTGAATGGGTGGATGGGTGGATGGATGCATGGATAGATGGATACATAGATGTGTACATGGATGGGTGGATGGATGGATGGATGAGTGGATGAAAGTGTGGGTGAATGCATAGGTGGATGGATGGTTTGATGGGTGGGTGGATGGATGTGTTGGTGGATGGATGGATAGATGGATAAGTGGATGAAAGGATGGGTGGGTGGATGAGTGAGTCAGTGGATAAATAAATGGATGAACAGATACATAGGTGAATGGATGGATGGATGGATGGATGGATGGATGCATGGATAGATGGATACGTAGATGTGTACATGGATGGGTGGGTGGGTGGATGGATGGGTGGATGGATGGATGGATGGATGGATGGATGGATAAGTGGATAAAAGTGTGGGTGAATGCATGGATAGATGGATGTATTGGTGGGTGGATGGGTGGATGGGTGGATGGATGGATGGATGGATGGATGGATGGATGGATGGATGGATAAGTGGATAAAAGTGTGGGTGAATGCATGGATAGATGGATGTATTGGTGGATGGATGGGTGGATGGGTGGATGGATGGATGGATGGATGGATAAGTGGATAAAAGTGTGGGTGAATGCATGGATAGATGGATGTATTGGTGGATGGATGGGTGGATGGATGGATGGATGGATAAGTGGATAAAAGTGTGGGTGAATGCATGGATAGATGGATGTATTGGTGGATGGATGGGTGGATGGATGGATGGATGGATAAGTGGATAAAAGTGTGGGTGAATGCATGGATGGATGGATGTATTGGTGGATGGATGGGTGGATGGGTGGATGGATGGATGGATGGATGGATAAGTGGATAAAAGTGTGGGTGAATGCATGGATAGATGGATGTATTGGTGGATGGATGGGTGGATGGATGGATGGATGGATAAGTGGATAAAAGTGTGGGTGAATGCATGGATGGATGGATGTATTGGTAGATGGATGGGTGGATGGGTGGATGGATGGATGGATGTATTGGTGGATGGATGGGTGGATGGGTGGATGGATGGATGGATGGATGATAGATGGGTGGATGGGAGGATGGATAGATAACAGCTGGGTGGATGGTGGATGGATGGATGAGTGAATGAAAGGTTGGGTGGACGGATGGCTGGGTGGGTTGATGGGTGGGTGAATGTATGAGTGGATGAATCGTTTGATAGATGGGTGGATGGATATATTAGTGGATGGATCAATGAATAATAGATGGATGGATAGTGGATGGATGGGTGATTAATGGGAAAAGATAGATGAGATACATTGATGGATAGATTAAAAATGAATATATCTACCAATCAATCAATCAATAGATAGACACACACACGCACACATACAGTTCCTAGTTCTGGCCACCGAAAGCTCATATAAGCAGTGGATATTCCGGGAGCAATAAGTATACTTAATATTCATGTATTTACTTATAAATATGTTTTGTCCCAGCTACTTGAGAAGCTGAGGCAGGAGAATTGCTTGAACCCGGAAAAAAAAAAAAAAAAAAAAGAAAAGAAGAAAGAAACCTCCATGCTCATTGTTTAAGTTTTACAAAATAAAGAGTGCCTGGTTGCAAAGCAAACCACAAACCAAAATACAACAAGAAGAGGGTGTTTAAATAATTACCTGCTCCTCCTTGCCCCAAAGCCATCCAGCCTCCCAGCAGAAAGACGGCAGCTCCCCACAGCAGAACCAGCCGCCCCATGCCTGAAACAGGAGTGGAGAGTGAGGTCCTCAGGGACCTACAACGAACAGATCACTCATGACTCATAAGCAGAGGTCACCATCGATTTTAAAAAGTCAGAAAGGAAACTAGGGAAATGATTACAGGCAGGAAGCACAGTGACAGTTGATTTTCAAAGATACACTTGTCAAGAACACACACACACACACACACACACACACACACAATCAATCCAGGATCAGGACTGCCACGCACACTGCTGAGCTGAGCCCTCCCCTTCCCTCCCCCTCCCCCATCTCCTCCCCCTCCCCTCCATTCCCTTCCCTCCCTCCCCCTCCCCTCCCCTCCCCTCCATTCCCTCCCCACTCCCCTCCCCTCCCCCTTCCCCTCCCCTCTCTTTCCTTCCTTTCCCTTCCCCTCCCCTCCCCTCTCCCCTCCCCTTCCCCCTCTCCCCTCCCCTTCCCCCTCCCCTCCCCTCCCTTCCCTTCCTTTCACTTCCCCTCCCCCTCCCCTCTCCCCTCCCCTCCATCCCCTCCCCTCCCCTCCCTTCCCTTCTGCCTCTCCCCCACCCCCTCCTCCCTCCCCTCCCCCTCCCCCTTCCCTTTCCTCCCCTCCCCTCCTCCTCCCCACCTCCCCTCCCCCTCCCCTCCCCCTTCCCTCCCCTCCCCCTTCCCTCCCCTCCCTTCCCTTCCTTTCCCTTCCCCTCCCTTCCCCTTCCCCCCCACCCCACCCCCTCCCTTCCCATCCCCCTCCCATCCCCTCATCTTTTGTCCCCCTCCCTTCCCCCACCCCCTCCA
Source organism: Homo sapiens (assembly GCF_000001405.40). Classification (NCBI taxonomy): domain Eukaryota; kingdom Metazoa; phylum Chordata; class Mammalia; order Primates; family Hominidae; genus Homo; species Homo sapiens. Next base: position 1,213,411 of record NC_000024.10, read on the forward strand.
CCTATCCCCTCCCCTCCCCTCCATGGATGGTATATGGATGGATGGATAAGTGGATGAAAGGATGTGTGGATAGGTGGGTGGATGGATGGATAAATGGATGAACAGATACATAGGTGGATGGGTGGATGGATGCATGCATAGATGGATACGTAGATGTGTACATCCCCTCCCCTCCCTTCCCCTCCCCCCTCCCCCCACCCCCTCCTCCCTCCCCTCTCCCTCCCCCTTCCGTCTCCTCCCCTCCCCCTCCCCTCTCCTCCCCTCCCCCTCCCCACCTCCCCTTCCTTTCTCTTGCTTTTCCTTTCTTTTTTTTTGAGCTGGAGTCTCACTCTCTGTCACCCAGGCTGGAGTGCAGTGGCACGATCTTGGCTCACTGCAACCTCCTCCTCCCGGGTTCAAGCGATTCTCCTGCCTCAGCCTCCTGAGTAGCTGGGATTACAGGCGCCCACCACCACGCCTGGCTAATTTTTATATTTTTAGTAGAGATGGGGTTTCACCATGTTGGCCAGGCTGGTCTCAAACTCCTGACTTCAAGTGATCGGCCCGCTTCAGCCTCTCAAAGTGCTGGGATTATAGGCGTGAGCCACCGTGCCCAGCTTTTCTTTCCTATTCTTTGAGACAAGGTGTTCGTCTGGTACCCACGCAGGAGTGTTGTGGTGCAATCAGGACTCACCACAGCCTCAAACAGCTTGGCTCAAGCAATCCTCTTGCCTCAACCTCCCTAGTAGCCGGGATTACAGATGCATGCCACCCACCCTGCTGATTTTTGTATTTTTCATAGAGACGGGGTTTCACCATGTTGACCAGGCTGGTCTCAAACTCCTGGACTCAGGTGATCCACCCGCCTCGACCTCCCAAAGTGCTGGGATTATAGGCGTTAGCCACCGCACCTGGCCTGAGCTTTGCTTGAAAGCATATCACAGAGCAGCCTGGCCAACATGGCGAAACCCTGTCTCTACTAAAAAAAAAAATACAAAAATTAGCCAGGCGTGGTGGCACGCACCTGTAATCCCAGCTACTCAGGAGGCTGAGACGGGGAGAATCGCTTGAACCCAGGAGGCAGAGGTTGCAGCGAGCCAAGGTCACACCATTGCACTCCAGCCTTGTTGACAGAGCGAGACTCTGTCTCAAAAAAAAAAAAAAAATATGACATGCTAACTTTCTAAGCCCGGAATTCTTGCTCTCTGCTAAATGATGAGACTCGTGGATGAGTGTGCAGTTGTGTGGTCAGTGTTCTGTGATATACTCTGCACCCAAGCTGGGCTGGACATCCAGAGACTTCATAGTTCATCTGTCTTCAGACAAACGCAGAGTTCACCTTTGCCGCTGACCAGCTTCCCAGACCAAGGGACTCAAGCTTGTAGGCATTCTCCTCGTAACACCACAAACACTGTGATGGTAGCATATGCTGGGTAGATGGGGCCCCAGTTTAAGACTGTAGAGGACCGGGCACGGTGGCTCACGCCTGTCATCCCAGCACTCTGGGAGGCCGAGGCCGGAGGATCCCCTGAGGTCAGGAGTTCGAGACCAGCCTGGCCAACACGGTGAAACCCCGTCTCTGCTAAAAATACAAAAATTAGCCGGGCGTGGTGGTGGGTGCCTGTTATCCCAACTACTCAGGAAGCTGAGGCAGGAGAATGGCGTGAACCCGGGAGGCGGAGTTGGCAGTGAGCTGAGATCGTGCCACGGCACTCCAGCCTGGGCGACAAGAGCAAGACTCCGTCTCAAAATATATAAATAAATAAATAAGTGAATAAATAAAAGTCTGGAGAGAGCTGGTTGGAACAGACATGTCATCTTAAAAGATCTCGGCTCATGCCTGGAGATTCCTTGCGGTCAAAACACAAGTGTGCCAGGCAGAGCAGGTGATTCCTGTTGGTTGCCACCACTCCTTCGTACAAGCAAAGCAGAAGTGATTGTGGGAACTGTTTAGAGATGCGGTTTGGGGACTTTCAGAGCACAAATGCAGGATCTTTCTCCAGTACGTGACGGAAGAATTTTAGGTGTTCTTTTGCTTGACAGCAGGAAGATTGGATTAACCGTGAGTGACCAGTTTGAGACCACTAACATTTGTTTTATGTTTTTTTGAGGTGGAGAGTCTCCCTCTGTCACCCAGGCTGGAGTGCAATGGTGCAATCTCAGCTCACTGCAACTTCTGCCTCTTGGGTTCAAGCAACAGGCACCTGCCACCACACCTGGCTGATTTTTTGTTTTTCTGTTTTTGAGGGGTTATTTTTTGAGACGGAGTTTCTCTTGCTGCCCAGGCTGGAGTGCAATGGTGCAATCTCAGCTCACTGCAACTTCTGCCTCTCTGGTTCAAGCAGTTCTCCTGCCTCAGCCTGCCGAGTAGCTGGGATTACAGGCACCTGCCACCACACCTGGCTCCTTTTTTGTTTTTCTGTTTTTTTGTTTTTTGTTTTTTTGAGACGGAGTCTTGCTCTGTCGCCCAGGCTGGAGTGCAGTGGTGTGATCTCTGCTCACTGCAAGCTCCACCTTCAGGGTTCACGCCATTCTCCTGCCTCAGCCTCCCGAGTAGCTGGGACTACGGGTGCCCACCACCACGCCCGGCTTATTTTTGTATTTTCAGTAGAGACAGGGTTTCACCATATTAGCCAGGATGGTCTCGATCTCCTGACCTCGTGATCCGCCAGCCTCAGCCTCCCAAAATGCTGGGATGATGGGCATGAGCCACCGCGCCCCGCCCAATGCTTTCATTATTGAGAGCTCTGAGCTCCATGGTTCGTCATGGAAGAGATAAAATAATCCAAATAATGACACAGTGTGAAAGGTTAGATGACAACGTTGACCAGAATACCATGTCTCACGGAACCCTGTAGAGAGTAGGGGACAAGAAGGAAGTGTGAGCCTCAAGAACCATCTCCTGCCGGGCTCATTGGTTCATGCCTGTCATCCCAGCACTTTGTGAGGCCGAGGCGGGAGGATCACCTGAGGTCAGGAGTTCAAGACCAGCCTGGCCAACATGGAGAAACTCCGTCTCTACTAAAAATACAAAAATTAGCCAGGCGTGGTGGCAGGTGCCTGTAATCCCAGCACTTTGGGAGGCTGAGGCGGGAGGATCATCTGACTTCTGGAGTTAGAGACCAACATGGTGAAACCCTGTCTCCACTAAAAATAGAAAAATTAGCCAGGCGTGGTGGCATGCACCTGTTATCCCAGCTGCTCGGGAGGGTGAGGCAGGAGAATCGCTGGAACCCGGGAGGCGGAGGTTGCAGTGAGCCGAGATGGCACCACTGCATTCCAGCCTGGTGACAGGGCAAGACTCTGTCTCAAAAAAAAAAAAAAAAAAAAAAAAGCATCTCTGCCCAGGACCCTCCACAACTTCTGCTTCTACAGATGACAGAAATGGCTTCATTCAATACTCACTCAAGATACATTTGTTGAGGGTCTGTTATCTCCCAGGCACTGGGGAGGTGACAATAATATCACCTAGCTCAGAGAGACAAAGTGATAATATACATAAAACATTGAGCATTGTTCTGAATTCAGCCCCCAATCAACGTCCACTGTTACTACTGGACAGTAGATACTGTCGCATGCAAAGTAGGCAAGTCTGCAGAGAGAGAGAAAGGAGGTTGGCCTACAAACAGACAGGACTCCCTGCCCTCGTGAAGAATGCGTTCTGTAGGACGAGACGAAGCTTAAATAAGTACGTATGCTCTGGACATGGTCATGGTGAGCGCTGGGAAAAGGGGAAGTGGCCGGGCGCGGTGGCTCATGCCTGTAATCCCAATACTTTGGGAGGACGAGGCGGGTGGATCACCTGAGGCCAAGAGTTCAAGACCAGCCTGGACAACATAGTGAAACCCTGTCTCTACTGAAAATACAAAAATTAGCTGGGCATGGTGGCGGGTGCCTGTAATCCCAGCACTTTGGGAGGCTGAGGCGGGAGGATCACCTGAGGTCAGGAGTTCGAAACCAACATGGTGAACCCCCGTCTTCACTAAAAATACAAATATGAGCCGGGCATGGTGGCATGCACTTATAATCCCAGCTCCCCAGGAGGTTGAGGCAGGAGAATCACTTGATCCCAGGAGGCGAAGGTTGCAGTGAGCCAAGATCACACCACTGCATTCCAGCCTGGTGACAGAGCAAGACTCCATCTCAAAAAAAAAAAAAAAAGAAAAAAAAAGGAAGCATCTCTGCCCAGGACCCTCCACGAGTTCTGCTTCTACAGGTGTCAGAACTGGCTTCATTCAACATTCATTCAAGATACATTTGTTGGCCGGATGCGGTGGCTCACGCCTGTAATCCCAGCACTTTGGGAGCCCGAGGTGGGTGGATCACCTGAGGTCAGGAGTTCGAGACCAGCCTGGCCAACATGGTGAAAGCCCGTCTCTACTAAAAATACACACACAAAAAATTTAGCCAGGCGTAGTGGCAGGCACCTATAATCCCAGCTACTTGGGAGGCTGAGGCAGGAGAATCACTTGAATCCAGGAGGCGGAGCTTGCAGTGAGCCGAGATCGAGCCACTGCACTCCAGCTTGGGCAACAGAGTGAGACTCTGTCTCAAAAAGAAAAGAAAAGCAGCCAGTCACGGTGGCTCACGTCTATAATCCCAGCACTTTGGGAGGCTGAGGCGGGTGGATCACAAGGTCAGGAGTTTGAAACCAGCCTGGTCAATGTGGTGAAACCCTGTCTCTACTAAAAATACAAAAATTACCTTGGTGTGGTGGTGCATGCCTGTAATCCCAGCTACTTGGGAGGCTGAGACAAGAGAATTGCTTGAACCCAGTAGGTGGAGGTTGCAGTGAGCCAAGATCGTGCCACTGCACTCCAGTCTAGGTGACAGAATGAGACTCTATCTCACAAAAAAGAAAAAAAAAGAGAGAGAAAAAAGGAAAGGAAAAGGGAATTGGAGGGGGAGGAAGGGCAGAGGCAGAACTGCTGATTTCTGTGGTCAGGAAGGTTTTCGGACTGAGGACCTTCAGGCGTAAAGGAAGAAGCCCCTAAACCCAGCCTTGGCATCTCACTTACCCAGGGGTTCTTGACCTCTACCCTCGTGAGATTTTAGCTGGATAATTCTTGGTTGTGTGGGCTGTGTTATGCTTCATAGGATGCTGAGAAGTGTCCATGACCTCCACCCACTAAATGTCAGCAGCCCCTCCCAGCTCTTGCTGTGACAACCAAAAATTCCACTGAGGTTGCCAAGGGTTCCCTGGGGGGTGAAATCACTCCTCATTGTAAATCGCTGCCATAGATAGATAGATAGATAGATAGATAGATAGATAGATAGATAGACAGATATATAGACAGATACATAGCTACATAGAGCGATAGATAGATAGATAGATAGATAGATAGATAGATAGATAGATGATAGATAGATAGATATATAGACAGATACATAGCTACATAGAGCGATAGATAGATACATACATAGCTACATAGAGCGATAGATAGATAGATAGATAGATAGATAGATAGATAGATAGATGATAGATATATAGATACACAGATACATAGATAAATGAATGGGTAGATATGACAGATAGATTAGATACATAGATAAATAACAGATTGATAAATAGATGATAGATAAATGGATAGATAGATACATAGATACATAGATGAATGGATAGATGTGACAGATTAGATAGATAGATGGATAGATGATAGACGATAGGTAGATACATAGATACAAAGGTAGATAGATGAATGAGTAAATAGATGATAGATAAGTGGGTAGATAGAGATTGATGACGGATGGATAGATGATAGATAAATGGATAGATGAATGGATAGATATGACAGATTAAATAGATGGATAGATGAATAGATAGATTATAGGTAGGTAGATACAAAGGTAGAAGAATGAGAGGCGGGTAAATAGATGATAGATAAGTGGGTAGATAAATGATAGACATAGATAGACAGATAGATAGATATGACAGATGGATAGATAGATGATAGATAAATGGATAGATAGATACATAGATACATAGATGAATGGATAGATATGACAGATAGATTAGATACATAGACGAATAGATAGATGATAGGTAGATACATAGATACAAAGGTGGGTAGATAGATAAGTGGGTAGATAAATGATAGATAGATAGATAGATAGATAGATAGATACATACATACATACATACATACATACATACCTGAATGAGTGAGTACATAGATAGATGATGGATGGATAGATAAATAGATGATAGATAGATAGATAAATGAATGGATAAATAGATGGATACACGGATGAATGGAAAGATAGATGATACATAGATATATAGATAAACGAATGGATAGATGACAGATAGCTAGATAGATAGGCAAATGGATAGATACATGATAGGTAGATACATAGATACAAAGGTAGATAGATCAATGAGTGGGTAGGTAGATGATAGATAAGTGGGTACATAGATAATAGATAAATGAATGGATAGATGGATAGATAGATGGATGAATGGATAGATCATAGATACATAGAAACATAGATGAATGGATAGATGACAGATAGATAGATGAATGGATAGATAGATAAACATAGATAAATGTGGGCCGGATGCGGTGGCTCACACCTGTAATCCCAGCACTTTGGGAGGCCAAGGCAGGCAGATCACGAGGTCAGAAGATTGAGACCATCCTGGCGAACACAGTGAAACCCCGTCTCTACTAAAAATACAAAAAAAAAAAAAAAAAAAACTGAGTGTGGTGGCGGGCACCTGTAGTCCCAGCTACTTGGGATACTGAGGCAGGAGAATGGGTTGAACCTGGGAGGCAGAGGTTGCAGTGAGCCGAGATCACACCACTGCACTACAGGCTAGGTGACAGAGCGAGACTCCGTCTCAAAAAAAAAAAAAGAAGCATAGGTAAATGAATGGATAGATAGATGACAGATAGATACATAGATGAATGGATAGAAAGATGATAGGTAAATACATAGATGCAAAGGTGATAAATGAGTAGGTAGATAGTTGATAGATAGCTATATAAATCCATCCATCCATACATACATAGATACATACATAGATGAATGAGTGGATAGATGATAGATAGATAGATAGATACATAGATAGATAGATACATAGATACATAGATACATAGATAGATAGATTGAATGGGCCAGGCGCGGTGGCTCACACCTGTTATCCCAGCACTTTGGGAGGCCGAGGCTGGCAGATCACAAGGTCAAGGGATCGAGACCATCCTGGCCAACACGGTGAAACCCTGTCTCTACTAAAAATACAAAAATTAGCTTGGTGTGGTGGTGCCTGCCTGTAATCCCAGCTACTCAGGAGGCTGAGGCAGGAGAATCGCTTGAACCCAGGAGGCTGAGGCTGCAGTCAGCTGAGATCACAACACAGCACTCCAGCCTGGCGAAACAGTGAAACTCTGTCTCAAAAAAAAAGATAGGTGGATAGATAGATAGATAGATGAATAGATGGATAAATGGTTAGATAGATGATAGATACATATATAGATAGAAAGGTAGAAGAATAGATGAATAGAAAGATAAATGGGTAGATAGATGATATTAATAGATACATAGAAGAATGGAGGGGTAGATAGATGATGGATGGATAAATAGATGGATACGTATATGGATGCATGGATAGATGAATGGATAGATGATAGATACATACATAGATGATAGAATGGATTGCTAGATAGATGAATAGACAGAAAAGTGATTAGATAGATGATAGATACATAGATAAATAGATTAATGAATGGGTAGATAGGTGATAGATAGGATAAATAGATGAATAGATGGATAAATCGTTAGACGATAGATACATAGATAGGTAGCAGAATGGATGAATAGATGGATAAATGGATAGATGATATTAATTGATATGTAGATAGAAAGAAGTATGGATGAATAGATGAATGGATGGATAGATAAATGATAGATGAATGATTGATAGATAGATAAATAGATAGATAGATAGAGAGAAAGAACACAAGATAAAGAGAATTTCTCACGCTAAGTCAGGGTTTCTCAACTTTGAAGCTGTTTCCGCCCAGGATATTCTCATCTGCGTCGTTCTCTGCTGTGAGGCCGTCCTGTGCATTGGGGGATGTGGGGCAAACGTCTAGACCATACCCAGTAAATGTCAGCAGTATCCCCCACCAAGTCATGACAAGCAAAAACGTCTCCATCCTTTTCCAAATGTCCACTGAAAGTTGAGAGAGAGACCTCCCTTCCTCTCCCGTCCCAACCCTCCATTGTCCCCAGCGCCGCCCCAGGGTCACTGGAGCTTCCAGCTCTTCTCCAAATGCCTTCTGGGAGCTGTGATTTCAGGAATTTTACGCAACAAGAGGAGACAATTGTAGGCTGATAACAAGGGGAGACCTGCGGGCCACAGAGGCCAATCCAAAGTCAAACTAGACAACCAGGGTTCACCTTAGTTCTTCTGAGACTCAGGAATTGTAATCTGGAGAAATGGGTCTTTCATGGAGACAGAAACACATGGTTCCTGAAAATGGATTATTACAGCTACTCAGCTCAATTAAATTTAAAAAAAGGAGTATTTGCTCTTGGGGGAACCCGTAATGCATGATGAGAAACTTGGAATACATCAAGTTCCCTTGCACCTCCTTGTCAATTACTAAGCGCATTTCCCCCGCGCTTCATAGCTCCTTCCACTGAAACACAGAATGAAAGACACGACTCTGGGAAGGGTGATACCGTGGGAAGAACACGCTTGCTGGAGTTGGGCGAACAAGATGAACTGCCAGGTGTGTTTGTTTTTTTGTTTGTTTTTGAGACGGAGTCTCACTCTGTCACCCAAGCTGGAGTGCAGTGCCTCAATCTCGGCTCATGGCAACCTCCACCTCCTGGGTTCAAGCAATTCTCCTGCCTCAGCCTCCTGAGTAGCTGGGAGCACAGGCACCCACCAACATGCCCAGCTAATTTTTGTATTTTTAGTACAGACAGAGTTTCACCATGTTGGCCAGGCTGGTCTCAAACTCCTGACCTCAGGTGATCCACCCACCTCAGCCTCCTAAAGTGCTGGGATTACAGGCATGAGCCACCATGCCTGGCTGCCAGGTGTTATATGTAAAGTTTCAGTGCCACAAAAGGAATAGCACTCAAATATAAAATTTTCTTTTTAATTCTCAGCAAGGCAAGGTACTTCTATAGAAGGGTGTCCCGTACAGATGGAACAATGGCAAGTGCATAGCTGGACAAGGGAGGGGAAGGGGTCCTTATCCCTGACGTACGTGGCCCCTGTGCTGTGTCGTTCCTCTGTTGGCTAGGGTTAGACCGCACAGGCTAAACTAATAACGATTGGCTAATTTAAAGAGAGTGACGGGGTGAGTGCTTTGGGGGGAGTCAGGGAAGAGCAGATAGCATGTAATCGGAATGAGTCAGGGTGGAGCAGGTGATCGAAAAAGTTTGCTTTACAAGGAAGTTAAAAAGTAGAAGGCAAACGATTGAACATACTAACATATTAACTCTTTGAAAAGAAACTTAGAACTCATATCTAATACGGGGAAATTCGTCAGCCACTTCAGTGCTCTGGCTTTTCCCTTTACAAGGGTATACGTTTGGGGGCATTAAGGTCTGAAGGGGCAGGCAAAGCACGTCCTCCTTTCTGGACTCCAGAGTGGAAACTTATTCTACGCACGTTCTGAAGGTCATCCTTGTCTGTCATGCAGATGACACACACCCAACTGCCCCGCTTCCTTTTTCTTCATCATCTTTATCCCAAACCACAAACCAATATTCTGTTGTTTGTGTTTCACAATAGCAGGCATGGACAATGAGTCAGCTGGGAGGAAAACAGGAGGATGGCAGCCATCAAACATCTCTTCCAATGCAGCTCAACATGGAACAGCTGCTCTAAGAAGGCCTTTCTAATTTCTTCCATAGATTGCTTTTTACTAATCCTGAGTGAGGGGATTGTTTTGGTTATCAATTGTCATGTGACACATTAACCTGGAAACATAGAGGCATTGAGGAACTCCAACTTGTTGTTATGTGGTGTGATTCTGAGGGCTGACAGGGCTCAGCTGGGAGGTTCTTCTGCTCCATGTGGTGTTGACTGGGGCTGTAGGAAACTGGAGGATTGATTGGGCAGGTGTGTTCTAGTTGGTTCAATCACATGTCTTGTAGCTGGGCTGAAGTTCAACTAAGGACTTGACTTGGGCTGTGTCTATCTGCTGGCTTAATGGATCCAGAACATTCTAGATGGCTCACTCATATACCTGGAAGCTGGGCTGTGTGTCAGCTGACTTGGGCCGTACCTATCTGCTGGCTTAATGGATCCAGAACATTCTAGATGGTTCCTTCACATACCTGGAAGCTGGGCTGAGTGTCATCTGATAGTGCTTAACTCAGGCCGTATCTATCTACAAACTTAATACGTCCAGAACATTCTCAAGGGCCCATTCATTTGGAAGCCCACCTGGAGGCTGAGTGGAAAGTCAGCTGAGAGCTTGGCTTGGACCCTATCTATCTGCAAACCTCAGAACATTCTCAAGGGCCCATTGATTTGGAAGCTCACCTGGAAGCTAGGCAGGTCAGTTGAGAGCTAGACTTGGGCTGTATCTATCTATGTGCAGACTTACTTGGTGCAGAATCTTCTGGATGGTTGACTTACATATGTGGAAGCTGGGCGGAGACTCAGCCCATTTGTGCTGGAAGGCTGATAGAACCAGAACATTCCGGAAGGTTCGCTCACATGACTTTCATTTCCACCCCATTCTATTGGCCAAAGCAAACCATGGGTTAGCCCAGACTCAATGGAAGACAAAGTGTACTCCAGCTCTCCTGGGGGTTTGGGAAAAGGGCTCTGTGAAGCATTTGCACCCACCTTTCTTTCTCCACAATAGGTACCTCCTTTAAACAAAGTCTACTGGCAGGGCAGGGTGGCTCACGCCTGTAATCCCAGCACTTTGGGAGGCCAAGGTGGGTGGATCACCTGAGGTCAGGAGTTCAAGACCAGCCTGGCCAATATGGTGAAACCCTGTCTCTACTAAAAATACAAAAATTAGCCTGACGTGATTGGGGGCGCCTGTAGTCCCAGCTACTTGGGAGGCTGAGGCAGGAGAATCACTTGAACCCGGGAGGTGGAGGTTGCAGCGAGCCGAAATCGAGCCACTGCACTCCAGCCTGGGCAACAGAGTGAGACTCCATCTCAAAAAAAAAGAAAAGCAGCCTGGCGCAGTGGCTCACACCTGTAATCCCAGCACTTTGGGAGGCCGAAGTGGGCGGATCACAAGGTCAGGAGTTTGAGACCAGCCTGGTCAATGTGGTGAAACCCCGTCTCCACTAAAAATACAAAAATTAGCCCGACGTGATTGGGGGCGCCTGTAGTCCCAGCTACTCGGGAGGCTGAGGCAGGAGAATCACTTGAACCCGGGAGGTGGAGGTTGCAGCGAGCCGAGATTGCACCACTGCACTCCAGCCTGGGTGACAGAGCAAGACTCCGTCTCAAAAAAGTATATAAATAAAATTTTAAAAATTTTTTAAAATATTTTTTAAAAAAATTTTTTTAAATTACATAAAAATTAAAAAAATAAAATACAGGCTAGTGTTACTTCAAAAAAACAAAAACTTCATTCTCGGCTTTAACTCAAGATTCGGTCTCCTCATCGCCAGGGTAAAGCCTCAATCTTAAATGTCAAACACTTTCTGTATTGAATTGAGTCAAAATGTACATTGTGAGGTGATCTCTTATCTCTAGCTGTTTCTGTTTCGAAAAATCTGCCAGACCAGCTGAATCTAATCATGAAAAAGAAATAGGGGCTTGCTGCCGTGAGCAGTGTGGTTTCCTATCAGATTAAGTGCCGAGCCAAAGCCAATTGACTCCACCTTGCTGTGAGGATTCCCCTCCCCGTCCCAACCCTCCATTGTCCCCAATGCCCCAGGGACACTGGAGCTTCCAGCTCTTCTCCAGTTGACTTCTGGGGGCTGTGATTTCAGGAATTTTACACAGGAAGCGGAGACAATTGTAGGCTGATAACGAGGGGAGACCTGCAGGCTGCAGAGGCCAATCCCAAGTCAAAATACATAACCAGGGTTCACCTTGGTCCTTCTGAGACTGAGGAATTGTGATCTGGAGAAATGGGTCTTTCACGGAGACAGAAACGTGTGGTTCCTGAAAATGGATTATTACAGCTACTCAGCTCAATTAAATTTAAAAAAAAGGAGTATTTGCTCTTCAGGGCAACCATAACAGAAGGGTTTCCCCACTCCAGCAGAGGGAACGGTTATATGCATAGTACTGCAGTGTTTTATTTTATTTTATTTTATTTTTTGAGGCAGAGTCTTGCTCTGTCACCCAGGCTAGAGTGCAATGGTGAGATCTCGGCTCACTGCAACCTCCGCCTCCTGGGTTCAAGCGATTCTCCTGCCTCAGCCTCCTGAGTAGCTGGGAGTACAGTTGCCCGCCACCACGTCAGGCTAACTTTTGTATTTTTAGTAGAGACGGGATTTCACCATGTTGGCCAGGCTAGTCTCGAACTCCCGACCTCATGATCCACCCGCCTTGGCCTCCCTAAGTGCTGGGATTACAGGCGTGTGCCGCCGCGCCCTGCCACAGCAGTGTTTTATAGCACAGGATGATGCTAGGAGTCTGTTGTGATTTCATTTGTTTGAGGCAAGATTTTGTTCTGGGCTGGGTACAGCCAAGAACTGTACTACTGCACTCCAGCCTGGGCAACAGAGTGAGAATCCATCTCAACAAAAAATAATAAATAAATAAATTGATATATGAATTGTCAGATAGATGGGTGGGTGGAGGGAGGAAGGGAGGGAGGGAGGAGTAGATGAATGGATAGATTGATGGATGGATGGGTAGATGGATAGGTAGATGAATTAATGGATGGATGAACAGATGGATAGATGAGTGGGTGGATGAATAGATGGGTTGGTAAATGGATGGATGGATGGATGGATGGATGGATGGATGGATGGATGGATAAATGCAAGAGTGGGTGGATGGATAGATGGTTAGATGGGTTGGTGGATGAATAGATGGGTTGGTGGATGGATGAGTGGATACAAGAATGGATTGAGGAATGGATGGATGGGTGGGTGAATGGATGGATGGATAGATAAATGAATGGGTGGTTGGTGGGTGGGTGGATGGATGGATGGATGGATGGATGAGTTGGTGGGTGGGTGGTTGGATGGATGGATGGATGGATAAATGGATGGGTGGGTGCATGGGTGGATGAATGGATAGATGGGTGGATGGATGGATGGATGAGTTGGTGGATAAATAGATGGGTTAGTGGATGGATGGGTGAATGGATAAATGGATGGATTGAGGAATGGGTGGATGGGTGGGTGGATGGATGAATAGATGGGTGAGTGGGTGGATGGATGGATGGATAGATGGATGGATGGGTGGATAGAAGAGTCAGTGGATAAATAGATGGGTTGGTGGATGGATGGATGGATGGATGGATGGATGGATACATGAGAGGATGGATGATCTATCTATTAGACAGATGGGTTGGTGGATGGATGGGGGCATGAATGGATGGATGGATGGATGGATGGATGGATGGATGGATGGATGGATATATGAGAGGATGGGTGAGTGGATGGGTGGGTGGATGGATGGATGGATGGATGGATACATGAGAGGATGGATGATCTATCTATTAGACAGATGGGTTGGTGGATGGATGGGGGCATGAATGGATGGATGGATTGAGGAATGGGTGGATGGATGGATGGATGGATGGATGGATGGATGGATGGATACATGAGAGGATGGGTGAGTGGATGGGTGGGTGGATGGATGGATGGATACATGAGAGGATGGGTGAGTGGATGGATGGGTGGATGGATGGATTGAGGAATGGGTGGATGGGTGGGTGGACAGATGAATAGATAGGTGAGTGGGTGGGTAAATGGATGGATGGATGGATAGATGGATGGATGGGTGGATAGATTAGTTGGTAGATAAATAGATGAGTTGGTGGATGGATGGGGGTATGGATGGATTGGATGGATGGACGGATGGACTGAGGAATGGGTGGATGGATGGATGGATGGATAGATGGATGGATGGATGGATACATGAGAGGATGGGTGAGCGGATGGGTAGGTGGATGGATAGATGGATGGATGGATGGATACATGAGAGGATGGATGGGTGGATGGGTGGATGAGTGGATGGATGGAAGGATGGATGGATGGATGGATGGATGGATGGATGGATGGATGGATACATGAGAGGATGGGTGAGTGGATGGGTAGGCGGATGGATGGATTGAGGAATGGGTGGATGAGTGGGTGAATGTGTAGATGGGATGGGTGAGTCCACAAGTCTTGCTCACCTCCCAGCTGAGAATATGTGTCCTACTTTATTTGGTCTATAGACAATGCTTAATTCTTGGACCCACAGAAGAGTGTCTTGCCAACACTCCCCCATCTCATGCCATCCATAGGTGAGATATCCTCTGGCCACTGAAGGGGCCTCTGACATCTATATTTTTTTTCCAGAAGCTCAGATCCGTTCCCAGACAAAATCATAAAACTCTTAACAAACATTATAATGATGGATGGATGGATGGATGGATGGATGGATGGATGGATGGATGAATGAATGAATGGGTGGATGGATGGATAGATGGGTGAGTGAGTGGGTGGGTTGATGGATGGATGGATATTACTATTATTTTATTTATTTATTTTTTTGAATTGGAGTCTCACTCCATTGCCCAGGCTGGAGTGCAATGGCATGATCTCGGCTCACTGCAACTTCCACCTCCTGGGTTCAAGTGATCCTCCTCCCTCAGCCTCCCAAGTAGCTGGGATTACAGGCATGCACCACCAGGCCCGGCTAATTTTTTTTATTTTTGGTAGGGATGGAGTTTCACCATGTTGGCCAGGCTGGTCTCGAATTCCCGACCTCAGATGATCCACCCAACTCGGCCTCCCGAAGTGTTGGGATTACAGGCATAAGCCACTGCGCCCGGCCCTATTCCTTTATTGTTATAAAATAATAATAATAATGTAATTAAGTAAATGGTCCTTCACCTCTCTGTTCAACCATTTTCCTACCCTTGATTTACCATCAACTGCCTTTTTTTTTTTTTTTTTTGGAAAAGTGTGGAGTTATTCCAAAGAAAACCTCCTATAGGTAATGTGTAAACATCGTGACCAGAAATCCTGGAGATCCACGAAGGCAACTACAAAGACTATGAAGGGAAACTACAGAAGTGGTTTTCTTAAAAAAATATACAGGCTATTTTTAGAGTGTTTTTAGGTTTAGAGCAAAATTTGCAGAAAGTACAGAAAGTTCTTATATATCCTCTCCCCAGCTCACAGCTTCGTCTATGGTGAACACCCTGCCTCAGCTTGGTGTGTTTGTTACAATCCATGAACTAATACTGATATATTATGAACAGAATAGTCAATAACAGTTCACATTAGAGTTCTTTTTTTTGAGACAGAGTCTCACTCTGTCGCCCAGGCTGGAGTGCAGTGGCGCGATCTCAGCTCACTGCAACCTCCGCCTCCTGGGTTCACGCCATTCTCCTGCCTCAGCCTCCCGAGTAGCTGGGACTACAGGCACCCTCCACCACGCCCGGCTAATTTTTGTATTTTTACTAGAGACGGGGTTTCACCATGTTGGTCAGGCTGGTCTCGAACTCCTGACCTCAGGTGATCCGCCCGCCTCAGCCTCCCAGTGCTGGGATGACAGGTGTGAGCCACCACTCCCAGCCCATGTTAGAGTTCTTTGTTGCTGTTGGCCGGGCGCGGTGGCTCACGCCTGTCATCCCAGCACTTAGGGAGGCCGAGACGGGTATATCACCAGGTCAGGAGATTGAGACCATCCTGGCTAACATGGTGAAACCCCATCTCTACTAAAAATACAAAAATAATTAGCCGGGCGTGGTGGCGGGCGCCTGTAGTCTCAGCTACTCGGGAGGCTGAGGCAGGAGAATGGCGTGAACCTGGGAGGTGGAGTTTGCAGTGAGCTGAGATCGCGCCACTGCACTCCAGCCTGGGCGATAGAGCGAGCCTCCATCTCAAAAAAAAAAGAGTTCTTTGTTGCTGTTGTAAGTTCTGTGCGTTTGGACAAACATATAGTGACGTTGGATGGACCATTATACGATCAAATGGAGGAGTTTCACTGCTCTAAAAATCCCCTGAGTTCTACCTGTTCATTCCTCCCTGCCTGACACCTCTGGCCACCCCTGATCATCTTACTGTCTGCATAAGTTTGCTTTCTTTTTCTTTTCTTTTCTTTTCTTTTTTTTTTTTGACACAGAGTCTCACTCTGTCTCCCACGTTGGAGTGCAGTCGCGTGATCTGGGTTCACTGCAAGCTTTGCCTCCCAGGTTCAAGCGATTCTCCTGCCTCAGCCTCCCGAGTAGCTGAGATGACAGGTGCCCGCCACCAAGCCCGGCTGATTTTGTGTTTTCTGTAGAGACGAGGTTTCCCCATGTCGGCCAGGCTGGTCTTGAACTCCCGACTTCAGGTGATCCACCCACCTCGGCCTCCCAAAGTGTTGGGATGACAGGCGTGAGCCACCGTGCCCGGACAGTTTTGCCTTTTCTAGAATGTCTTATAGTTGCAGCCATAGTCTGTAGCCATCTCAGACTGACTTTCTTTTTTCATTCAATGGTTTTTTGTTTGTTTGTCTTTTTGTTTGTAGAGAAGTTCAGGTTTAAAGAAAAACTGAGCAGGGGCCGGGCGTGGCGGCTCACGCCTGTGATCCCAGGACTTTGGGAGGCCGAGGCAGGTGGATCACCTGAGGTCAGGAGTTGGAGACCAGCCTGGCCAAAATCACTAAGCTAAAGAGAAAATTCAAGCTAGGAGGTGCTCAGGGCAAATCTGCCTCCGTTTCTATAAAAAGTCAACCCTGTGGTCATGGAGATAGATGCATATTCTGATTGCCTGCTTTCGAGAGGCTTATCAGAAACTCAGAGGAATACAGCCATCGGTCTCTCACCTACCTCGGACCTGGGAGCCCCCTGCTTGCTTTAAGTCATCCCTGCCTTTCTGCACAGAACCAGTGTACTTCTTACATATATTAATTCACATCTCATGTCTCCTTAAAATGCATAAAACAAAGGCCGGGCGCGGAGGCTCACGCCTGTCATCCCAGCACTTTGGGAGGCCGAGGCGGGTGGGTCACCTAAGGTTAGGAGTTCAAGACCAGCCTGGCCAACATGGTGAAACCCTGTCTCTACTAAAAATACAAAAAAAAAAAAAAAAATTAGCCAAATGTAGTGGCAGGTGCCTGTAATCCCAGCTACTCGGGAGGCTGAGGCAGGAGAATCGCCTGAACCCAGAAGGCGGAGGTCGCAGTGAGCCGAGACCGCGGCACTGCACTCCAGCCTGGGTGACAGAGTGAGACTCCGTCTCAAAAAAAAAAAAAAAATGCATACAATGAACTGGGCGCAGTGGCCCACGCCTGTCATCCCAGCGCTTTGGAAGGTTGAGCCAGGCAGATCACCTGAGGTCAAGAGTTTGAGAACAGCCTGGTCAACAGTGTGAACCTAGTGTCTACTAAAAATACAAAAACTAGCCAAAAGTGGTGGCGGGCGCCTGTAGTCCCAGCTACTCGGGAGGCTGAGGCAGGAGAATCGCTTGAACCCTGGAGGCGGAGGTTGCAGTGAGCGGAGATCACGCCACTGCACTCCAGCCTGGGCGACAGAGAGAGACAACATCTCAAAAAAGAAAAAAGTATAAAACCAAGCTGTAAGGCCGGGCCTGATGGCTCATGCCTGTAATCCCAGCACTTCGGGAGGCCGAGGTGGGTGGATCACCTGAGGTCAGGAGTTCGAGACCAGCCTGGCCAACATAGTGAGACCCTATCTCTACTAATAATACAAAAATTAGCCAGGCGTGGTGGTGCATGCCTGTAATCCCAGCTACTCAAGAGGCTGAGGCAGGAGAATCGCTTGAACCCAGGAGGCAGAGGTTGCAGTGAGCCGAGATCATGTCACTGCACTCTAGCCTGGGCAACAGGGTGAGACTCTGTCTCAGGAAAAAAAAAAAAAAAAAATGGCCAAGTGCAGTGGCTCCAGCCTGTAATCCCAGCACTTTGGGAGCCCAAGGCGGGTGGACTGCGTGATGTCAGGAGTTCAAGACCATCCTGGCTAACACGGTGAATCCCCGTCTCTACGAAAATACAAAAAATTAGCCGGGCATGGTGATGTGCGCCTGTGGTCCCAGCTACTCGGGAGGCTGAGGCAGGAGAATCGCTTGAACCCGGGAGGCGGAGGTTGCAGTGAGCTGAGATCGTGTCACTGCACTCCAGCCTGGGCAACACGGTGAGACTCCGTCTCAAAAAAAAAAAAAAAAAAATCAGCCGGGCGTGGGTGCCTCTCACCTGTAATCCCAGCACTTTGGGAGGCCGAGGCGGGCGGATCACCTGAGGTCAGGAGTTGGAGACCAGCCTGGCCAACATGGCGAAATCCCGTCTCTACTAAAAATACAAAAATTAGCTGGGGTGTTGTGGCAGGTGCCTGTAGTCTCAGCTCCTTGGGAGGCTGAGGCAGGAGAATTGCTTGAACCCGGGAGGTGGAGGTTGCAGTGAGCTGAGATCATGTCACTGTGTTCCAGCCTGGGTAACAGGGTGAGACTCCATCTCAAAAAAAAACAAAACAAACAAACAAAAAAAAAACCAAAAAACCAAAACAAGCTGTACCCGAAGCATGGGCACGTGTCATCAGGACCTCATGAGGCTGTGTCACGGAAACACATCCTCAGCCTTGGCAAAAGAAGCTTTCGAAGTTAAATGAGACCTGTCTCAAATTTTAGGACTTCAAATTTTTATGTATGAATTAGAATGAATAAATACATTTCCTAATGAGATAGAATGAAAGAGAAGGCCTCCTTCTGTGTGGCAGGTCTGCGAAAGTCTCTCTGATCTGAATTGCAAACCGTTTCTTGCAGTTCCTTCTGCTTTGTGATAAAAATCAACGGTTGCAGAGATCAAGGGGCTCAGAACATTGCGTGTGGCTCAGCGCTGGGCTTGCATCTTGAGATGTATGGCTTTATTCGCTCCCTACTACAGACTTGTCAGGGAGACCTGAATCTGTGACTGTATTTTCTTTTTTTCGGGACGGACTCTCGCTCTGTCGCCCAGGCTGGAGTGCAGGGGCGCGATCTCAGCTCACTGCAACCTCCACCTCCCGGGTTCAAGCAACTCTCCTGCCTCAGCCTCCCGAGTAGCTGGGATTACAGGTGCATACCCACACACCCAGCTAATTTTTTATATTTTTAGTAGAGACGGGGTTTCACCATGTTGGCCAGGCTGGTCTCAAACTCCTGACCTCGTGATCCGCCCGCCTCGGCCTCCCAAAGTCCTGGGATTACAGGCGTGAGTCACTGCGCCCGGCCGATCCGTGCCTGCATTACAAACGTGTGATCTAAACACCAGCGAGGTGAAATGTCCAAGATAAGAGGCAACCACTGGCCAGGTGCTTTGTGTGAGCAAAATAAAGCTGTTTGTTCACTCGGGTGCAAGTAGGCTGAGTCCGAAGAGACGGTCAGCGAAGGGAGATGGGGAAGTTGTGGCTTTATAGGAGTTGGGTAGGTAATGGAAAATTACAGCAAAACGTGGTTCTCTATTGTTAGCACGGGAGGGGGTTTGCAAGGGGCATGGTGAATGAGAAGGGAAGGGATAGTATAACATTATTGATAAACTACGCTAGACGCCAAGGCTCATGCGTGTAATCCCAGCACTTTGGGAGGCCGAGGCGGGCTGATCACGAGGCCAGGAGATCGAGACCAGCCTGGCCAACATAGTGAAACCCCGTGTCCGCTAAAAATACAAAAATTAGCCGGGCGTGGTGGTGGGTGCCTGTATTCCCAGCTACTCAGGAGGCTGAGGCAGGAGAATCACTTGAACCCAGGAGGCAGAGGTTGCAGTGAGCCGGGATTGCACCATTGCACTCCATCCTCGGTGAAAGAGCAAAACTCCGTCAGAAAAAAAAAAGAAGGAAGGGAGGGAGGGAGGGAAGGAAGGAAGGAAAGAAGGAAGGAAGGAAGGAAGGAAAAGATGCAACCACCATTGGATAAAGAAAATGCGGTACATTAGAGGCCGGGTGCAGTGGCTCACACCTGTAATCCCAGCATTTTGGGAGGACGAGATGGGTGGATCACCAGGTCAGGAGATCGAGACCATCCTGGGTAACAGGAGACCAGCCTGGCTAACACGGTGAAACCCCGTCTCTACTAAAAATACAAAAAATCAGCCCGGCGTGGTGGCGGACGCCTGTCGTCCCAGCTACTCGGGAGGCTGAGGCAGGAGAATGGTGTGAACCCGGGAGGCGGAGCTTGCGGTGAGCCCAGATCGCGCCACCGCAGTCCAGCCTGGGGGACAGAGCGCCAAAAAAAAAAAAAAAAGGAAAGAAAAAAAGAAAATGTGGTACATTAGGCTGGGAATGGTGGCACGCACCTGTAGTCCCACCTACTCGGGAGGCTGAGACAGGAGAATCTCTTGAACCCGGGAGGTGGAGGTTGCACTGAGCCGAGATCGCACCACTGCACTCCAGCCTGGGCGAAAGAGTGAGATACTGTCAAAAAGAAAAAAAAAAAAAAAAAAACAGAAAAGAAGAAGGTGGTACATTGACACCGAGGACTAAGATCTGATTCTTTATCTTGCCCAAGTTCCTGTGTAATCAGGAGTCACGCCTTACAAATCATAAGTTTTCATTCAGTGGGTTTTATTTATCGCTATATATCATGACTTACTTTACGGTCGGGCTGTGGTATCACATTATGTGACAAAGAAGCAAGGCAAAATATTTTGCCCCCAAACATGTTCCTTTGCTATATTTGGAAATGGCCCCGCAGAGCTGTCCTTTGTGGGGGGAAACTGGCATCTGTAAAGAATCTCTTTTGACGTAGTTAGATCTTTTTCTTCCAGGCCCTCCCAATCCTGAAGACATTAGCGGAGAGTCTAGCAGCTTTTAAAGGTCTGAATAGGGCCGGGCGCGGTGGCTCACGCCTGTCATCCCAGCACTTTGGGAGGTCGAGGCGGGCGGATCATGAGGTCAGGAGATCGAGACCATCCTGGCTAACAGGGTGAAACCTCATCTCTACTAAAAATACAAAAAATTAGCCGGGCGTGGAGGGTGCCTGCAGTCCCAGCTACTCAGGAGGCCGAGGCAGGAGAATGGTGTGAATCCGGGAGGCGGAGGTTACAATGAGCAGAGATCGTGCCACTGCACTCCGGCCTGGGCCACAGAGCGAGACTCCATCTCAAAAAAATTTAAAAAATAAGTAAATAAATATATAAATAATAAAGGTCTGAATAGGAAACATTTGTCATCTATTGTCTCTAAGGGCAGCCACCTTAGGATTTCAAAAGAACCTTGATCTGAATTCACAATCTTTTATCTTTTTTTTTATTTTTTTTCTGGGACAGAGTTTCGTTCTGTCGCCCAGGCTGGAGTGCAGTGGCATGATCTCGGATCACCGCAACCTCCACCTCCCGGGTTCAAGTGATTCTCCTGCCCCAGCCTCCCTAGTAGCTGGAATGATAGGCCCCCGCCACCACACCTGGCTAATTTTTGTATTTTTAGAAGAGATGGGGTTTCACCATGCTGGCCAGGCTGGTGTCGAACTCCTGACCTCAAGTGATCCGTCTGCCTCGGCCTCCCAAAGTGCTGGGATTACAGGTGTGAGCCACCCCGCCCGGCCATATTTTTCCTTTAAGAAAATAGCTTGGGAGTCTCGTTCACTCAGTGCTCAATGGTGCCCAGGCTGGAGTGCAGTGGCATGATCTCGGCTCGCTACAACCTCCACCTCCCAGCCGCCTGCCTTGGCCTCCCAAAGTGCTGAGATTGCAGCCTCTGCCCGGCTGCCACCCCATCTGGGAAGTGAGGAGTGTCTCTGCCTGGCCGCCCATCGTCTGGGATGTGAGGAGCCCCTCTGCCTGGCTGCCCAGTCTGGAAAGTGAGGAGCGTCTCCGCCCGGCTGCCATCCCATCTAGGAAGTGAGGAGCGCCTCTTCCCGGCCGCCATCACATCTAGGAAGTGAGGAGCGTCTCTGCCCGGCCGCCCATCGTCTGAGATGTGGGGAGCGCCTCTGCCCCGCCGCCCCATCTGGGATGAGAGGAGCGCCTCTGCCCGGCCGAGACCCCGTCTGGGATGTGAGGAGCGTCTCTGCCCGGCCGCCCCGTCTGAGAAGTGAGGAGACCCTCTGCCTGGCAACCACCCCATCTGAGAAGTGAGGAGCCTCTCCGCCCGGCAGCCACCCCATCTGGGAAGTGAGGAGCGTCTCCGCCCGGCAGCCACCCCGTCCGGGAGGGAGGTGGGGGGTCAGCCCCCCGCCCGGCCAGCCACCCCGTCCGGGAGGGAGGTGGGGGGGTCAGCCCCCGCCCGGCCAGTCGCCCCGTCCGGGAGGGAGGTGGGGGGGTCAGCCCCCTGCCCGGCCAGCCGCCCCGTCGGGGAGGGAGGTGGGGGGGGGTCAGCCCCCGCCCGGCCAGTCGCCCCGTCCGGGAGGGAGGTGGGGGGGTCAGCCCCCGCCCGGCCAGTCGCCCCGTCCGGGAGGGAGGTGGGGGGGTCAGCCCCCCGCCCGGCCAGCCGCCCCGTCCGGGAGGGAGGTGGGGGGGGGTCAGCCCCCGCCCGGCCAGCCGCCCCGTCGGGGAGGGAGGTGGGGGGGACAGCCCCCTGCCCGGCCAGCCGCCCCGTCGGGGAGGGAGGTGGGGGGGACAGCCCCCTCCCCGGCCAGCCGCCCCGTCCGGGAGGGAGGTGGGGGGGTCAGCCCCCCGCCCGGCCAGCCGCCCCGTCCGGGAGGTGAGGGGCGCCTCTGCCCGGCCGCCCCTACTGGGAAGTGAGGAGCCCCTCTGCCCGGCCAGCCGCCCCGTCCGGGAGGGAGGTGGGGGGGGTCAGTCCCCCGCCCGGCCAGCCGCCCCGTCCGGGAAGTGAGGGGCGCCTCTGCCCGGCCGCCCCTACTGGGAAGTGAGGAGCCCCTCTGCCCGGCCAGCCGCCCTGTCCGGGAGGGAGGTGGGGGGGGTCAGTCCCCCGCCCGGCCAGCCGCCCCGTCCGGGAAGTGAGGGGCGCCTCTGCCCGGCCGCCCCTACTGGGAAGTGAGGCGCCCCTCTGCCCGGCCAGCCGCCCCGTCCGGGAGGTGAGGGGCGCCTCTGCCCGGCCGCCCCTACTGGGAAGTGAGCCCCTCTGCCCTCTGGGCCCGTCTGGGAGGTGTGCCCAACAGCTCATTGAGAACGGGCCATGATGACGATGGCGGTTTTGTGGAATAGAAAGGGGGGAAAGGGGGAAAAGATTGAGAAATCAGATGGTTGTCGTGTCTGTGTAGAAAGAGGTAGACATGGGAGACTTTTCATTTTGTTCTGCACTAAGAAAAATTCTTCTGCCTTGGGATCCTGTTGATCTGTGACCTTACCCCCCAACCCTGTGCTCTCTGAAACATGTGCTGTGTCCACTCAGGGTTGAATGGATTGAGGGTGGTGCAAGATGTGCTTTGTTAAACAGATGCTTGAAGGCAGCATGCTCGTTAAGAGTCATCACCAATCCCTAATCTCAAGTACCCAGGGACACAAACACTGCGGAAGGCCGCAGGGTCCTCTGCCTAGGAAAACCAGAGACCTTTGTTCACTTGTTTATCTGCTGACCTTCCCTCCACTATTGTCCCATGACCCTGCCAAATCCCCCTCTGTGAGAAACACCCAAGAATTATCAATAAAAAAAAAATTAACAAAAAACAAAAAACAAAAAACAAACAAAAAAAAAAAGAAAATAGGTTAAACAATTTGTTAAAAATTTTCCATCTTATTTCATTTCTGTAGCAGTTGATATCTGGCTGTCCTTTTTACAATGCAGAGTAAGAACTTTCCCTACCATGTTTGAGAAATGTCCTGGTTCCGTTGCCAAGAATGTGTTGTCCAAGATGCCTGTTTAGTTTTTAAAGATGGAACTCCACTCTTTGCTTTTTCTTCTTCTTCTTTTTGACGGACTCTCGTTCTGTCGCCCAGGCTGGAGTGTAGTGGCGTGATCTCAGCTCACTGCAACCTCCGCCTCCCGGGTTCACGCCATTCTCCTGCCTCAGCCTCCTGAGTAGCTGGGACTACAGGCGCCCGCCACCACGGCCGGCTAATTTTTGTATTTTTAGTAGAGACGGGGTTTCAGCATGTTGGCCAGGCTGGTCTCGATCTCCTGACCTCGTGATCCACCCGCCTCGGCCTCCCAAAGTGCTGGGATGACAGGCGTGAGCCACCGCGCCCGGCCACCTTTGCTTGGTGTTAAGTACGTACGGAATCTTACGATAGTACATAGTCGTAGCAGTGGTCAGACGTGGAAATGGTGGGGAGACAAAAACATACATGTGAAATAAAACTCAGTATTTTAATAAAGTAGCACAGTTTCTATTGAAAAAATAAAAAACAAAATAAATAAAAATACAAAATAAATAAAATAAAATACAAATAAAATAAAATACAAAATAAATAAAAATACAAAAATTAAATAAATAATACAAAAAAAATAAATACAAAAAATACAAAAATTAATAAATAAATAAAAATAAATAAAAATACAAAAATTAGCCAGGCTTGGTGGTGGGTGGTGGGATTACACACGTGAGCCACCACTCCCGGCCTTATCCCCCGCCTTTCTACACTGAAGCAATGTTCATCTTACCCACACTGATGGATGTTTCACATCTCCCTAAAATGTATGAAACCAAGCTGCGCCCGGACCACCCTCGGCATCTGTCATCAGGACCTTCTGAGGCTGCGTCACAGGGACGAATCTTCACGTCCTCAACCTTGGCAAAATAAACTTTCTAAATTAACTGAGACCTGCGGCCGGGCATGGGGGCTCACGCCTGTAATCCCAGCAATTTGGGAGGCCAAGGTGGGCGGATCACCTGAGGTCAGGAGTTCAAGACCAGCCTGGTCAACATGGTGAAACCCCATCTCTACTAAAAATACAAAAATTAGCCGGGTGTGGTGGCGGGTGCCTGTAATCCCAGCTATCCAGGAGGCTGAGACAGGAGAATCTCTTGAACCCGGAGGCAGAGGTTGCAGTGAGCCAAGATCATACCACTGCACTCCAGCCTGGGTAACAGAGTTAGACTCTGCCTCAAAAGAAAACAATAAAAAAAATTAACCAGGCGTGGTGGCAGGTGCCTGTAATCCCAGCTGCTTGGGAGGCTGAGACAGGAGAATCACTTGAACCCAGGAGATGGAGGTTGCAGTGAGCCGAGATCACACCACTGCACTCCAGCCTGGATGACAAGACTGAAACTCCATCTCAAAAAATAAAATAAAACAGGCCGGGTGCGGTGGCTCATGCCTGTCATCCCAGCATTTAGTGAGGCCGAGGCGGGTGGATCACCTGAGGTTGGGAGTTAGAGACCAGCCTGACCAACCTGGAGAAACCCCGTCTCTACTAAAAATACAAAAATTAGCTGGGCGTAGTGGTGGGCGCCTGTCATCCCAGCTACTCGGGAGGCTGAGGCAGGAGAATCGCTTGAACCAGGGAGGTGGAAGTTGCAGTGAGCCGAGATCACGTCATTGCACTCCAGCCTGGGCGACAGAGCGAGACTCTGTCTCCAAAAAATAAAATAATAAATAAAATAAAGGCCGGGCACGGTGGCTCATGCCTGTAATCCCAGCACTTAGGGAGGCCAAGGTGGGCTGATCCCCTGAGGTCGGGAGTTGGAGACCAGCCGGATCAACCTGGTGAAACCCCGTCTCTACTAAAAATACAAAATGAACTGGGCGTGGTGGTGCACGCCTGTAATCCCAGCTACTCGGGAGGCTGAGACAGGACAATCGCTTGAACCCCGGAGGCAGAGGTTGCAGTGAGCCGAGATCACACCGTTGTACTGCAGCCTGGGCAACAGAGAGCTCTGTCTCAAAACAAAATTAAAATAAATGAATAAATAAATAAATAAAATAAATGTACTGAGACCTGTCATTGCAATGAAAAACCCACTCATCCTCAAACATAAAAAAAAAATATTCGGTCGGGCGCAGTGGCTCACGCCTGTCATCCCAGCACTTTGGGAGGCCGAGGAGGGTGGATCACGAAGTCAGGAGTTCGAGACCAGCCTGGCCAACATAGTGAAACCCCGTCTCTACTAAAAATACAAAAAATTAGCCGGGCGTGGTGGCGGGCACCTGTAGTCCCAGCTACTCGGGAGGCTGAGGCAAGAGAATGGCTAAACCCGGGAGGCGGAGGTTGCAGTGAGCTGAGATCGCACCACTGCACTCCAGCCTGGGCGACAGAGTGAGACTCTGTCTCAAAAAATAAAAATAAACATAAATTAATTAAAAAAAATTAAAAAAACACAAAAGTAAGAGACAGGTGAATTAACCAGGAGGCCGGCTCGTCTTGCGGTCTGGGAAGGGCGTAACTTCAGAGGATCCCGGGCTTTGGAAAATTTGCCAAAATGAGACATTTCGGCTCCATTTAGCTGCGGTTTCTCTCCACTCCCACTTCCCCTCTGCCTAAGTTCCCCGTATGCCGGGCGGCCCCGGGGCAGAGGTGGGGTTCTGGGGAGCTGAGACAGGGAAGTTGACCTGCAGTTGATTTGCATGTGGTCTTTGAGGGATCTGCCCGTGGGTTCCAACGTCACGGCCAGGCCTGGCTCACTGCGGTCTGGCCTCCCATGATGATAGCAGTATCTTCTAGGAATATTCCCACCCACCCACGGCGCTGACGCACGGATACGACAGGGAAGCCTCCAGACCCGTCCTCTGGTGCTGGGTGTTGTCAAGAAAAAAAAGAGCCAAACTCTGGCCAGGCGCGGTGAGTCACACCTGTGATCCCAGCACTTTGGGAGGCCGAGGCGGGTGGATCACCTAAGGTCAGGAGTTTGAGACCAGCCTGACCAACATGGCAAAAACCTGTGTCTATTAAAAATACAAAAATTAGGCCGGGCACAGTGGCTCACACCTGTAATCCCAGCACTCTAGGAGGCTGAGGCGGGTGGATCACCTCAGCCTGAGGTCAGGAGTTTGAGACCAGCTGGACAACATGGCAAAAACCTGTCTCTATTAAAAATACAAAAATTAGGCCGGGAGAAGTGGCTCACGCCTGTCATCCCAGCACGTTGGGAGGCCGAGGCGGGTGGATCACCTGAGGTCAGGAGTTCGAGACCAGCCTGACCAACACAGTGAAACCCCATCTCTACTAAAAATACAAAAATCAGCCGGGCGTGCTGGCATGTGCCTGTAATCCCAGCTACTCGGGAGGCTGAGGCAGAAGAATCGCTTGAACCTGGAAGGTGGAGGTTACAGTGAGCCAAGATTACACCACTGCACTCCAGCCTGGTGACAAAGCGAGACTCCATCTCAAAAAAAAAAGAAAAGAAAAAGAAAAGACAAGACAAGACATCCATAAAGATCCCTGAATTGCCTAGGACCACTGAACAGTCGGCCACGGCCCCATCCCAGAGGATCACGGCCCCAGCCTCGCGGAGTTCGCCGGCTGAGTGGGGTCTCTGGAGCATGGTGGAGATTTGGGGTGAGTGAAGGCCTCTGCAGGAGGGGTGATTTGGGGTGAGTGGGGGGTCTCTCTCTGAGGGATGGAGATTTGGGGTGAGCAGGGGTCTCTGTGAGCGATAGAGATTTGGGGTGAGTGGGGTCTCTCTCTGAGGGATGGAGATTTGGGGTGAGTGTGGATCTCTCTGAGGGATGGAGATTTGGGGTAAGTGGGGGGGTCCCTGAGGGATAGAGATTTGGGGTGAATGGGGGTCTCTCTGAGGGATGGAGATTTGGGGTGAGCGGGGGTCTCTGTGAGGGATAGAGATTTGGGGTGAGTGGGGTCTCTCTCTGAGGGATGGAGATTTGGGGTGAGCGGGGGTCTCTGTGAGGGATAGAGATTTGGGGTGAGTGGGGTCTCTCTCTGAGGGATGGAGATTTGGGGTAAGTGGGGGGGTCCCTGAGGGATAGAGATTTGGGGTGAATGGGGGTCTCTCTGAGGGATGGAGATTTGGGGTGAGTGTTGGTCTCTCTCTGAGGGATGGAGATTTGGGGTGAGTGGGGGTCTCTCTCTGAGGGATGGAGATTTGGGGTGAAGACCATCCATGGGGTGACGATCAGAAATGCAGTAACCTCATCACATTTTCTCTCCTGCATTTTTTCCTGGAACTGTGGGCCGGGCGCGGTGTCTCATGCCCGTAATCCCGACAGTTTGGGAGGCCAAGACAGGCGGATCACTTGAGGTCAGGAGTTTGAGACCAGCCTGGCTAACACGGTGAAACCCCGTCTCTACTAAAAATACAAAAATTAGCCAGGCGTGGTGGCGGGCACCTGTCATCCCAGCTACTCGGGAGGCTGAGGCAGGAGAATCGCTTGAACCCAGGAGACAGAGGTTGCAGTGAGCCCAGATCACGCCATTGCACTCCTGCACTCCAGCCTGGGTGACAGAGCAACACTCTGTCTTAGAAAAATATATTTTAAAAATAATAATAAATAAATAAAATTAGCCAAGCGTGGTGACGCATGCCTGTCATCCCAGCTATTAGGGAGGCTGGGGCAGGAGAATCACTTGAACCCGGGAGGCAGAGGTTGCAGTGAGCTGAGATCACGCCACTGCACTCCAGCCTGGGCAACAAGAGCGAAAGTCTGCCTCAAAATAAATAATAAATTATTTAATTAAATTAAATAAATAAATAAATGAATAGGGCTGGGCACGGTGGCTCACACCTGTAATCCCAGCACTTTGGGAGGCCAAGGCAGGTGAATCACTTGAGGTCAGGAGTTTGAGATCAGCCTGACTAAATGGTGAAACCCCGTCACTCCTAAAAATACAAAAATTCGCCAGGCATGGTGGCAGGCGCCTGTAATACCAGCTACTCGGGAGGCTGAAGCAGGAGAATCTCTTGAACCCGGGAGGCGGAGGTTGCAGTGAGCCGAGATCGCACCAGTGCATTCCAGCCTGGGCAACAAGAGCGAAAGTCCGCCTCAAAAAAATAAAAAAAATAAAAATAAGTAAATAAATAAAAAGGGCCAGGCGCGGTGGCTCACGCCTGTAATCCCAGCAGTTTGGGAGGCCAAGGCAGGTGAATCACTTGAGATCAGAGTTCGAGACCAGCCTGACTAACATGGTGAAACCCCCGTCACTCCTAAAAATACAAAAATTAGCCAGGGTTTTTGGCGGTCACCTGTAATCCCAGCTACTCGGGAGGCTGAGGCAGGAGAATCACCTGAACCTAGGACGCAGAGGTTGCAGTGAGCTGAGATCGCACCACTGCACTCCAGCCTGGACAACAAGAGCAAAAGTCCGCCTCAAAACAATACAAAAAATAAAAATAAGTAAAATAAAAAGGGCCAGGCGCGGCGGCTCACGCCTGTAATCCCAGCAGTTTGGGAGGCCGAGGCAGGTGAATCACTTGAGGTCAGAGTTCGAGACCAGCCTGACTAACATGGTGAAACCCTGTCACTCCTAAAAATACAAAAATTAGCCAGGCATGGTGGCAGGCGCCTGTAATACCAGCTACTCGGGAAGCTGAGGCAGGAGAATCGCTTGAACCCGGGAGGCGGAGGTTGCAGTGAGCCGAGATCGCATCAGTGCATTCCAGCCTGGGCAACAAGAGTGAAACTCCATCTGAAAAAAATTTAAAAAAAAACAAAAACACACAGCAACCCTCCTCTTCCCAGCTGAGTCATCCCACCTGTGGCTTCCCACTCAGTGCTTGCTTTCGGGGTGTGAGAATATGCCCTGAGGCCTAGGGCCGAACCCCACAGGAGGAAAGAGCAGGGGGGCTGGCTGGCAAAGGTACTGGGAGGCTCCCCAACCCAGGAAGGTCCCCCCACCCTCCCCGCCCAGGAAGGACCCAGCATGTGGGAGTTACACCCCGGTTTGCGGGTCTCCCAGCCCAGGATGTTTTGTCAAAACTTAGCAAACCAGAGAGCGTCCTGGCCTTCTTGAAGGCATCTGATTTCTCTTTTCTTGTGAAGATTTTTCAAGCCAAGTGCTGGAGGTGGGAAGGGGGTTTCCAAGGCACCAACATACAAGATAACTCCAGGAGATAAGGACGCTGAGAGTTTTCAGGCAGAGCCGGTTCTGCAAACACCAGGAAATAGAAACAACAAGCAACTCACAAGCAGCTCACGCCTGTCATCCCAGCACTTTGGGAGGCTGAGGCGGGTGGATCACCAAAGGTCAGGAGTTTGAGACCAGCCTGGCCAACATGGTGAAACCCCGTCTCTACTAAAAATACAAAAATCAGCCAGATGTGGTGGTGGGCACCTGTAATCTCAGCTACTTGGGAGGCTGAGGCAGGAGAATCGCTTGAACCCGGGAGGCGGAGGTTGCAGTGAGCTGAGATCACGCCGCTGCACTCCAGCCTGGGCAACAAGAGTGAAAACTCCATTAAAAAAAAAAAAAAAAAAGCAAGCTACCTAGATTTTCACAGCTGGTTCAAATACCGCCGGGGGTATCCAGTCAGGAAGGGGTACTGTCTGAGGGGGCCAGGGGATACCTGTGCAAGTTGTCAGTTCAGAATGAATTTCTGAAACCCTCACGTGGTAACAAGCTCCCAGCCTCTTTCTAATGGGCTTTGGCTAAAGGTCCAGCACGTAAAACACAAAGGCTCTCCTGGGCTTGGCTCAACAGGGAGGTAGTTCCCAGAAAGAGACCTTCCTAGCTGGGCGCGGTAGCTCACGCCTGTAATCCCAGCACTTTGGGAGGCTGAGGCAGGCGGATCACGTGGTCAGGAGTTCGAGACCAGCCTGGCCAACTTGGTGAAACCCCGTCTCTACCGAAAACACAAAAAATTAGCCAGGCGTGGTGGCGGGTGCCTGTAATCCCAGCTACCCAGGAGGCTGATGCAGGAGAATGGCGTGAACCCGGGAGGCGGAGGTTGCAGTGAGCCGAGATTGTGCCATTGCAGTACAGCCTGAGTGAGAGAGCAAGGCTCCAAAGAAAAGAAGGAGGAAGAGAAAGAAAGACAGAAAGAGAGAAAGAAAGAAAGAGAAAGAGAGAAAGAAATGAAGGAAAGAAGGAGAAAGAAACAGAGAAAAAAGAATGAAAGAAAGAAAAGAAAGGAAGGAAGCAGGGAGGGAGGGAAAGAGAGGAAGGAAGGAATGTGAAGGGAAGGAAGAAGGAAGGAAAGAAAGAGAAAGAAAGAAAAGGGAGGAAGGAAGGAAAGGGAAGGGAAGGAAGGAGAAGGAAGGAAAGAAAGAAAGAGAAAGAGAAAGGAAAGAAGAAGAAAGGAAGGAAGGAGAAAGAAAAAGAAAGAGAAAGGAAGGAAGGAGGGAGGGAAAGAGAGGGAGGGGAGGGGAGGGGAGGGGAGGGGAGGGGAGGGGAGGGAAGGGGAGGGAAGGGAAGGGAAGGGAAGGGAAGGGAAGGGAGAGCCCCAGACATCCCAGGTATCCTCATCCTAAATTCCTTCCACAGCTCACTGCGTCCCAGGTGTGGGATTAACACAAGCCTCTGGTCACCTTTGAGGCTGGCGAGACAGCTTGACTCCAGCCCCGGGGGACACTGGGTCTCCAAGTGCTGCGGGATACAGAGAGGCTTTTCCAGCCCCTCCTGCGGCCCTTTCATCGCCGACAGCTGCTGGGGGGGGCTGAGCCAGCCAAAGCTGAATTTGCAGAGGATGCTTCTGACCCCTAGTGTCCAAAACTTCCAAATTAAAGGCGTGTCCCTGAGCAAGGGCTGGGTGGGCTCAGGGGGCCTGGGGGCCTGCAGTTTAATGAACTCTGCAGAGACGCTTTAAACCCATCTATGGCCGGGCAACGTGGCTCATGCCTGTAATTCCTTTTTTCTTTTTTTTGAGACCGAATCTCGCTGTGTCACCCAGGCTGGAGTGCAATGGCATGATCTCCGCTCACTGCAACCTCCGCCTCCCGGGTTCGAGCGATTCTCCTGCCTCAGCCTCCCGAGTAGCTGGGATTACAGGCAGCTGCCACTACACACGGCTAACTTTTGTCTTTTAAGTAGAGACGGGGTTTCACCATGTTGGCCAGGCTGGTCTCGAACTCCTGGCCTCAGGTGATCCACCCGCCTCGGCCTCCCAAAGTGCTGGGATGACAGGCGTGAGCCACCGCGCCCGGCCTATAAACGGGTTATTTTTTATTATTTTTTATTTTTTGAGACAGAGTCTGGCTCTGTCCCCCAGGCTGGAGTGCAATGGCACCATCTCGGCTCACTGCAAGCTCCACCTCCCGGGTTCAAGTGATTCTCCTGCCTCAGCCTCCCGAGTAGCTGGGACTACAGGCGCCCACCACCATGCCCTGC
The DNA here is from genome assembly GCF_000001405.40 of Homo sapiens. NCBI lineage: Eukaryota > Metazoa > Chordata > Mammalia > Primates > Hominidae > Homo > Homo sapiens. The sequence continues at coordinate 1,245,534 of NC_000024.10, forward strand.
TAATTTTTTTTTTTTTTTTTTTTTTTTTTGTATTTTTAGTAGAGACAGGGTTTCACCATGTTGGCCAGGCTGGTCTCGAACTCCTGGCCTCAGGTGATCCACCTGCCTTGGCCTCCCAAAGTGCTAGGATGACAGGCGTGAGCCACTGCGCCCAGCCTATAAACGGGTTATTAATGAGCTCTCCAGCCAGGCAAACTTGAAAGCTCCAGGGCAGCCTTTCCGTGGCCGACGACGAGCAGAAGAAGCAGAAGATGGGAGATGCAGCAGGATAATTTGTTAAGGGGTGAAATGTACGTTGAGTTCCCAACTTCCAGTCTCTGTGAATATTGGGACCTTATTTGGAAATGTAATTAAAATGTAAATTGAGATGACATCATTTTTGATTAAGGTGAGTCATAAATCCCATGAGTGTAGGTCTAAGAGACAGAAGGGGCCGGGCGCGGTGGCTCACGCTTGTAATCCCAGCACTTTGGGAGCCCGAGGCAGGCGGATCACCTGAGGCCAGGAGATCGAGACCAGCCTGGCCAACATGGTGAAACCCTGTCTCTACTAAAAATACAAAAATTAGCTGGGCGTGGTGGCAGGCGCCTGTAATTCCAGCTATTCCAGAGGCTGAGGCAGGAGAATCGCTTGAACCCGGCAGGCGGAGGTTGCAGTGAGTCAAGATCGAGCCACTGCACTCCAGCCTGGCGACAGAGTGAGACTCCATCTCAAAAAAAAAAAAAAAAAAAAAAGAGACAGAAGAGGAGACACAGACAGGGGAGGAGGCCACGTGGAGACGGAGGCAGAGACTGCAGTGAGGTGGCCACAGTCCCAGGGACGCCTGGAGCCCCCAGGAGCTCGAAGAGGCAGGAAGGATCCTCCCCTAGAGCTTCTAAAAGGAACCAAACCAAACTGCAGTGGGTTGAATGGGGATCCCCCAAAGACATGTCCAGGTCCTAAACCTTAGAATCCGTGAATAGGACCTCATTTGGAAATAGGGTCTTTGCAGATGTGTTTAAGGGAAGGATCTCAAAATGAAATCGCCTTGCATTGGAGTTGGACTCTAAATCCAATGAGGGGTGACCCCATAAGAGACAAAGAGGAGACACAGACACAGAGGAGGCCACGTGGAGATGGTGACAGAGACTGCAGTGAGGCGGCCACAAACCCAGGGACGCCTGGAGCCCCCAGGAGCTGGGAGAGGCAGGAAGGACCCTCCCCTAGAGCCTCCAGAGGGAGCACAGTCCTGAGACACCTGGATCTCAAGACTCCTGGTCTGCAGGCCTCAGAGAGGATACATTCCAGTTGTTTTAAGGCCCTCGGTTTGTTCTGTCCACCCCAAGAAACTACACACCCTACAAATGAGGACTCCAAGCCTCATTCTCCCGGCACCGCACGCCTGCAAACATAGGCATGGCCAGCAGGTGGCAGTCGAGTCCCCAAAAAGAAATTGCGTGGCTTAAGGTTCCGGGATTTGAATAAATACGGTAATAAAAATCCGGCGGGCGGATCACGAGGTCAGGAGTTCGAGACCAGCCTGGTCAACATGGTGAAACCCTGTCTCTACTAAAAATACAAAAAATTAGCCGGGGGTGGTGGCAGGCGCCTGTAGTCACTGCTACCGGGAGGCTGAGGCAGGAGAATGGCATGACCAGGGAGGCGGAGCTTACAGTGCTCTAAAAAAAAAAAAAAATCAGGCGGGCGGATCACAAGCTCAGGAGTTCGAGACCAGCCTGACCAACATGGTGAAACCCCGTCTGTACTAAAAATACAAAAAATTAGCCGGGGGTGGTGGCGGGTGCCTGTAATCCCAGCTACTCGGGAGGCTGAGACAGGAGAATCGATTGAACTCAGGAAGCAGAGGATGCAGCGAGCCAAGATCGCGCCACTGCACTCCAGCCTGAGCAACAAAGCGAGACTCCATCAAAAAAAAAAAAAAAAAAACCCACAGTGTAAGGGGTCCCAATGCAGACCTCAACAGAGGGTTCTTGGATGTCGTGCAAGAAATTATTCGAGCCAGGCGCGGTGGCTCACGCCTGTAATCCCAGCACTTTGGGAGGCTGAGGTGGGTGGATCACCAGAGATCAGGAGTTCGAGACCAGCCTGGCCAACATGGAGAAACCCCGTCTCTACTAAAAATACAAAAAATTAGCTGGGCGTGGTGGTGCACACCTGTAATCCCAGCTACTCGGGAGGCTGAGGCAGGAGAATCGCTTGAACCTGGGAGACGGAGGTTGCCGTGAGCCGAGATCGCGCCATTGTACTCCAGCCTGGGCAACAGGAGCAAAACTCTATCTCAAAAAAGAAAAGAAAAGAATCTCAAGAAAGAAAGAAGGGAGGGAGGGACGGAGGAAGGAAGGAAGGAAGGAGAGAGAGAGAGAGAGAGAGAGAGGGAGGGAGGGAGAGAGAGAGAGAAAGAAAGAAGGAAAAGAAAGAAAGAGAAAGAAAGAAAAAGAAAGAGAGAGAAGAGAAGAGACAGCCTGTACTACCCACCCGTTGAGTTGAGGGGTGAAGAGAAGAGAAGAGAGGAGAGGGGAGGGGAGAGGAGGGGAGAGGAGGGGAGGGGAGGGGAGGATAGGGGAGGGGAGGATAGGGGAGGGGAAGATAGGGGAGGGGAGGATAGGGGAGGGGAGGGGAGGATAGGGGAGGGGAGGATAGGGGAGGGGAGGATAGGGGAGGGGAGGGGAGGGGAGGGGAGGGGAGAAGAGAAGAGAGGAGAAGAGAGGACAAGAGCCTGTACTACCCACCCGTTGACTTGAGGGGGAAAGGGAGGGGAGGGGAATGGAGGGGAGAGGAGGAGAGGGGAGGGGAGGGGAATGGAGGGGGGAGAAGAAAAGAAAAGAGAAGAGGACAGCCTGTATTACCCACTCGTAGAGTTGAGGGGGGAGGGGAGGGGAGGGGAGGGGAGACTAGACGAGAGGAGGGGAGAGGAGAGGAGACGAGAGGAGAGGAGAGGAGACAGCCTGTACTACCCACCCCTTGAGTTGAGGGGTGCCGGAAAACCCCGGACTTTTCTTGTGGAGGTGGAGGGGAGGGATTCCAGGGTTAGTCACAGCTGTCACTTTTCTGCTTCTTGTTTCTGGCAGGGTTCACTGTCCTGGGTGCTTGATTCGTTACTAGCGATCCGGAGAAGAAAGGGTTAAAGGAATCCCTCCCCCACCCCTGGAATCCCTCCCCCACCCCTGGAATTCCAAAGGCGCAGCCAGGCTCGGATTTCCACGCGGGCGGTACTGAATTAACGGCTGGGCCCCGGCGCCTTTCTTTTAACTAATTACATCTGCAAGGGCCTTAATTCCAAACGAGGCGTCATTCCCGGAGACCAGAGGCGTTTGGAACTCAACGTATATACTTTGGGGCCGCGATCGAGGCGCGTCTCCCGTCTTCTGCCTCTGCGTGTCCTCAGCTGCAGAAAGGCCGCCCCTGAGCCTTCGGGTTTTCCTGGGGGGAGAGCTCATGAGGAACCCGTGTATGCCTAGCGTTCCATTATTGGAACGCTAAGCTTGTCTGAAGGCTGAAGGTCATCGCCAAGATCTGGTTTTTTACACCAAAAAAACTTGCAACCTCCGGCATAAATGGGCTTAAAGTGTCCGTGAGAGCTCATTAAACGACAGGCCCCGGGTCCCTGACCCCCCCCCCCACCAAGCCCTTGCTCTGGGACGCGCCTTGGACACGTCTGCAGATTCAGCCCTGGCCGGTTCAGCCCCCAGCGGCTGTCAGCAATGAAAGGGGTCCCAGAAAGGACTGGAAAAAGCAGATCACAACGGGAATCCCGAGGCAAGAATGCAGGAGCCAGGCTATCTGGCAAGCCTCAAATATAGCCAGCAGGTTGTGTTGATCCCGCATCACGGACGCTGTGAGCTGTGGAAGGAGCTTGGGATGAGGATTGCTGGGGATGCCTGCAGCTGTTTCTGCTGGAGCTGCCTCTGGGGCAGGAAGTGTCACGTTGCACCCCAGGAAGGTCTCTGTCCAGCGCAGACCACGTGGCCCTTCCTGGTGCTACTCAAGCCCTGGAGAGAGCCTCTAGGCTATTTGAGGTTCCTGGACTCCAGCTTTAGCCAGAGCCAGCTAGGAGGAGGCTGGGAGCTTGTTAAAGCCTGAAGGTAAGCCGGGTCAGGAAGTTGAGATTTGGAAACAGGCCTGATAGTCTGTGCTTCCTCTTCGGGGAAAAAGAGATGTTACAACGCGCTGGGCTCCACCCTCCCCCGAGAGCTTGCAGATTTCCGGCTTCTGAGGAGCTGCCCTACCACAGCTCCTTCTGTTGCTAGATAAGGGGTTGGGGTCACACCCTCCTCCCTTCTGTGGCTGGAGGGATGGTCTGTGGACAGAAGAATGTGTGGCCACAGGGAAAGTGAGCCAGTATCAGCAGAAAAACAAACTGAGGCTGGCACGGTGGCTCACTCCTGTCATCCCAGCACTTTAAGGCTGAGGTGGGCTGATCACGAGGTCATGAGTTCGAGACCAGCCTGGCCAACACAGTGAAACCCCTTCTCTACTAAAAATACAAAAATTAGCCGGGCATGGCGGTGGGTGCCTGTAATCCCAGCTACTGAGGAGGCTGAGGCAGGAGAATCGCTTGAACCCGGGAGGCGGAAGTTGCAGTGAGCCGAGATCGCACCACTGCCCTCCAGCTTGGATGACAGAGCGAGACTCCATCTCAAGAAAAAAAAGAAAAGGGAAAAGCAAACTGATATTGTCCCCAACATGCAGGATGGGGCATTCTCAACCTCGGCACTGCTGACATTGGGAGCGGGAGGATTCTCTGTGGTGGGGCTGTCCTGGGCACTGGTGGGTGTTGAGCAGCCGTCCTGGGATCCACACACCGGGGGCCAGGAGCAAACTTCCCAGGACTGACACCAAGGGTGTCCACAGATTGTCATTCTCTTGTGATTGTCTCTAGACATTGCCAAGTTTCCCCTGGGGGTAGAATTCTCCCTGGCCTGTGAACCACTGTTATAGATAGATGATACATAGATAGATGATAGCTAGATAGATAGCTAGATAGATAGATAGATAGATAGATAGATAGATAGATAGATAGATAGATGGAGTAGATAGAAAGATAGATAGACAGATAGACAGATAATAGATGGAAGAGAAGATGGACCGATATAATGAGTGATCATTACAGATATGATAGATGATAGGTGATAGGTAGACAGATGATAGATAGATCAATAGATAGATAAAACTTAGATGATAGATATAACAAATGATTATGATAGGTGATAGATACATAGATATCTATATAGATATATAGAGGGAGTAAATAGAAAGACACATAAATAATAGATGGAATAGAAGATCGATTGATATAATAAGTGATCATTATCAATATGATAGATGGTAGGTGATAGACAGATGGTAGACATATAGATAGATAAAACTTAGATGATAGATACAATAAATGATTATGATAGGTGATACATATCTATATAGATAGATATCTATATAGATATAGAGAGAGTAGATACAAAGAGAGACATAGATAATAGATGGAATAGAAGATTAATTGATATAAGTGATCATTATAGATACGATAGATAGTAGGTGATAGATGATAAACATATAGATAGATAAAACTTAGATGATAGATATAATAAATGATTATGATAGGTGATATCTAGGTAGATATCTATATAGACAGATATCTAGATAGATATCTAGAGAGAGTAGATACAAAGATAGAGGGACATAGATAATAAATGGAATAGAAGATCGATTGATATAATGAGTGATCATTATAGATATGATAGGTGATAGGTAGATAGATGATAGATAGACATATAGATAGATAAAACTGAGATGATAGATATAATAAATGATTATGATATCTATCCATATAGATATATCCATATAGATATGTCCACATAGATATACCCATATGGATATATCCACATAGATATACCCATATGGGTATATCCACATAGATATACCCATATGGGTATATCCACATAGATATACCCATATGGGTATATCCACATAGATATACCCATATGGGTATATCCACATAGATATACCCATATGGGTATATCCACATAGATATACCCATATGGGTATATCCACATAGATATATCCATATAGATATATCCACAGATATATCCACATAGATATATCCATATAGATATACATAGATATCTATCCATATAGATATATAGAGAGAGTAGATACAAAGAGAGCATAGACAAATAATAGATGTAATAGAAGATTAATTGATATAATAAGTAATCATTATAGATATGATAGATGGTAGGTGATAGGTAGACAGATGATAGATAATTGATAGATGATAGGGTAGATAATTGATAGGATAGATAAGTGATAGATGATAGATAGATAGATAGATAGATAGATAGATAGATAGATAGACAGACACATAGATAGATGCCGGGTGTGGTGGATCACGCCTGTAGTCCCAGCATTTTGGGAGGCCGAGGCGGGTGGATCACGAGGTCAGGAGTTCGAGACCATCCTGGCCAACATGGTGAAACCCCGTCTCTACTAAAAATACAAAAATTGGCCAGGCATGGTGATGCACGCCAGTAATCCCAGCTACTCAGGAGGCTGAGGCAAGAGAATGGCGTGAACCCGGGAGGCAGAGATTGCAGTGAGCAGAGGTCGCGCCACCTGCACTCAGGCCTGGTGACAGAGGAAGACTCCCTCTCAAAATAATAATGATAAACAAAGTGCTGGGATTACAGGCTTGAGCCACCACTCCCGGCCTGGGGCTGTAGTTTTCCATTTCTTTGTTCCAAAGGCCGGAGTCACCAGCTTATCTTAATTTGCCTTGTGGTCTACCTGCCAACCTTCCCACCACCCCACACAGGAAAACTCATTGAGTCTGCTTCAGCAGACAACACCCTGAGACTTTTCCCACTGGTGCCTTTACTTATTACAACGCCGAGCTGCTTCAGAGGCAGAACAGGCTTATCTGAGTCCTCAGACTTCTCTCCTTCCCAACAGCATCAACATTTTCCAGGAAAATCACGACTTGTGAATTTATTATTTTTATTTTATTTTATTTATTTTTTGAGATAGAATTTCACTCTTGTTGCCCAGGCTGGAGTGCAATGGCATGATCTCAGCTCACTGCAACGGCCACCTCCCAGGTTCAATCGATTCTCCTGCCTCAGCCTCCCGAGTAGCTGGGATTACAGCCAACTGCCACCACACCCAGCTATTTTTTTTGTATTTTTGTTAGAGATGGGGTTTCACCATGATGACCAGGCTGCTCTCGAACTCCTGACCTCAAGTGATCTGCCTGCCTCGGCCTCCCAGACTGCTGGGATTACAGGTGTGAGCCACTGCGCACGGCCCATGTGTAGATTTATTAAATGCCCCTGTTCGGCCTCCCAAAGTGCTGGGATTATAGGTGTGAGCCACCTCGCCCAACCCACCATCTAAAGTCTGTCTCTGAGCTTTACCTCATACCACCCCCCCTCCTGGTACCCATCCCTGCCCCTGAGAAAAGGGAGGTGAAGGAGACCAGGAACCACAGTTTTCAGCTAAGAGGAAACTCAGGTCAGAAAGTCCCTGCCTGGCCCACATCCCTCATTCTAAAGAGAGAACTGGGGCTTCCCAGCAAGGAACAAGGAGATGGCACAGACAAGGCTATGTCTGTTCAAACAGTGACATTCTCTGGGCCATGTGTCCATCAAGCAAAAGATATCACCATCCCCAGGTTCACAGACCAGGACAGGCACCTACAGGAAGCCGCTTACAGGTGCTGGGATGTATCTCAGAGCTCGGTCCTTTGAACACATCCCTCCGGGCCACGTTCTGGCGTTAGTACTGGAGGTTAAAGATTCACGGGACCATTGTTTCTGGAAAGGCAGGGAAGTATAAATAAACAAATGCTCAATGTCATCTGAAGGTGACGTACGAGGGAAGCGGAGAACTGAGAACTGGAGGCGGAGGGTTTCCAGTCATGGCAGAAGGCAAAGAACTGGGGCTTCCCAGCAAGGAACAAGCAGATGGCACAGACAAGGCCATGTCTGTAAAAGCAGTGACATTCTCTGGGCCATGTGTCCATCAAGCAAAAGATATCACCATCCCCATGTTCACAGACCAGGACAGGCACCTACAGGAAGCCGCTTACAGGTGCTGGGATGAATCTCAGAGCTCGGTCCTTTGAACACATCCCTCCAGGCCACGTTCTGGCCTTAGTACTGGAGGTTAAAGATTCACGGGACCATTGTTTCTGGAAAGGCAGGGAAGTATAAATAAACAAATGCTCAATATCATCTGAAGGTGACGTATGAGGGAAGCAGAGAACGGAGAACTGGAGGCGGAGGGTTTCCAGTCATGGCAGAAGGCAAAGAACTGGGGCTTCCCAGCAAGGAACAAGCAGATGGCACAGACAAGGCTATGTCTGTAAAAGCAGTGACATTCTCTGGGCCATGTGTCCATCAAGCAAAAGATATCACCATCCCCAGGTTCACAGACCAGGACAGGCACCTACAGGAAGCCGCTTACAGGTGCTGGGATGAATCTCAGAGCTCAGTCCTTTGAACACATTCCTCAGGGCCACGTTCTGGCCTTAGTACTGGAGGTTAAAGATTCACAGGACCATTGTTTCTGGAAAGGCAGGGAAGTATAAATAAACAAATGCTCAATGTCATCTGAAGGTGACATACGAGGAAAGTGGAGAACTGAGAACTGGAGGCGGAGGGTTTCCAGTCATGGTGCAAGGCAAAGGGGTAGAAGGAATTACATGGTGAGAAAGGAAGCGAGAGAGAAGCCAGGGTCTTTTTTATTTTTTTGAGACGGAGTCTCACTCTGTTGCCCAGGCTGGAGTGCAGTGGCGCGATCTTGGCTCACTGCAACCTCCGCCTCCCAGGTTCAAGCGATTCTCCTGCCTCAGCCTACTGAGTAGCTGGGACTACAGGCGCCTGCCACAGCGTCTGGCTAATTTTTTTTTTGTATTTTTGGTACAGACGGGGTTTCACCATGTTAGCCAGGATGGTCTCAATCTCCTGACCTCGTGATCCGCCCACCTCGGCCTCCCAAAGTGCTGGGATTACAGGCGTGAGCCACTGCGCCTGGCTTTTTTCTTTTTTTGAGACAGTCTCACTCTGTCACCAGGCTGCAGTGCAGTGGCGCAATCTCGGCTCACTGCAACCTCCACCTCCCGGGTTCATGCCATTTTCCTGCCTCAGCCTCCCAAGTAGCTGGGACTACAGGTGCCCACCACCACGCCCGGCTAATTTTGTGTATTTTTAGTAGAGATGGGGTTTCACCATGTTAGCCAGGATGGTAAAAGAACAAACTCTCACACGAATTCACAGAGGAGAGCTCATTTACTGTCTCATTACCTTGGGGACTGCACCAAGCTATTTACTAGGGATTCACCCCATGATCCAAACACCTACCACCAGACCCCACCCCCCAACATTGGGGATCCCATTTCAACATGATATTTGGAGGGTACAAACATACAAACTCTATCACCATCTCAATTTTTTTTTTTTAAAGAGGGAATCTTGCTCTGTTGCCGGGTTGGAGTGCAGTGGCAAGATCTCGGCTGATCGCAACCTCCACCTCCAGGGTTCAAGCGATTCACCTGCCTCAGCCTCCTGAGTAGGTGGGATTACAGGGATTACAGCTGCATGTCCATGGTGGGCTGTGGGATGGTGATAAAAGTAGGGACAGAGAAGTCTACGTTCAGCCAAGATGGAATCATGGAAATGCACTTTACCCTCCCATCTGAAACAATCAAGAAAAACGTGGAAAAATGCAACTGTGTTAATTTCTTTTTTTTCTTATTTCTTCTTCTTATTATTATTGAGACAGAGCTTCACTCTTGTAGCCCAGGCTGGAGTACAATGGCACAATTGCAGCTCACTGCCACCTCCACCTCCAGGGTTCAAGCGATTCTCCTGCCTCAGCCTCCTGAGTAGCTGGGATTACAGGCACGCACCACCACACCTGGCTAATTTTTGTATTTGTATTTGTATTATTGTTTTTTTTTTTTTTAAGATGGAGTCTCCCTCCCTCTTGTTGCCCAGGCTGGAGTGCAGTGGCGCGGTCTCAGCTCACTGCAACCTCTGCCTCTCGGGTTCAAGTGATTCTCCTGCCTCAGCCTCCTAACTGGGATTACAGGCACGCACCACCATGCCCAGCTAATTTTTTGTATTTTTAGTACAGATAGGGTTTCATCACTATACCCAGGGTGGTGTCCAACTCCTGAGCTCAGGCAATCCGCCCGCCTCGGCCTCCCAAAAGTGCTGGGATGACAGACGGGAGCCACACCAGGCTGGGCTGCTTCTGTACATTTTAGGTAGACGTGAGACATGAATCAAACATATTTAAGACACACATTGCTTCAGTCCGGAAAAATGGGGAAGCTCACAGCAAACGCTCCCAGGTAATAGGTAGATTTAAACATTTTGTGATTGGTAATTGTTTGAAATAATTTTTCTTTTTTTTTTCAGATGGAGTTTCACTCTTGTTGTCCAGGCTAGAGTGCGGTGGCATGATCTCAGCTCACTGCAACCTCTGCCTCCCGGGTTCAAACGATTCTCCTGCCTCAGCCTCCCGAATAGCTAGGATTACAGGCATGCACCACCATGCTCGGCTAAGTTTGTATTTTTAGTAGAGATGGGGTTATTTTTGAGGTGGAGTCTCACTCTGTCACCCAGGCTGGAGTGCAGTGGCATGGTATCAGCTCACTGCAAACTCTGCCTCCCTGGTTCAAGAAATTCTCCTGCCTCAGCCTTCCAAGAAGCTGGGACCACAGGCACCCGCCACCATGCCCGGCTAATTTTTGTATTTTTAGTAGAAACAGGGTTTCACCGTGTTAGCCAGGATGGTCTCGATCTCCTGACCTTGTGATCTGCCTGCCTCGGCCTCCCAAAGTGCTTGGATTACAGGTGTGAGCCACTGCGCCCGGCCTATTTGTTTTATTTTATTTTTGAGGTGGAATCTTGCTCTGTTGCCCAGGCTGGAGTGCAATGGCGTGATCTCGGTTCACCACAACCTCCGCCTTCTGGGTTCAAGCGATTCTCCTGCCTCAGCCTCCCTAGTAGCTGGGACTACAGGCGCCCGCCACCACGCCCGGCTAATTTTGTATTTTTAGTAGAGACGGGGTTTCTCCATGTTGGTCAGGCTGGTCTCGAACTCCCAACCTCAGGTGATTCACCCTCCTCGGCCTCCCAAAGTGCTGGGATGACAGGCGTTAGCCATTGTGCCTGGCCGAGAATTATTATCAATAGAAAAGAATGTCTGGGTTATAATGGTATAGGGTTTGGGGACCAAGGTTTTATCAAGCAGATGACGCCTCCAGGGAGCAGGCTTCAGAGAGACTAGATTGTAAATGTTTCTCCTTTTGTTTTTGTTTTTGTTTTTTTTTTTTGAGACAGAGTGTTGCTCTATCACCCAGGCTGGAGTGAAGTAGCATGATCTCGGCTCACTGCAACCTCCGCTTCCCGGGTTCAAGTGATTCTTCTGCCTCAGCCTCCCAAGTAGCTGGGATTACAGGTGCCACCGTGCCTGGCTAATTTCTGTATTTTTTGTATTTTTTGTAGCCACCGGACCCAGCCAATTGTAAATATTTCTTTTTCAGACTTAAGATCTGTGTTAGGCCGGGCGCGGTGGCTGAAGCCTGTAATCCCAGCACTTTGGGAGGCCGAGGAGGGCGGATCTCCTGAGGTCAGGAGTTCAAGACCAGCCTGGCCAACATGGGAGGTTGAGGCAGGAGAATGGCGTGAACCCGGAAGGCGGAGCTTGCAGTGAGCCGAGATCGTGCCACTGCACTCCAGCCTGGGCCACAGAGCGAGACTCCGTCTAAAATAAATAAATAAATAAAAATAGGACTCTGATTTTCCCTCCCCTTTTCTGTGTAAAAACTGGCCATAAGGAAATTCCATGACCTCCCTTGTTTGTCTGAAGATCCTAAGATTTCCATTCCAGAGAGGAACAGGAATTCCGTTCTTTTCTTCTGCCCCACACCCAGAAGAAAAGGAGCTCTGCTGAGAGACACCAAGAAGAATCTAGAAAGACAGGCCTGGCTGGATTTCCTCACTCATTCATTAGCCTTAGATCAGGCCTTTTTCCACCAATTCTGCTTCTACACAGGTGTCCAGACTGTGTTAAACCTAAGCTTAAAAATGAACAGTTTCACGCCTGTCACGGTGGCTCACGCCTGTCATCCCAGCACTTTGGGAGGCCGAGGCGGGTGGATCACGAGGTCAAGAGATCGAGACCATCCTGGCCAACATGGTGAAACCCCGTCTCTACTAAAACTACATAAATTAGCCAGGCGTGGTGGTGTGTGCCTGTCATCCCAGCTGCACTCAGGAGGCTGAGGCAGGAGAATCGCTTGAACCTGGGAGGTGGAGGTTGCGGTGAGCTGAGATCAAACCACTGCCCTCCGACCTGGGTGACAGAGTGAGACTCAGTCTCAAAAAAAAGAATCTGCCAAGATCATGTATCACTCTGTGGTTTTTCTGCAGACAGATCATTTGGGCCCAGGAGTTCGAGACCAGTCTGGGCAACATAGTGAGACTTTGTGTGTACAGATAAGTTTTTTTATAAAATTGCCCGGGCACGGTGATCCCAACCTGTCATCCCAGCACTTTGCGAGGCCAAGACAGGCGGATCACGTGACGTAGGAGTTCGATACCAGCCTGGCCAACGGGGTGCAACCCCGTCTCTACTAAAAATACAAAAAATTAGCCGGGCGTGTTGGCGGGCGCCTGTAGTCCCAGCTACTTGGAGGCTGAGGCAGCAGAATGGCGTGAACCCAGGAGGCAGAGCTTGCAGTGAGCCAAGATCGTGCCACTGCACTCCAGCCTGGGAGACAGCGAGACTCTGTCTCAAAAAAAAAAAAAAAAAAATTGCCTGGATACCATGATCCCAGCCTGTCATCCCAGCACTTTGCGAGGCCAAGAGAGGCAGATCACATGAGGTAGGAGTTCAAGACCAGCCTGGCCAACAGGGTGCAACCCCGTCTCTACTAAAAATACAAAAATTAGCTGGGCATGTCGCTGCATGCCTGTAATCCCAGCTACTCAGGAGGCTGAGGTATGAGAATCACTTGAACCCGGAGGCAGAGATTGCAATGTGTTGAGATCACACCACTGTACTCCATCCTGGGGGACAGAGTGAGACCCTGTCTCAAAAAAAAAAAAAAAAAAACAAGAGAAAAGAAGAGAAAAAACAGAGGTTTATAGCATCTCCACAGGCTCCTGTTATCACTAATGTAAACCACAAATAAAATTTGAATGCTTGCTCAACTATCTGAATGGATCCCTTCCCTCAACTAAGGACATTTGAAAGTTAAGGCCGGGCGCGGTGGCTCACGCCTGTAATCCCAGCACTTTGGGAGGCCGAGGCGGGGGGATCATGAGGTCAGGAGTTCCAGACCAGCCTGGCCAATATAGTCAAACCCCGTCACTACTAAAAATACAAAAAATTAGGTTGGCGTGGGGGCAGGTGCCTGTAATCACGGCTACTCAAGAGGCTGAGGCAGGAGAATGGAGTGAACCCAGGAGGCAGAGCTTGCAGTGAGCCAAGATTGCGCCACTGCCCTCCAGCCTGGGTGACAGAGTGAGACTCTGTCTCAAAAAAAAAAAAAAAAAAGTTAACCTGAAAGTCCACTTCAGGCCGTCATGGAAAGTGGGGCCGGACATGCCTCATTACAGCCTCCTGCCTTTAGAATTCAGGCACAGCTGAGCAGCATTCACGTGAAAACCAAGATCATAAGATTCACAAAACAGGCCGGCACAGCGGCTCATGCCTGTAATCCCAGCACTTTGGGAGGCAGAGGCAGGCGGATCACCTGAGGTCCGGAGTTCGAGACCAGCCTGGCTAACACGGTGAGCCCCCTCTTCCCCCATCTCTACTAAAAATACAAAAAAAAAAAAATTAGTCAGGCGTGATGGCACATGCCTGTGATCCCAGCTACTTGGGAGGCTGAGGCAGGAGAATCGCTTGAACCCGGGAGGCGGAGGTTGTAGTGAGCCGAGATTGCACCACTGCACTCCAGCCTGGGCAACAGAGCGAGAGTCCGTCTCAAAAAACAAAACAAAACAAAACAAAACAGTAGCTAATAAGTAGCCTCTGAAAAGGACATCAGTTTCGGAGTTTTTGGCCCAAACCTGGGAGAATAATAAGACGTGGGGAATTCTTTCTGTGGGCAGAAGAGCATGCAGAGCGGGAAACCCAGTCTCCGTTTCTTGGAAAGCCTGTTTCTCATCTGTTCTCAGAACCTTTCTCTCAGCCACTAACCTTTAGGATAAACTGCCAGACAAGGGAGATTTGAAATCCTGCAACTCACAGCTTCCAGGTAATCCTCGGTCCTAGAGAAGTAGAAACCGACCCCTCTGGGCCATGGGATTTTGGTTCTGGAAGTTCTGTGGGCTCCAGAGGAATGAGGGTTTTTTGGTTTTTGGTTTTTGTTATGAGACGGAGTTTCACTCTTGTCACCCAGGCTGGAGTGCAGTGGCACGATCTCGGCTCACTGCAACCTCCGCCTCCCGGGTTCAAGAGATTCTCCTGCCTCAGCCTCCCGAGTTTCTGGGAGTACAGGTGCCTGCCACCACGCCTGGCTAATTTTTCTTTCTTTTTTTGTTTCTGTATTTTTAGTAGAGACAGGGTTTTGCCATGTTGGCCAGCCTGGTCTCGAACTCCTGACCTCAAGTGATCCACCCGTCTCGGCCTCCCAAAGTGCTGGGATTACAGGCGTGAGCCACTGCGCCCGGTCAGAAACAGGGTTTTTCTTTTGTTTTGTTTTTATGTTTTCAGACGGAGTTTCACTCTTGTTGCCCAGGCTGGAATGCAGTGGCACAATCTCGGCTCACTGCAACCTCTGCCTCCCAGGTTCCAGAGACTCTCCTGCCCCAGCCTCCTGAGTTTCTAGGAGTACAGGTGCCTGCCCCCACGCCCGGCTAATTTTTCTTTTTTGTTTTTGTATTTTTATTTGAGACACGGTTTCACCATGTTGGCCAGCCTGGTCTTGAACTCCTGACCTCAAGTGATCCACCCCTCTCGGCCTCCCAAAGTGCTGGGATTACAGGCGTGAGCCACTGCGCCCGGTTAGCAAGAGATTTTTGTTGTTTTTTTTTTTTGTTTTATGTTTTGAGATGGAGTTTCACTCTCCTCACCCAGGCTGGAGTGTAGTGGCACGATCTCAGCTCACTGCAACCTCCACTTCCGGGTTCAAGCGATTCCCCTGCCTCAGCCTCGCGAGTAGCTGGGATTACAGGCGCCCACCACCACACCCAGCTGATTTTTGTATTTTTAGTAGAGACGGGGTTTCTCCCTGTGGGTCAGGCTGGTCTCGAACTCCTGACCTCAGGTGATCCGCTCCCCTCGGCCTCCCAAAGTGCTGGGATGACAGGGTAAGCCATTGCACCCGGCCTTTTTTTGATATTTTTAGTAGAGATGGTGTTTCCCCATGTTGGCCAGGCTGGTCTCGAGCTCCTGACCTCAACTGATCCACCTGTCTCGGCCTCCCAAAGTGCTGGGATTACAGGCGTCAGTCAATGAGCCCGGTCAGCAAGAGATTGTTTTTGTTTTGTTTTGTTTTGTTTTATGTTTTGAGATGGAGTTTCACTCTTGTCGTCCAGGCTGGAGTGCAGTGGCATGAACTCAGCTCACTGCAACCTCCGCCTCCCAGGTTCAGGTGATTCTCCTGCCTCAGCCTCCCGAGTAGCTGGGATTACAGGCGCCCGCCATCACGCCCGGCTAATATTTCTTTGGTGTTTTTAGTAAGAGATGGTGTTTCACCATGTTGGCCAGGCTGGTCTTGAACTCCTGACCTCGTGATCTGCCCACCTCAACCTCCCAAAGTGCTGGGATTACAGGCGTGAGCCAGCGAGCCTGGACCAGAAGCTTGAGCTTTTTGTCATGGAGAATTTCCAGTTGGGAAGGAGTTATCTGGACAGGATCATTCTGATCACGGTGCCCCAGGGAGACCCCTGTGAGGGGCGCTTTCTGTCATGTAGAGAACAAAGAACAGCCTGAATGAGAAGCTCTCTGGCAGCATCATCAATGCTCCCAACCCGGCAGAGGGCAGGTGCTCTGCAGACCCCTCCCCACAGCTGAATGGTTTCTCCCTGGGGAAGCTGAGCCCCCCTCCTTGCCCCTTAATCCCATTCCCCTGAGAGCAGAGCTTCTATTTCTTTTTTTTTCTTTTCTTTTCTCTTTTCTTTTCTTTTTTTCTTTTCTTTCTTTCTTTTTCTTTTTTTTTCTTTTTTTTTTTTTTTTGAGACAAAGTCTCTCGCTCCTGTTCCCCAGGCTGGAGTGCAATGGTGCGATCTCAGCTCACTGCAACCTCTGTCTCCCGGGTTCAAGCAATTCTCCTGCCTCAGCCCCCCGAATAGCTGGGATGACAGGTGGCTGCCACCATGCCCGGCTAATTTTTCTATTTTTAGTAGAGACAGGGTTTCACTATGTTGGCCATGCTGGTCTGTAACTCCTCTGACCTCAGGTGATCCTCCCGCCTCCACCTCCCAAAGTGCTGGGATGACAGGCGTGAGCCACCGCGGCCAGCCCAGAGCTTTTATTTCTTATCTCTGCATTCCCCCAACTCAATCTTCTCCCCAGCTCCCCTGCTCCCCTACTCCACCTCCTCCCCAACCCACCTCCTCCTTCACCTGCTTCTAGCCCCTTCCACGAAAGCTGATGTCCCTTGTGAAAGAAAAATAAATCGCCAGGCGCGGTGGCTCACGCCTGTCATCCCAGCACTTTGGGAGGCCGAGGCGGGCGGATCACGAGGTCAGGAGATCGAGACCATCCTGGCTAACACGGTGAAACCCCATCTCTACTAAAAATACAAAAACTTAGCCAGGCGTGGTGGCGGGCGCCTGTAGTCCCAGCTACGCAGGAGGCTGAGGCAGGAGAATGGCGTGAACACGGGAGGTGGAGCTTGCAGTGAGCCCAGATCGAGCCACTGCACTCCAGCCTGGGCGAGAAGAAAGAAAAATAAATCTCTGGGCCCCGCTGGGAACTGCTTAGGGCCTCTCCCTCTCATTCTATTCAAAGTGACCGTCTGTGCTCACTGAGATAGATGCATATCTAATTGCCTCCTTTAGAGAGGCTAACCAGAAACTCAAAAGAATGCAGCCATTTGGGAGGCAGACAGGGGCAGATCACCTGAGGTCAGAGGTGTGAGCCACTGCCCCTGGCCCATCTTGCTTATGTTGATTGATTTCTTATGTATCCCTAGAATGTATAAAACCCAACTGTGAGGCCGGATGCGGTGACTCGCCTGTAATCCCAGCACTTTGGGAGGCCAAGCGGGCGGATCACGAGGTCAGGAGATCGAGACCAGCCTGGCAACCATGGTGAAACCCAGTCTCTACTAAAAATACAACAACTTAGCTTGGTGTGGTGGTGGACGCCTGTAGTCCCAGCTACTCGGGAGGCTGAGGCAGGAGAATGGCGTGAACCCAGGAGGTGGAGCTTGCAGTGAGCCGAGATCGCGCCACTGCACTCCAGCCTGGGCGACAGAGTGAGACTCCTTCTCAAAATTAAAAAAAAAAAAAGAGAAGAAATTCAGTTCGTGGTGTAATTCTGAAACAAAATGGAAAACAGCCCCTTTCCCTAAGAGCTAAGGTCCAGTCTGCCTTCACAGGACTCACAAATTAGCTACAAAATTAGAAATTACAGTTTAGGGCTCCTGCAGGAGTATGTCACTGTTGTAAAACTAAGATCGATGCTTGAGATGTTTTGCAGAGCCTGCATCTGGCGGATCGGCTGACACCACCTAGACTGGCCATCTGGCAAAACCAGTTCTGCCATCCCATCCAGGAACAGAAAACAACAAGAAAAACTCACTTCAGGCCGGGGTGCAGTGGCTCACACCTGTAATCCTAGCACTTTGGGAGGCCGAGGCGGGCGGATCACAAGGTCAGGAGATAGAGACCAGCCTGGCTAACATGGTGAAACCCCGTCTCTACTAAAAATACAAAAACTTAGCCAGGTGTGGTGGCGGGTGCCTGTAATCCCAGCTACTCAGGAGGCTGAGGTAGGAGAATCGCATGAACCCGGGAGGCGGAGATTGCAGTGAGCCGAGATTGCACCATTGCACTCCAGCCTGGGAGAGAGTGCAAAACTCCGTCTAAAAAGAAAAGAAAAGAAAAATGCTTAAGGTGCTTTGTGAGGGTCGGATGAATACAATTGAATGGATCTGGCCCTAAGCTGGGAGTGAGCCGTGAGATACGAGCCATTATATCACGGTGTGCATCTGGTGTGCCATCTGGTTGAACTCGGGAATTTAAAGTTCTCCACATTGATGGTGAAACTCAGAAACAAGGTGTGAGCCATTGACAAGAAGTAGTATAACAGTGCCAGTTCCAGCAGCCTTGGTGAACCGTCTGGTTGAGCTCTTGGGAAGATAAACTTCTCTACATCAATGTCAAAAGGAAGATATGAGCCTTTGACAAGAATATCCACCATGATGCCCAGTTCCAGCAGCCTGGGTGAGCCATCTGGTTGAGCTCTTGGGAAGATAAACTTCTCTACATCAATGTCAACAAGAAGATATGAGCCTTTGACAAAAAGATCCACCATGATGCCCAGTTCCAGCAGCCTGGGTGAGCCATCTGGTTGAGCTCTTGGGAAGATAAACTTCTCTACATCAATGTCAACAAGAAGATATGAGCCTTTGACAAAAAGATCCACCGTGATGCCCAGTTCCAGCAGCCTGGCTGAGCCATCTGGTTGAGCTCTTGGGAAGATAAGCTTCTCTACATCAATGTCAACAAGAAGATATGAGCCTTTGACAAAAAGATCCACCGTGATGCCCAGTTCCAGCAGCCTGGCTGAGCCATCTGGTTGAGCTCTTGGGAAGATAAACTTCTCTACATCAATGTCAACAAGAAGATATGAGCCTTTGACAAAAAGATCCACCATGATGCCCAGTTCCAGCAGCCTGGCTGAGCCATCTGGTTGAGCTCTTGGGAAGATAAACTTCTCTACATCAATGTCAACAAGAAGATATGAGCCTTTGACAAAAAGATCCACCATGATGCCCAGTTCCAGCAGCCTGGCTGAGCCATCTGGTTGAGCTCTTGGGAAGATAAACTTCTCTACATCAATGTCAACAAGAAGATATGAGCCTTTGACAAAAAGATCCACCATGATGCCCAGTTCCAGCAGCCTGGCTGAGCCATCTGGTTGAATTCTTGGGAAGATAAACTTCTTTACATTGATGTCAACAACAGGGCATGATTCATTAAAGACAAAAAGGCCCATTATTGTGCCCACTTCCAGCAGCCTTGGTGAGTCATCTGATTTGGCTCTTGGAAAGACAAACTTCTCTACATGAATGGTGAAAGTCAGAAACAGGGTATGAGCCATTGACAAGCAGACCCACTATAGTTTGCAGTTTGAGCCTTGGTAAGCCATCTGGTTGAACTCTTGGAAAGTTAAATTTCTCTACATCGATGTCAGCAACAAAGTATGAGCCATTCACAAGAAGATCCACCATGGTGGCCATTTCCAGCAGCCTTCGTGAGCCACCTGCTTGAGCTCTTGGGAGATAACCTTCTCTACATCAATTCTGGAGAGAGGCAGCATGCTACAGTTTGGATACGGTTTGTTTGGTCCTGCCAGGTTTCATGTTGAAA
The DNA here is from genome assembly GCF_000001405.40 of Homo sapiens. Lineage (NCBI taxonomy): Eukaryota > Metazoa > Chordata > Mammalia > Primates > Hominidae > Homo > Homo sapiens. Next base: position 1,265,087 of record NC_000024.10, read on the forward strand.
TTTGACCCCCTGTGTGGTAGGTGGGACCTGGTGGGAGATGTTTAAACCATGTGGGTGAATCCCGTATGAATGGCTTGGTCCTGCCCCCATAGTCATGAGTGAGTTCTCATTCTCAGTTTCCAGGAGAGCTGGTTGTTGAAAAGACCCTGGCACCTCCCCCCGCTCTCTCTTGCTTCCTTTCTGCCCATGTGGTCTCTCCACACACAATGTCTTCCCTTCACTTTCTGTCATGACTGGAAGCAGCGTGACGTCCTCACCACAAGCAGGTCCAAACACCACGCTTCCTGGACAACCTGGAGAACCACTATGAGCCGAATAAATAATCTCTTTTTTTTTTTACCTTTTTTTAAAAATTTTATTATTATTATACTTTAAGTTCTAGGGTACGTGTGCACAACGTGCAGCTTTGTTACATATGTATCCATGTGCCATGTTGGTGTGCTGCACCCATTAACTCGTCATTTAGCATTAGGTATGTCTCCTAATGCTGTCCCTCCCCCCTCCCCCCACCCCACAACAGTCCCCGGTGTGTGATGTTCCCCTTCCTGTGTCCATGTGTTCTCATGGTTCAATTCCCACCTATGAGTGAGAACATGCGGTGTTTGGTTTTTTGTCCTTGCGATAGTTTGCTCAGAATGATGGTTTCCAGCTTCAACCCTGTCCCTACAAAGGACATGAACTCATCATGTTTTATGGCTGCATAGTATTCCATGGTGTATATGTGCCACATTTTCTTAATCCAGTCTATCGTTGTTGGACATTTAGGTTGGTTCCAAGTCTTTGCTATTGTGAATAGTGCCATTATAAACATATGTGTGCATGTGTCTTTATAGCAGCATGATTTATAATCTTCTTTTTTTTTTGAGACACAGTCTCGCTCTGTCGCCGGGCTGGAGTGCAGTGGCAGCATCTCGGCTCACTGCAAGCTCCGCCTCCCGGGTTCAATTGATTCTCCTGCCTCAGCTTCCCAAGTAGCTGGGACTGCAGGTGCACGCCACCACACCCAGCTAATTTTTGTATTTTTAGTAGAGATGGGGTTTCACCATGTTGGCCAGGCTGGTCTTGATCTCTTGACCTCATGATCCGCCTGCCTCGGTCTCCCAAAGTGCTGGGATTACAGGCGTGAGCCACCGCGCCCAGCCAATGATCTCTTCTTTATCAATTACCCAACCTCAGGTATTCCTTTCCAGCAACATGAATGGACTAAGACAGCTCCTGCAGGAATGGGGAGGCTAAGACGGTAGAGGTGCAGCCTGGTCAGCCATCTTTCACCTTTGCTGATGTTGCTATCCAGGTGTTTTCCATTGCATGTGCATGAAGCCCTATGCTTTGTTTAGGCGCCAACTGTTAGTATCGTAACACATGTCCAGTCTGTTTGGTTGTTTTTTTTGAGACGGAGTTTTGCTCTTGTTGCCCAGGCTGGAGGGCAATGGCACCATCTCAGCTCACTGCAACCTCCATCTCCTGGGTTCAAGGGATTCTCCTGCCTCAGCCTCCTGAGTAGCTGGGATTACAGGCACTCGCCACCACGCCTGGCTAATTTTTGTATTTTTTTTTTTTTAGTGAGCCACTGCCCCTGGCCTGCGTGATGTTTCTTATGATTTTGTAGACAGCACAAAAGGCATCTGTATTTGTGTGTGTGCAAGTGTCTGTGCAGGTGTGTGTACACCAATATGCTTGTGCAGAGGCGTGTGCAGATGTGTGTGTAGTTGTGTGTATGGATAGGTGCACTGTGTGCAGGTGTGTGGGGATGTGTGTGTGCAGGTCTGTGTGTGCAGACATGCACGTGTATGCAGGTGTGTGTGTGTGTACAGATGTGTGTGCAGGTGTGTGTGCAGATGTGTGTGTAGTTGTGTGTATGCACATGTGCATTGTGTGCAGGTGTGTGGGGATGTGTGTGTGCAGGTCTGTGTGTGCAGACATGCATGTGTATGGAGGTGTGTGTACAGACGTGCGTGTAGGTGTGTGTGCATGTGTGTGTGTGCAGATGTGTGTATGCACATGTGCACTGTGTGCAGGTGTGTGAGGATGTGTGTGTGCAGGTCTGTGTGTGCAGACATGCGTGTGTGTGCAGGTCTGTGTGTGCAGACATGCATGTGTATGCAGGTGTGTGTGTGTACAGATGTGTGTGCAGGTGTGTGTTTGCAGATGTGTGTGCAGATGTGCATGTGTCCTTGTGTATATGCACATGTGCACTGTGTGCAGGTGTGTGTGTGTACAGATATGTGTGCAGGTGTGTGTGCAGATGTGCTTGTGTACAGATGTGTGTGTGTAGTTCTATGTACGCCCATGTGCACTGTGTGCAGGTGTGTGGGGATGTGTGTGTGCAGGTCTGTGTGTGCAGTTGTGTGTGCAGACATGCATGTGTGTGCAGGTGTGTGTGCAGGTGTGCGTGTGTAGACAAGTGTGTGTGTGCCATTGTGCTTGTTTGTGCAGACGTACGTGCAGGTGTGTGTGCAGATGTGTGTGTGTAGCTGTGTGTACACACATGTGCCCTGTGTGCAGGTGTGTGGGGATGTGTGCGCACGTCTGTGTGTGCAGACATGCATGTGCCTGCAGGAAAGTGGGGATGTGTGAGTGTGCAGGTCTGTGTGTGCAGATGTGTTTGCAGACGTATGTGTGTGCAGGTGTGTGTGCAGGACTGTGCCAGTGTGCTTGTTTGTGCAGATGTGTGTGCAGATGTGTGTGTAGCTGTGTGTACGCCCGTGTGCACTGTGTGCAGGTGTGTGGGGATGTGTGTGCAGTTGTGTGTGCAGACATGCATGTGTGTGCAGGTGTGTGCGCAGATGTGTGTGTAGTTGTGTGTATGCACATGTGCATTGTGTGCAGGTGTGTGGGGATGTGTGTGCAGGTCTGTGTGTGCAGATGTGTGTGCAAACATGCATGTGTGTGCAGGTGTGTGTGCAGATGTGCGTGTGTAGACAAGTGTGTGTGCCATTGTGCTTGTTTGTGCAGACGTACGTGCAGGTGTGTGTGCAGATGTGTGTGTGTAGCTGTGTGTACACACATGTGCCCTGTGTGCAGGTGTGTGGGGATGTGTGCGCACGTCTGTGTGTGCAGACATGCATGTGCCTGCAGGAAAGTGGGGATGTGTGAGTGTGCAGGTCTGTGTGTGCAGATGTGTGTGCAGACATGTATGTGTGTGCAGGTGTGTGTGCAGGACTGTGCCAGTGTGCTTGTTTGTGCAGATGTGTGTGCAGATATGTGTGTAGCTGTGTGTATGCCCATGTGCACTGTGTGCAGGTGTGTGGGGATGTGTGTGTGCAGGTCTGTGTGTGCAGTTGTGTGTGCAGACATGCATATGTGTGCAGGTGTGTGTGCAGATGTGTGTGTAGCTGTGTGTACGCCCGTGCGCACTGTGTGCAGGTGTGTGGAGATGTGTGTGTGTGCAGGTCTGTGTGTGCAGGTGTGTGTGCAAACATGCACACGCGTGCAAGCATGTGTGCAGGAGTGTGTGTGCACGTGTGTGCGGGCGTGTGGGAATGTGTGCGTGTGCAGGTCTGTGTGTGCAGATGTGTGTGCAGACATACATGTGTGTGCAGGTGTGTGTGTGTAGATGTGTGTGGGACTCACACTTGAGCTGTTCCACGGGCCAGTCTTTGGAGACGAGGTCAGGAGCCAATGAACTCACGGAGCAATTACAGGTTTCCCAATCCTATGAAATGAGGAAGCAGGGGAGGGAGGGGCAGGGAGTGTATGATGACACAGAGGAACTCTGAAGGGAGCTACTCAGAAGCGGGAGTCTCCGAGAGAAGAAAAGCAGGTGGAAGGAGAGGAAGCGGATGCCGTGGGGGTAAGCTAAGTTCTTTCCTTCTGTGGTCTTTGAGCATGTCGAGTCACCCGGGTACATGTTTCTGCTGTGTCTGTCGATAGAAAAGAAAGAGACTGAACTGGAACATAAGATTTCAAACGTTGGCTCGAGCCGAAGTGGGGACAGCGGCCCAGAAGACTGAGAGCCAAGGAACCTTGCATATGAGTTGTCTTCTGCCTTTGTTATATGCAGGTTTTTAAAGGCAAAATTAAAAAAATAAAATAAAATAAAAAGAGGGAGGTGTTGTTGGAGGACAGGGAGGGGGCTTCTGTGAAGCTGTTTGCTGGGAATTCTCGTTGGTTTACAGAAAAAAACAATTGATTAATGATTGGCTGTACATTGCTAAGCTACAGGGCGTTGGGGTGTAGTATCTAGCACGGAATTATCACGTGAATTCACAGCTATCTGTGGCATCCGGAAGCCGTTTCGAGAGATGAACGCGGCCGGGCGTGGTGGCTCACGCCTGTAATCCCAGCACTTTGGGAGACTGAGGCGGGTGGATCACCTGAGGTCGACAGTTCGAGACCATCCTGGCCAACATGGAGAAACCCCGTCTCTACTAAAAATACAAAATTAGCCGGGCATGGTGGTGGCAGGCACCTGTAATCCCACCTACTCAGGAGGCTGAGGCAGGAGAATCGTTTGAACCCGGGAGGCGGAGCTTGCAGTGAGCTGAGATTGCACCACTGCACTCCAGCCTGGGCAACAAGACGAGATTCTGTCTCAAAAAAAAGAAAAAGAAAAAAAAAGAGATGAAAAGAGATGAACGCAGAGCTGAAAGGGGGAGGGAGTGTGATGGTGTTACTAGTTACTAGAAAGGGGTCCTGATCCAGACTTCAAGAACGGGTTCTGGGATCTTGCCCAAGAAAGAACTGGAGGCAAGTTCACATTGCAAACTGAAAGCAAGCTTATTAAGATAGTAAAGGGGGGCCGGGCACGGTGGCTCATGCCTGTAATCCCAACACTTTTGGAGGCTGAGGCGGGCGGATCACCTGAGCTCAGGAGTTCGAGATCAGCTTGGCCAACATGGCAAAACCACACCTTTATTAAAAATAGAAAAAATTAGCTAGGTGTGGCAGTGTGTGCCTGTAATCCCAGCTACTTGGGAGGCTGAGGCAGGAGAATCGCTTGAACCCGGGAGGCGGAGGTTGCAGTGAGCCCAGATTGCACCGTTGCACTCCAGCCTGGGCAACAAGAGCAAAACTCTGTCCCCAAAAAAAGATAACTAAAAGAAAAAAGTCGTGGGGAGAGATGCTCCACTACAAGGGTGACTGATAAAGGATTCATCTTTGTCATGACTATCTTTTGCAGTAATCAATATTGTATATATACATATTATATATTTTTTATTATTATTATTTTGAGATCATCTGGCTGTGTCATCCAGGCTGGAGGGCAGTGGTGCAATCACAGCTGACTGCTGTCTTGAATTCCTGGGCTCAAGCAATCCTCCCATCTCGGCCTCCCGAGTAGCTGGGTCAAAGGCAAATGCCACCATTCCTGGCAAATATTTGTATTTTTGTAGGGACGAGGGTTTCACTGTGTTTCCCGGGCTGGTCTTGAACTCCTAGACTCAATCTATCTTCCTGCCCCAGCCTCCCAAAGTGGTGGGATGACAGGTGTGGGCCACCGCGCCTGGCCCAATATTATCATTTTTAAAGCAAAACGGATTCTCACACTATGAAAGCTTTTGTTCTGAAGATATCAACACATCAGGAGGTTTCTGTGTCTGTTCAGTCCTCGGTCTGTTTAGTAAACAGTATTGATCTGTTCACATATCTTGCGTCAGGAATGGCTGACCTCCAGGGAATGCTGCCCAGCCTGTCCCAGCCTCCCTGTTCCCAGCCCCTATTCTAGATGGAGTCCCTCTAAGCTGGGCGTGGTGTAATCCCAGGACTTTGGGAGGCTGAGGTGGGCGGATCACCTGAGGTCAGGAGTTCGAGACCAGCCTGGCCAACAGGGTGAAACCCCATCTCTACTAAAAATACCCAAAATTAGCCGGGGCGTGGTGGCGGGCGCCTGTAATCCCAATATTTTGGAAGGCTGAGGTGACAGAGGATTGCTTGAGGCCACAGCAATTCCAGACCAGCCCGGGGCAACATCGTAAGATTCCCCCATCCCTCGTGTATAAAAAAAAGATTAAATTATTACAAATTTTAAAAAAGACAGAAATGAAGCATCTTAAGTTACCACCCAGATTGGGGTACTAAGAGTCTGGATTTGGACAGCTTGTTGCGCGTTTTATAGGTGTGCTAAATCACATTTCACTCTTTTTGTTGAGACAGAGTCTCGTGCTGTCGCCCAGGCTGGAGGGCAGTGGCGCGATCTCTGCTCACCGCAACCTCCGCCTCCTGGGTTCAAGCAATTCTCCTGCCTCAGCCTCCTGAGTAGCTGGGATTACAGGCACCTGCCACCACGCCCGGCTAATTTTTGTATTTTTTTTTTTTTTTTTTTTTTTTGGAGACAGCGTCTTGCTCTGTCGCCCAGGCTGGAGTGCAGTGGTGCAATCTCCGCTCACTGCAACCTCCACCTCCCGGGTTCAAGCAATTCTCCTGCATTAGCCTCCTGAGTAGCTAGGATTACAGGCACGTGCCACCATGCCCAGCTAATTTTTGAATTTATTTATTTATTTTTTTGGAGACAGTATCTTGCTCTGTTGCCCAGGCTGGAGTGCAGTGGTGCGATCTCGGCTCACTGTAACCTCCGCCTCCCGGGTTCAAGTGATTCTCCTGCCTCAGCCTCCTGGGTAGCTGGGATTACAGGTGTGTGCTACCATGCCCGGCTAATTTTTGTATTTTTAGTAGGGATGGTGTTTCACCATGTTGGCCAGGCTGGTCTGGAACTCCTGACTTCAAATGATCCGCTCACCTTGACCTCCCAAAGGGCTGGGATTACAGACATGAACCACGGAGCCCGGCCGGATTTCACTCTTTAGATTTTTGGTTTAAACTCGAGAAGCTCTTCTCGAGGGCTGAAAGCTCTTGGTCCCCTGTAGGTTTGCTGTAGATGACAGACATGAGGCAGATTGATTAATAAGAGAAAAGACATGCACTTTTTTTTTCTTTTTTTTTTTTGAGACGGAGTCTCGCTCTGTCACCGAGGCTGGAGTGCACTGGCATGATCTCGGCTCACTGCAACCTCCACCTTCCAGGTTCAACTGATTCTCCTGCCTCAGCCTCTCCAGTAGCTGGGATTACAGGCGTGTGCTACCATGCCTGGCTAATTTTTCTATTTTTAGTAGAGACAGGGTTGTTCCATATTGGTCAGGCTGGTCTCGAACACCTGACCTCAGGTGATCCGCCTGCCTCGGCCTCCCAGTGTGCTAGGATTACAGGCGTGAACCACTGTACCCAGCCAGATTTACACATTTATAGAATGTGTATACACAAGATTCTTCAGAATGAGGACTCCACCCCACAATGAGGTTCAGAAGCTAGTACACCACATTGAGACTACAGAAGGATAGGGGATTGGATCCTGGTACAAAAAAAAAAAGGTTATAGGGTTGGGGGGAAAGAGGAATTCTATTGAGGAGCAATATATAATTTCTACTGCGGACTGAACTCTGATTTTTTTCTTTATTTTATTTTATTTTATTTTATTTTTTTGAGACAGCATCTCACTCTGCCGCCCAGGCTGGAGTGCAGTGGTGCGATCTCAGCTCACTGCAACCTCCACCTCCTGGGTTCACCCGATTTTCCTGCCTCAGCCTCCCGAGTAGCTGCGATTACAGGCACCCGCCACTACGCCCAGCTAATTTTCTTTGTATTTTTAGTAGAGACGGGGTTTCACCATGTTGGCCAGGCTGGTCTTGAACTCCTGACCTCAGGTGATCCAACCTCCTCGGCCTCCCAAAGTGCTGGGATTATACGCATGAGCCACTGCACCTAGCTTCTTCTTTTTCTTTTTTTTTTTCTTTCTTTTTTTCTTTTTTTTTTTTAGATGGAGTCTAACTTTGTCGCCCAGACTGGAGTACAGTGGCACAATCTCAGCTCACCACAGCCTCCACCTCCCAAGGTCAAGCAATTCTCCTGCCTCAGCCTCCCAAGTAGCTGAGATTACAGGCACGTACCACTACTGCCTGAGTAATTTTTGTGTTTTTAGTAGAGACAACATTTCACCAGGTTGGCCAGGCTGGTCTCGAACTCCTGACCTCAAGTGATCCACACGCCTCAGCCTCCCAAAGTGCTAGGATTATAGGCACCAGCCACCACACCGGGCCTCTGACTTTTTTTATCTTGCCCAAATTCCTATCTAAGAGGTCTGAGGAGGCAAGCCCTACAAACCATAAATTCTCATCAAATGGGATTTATTGAACCCTGTATATCGTGACTTACTTTCCAACCTGACTCTGGCAAACGTTACAAGACAGAGAAAAAAAACAACATATGTTGCCCCAAAATATGTTTCTTAGTTGTATTTTTTTTTTCTTTTAAGATGGTCTCATTCTGTTTCCAAGGCTGGAGTGCAGTGGTGCAATCTTGGCTCCCTGCAACCTCCGTCTTCTAGGTTCAAGCGATTCTCCTGCCTCCTCAGCCTTCCAAATAGCTGGCGTAATATGCATGAGCCATCGTGCCCAGATAATTGTTTTTTGTTTTTTGTTTTTTTTTTAGTAGAGATGGGGTTTCACTGTGATGGCCAGGCTGGTCTTGAACTCCTGACCTCAGGTGATCCAACCGCCTCGGCCTCCCAAAGTGCTGGGATTATAGGCGTGAACCACTGCTCCCGGCTGGAGTACAGGGGCATAATCTTGGCTCACTGCAGCCTCTGCTTCCCAGGTTCAAGTGATTCTCCTGCCTCAGTCTCCCGAGTAGCTGGGACTACAGGCGCCCGCCACCACGCCCAGCTAATTTTTTTTTTTTTTTTTGTATTTTTTTTTTTTAGTAGAGATGGGGTTTCACTGTGTTTGCCAGGATGGTCTCGATCTCCTGGCCTCATGATCTGCCCGCCTCGGCCTCCCGAAGTGCTGGGATGACAGGCGTGAGTCACCGCGCCCGGCATGAAAGGGTTTTTCATTAAAAATCCTTGTTATACCGTGGAGCCCTGTGTTGGGGTAAAATATCATGATTTCCCTCACTCTCCATCATTCTTGCTTTGAATCTGAGAAGGAAGCTTGGCGGCCTCTATTTTAGGATCAGCCGAAAATTTCCAGAAAGGGGAAAGAAAACTCATTCTGTAAACACAAAAAAGAAGAAGAGAAAAAAGTATAAGCGGTACAGACAAAACGCAAAGATGTTGCATAATTTTCCGTGAGTGCAAAATGTCCTGTAAACCAAAAAAGAGGTATCTGAGACAGGTCTCAGTCCATTTAGAAAGTTCATTTTGCCGAGGTTAAGGACGCCTGCCCATGACAGAGCCTCAGGAAATCGCGATGACAGGTGCTGTGGATACACAGGGCACAATTTGCTTTCATACATTTTTTTGGCGGGGAGGGAGCTGGGGATCCAGTCTTGTTCTGTCACCCAGGCTGCAGTGCAATGGTGCAATCTCAGCTCACTATCACTGTAACCTCCGCCTCCCGTGTTCAAGCTATTCTCCTGCCACAGCCTTCTGAGTAGCTGGGATTATAGGCACCCACTACCGCGCCCAGCTAATTTTTGTATTTTTAGTAGAGACGGGGTTTCACCATGTTGGCCAGGATGGTCTCGAACTCCTGGCCTCAAATGATCCACCTGCCTCGGCCTCCCAAAGTGCTGGGATTATAGGCGTGAGCCATGGCGCCCAGCCCTGGTATGTAATTTTTAAAACCTTTGTAGTACCTTATTTACGAATAAAATGCGAGGCAGGTTTGCCTAAGACAGTTTCCACTATAACCTTTCATGATTTTGGGGTCCTGAGACTTATTTACCTTTCACAGTTTACAGCAGGAAAATCCGTGGAGACAGCAGATCCGAGAAGCGGCGATGTTTGCGTAGAACCCTGTACGTGCTTCCTTCGGCCTGTCGGTAATGTGGTTGGGGATTTTCTTTTTTTTAAGTGAAGTCTAAAGAACTGAAATGTTTTGCTCCATAATGATGAACCAGGATAGAAGTGAGAACTCAGGGCAGAAGAATCTGAATGAGGAACTGTCTGACCTATGACAAATTTAACATGTCACGTTCCCTCTGAGACAGTACACATCCTCCTGAAGCAGCGTGACAAGGCACATCCTCCTGAAGGGTCTCCAGGCAGAAGAGACGCATGAACCTGTCAAAAAAAAAAAAAAAAAGAGCCGGCCGGGCGCAGTGGCTCAAGCCTGTAATCCCAGCACTGTGGGAGGCTGAGGCGGGGGGATCATGAGGTCAGGAGTTCCAGACCAGCCTGGCCAACATGGTGAAACCCCATCTCTGCTAAAAATACAAAAATTAGCCGGGTGTAGTGGCAGTTGCCTCTAGTCCCAGCTACTCCGGAGGCCGAGGCAGGAGAATCGCTTGAACCCAGGAGGCGTAGGTTGCAGTGAGCCAAGATCGCGCCACTGCACTCCAGCCTGGGCAACAGAGCGACAGTCCGTCCCAAACACTGCAAAATATTTAAAGAGATTTATTCTGAGCCAAATATGAGTGAGCAAGAAGGCCCAGGGAAAATAGTCTAAAGAGATCCTGAGAACACGTATCCAAGCTGGTTGAGCGGCAGTTTGGTTTTATATGTTTTTGTTTGTTTACTTATTTTACTTTATTTTATTTATTTATTTATTTATTTTGAGATGAAGCCTTGCTCAGTCTGTTAGGCTGGAGTGCAGTGGCGCGATCTCGGCTCACTGCAACCTCCGCCTCCCGGGTTCACGCCATTCTCCTGCCTCAGCCTCCCGAGTAGCTGGGACTACAGGCGCCCACCACCATGCCCAGCTAATTTTTTGTATTTTTAGTAGAGAAGGGGTTTCACCGTGTTAGCCAGGATGGTCTCGATCTCCTGACTTCGTGATCCGCCCGCCTCAGCCTCCCAAAGTGTTGGGATTACAGGCACCCGCCACCACGCCCGGCCAATTTTTGTATTTTTAGTAGCGACGGGGTTTCACCATGTTGGCCAGGCTGGTCTCAAACTTGTGACCTCACATGATCTGCTCACCTCGGCCTCCCAAAGTGCTGGGATTACAGGCGTAAGCCACAGCGTCCAGCTATTTTATTTTATTTGTTTTATTTTTTGTGACAGAGTCTCACTCTGTCGCCCAGGCTGGAGTGCAGTGGAGCGATCTCAGCTCACTGCAACCTCTGCCTCCGGAGCTGAAGCAATTCTCCCGCCTCAGCCTCCCAAGTAGCTGGCATTACAGAGGTACGCCACCACGCCTGGCTAAATTTTGTTTGTTTGTTTGTTTGTTTGTTTGTTTGTTTTTGTTTTTCAGTAGACACAGGGTTTCACTATGTTGGCCAGGCTGGTCTCGAACTCCTGACCTCACATGATCTGCCTGCCTCAGCCTCCAGAAGTACTGGGATTACAGCCGTGAGCCACCTCACCCAGCCAGCAGCTTGGTTTTATGTTTGTTTATATATTTATTTATTTATTTATTTTTAATTTTTGGAGACGGAGTCTTGCTCTGTTGCCTGGGCTGGAGTGCAGTGGCATGATCTTGGCTCACGGCAACCTCTGCCTTTCGAGTTCCAGTGATTCTCCTGCCTCAGCCTCGCGAGTAGCTGGGAGTACAGGCGCCCGCCATCACACCCGGCTAGTATTTGTATTTTTAGTAGAGAGAGGGTTTCACCGTATTGTCCAGGCTGGTCTTGAACTCCTGTCCTCAAGTGATCCACCCACCTGAGCCTCTCAAAGTGCTGGGATTGCAGGCGTGAGCCTCTGTGGCCAGCCAACAGACAGTTTTGCAGGACCATTTCAAAATATGTCAAGTAAATATATTTTGGGGTGAAATGTATTTTAAAGTGGCATATACTGATTTCCCACAGTCTTGTCTGGGGAGGCATATCCTGGCCTCCTAGAAAGCATACACAGTAGCAGACAGGTGTGGTGGCTCACGCCTGCAATCCCAGCCCTTTGGGAGGCCGAGGCAGGTGGATCACAAGGTCAGGAGATCGAGACCATCCTGGCCAACATGGTGAAATGCTATCTCTACTAAAAATACAAAAATTAGCTGGGCGTGGTGGTGCATGCCTGTAATCCCAGCTACTCGAGAGGCTGAGGCAGGAGGACCACTTGAACCTGGCAGGTGGAGGTTGCAGTGAGCTGAGATCACGCCACTGCACTCCAGCCTGGGAGACAGAGCGAGGCTCCGTCTCTAAATAAATAAATAAAGCTTACGCAGTAGCTGAGAAGACAGGGAAAAGAGGTGAAGAAATGACAGAAAGCTTAGAAGTCGCTCATTATAACCCCTTCCTACCCCATCTCATGCTTCCCTTAAAGCATAAACGAAGGGTGCTTGTGTTACAGGAAAGGGGTTCGGATCCAGCCCCCAAGAGGGGGTTCTTGGATCTCACGCAAGAAAGAATTCAGGGCGGCCGGGCGCTGTGGCTCACACCTGTAATCCCAGCACCTTGGGAGGCAGAGGCGGGCGGATCACGAGGTCAGGAGTTCGAGACCAGCCTGACCAACATGGTGAAACCCCATCTCTACTAAAAATACAAAAATTAGCCAGGTGTGGTGGTGCGTGCCTGTAGTCCCAGCTACTCGGGAGACAGAGGCAAGAGAATGGCGTGAACCCGGGAGGCGATGCTTGCAGTGAGTGGAGATCATGCCACTACACTCCAGCCTGGGCGATAGAGTAAGTCCATCTCAAAAAAAAAAAAAAAAAAAAAAAATTCGGGGTGAGTCAGCAGTGCAAAGCCAAAGCAAATTTATTACAAAAGTAAAACAGTGAAAGAATAGCTACTCCAGAGGCCGGGCGCAGTGGCTCATGCCTGTAATCCCAGCACTTTGGGAGGTGGAGGTGGGCAGATCACCTGAGGTCAGGAGTTCGAGACCAGCCTGACCAACATGGTGAAACCCCATCTCTACTAAAAATACAAAAATTAGCCAGGCATGGTGGTGCGTGCCTGTAGTCCCAGCTACTCGGGAGGCTGAGGCAGTAGAATTGCTTCAACTTGGGAGACGGAGGTTGCAGTGAGCCGAGATGGCACCACTGCACTCCAGCCTGGGCAACAGAATGAGACTCAGTCTCAAAAAAAAAAAAAAAAATTTCAGGGCGAGCAAGTTTATTATGAAAGTAAAATAGTGAAAGACTAGGTACTCCAGAGGCCAGGCGCAGTGGCTCATGCCTATAATCCCAGCACTTTGGGAGCCCGAGGCAGGTGGATCACCTGAGGTCAGGAGTTCGAGACCAGCCTCGCCAACATGGTGAAACCCCATCTCTACTAAAAATACAAAAATTAGCCAGGCATGGTGGTGCGTGCCTGTAGTCCCAGCTACTTGGAGGCTGAGGCAGTAGAATTGCTTCAACTTGGGAGACGGAGGTTGCAGTGAGCCAAGATGGCACCACTGCACTCCAGCCTGGGCGACAGAATGAGACTCAGTCTCAAAAAAACAAAAGATTTCAGGGCGAGCAAGTTTATTATGAAAGTAAAGTAGTGGAAGACTAGCTACTCCAGAGGCCAGGTGCAGTGGCTCATGCCTATAATCCCAGCACTTTGGGAGCCCGAGGCAGGTGGATCACCTGAGGTCAGGATTTCGAGACCAGCCTCGCCAACATGGTGAAACCCCATCTCTACTAAAAATACAAAAATTAGCCAGGCGTGTTGGTGCGTGCCTGTAGTCCCAGCTACTCGGAGGCTGAGGCAGTAGAATTGCTTCAACTTGGGAGACGGAGGTTGCAGTGAGCCGAGATGGCACCACTGCACTCCAGCCTGGGTGACAGAATGAGACTCAGTCTAAAAAAAAAAAAAATTCAGGGCAAGCAAGTTTATTATGAAAGTAAAATAGTGAAAGACTAGGTAATCCAGAGGCTGGGTGCAGTGGCTCATGCCTATAATCCCAGCACTTTGGGAGCCCAAGGCATGTGGATCACCTGAGGTCAGAAGTTCGAGACCAGCCTGGCCAACATGGTGAAACCCCATCTCTACTAAAAATACAAAAATTAGCCAGGCGTGTTGGTGCGTGCCTGTAGTCCCAGCTACTCGGAGGCTGAGGCAGTAGAATCACTTGAACCTAGGAGACAGAGGTTGCAGTGAGCCGAGATGGCGCCACTGTACTCCAGCCTGGGCGACAGAGTGAGACTCCATCTCCAAAAAATAAATAAATAAGTCAACCAAGAAGGCCGTACGTACAGTGGCTCACACCTGTCATCCCATCACTTTGGGAGGCCGAGGCAGGGGGATTACTTGAGATCAGGAGTTTGAGACCAGCCTGGCCAACATGGTGAAACCCCGTCTCTACTAAAAATACAAAAATTAGCCAGGCGTGTTGGTGCGTGCCTGTAGTCCCAGCTACTCGGAGGCTGAGGCAGTAGAATGGCTTCAACTTGGGAGACGGAGGTTGCAGTGAGCCGAGATGGCACCACTGCACTCCAGCCTGGGCGACAGAGCAAGACCGTCTACAAAATAATAATAATAATTAATAATAATAATAATAACTAGTGCAAGAGAAGTACACAAATATCCCAAACATTTAGTGACTCAGCAGAGGGGGCCAGTCTCAAGGAACAGGACTTCTACACCTGTTACCACCACCTGGGGAGTTGTATCTGAATCTCAAGGTCAGGCCCACCCAGACAGAACATGCATCTCTAGGGTGCCACAGGAGAGTCTGTCCAGTGCCCAGAAACACCTGCAAGACCCAGAAGCAGGCTCCAAGAAGCGGGGTGCCACAGTCCAGTGGGGGAAGCGGCCACATCCCTGTCATGTGGGCTACAGATGAGTTGGGGGGCAGGGGCAGGAGAAGAAGAAACAGGTGTGGCCTACATGCTTTTACTTCCTCTTAGCAAGCGAGGTTCCTCTTGCAGAGGAACGGTCTGAGAGACACAACCGTTTTTTTTTTTTGTTTGTTTGCTTTTCCTTGAGACAGAGTCTCCCTCTGTCACCCAGGCTGGAGGGCAGTGGCGCGATCTCGGCTCACTGCAGCCTCCACCTCCTGGGTTCAAGCGATTCTCCTGCCTCAACCTCCCGAGTAGCTGGGATTACAGGCACCCACCACCCCACCCGGCTAATTTTTGTATTTCTAGTATAGATGAGGTTTCACCGTATTAGCCAAGCTGGTCCCGAACTCCTGACCTCAGGCGATCCGCCTGCCTTGGCCTCCCAAAGTGCTGGGATTACAGGCGTGAGCCACTGTGCCCGGCCGAGAGACGCAATCTTTCAGAGAGGAGGTTTGGAGCAGGAACCTCAGGGTGGACAGATGGGTCCCACCAGGTGCAGATGCTTGAACTAAAGATGCTACAAAGGCCGGGTGCAGTGGTTCATGCCTGTAATTCCAGCAGTTTGAGAAGCTGAGGCAGGCAGATCATCTGAGGTCAGGAGTTCGAGCCCAGCCTGGCCAACATGGCAAAACAGCGTCTCTACTAAAAATGCAAAATTAGCCTGGCATAATGGCGGGCGCCTATAATCCCAGCTACTTGGGAGGCCGAGGCAGGAGAATCGCTTGAACCCGGGAGGCGGAGGTTGCAGTGAGCCAAGATTGCACCACTGCACTCCAGCCTGGGTGACAAGAGTGAAACTCCGTCTCAAAAAAAAAAAAAAAAAAAGAAGAAGAAGAAAAGAAATACATTAGTTTGGTCCATAAAGGCGGGACAACTCAAAGTGGGGGCTTCCAGGCTATAAATGAATTTAAACATTTTCTGGTTGACAATTGGTTGAGTTTGTAGCTCCTCCTCCTTCTCTTCTTCCTCCTCCTTCTCCCCCCTTCCTCCTCTTCCTCCTCTTCCTCCTCCTCCTTCTTCTTCTCTTCTTTCTTCTTCTTCTCTTTCCCCTTCTTCTTCTTCTTCCTCCTCCTTCTCCTCCTCCTTTTTCTTCTTCTTCCTTATGGGCTTGGATAGAAGTATATTGACATGGATCCACCATTTGTAGAATCATACCGAGTAGCTTCTTTTCTCCTCCTTCCTCTCCTTCTCCTCCTCCTCCTCCTCCTTCTCCTGCTCCTTCTCCTCCTCCTCCTCCTGCTCCTTCTCCTCCTCCTCCTCCTTCTCCTCCTCCTCCTCCTGCTTCTCCTCCTCCTCCTTCTCCTCCTCCTGCTTCTCCTCCTCCTCCTTCTCCTCCTCCTCCTTCTCCTCCTCCTCCTTCTCCTCCTCCTCATTCTCCTCCTGCTCCCCTTCTCCTCCTCCTTCTCCTCCTCCTCCTTCTCCTCCTGCTCCCCTTCTCCTCCTCCTTCTCCTCCTCCTCCTCCTCCTGCTCCTCCTCCTCCAGCTCCCCTTCTCCTCCTACTCCTCCTTCTCCTCCTTCTCCTTCTCCTCCTTCTCCTACTCCTCCTTCTCCTACTCCTCCTTCTCCTACTCCTCCTTCTCCTCTTCCTTCTTCTCCTCCTCCTGCTCCTTCTCCTCCTCTTCCTCCTACTCCTCCTTCTCTTCCTTCTCCTCCTCCTCCTTCTCCTCCTCCTCCTTCTCCTCTTCCTCCTTCTCCTCCTCCTCCTTCTCCTCCTCCTCCCTCTCCTCCTCCTCCGCCTTCTCCTACTCCTCCTTCTCCTCCTCCTTCTTCTCCTCCTCCTGCTCCTTCTCCTCCTCCTCCTTCTCCTCCTGCTCCTTCTCCTCCTCTTCCTCCTACTCCTCCTTCTCTTCCTTCTCCTCCTCCTCCTTCTCCTCCTCCTGCACCTTTCCTCCTCCTCCTTCTTTTTCCTTTTTTGCATAAAGAAGTATCAAATAAGAGTAGTTTCACTGCCCTAAACATCCTCTGAGGTCCATGTATTCATCCCTCCATCTGCCCAACGCCAACCAACTCCGGATCTTTTTACTGTTTCCATGATTTTGTCTTTTCCACAGTGTCCAAGTGTTAGAATGACTCAGTCTGCAGCCATCTCAAAGTGGATTCTTTCCCTTAGTCATAAGTATTTAAACTTCATTCATGTCGTTTTATGTACTCACCCTTTTTTTCTTCCTCTTCTTTTTTTTTTTTTTTTCACTTTCCTTTTATAGCTGTTGCAAAAGTCAAGATTTTTTAAAAAATATAAAAGAGCAGGGCCGGGCACGGTGGCTCACGCCTGTAATCCCAGCACTTTGGGAGGCCGAGGCAGGTGGATCACGAGGTCAGGAGATGGAGACCATCCTGGCTAACACGGTGAAAGCCTGTTTCTACTAAAAAAAAAAAAAAAAAAAAAAAATTAGCTGGGTGTGGTGGCAGGCGCCTGTAGTCCCAGCTACTTGGGAAGCTGAGGCAGGAGAATGGTGTGAACCTGGGATGTGGAGGTTGCAGTGAGCCGAGATCGCGCCACTGCACTCCAGCCTGGGTGACAGAGCGTGACTTTGTCTCAAAAAAGAAAAAAAAAGTACAAAAGAGCAAAACAAAACAAAAGTTATGAAAATGAAAACCTGAGCCATCGTTTATCTTATTTCCCCAAATCCACTAATTATTAACAGAAAGTAAAAGCTATGAAAAATGAATGAAAGTGACTGCAATTTCCTTGAAGTGTGTTAGAACCTGCCTTTAGTGTCAGCTATGGGTTCCCTCATGAAGGTCAGCTGAGCCATGACCCATGAACCATGGAAGCTTGACTCTAGATTGACCATCTTGAGATGCCAAAGATGTCCACGTCCTAATCCCATGTGGGAGACAGAATAATGGCCCTGCAGACCTTCCCAGCTGGCCATGACCCCTCATTTGACCAGGTCAGCGGCTGACCACCATCCTGGGTTTGTTTCCCCAAATCACCTCCCTGGGGTCCCCTGCCAGGAATGTCCTGGGAGAGGCAACCTTCTCACTGTGTGATATTTTCTCTCCTGCAGCTCTTCCCTTCTCTCTGACCAGCACCATGCTTCTCCTGGTGACAAGCCTTCTGCTCTGTGAGTTACCACACCCAGCATTCCTCCTGATCCCAGAGAAATCGGGTAAGTATGGAAACCTGGCTGAACCTTCTCCGCGGCCCCTGTTTAGATGTCCTGCATCTGGAGACCCATCTGGATACCTGGGTCCATCTGCATTTCATCTCTAATGTTTATGAGGGACCCAATAAGCACCAGCCAACCCACCAGAAGCTCAGAGCTCCTCTTGTTCTCACCTCCTTTTCTGCTGTTAATTCCCATCCACCCATTCTACAGATGAGAAAACGGAGGCTCAGATACCTCCACAGTTTAACCCAACGACCATCCAGGTAGTGATGGGGCCAG
The DNA here is from genome assembly GCF_000001405.40 of Homo sapiens. Lineage (NCBI taxonomy): Eukaryota > Metazoa > Chordata > Mammalia > Primates > Hominidae > Homo > Homo sapiens. The sequence continues at coordinate 1,283,059 of NC_000024.10, forward strand.
GATGAGGACCCATGTCTGCATGGGGCCAAAGTGTTCCTTCCTTCCTTCGTTCCTTCGTTCCTTCGTTCCTTCCTTCCTTCCTTCCTTCCTTCCTTCGTTCCTTCCTTCGTTCCTTCCTTCCTTCCTTCCTTCCTTCCCTCCCTTGCTTCCTTCTCTTCCTCCTGCCCTCCCTCTTTCCATCCTTCCTTCTCTCCTTCCTTCCATCCTTCTCTCCCTCCTGATTCATTTCTTCTCTTTCTTTCTCTTCCTTCCTTCCCTCCTTCCCTTTCTCTCTTTCTTCCTTCCATTGTTTCCTTCTTTCCTTCCTTCTTCCGTCCCTCCCTTCTTTCTTTCTCTTTCTTCCTTCCCTCCTTCCCTCTCTCTCTTTCTTCCTTCCATTGTTTTTCTTTCTTTCCTTCCTTCCCTCCCTCCCTCCCTCTCTCTCTCTCTTTCTTTCTTTCTTTCTCCTTTTTTTTTCTCCTTCTTTGTTTCTTTCTTCCTCTTTCTTCTTTCTTTCTTTCTTTCTTTCCTTCTTTCTTTTTCTTTCTTTTCAGAGTCTCCCTCTTGTTGCCCAGGCTGGAGTGCAATGGCTCAATCTCAGCTCACTGCAAACTCAGCCTCCCGGGTTCAAGCGATTCTCCTGCCTCAGCCTCCCGAGTAGCTGGGATTACAGGCGCCTGCCACCAGGCCCAGCTAATTTTTTTGTATTTTTAGTAGAGATGGGGTTTTGTCATGTTGGCCAGGCTGGTCTCAATCTCCTGGCCTCAGGTGATCCCGTGCCTCGGCCTCCCAAAGTGCTAGGATTACAGCTATGAGCCGCCACACCCAGCCTCTTGTTTGTTGACTTCTTAATAGCAGCCATTGTGACTGGCGTGGAATGATAGCTCATTGTGGTTTTGATTTGCGTTTCCGGGAGGGACCCTCTTGACTGAGGGTGTCAGGGCCTCTGCTTCAGGAAAGTATTTCCAGGTTTTTGTGACCTGGTTCAGGGAAGACAGACAAAGACAGCTTTCTGTTTCTGCAATTTTCTCAAATTCCTTCAGCTTTATATTAAACTGCCAAGGTTCCATAATTTGGGAAGTGTGTTCAGAGCCACATCACTCTGGATAAAGAGCCTTTGCCTGTTCTCATTCAAGCGGTTTTCTTTCTCTGTCTCTCTTTTTTTTTTTTTTTTTTTTTTTTTTGAGACAGGATCTCGCTCTGTCTCCCAGGCTGGAGTGCAGTGGCGTGATCTCGGCTCACTGCAGCCTCAGCTTTCTGGGATCAAGTATCCTCCCACTCCAGCCTCCCAAGTAGCTGGGACTGCAGAAATACACCACCATGCCAAGCTAATTTAAATTTTTTTTTTAATTTTATAGAGGAGATCTTGCTATGTTGCCAAGACTAGTTTTTGATTTTTTTTTTTTTTTGAGATGGAGTCTTACTCTGTCACCCAGGCTGGAGTGCAGTGGCGCGATCTCGGCTCACTGCAGCCTCAGCTTTCTGGGATCAAGTATCCTCCCACTCCAGCCTCCCAAGTAGCTGGGACTGCAGAAATACACCACCATGCCAAGCTAATTTAAATTTTTTTTTTTTTAAATTTTATAGACGAGATCTTGCTATGTTGCCAAGACTAGTTTTTGATTTTTTTTTTTTTTTTTTTTTTGAGATGGAGTCTTACTCTGTCTCCCAGGCTGGAGTGCAGTGGCGCGATCTCGGCTCATTGCAACCTCCACCTCCCGGGTTCAACCGATTCTCCTGCCTCAGCCTCCTGAGTAGCTGGGATTACAGGTACCCGCCACCATGTCCACCTAATTTTTTTGTATTTTTAGTAGAGACAGGGTTTCACCACATTGGCCAGGCTGGTCTCGAACTGCTGACCTCAGGTGATCCGCCCACCTCAGCCTACCAAAGTGCTGGGATTGCAGGCATGAGCCACCGCGCCTGGCCAGTTTTTGATGATTTCTGCAGTAAACATCTCCATGTGGAGAAGGAGCAAGCTGGGACCACAGATGTGCACCATCACACCTGCCTAATTTAAATTTTTAAAAAAAAATTTTTTTTAAAGAGATGCGATCTTGCTATGTTGCCCAGGCGGGATCTGAACCTACTGGGCTCAAGTCAGCTTTTTGCCTCAGCCTCCCAAGGTGCTGGGATTAGAGGCGTGAGCCACCACCCCCAGTCTTCAGATGATTTTTGAATATTTCTGCAGTAGAAATCTCCTTTTTCAGAAACAGCCAGGGGGCTGTGAAAAGGAGGGAAGATGGACAAGGGAGGAACAGATACCTGAGGATGTGGGACGTCCTGGGGCCATGTGGGTGACAGAGGAAAATCAGCAGGCTTCAGCCCTGAACTTCACCTCCCAGAGCCGGGTGGGAGGACAGAAAACAGGGCCGGCCGGGCACGGTGGCTCACGCCTGTTATCCCAGCACTTCGGGAGGCTGAGGCAGGCGGATCACCTGAGGTCGGCAGTTCGAGACCAGCCTGACCAACATGGTGAAACCCCCATCTCTACTAAAAATACAAAAATTAGCTGGGCATGGTGGTCGGCGCCTGTCATCCCAGCTACTCGGGAGGCTGAGGCAGGAGAATCATTTGAACCCGGGTGGTGGAGCTTGCAGCTTGCAGTGACCTGAGATCACAGCACTGCACTCCAGCCTGGGAGACAAAGCCAGACTCCGTCTCAAAAAAAAAAAAAAAAAAAAAAAAAAAAAAGGAAAAGAAAAGAGGAAATTCTGAACCCAGTGCCCGCTCCTTGCAGATCTGCGAACAGTGGCACCAGCCTCTAGTCTCAATGTGAGGTTTGACTCCAGGACGATGAATTTAAGCTGGGACTGCCAAGAAAACACAACCTTCAGCAAGTGTTTCTTAACTGACAAGAAGAACAGAGTCGTGGAACCCAGGGTGAGACGAATTTCCCATTCTCAACCCCTGTCCTTTACACACCCCTTTCTGAGTTAAAAGCAACAGGGCCGGCTGGGCGCGGCGGCTCACGCCTGTCATCCCAGCACTTTGGGAGGCTGAGGTGGGCGGATCACCTGAGGTCGGGAGTTCAAGACCAGCCTGACCAACATGGTGAAACCCCGTCTCTACTACAAATACAAAATTAGCCGGGCGTGCTGGTGCATGCCTGTAGTCCCAGCTACTCAGGAGGCTGAGGGCAGAAGAATTACTCGAACCCGGGAGGTGGAAGTTGCAGTGAGTCGAGCTCGTGCCATTGCACTCCAGCCTGGGTGACAGAGCGAGACTCTGTCTCATAAAATGCAATAAGGCCGGGTGTGGTGGCTCACGCTTGTCATCCCAGCACTCTGGGAGGCCGAGGCAGGTGGATCACCTGAGGTCAGGAGTTCAAGACCAGGCTGACCAACATGGTGAAACCCCATCTCTACTAAAAATACAAAAATTAGTCGGGCATGGTGGCAGGCATCTGTAATCCCAGCTACTCGGGAGGCTGAGGCAGGAGAATTACTGAAACTCGGGAGGCGGAGGTTGCGGTGAGCCGAGATGGTGCCATTGCACTCCAGCCTGGGCAACAAGAGCAAAACTCTGTCTCCAAAAAAAAAAAAAAATAATAAATTCAATTAAATAAAAGCGAGAGGGCCACAGACACAAACAACACAAGTGTGGTATTTGGAGAAATGTCACAGCCATAATCTCACGGGAACCGGGAAAGTGCTGTTAGCTCATGTCCACAATGTGTACCAGAGCCTGATTCCCTGAGGCAGAGCCTATGTTACCGTATTTTACCCCAAGAGAAGAGAAATCCTGGCAAATGCAGTTGGATGTGCCCCTGGGTCTGTGGTGGAAGCAGGACGGAGAAAAGTAAAGTGTCAGTCACGTTGTCAGTGTGTCACCGTCCTGGTTCCCCAAGGGATTAAGGTCAGGGTTTTTGGAACACAGGAGACAGAGACAGAAGAGCGGGGAGAGGGGAGGGAAGGAGGGAGAAACACAGAGAAAGGATAGAAGGAGGAGGGAGAGGAAGAGAGAAATATGGATGATCGATAGATAGGTGATAGATGATTTATTGACTGATAGGTGATAATAGATGATTGGAAGATTGATAATCAATTCTATAGGTAGATGCTACACGGAGGGATGGGTGGTCTTGCTATGTTACCCCAGATGACATACTTTTTTTTTTTTTTTTTTTTTTTGAGATGGAGTTTCCCTCTTGTTGCCCAGGCTGGAGTACACTGGTGTGATCTTGGCTCACTGCAACCTCCACCTCCTGGGTTCAAGCGATTCTCCTATCTCAGCCTCCTGAGTAGCTGGGATTACAGGTGCGTGCCACCACGCCTGGCTAATTTTTGTATTTTTAGTAGAGACGGGGTTTCACCATGTTGGCCAGGCTGGTCTCCAACTCCTGACCTCGTGATCCACCCTCCTTGGCCTCCCAAAGTGCTGGCATTACAGGTGTGAGCCACCGTGTCCGACCTTTATTTTTTGGGATGGAGTCTCGCTCTGTCGCCCAGGCTGGAGTGCACTGGCGTGATCTCAGCTCCCTGCAACCTGTGCCTCCTGGGTTCAAGAGATTCTCCTGCCTCAGCCTCCTGAGTAGCTGGGATTACAGGTGCCCACCACCACACCTGGCTAATTTTTGTATTTTTAGTAGAGACGGGGTTTCACCATGTTGGCCAGGCTGATCTTGAACTCCTGACCTCAAGTGATCCACCCGCCTCGGCCTCCCAGAGTGCTGGCATTACAGGTGTGAGCCACTATGTCCGACCCTTTTTTTGGGGGGATGGAGTCTCTGTCTGTCACCCAGGCTGGAGTGCACTGGCGTGATCTCAGCTCACTGCAACCTGTGCCTCCTGGGTTCAAGAGAGTCTCCTGCCTCAGCCTCCCGAGTAGCAGGGATTACAGGTGCCTGCCACCACACCTGGCTAATTTTTGTATTTTTAGTAGAGACGGGGTTTCACCATGTTGGCCAGGCTGGTCTTGAACTCCTGACCTCAAGTGATCCACCCGCCTTGGCCTCCCAGAGTGCTGGGATTACAGGTGTGAGCCACGGCACCTGGCCTCTAGTCTGGTACTTTCAGCACTGCTAGAGTATAAGATTGAGTTTTCACCTGCAAGCTGGTATTCAGCGTATCCACTCAGAGCCCTCGGAGGAAGCTTAGGGGGATGATTTCACAAAGGGAGGCAGGTGCGTGTCGCCAAATCCAGGTAAAAACCAATACCATGGCCGGGCATGGTGGCTCACGCCTGTAATCCCAGCACTTTGGGAGGCCGAGGCGGGTGGATCACCTGAGGTCAGGAGTTTGAGACCAGCCTGGCCAACATGGTGAAACCCTGTCTCTACTACAAATACACAAATTAGCAGGGTGTGGTGGCGGGTGTCTGTAATCCGAGCTACTCGGGAGGCTGAGGCGGGAGAATTGCTTGAACCTGGAAGGCGGAGGTTGTAGTGAGCCGAGATCACGCCACTGCACTCCAGCCTGGGAGACTGTAGGAGACAGAAGGTTGTTTCCTAATCGGCTCTGTCTGGTTGCAATTCTTCAGCTCAGTAACAACGAATGTTCGTGCACATTTCGTGAAATTTGTCTGCATGAAGGAGTCACATTTGAGGTTCACGTGAATACTAGTCAAAGAGGATTTCAACAGAAACTGCTTTATCCAAATTCAGGTAAGCAAGACAGCTCAGGGATCCGTTTACAGCACTGGCCCCACCACCCCGCCAGCATCAAAGTACATCCCGTTGAACTTCGGAGTGAAAATTATTTTGTTTCTACCTCTTCCCAGGAAGGGAGGGTACCGCTGCTCAGAATTTCTCCTGTTTCATCTACAATGCGGATTTAATGAACTGTACCTGGGCGAGGGGTCCGACGGCCCCCCGTGACGTCCAGTATTTTTTGTACATACGAAACTCAAAGTAAGTGTTCACCTCATGTGAAGAATTATGAGGAATGCAGGGATGGGAGAAAAAATCATGCTGGTTTTCTTTTTTTCCTTTTTCTTTTTTTAAGACATGGTCTTGCTCTGTTGCCCAGGCTGCAATGCAATGGTGCCACCTCGGCTCACTGCAACCTCGACCTCCTGGGTTCAAGCAATTTTCCTGCCTCAGCTTCCCAGGTAGCTGGGATTACAGGCGCCCGCCACCACACCAGGCCACATCTATGTATTTAGAGACAGAGTCTTGCTCTGTCGCCCAGGCTGGAGTGTAGTGATGTGATCTCAGCTCCCTGCAACCTGCGCCTCCCTCCAGGGTTCAAGTGATTCTCCTGCCTCAGCCTCCCAAGTAGCTGGGACTACAGGTGCACTCCACCACACCTGTCTAATTTTTGTATTTTTAGTAGAGACAGGGTTTCACCATGCTGGCCAGGCTGGTCTCCAACTCCTGACCTCAAGTGATCTGCCTGCCTCAACCTCCCCAAAGTGCTGGGATTACAGGCGTGAGCCACTGCACCTGGCCTGTTTTTTTGGTTGTTGTTTTGTTTTGTGTTTTTTGTTTTGTTTTGTGTTTCTTTTTGTTTTGCCTTGTGTTTTTGTGTTCTTGTTTTGTTTTGTGTTTCTGTGTTTTTCTTTTGTTTTTGTGTTTTTTTGGTTTCACGTTTTTGTGGTGTTTTGTGTTTTTGTGTTTTTGTTTTTTGTGTTTGTTTTTGTTTTGTTTTGTGTTTTGTTTTGTGTTTGTTTTTGTTTTGTTTTGTGGTTTTTGTTTTGTGTTGTGTTTGTTTTTGTTTTGTGTTTTTTTGTTTGTGTTTTGGTGTTTTTGTTTTGTGGTTTTCTTTTGTGTTTGTTTTTGTTTTGTGTTTTTGTGTTTTTGTTTCATTTTGTTTTGTTTTGTGTTTTTGTGTTTTGTTTTGTTTTGTGTTTGTTTTTGTTTTGTTTTGTGTTTTTGTGTTTTTGTTTTGTGTTTTGTGTTTTTGTGTTTTGTTTTGTTTTGTGTTTTTGTGTTTTGTTTTTGTGTTTTGTTTTGTTTTGTGTTTTTGTGTTTTGTTTTGTGTTTGTTTTTGTTTTGTTTTGTGTTTTTGTGTTTTTGTTTTGTGTTTTGTGTTTTGTTTTGTGTTTTTGTGTTTTGTTTTGTTTTGTGTTTTTGTTTTGTTTTGTGTTTTTGATTTGTGTTTTTGTGTTTTGTTTTGTGTTTGTTTTTGTTTTGTGTTTTGTGTTTTTATGTTTTGTTTTGTGTTTGTTTTCGTTTTGTTTTGTGTTTTTGTTTTGTGTTTTGTGTTTTTGTGGGTTTTTTTTGTTTTGTGTTTTTGTTTTGTGTTTTTGTGTTTTGTGTTTTTGTGTTTTGTTTTGTGTTTGTTTTTGTTTTGTTTTGTGTTTTTGTGTTTTGTTTTGTTTTCCTGATTGCTCTCTGAGCACTTTCTAATCTTTCAGGAGAAGGAGGGAGATCCGGTGTCCTTATTACATACAAGACTCAGGAACCCATGTGGGATGTCACCTGGATAACCTGTCAGGATTAACGTCTCGCAATTACTTTCTGGTTAACGGAACCAGCCGAGAAATTGGCATCCAATTCTTTGATTCACTTTTGGACACAAAGAAAATAGGTGAGAATAACACATATGATTTTCCTATTGTTTATAGGTGAAATGGAATTTGCCTTAAAATCTGTGTAACTGAGGCCACGTGCGGTGTCTCACACCTGTAATCTCAGCACTTTGGGAGGCCGAGGCGGGCCGATCACCTGAGATCGGGTGTTCAAAACCAGCCTGACCAACATGGGGAAACCCCATCTCTACTAAAAATACAAAAATTAGCCGGGCATGGTGGCGCGTGCCTGTAATCCCAGCTACTCGGAAGGCTGAGGAGAATCACTCAAACCTAGGAGGCGGACGTTGCAATGAGGTGAGATTGTGCCACTGCACTCCAGCTTGAGCGACAGAGCAAGACTCTGTCTCAAAAACAAACAAACAAAAATCTGTGTAACTTTGGTGCTGTAACAAATTAGAACTGAGCTGATTTAACTTTCCTTTTTTTGAGATAGAGTCTCGCTCTGTCACCCAGGCTGGAGTGCAGTGGTGCAATCTCAGCTCACTGCAACCTCTGCCTCCCAGGTTCAAGCGATTCTTCTGTCTTAGTCTCCTTAGTAGCTTGGATTACAGGTGCACACCACCACGCTCGGCTAATTTTTGTATTTTTAGTAGAGGCAGTGTTTCACCATCTTGGCCGGGCTAGTCTCGAACTCCTGACCTCAGATGATCCACCTGCCTCAGCCTCCCAAAGTGCTGGGATTACAGGCGTCAGCCACTGCACCTGACCTCCCTCTTTACCTCCTTCCTTCTTTCCTTCCTCCCTGCCTTTCTGCCTTTCTTCTTTTTTCTTCCTTCCTTCCTTCCTTCCCTCCCTCCCTCCTTTCCTTCCTTCCTTCCTCCTTCCCTCCCTTCTTCCTTCCCTCCCTCCCTCTCTCCCTCCCTTCTTCATTCCTTCCTTCTTCCTCTCCTTCCTTCTCCTTCACTCATTTCCTCCTTCCTTCCTCTTTTTCTTCATTTCTTCCTCACCAGCACCTCTTCGTGTCCCAGTGCCCTGCTCCTGGCTGGCCTCTTGGAGCCAGTCCCATATGCCCACACGCTCTCCTCTTCCCAAGCCCACCGCATCCCACCCGTGGACTCCTTCATCCCGTTGGACGTTCCCAGCCTCTTCAGGCTTAGGACTCTCACAGAAGTGTGACTCCTGCCCACCAAGCCCATCCCCACCTCCCACCCTGGAACCCCTGCCCCAGTGGGTATCTCTCCTGTACATGGTAGCTGCCCCACCTCCACTTGGACCCAGTGTAGACAGGAGGAGACCCTGTACCACCTCCACCTGGACCCAGTGTAGACAAAGAGGTGTCCCTACTCCACGTCCACCTGGATCCAGTGTAGACAGGAGGAGACTGCACCACCTCCACCTGGACCCAGTGTAGTCAAAGAGATGTCCCTACTCCACGTCCACCTGGACCCAGTGTAGACAGGAGGAGACCCTGTACCACCTCCACTTTACCCAGTGTAGACAGAAGGAGACCCTGCACCACCTCCACCTGGACCCAGTGTAGACAAAGAGGTGTCCCTACTCCACATTTACCTGGACACAGTGTAGACAGGAGGAGACTGCACCACCTCCACTTGGACCCAGTGTAGACAGGAGACCCTGCACCACCTCCACCTGGACCCAGTGTAGACAAAGAGGTGTCCCTACTCCACGTCCACCTGGACCCAGTGTAGACAGGAGGAGACTGCACCACCTCCACCTGGACCCAGTGTAGACAAAGAGGTGTCCCTACTCCACATTTACGTGGACACAGTGTAGACAGGAGGAGACCCTGCCCCACCTCTACCTGGACCCAGTGTGAAGGCGACCAGCCCTTCCACACATGTGGGTATTTCTCGTCAGGTGGGACGAGAGACTGAGAAAAGAAATAAGACACAGAGACAAAGTATAGAGAAAGAACAGTGAGCCCAGGGGACCGGCGCTCAGCATACGGAGGACCTGCACCGGTCTCTGAGTTCTCTCAGTATTTATTGCTTACTATTTTCACTATCTTGGCAAGGGGAATGTGGCAGGAGGACAGGGTGATAGTGGGGAGAAGGTCAGCAGGAAGACATATGAGCAAAGGAATCTGTGTCACAAATAAGTTCAAGGGAAGCTACTATGCCTGGATGCACACGCAGGCCAGATTTATGCTTCTCTCCACACAAACATCAGTGTAGCAAAGAGTCACAGAGCAGTATTGCCACCAGCATATCTCGCCTCCAGCCACAGGGCGGTTTTCTCCTGTCTCAGAATAGAACGAATGTACGATCGGGTTTTACACGGAGACATTCCATTCCCAGGGGCAGGCAGGAGACGGAGGGCTTCCTCTTATCTCAACCGCGAGAGGACTTCCTCCTCGGCACAGACCCTTTATGGATGTCGGGCTGGGGGACGGTCAGGTCTTTTTCCCTTCCCACGAGGCCATATCTCAGACTGTCTCAGTGGGGGGAACCCTCAGACAATACCCGGGCTCTCTCGGGCAGAGGTCCCTGCGGCTTTCCGCAGTGCATGGTGTCCCTGGTTAATAGAGAATGGAGAATGGCGATGACTTTTACCAAGCATGCTGCCTGCAAACCTATTGTTAACAAGACACAGCACATGTTTCTGTGAGCACAGTGTTGGGGCTACAGTTACAGCTTAACAGCATCTCAAGGCAAAACAGTGGTTCAACATACAGATCACAATGGAGTTTCTTACCTTCCTTTCTACATAGACACAGTAACAGTCTGATCTTTCTTTTTGTTTGTTTGTTTGTTTTTCTGAGACAGAGTCTCACTCTGTCGCCCACCCAGGCTGGAGGGCAGTGGCGGGATCTCGGCTCACTGCAACCTCCGCCTCCCGGGTTCACGCCATTCTCCTGCCTCAGCCTCCCGAGTAGCTGGGACTACAGGCACCCGCCACCACGCCCGGCTAATTTTTTTGGATTTTTAGTAGAGACGGGGTTTCACCGTGTTAGCCAGGATGGTCTCGACCTCCTGACCTCGTGATCCTCCCGCCTCGGCCTCCCAAAGTGCTGGGATTACAGGCGTGAGCCACCGCGCCCAGCCCCCTGATCTCTCTTTCTTTTCCCTACACAGAGTAGACAAAGAGGTGTCCCTACTCCACATTTACCTGGACCCAGTGTAGACAGGAGGAGACCCTGCCCCACCTCCACCTGGACCCAGCGTAGACAAAGAGGTGTTTCTACTCCATATCTACCTGGACCCAGTGTAGATGGGAGGAGACCCTGCCCCATCTCCACCTGGACCCAGTGTAGACAAAGAGGTGTCCCTAGTCCACATCCACCTGGACCGAGTGTAGACAGGAGGAGACCCTGCCCCACCTCCACCTGGACCCAGTGTAGACAGGAGAAGACTCTGCACCACCTCCACCTGGACCCAGTGTAGACAGGAGGAGACCCTGCCCCACCTCCACCTGGACCCAGTGTAGACAGGAGAAGACTCTGCCCCATCTCCACCTGGACCCAGCGTAGACAAAGAGGTGTTTCTACTCCATATCTACCTGGACCCAGTGTAGATGGGAGGAGACCCTGCCCCACCTCCACCTGGACCCAGTGTAGACAGGAGAAGACTGCACCACCTCCACCTGGACCGAGTGTAGACAGGAGGAGACCCTGCCCCACCTCTACCTGGACCCAGTGTAGACAGGAGGAGACCCTGCCCCATCTCCACCTGGACCCAGTGTAGTCAAAGAGGTGTCCCTACTCCACCTCCACCTGGACCCAGTGTAGACAGGACCTACTCCACCTCCACCTGGACCCAGTGTAGACAGGAGGAGACTCTGCACCACCTCCACCTGGACCCAGTGTAGACAGGACCTCTCGGGTTCAGGGGTGTGTCCTGCGCCCTCGTTACAGAACGATTCAACCCTCCCAGCAATGTCACCGTACGTTGCAACACGACGCACTGCCTCGTACGGTGGAAACAGCCCAGGACCTATCAGAAGCTGTCGTACCTGGACTTTCAGTACCAGCTGGACGTCCACAGAAAGGTCGGTGAGAGCTCCCCGGGGCTGGGCACCAGGAGGGAGGCGTACGGGACACGCCCGCACAGGAGCCTGGGAATCCCGGGGAAGTGGCCTGGGGGAAGGATGCGTGGGTGGTGAGCGGTGACTCTGGGGTGAACGCACTTCGGGTAGCGGAGGAAGAGGTGAAGGGTCTGTGGCCTGTGGAGCCACCTTGAAAGAGGTTGCAGGGAGGGTGGACAAGGATGATCCTGCAACCATGGAACCAGGAAGTGGACCGGGAGGTGTGGGGGACGATGCCACAAGCAAGGAGAGCCTCTGCTCCACCTCCAGCTGGACGCAGTGTAGACAGAAGGAGACCCTGCCCCATGTCTACCTGGACCCAGTGTAGATAGGAGGACACCCGACCCCACCTCCACCTACACCCAGTGTAGACAGGAGGAGACCCTGCTCCACCTCCATGGAGACCCAGTGTAGACAGGAGGAGTTCTTGTCCCACAACTACCTGGACCCAGTGTAGACAGGGAGAGAGACTGCCTCACGTCCACCTCGATCCAGTGTAGACAAGAGGAGATCTTGTCTCACAACCTCCTGGACCCAGTGTAGACAAGAAGAGACCCTGCCCCATGTCCACCTCGAGCCAGTGTAGACAAGAGGAGATCTTGTCCCACAACCACCTGGACCCAGTGTAGACAAGAAGGAGAGCCTGCTCCATGTCTACCTGGACGACAGGAGAACACCCTGCCCCAAGGCCAGTGGGACCTTTCTGGATGGGTTACAGGAAGATATCTGGCCAGGAAGACTTCTGTGTTTGCAGCTCCTCATCCTACCTGTCTTGTAGATTCGGGGTTTGTGGAGGGAGACCTGCCTGCCACTCCGCAGGGACTCCTTCCCATTCGGTGCCCACACCAGGGGAGACACTGTGTGAACCATCTACAGTGTTTTAGAAATGGAAACAGTGAGCCTTGTGTTGTGTTTTGTTTTGTTTCTAGAATACCCAGCCTGGCACGGAAAACCTACTGGTAAGTGAAACCACAGACCCTACTGACAACCCTCAGCGTAACCCTACGGTCCCCTACTCACCACACCTAGTGTAACTCTACAGTCCCCTACTCATGACCCCTACAGTCCCCTACCGACGACCTCCAGCGTAACCCTACGGTCCCCTACTCACCACACCTAGTGTAACTCTACAGTCCCCTACTCATGACCCCTACAGTCCCCTACTGACGACCTCCAGCGTAACCCTACAGTCCCCTACTCACCACACCTAGTGTAAGGAGGAGGAGACCCTGCCCCACCTCCACAGAGACCCAGTATAGACAGGAGGAGCTCTTGTCCCACAACCACCTGGACCCCGTGTAGACAGGAAGAGACCCTGCCCCACGTCCACCTAGCTTAATCCTACAGTCCCCTACTCACCACACCTAATGTAACTCTACAGTCCCCTACTCATGACCCCTACAGTCCCCTACCGATGACCTCCAGCGTAACCCTACAGTCCCCTACTCACCACATCTAGTGTAACTCTACAGTCCCCTACTCACGACCCCCGGAGTAATCCTACAGTCTCCTACTCACGACGCCTACAGTTCCCTATTCATGACCCCTAGCGTAACCATACAGTCCCCTACCCATGAGCCCTGGCATAACCCTACAATCCCCTACTCACCACACCTAGCATAAACCTACAGTCCCCTACCCATGACCCCTGGAGTAACCCTACAGTCCCCTAGTCACTACACCTAGTGTAACTAACCATACAGTTCCCTATCCATGACCTCTGGCGGAACCCTACACTCCCCTACTCACAACCCCTAGTGTAACCCTACAGTCTCCTACCCATGACCCCTGGCGGAACTGTACAGTCCCCTACTCACGACCCCTACACTCTCCTACCCATGACCCCTGGCGGAACCCTACAGTCCCCTACTCACGACCCGTACAGTCTCCTACCCATGACCCCTGGCAGAACCCTACAGTCCCCTACTCACGACCCCTACACTCTCCTACCCATGACCCCTGGCAGAACCGTACAGTCCCCTACTCACGACCCCTACAGTCTCCTACCCATGACCCCTGGCGGAACTGTACAGTCCCCTACTCACGACCCCTACAGTCTCCTACCCATGACCCCTGGCGGAACTGTACAGTCCCCTACTCACGACCCCTACACTCTCCTACCCATGACCCCTGGCGGAACCCTACAGTCCCCTACTCACGACCCCTACAGTCTCCTACCCATGACCCCTGGAGGAACCCTACAGTCCCCTACTCACGACCCCTACAGTCTCCTACCCATGACCCCTGGCGGAACTGTACAGTCCCCTACTCACGACCCCTACAGTCTCCTACCCATGACCCCTGGCGGAACCCTACAGTCCCCTACTCACGACCCGTACAGTCTCCTACCCATGACCCCTGGCAGAACCCTACAGTCCCCTACTCACGACCCCTACACTCTCCTACCCATGACCCCTGGCGGAACCGTACAGTCCCCTACTCACGACCCCTACAGTCTCCTACCCATGACCCCTGGCGGAACCGTACAGTCCCCTACTCACGACCCCTACACTCTCCTACCCAAGACCCCTGGCGGAACCCTACAGTCCCCTACTCACGACCCCTACACTTTCCTACCCATGACCCCTGGCGGAACCCTACAGTCCCCTACTCACGACCCCTACACTCTCCTACCCATGACCCCTGGCGGAACCCTACAGTCCCCTACTCACGACCCCTACAGTCTCCTACACATGACCCCTGGCGGAACCCTACAGTCCCCTACTCACGACCCCTACAGTCTCCTACCCATGACCCCTGGAGGAACCCTACAGTCCCCTACTCACGACCCCTACAGTCTCCTACCCATGACCCCTGGCGGAACTGTACAGTCCCCTACTCACGACCCCTACAGTCTCCTACCCATGACCCCTGGCGGAACCCTACAGTCCCCTACTCACGACCCGTACAGTCTCCTACCCATGACCCCTGGCAGAACCCTACAGTCCCCTACTCACGACCCCTACACTCTCCTACCCATAACCCCTGGCGGAACCGTACAGTCCCCTACTCACGACCCCTACAGTCTCCTACCCATGACCCCTGGCGGAACCCTACAGTCCCCTACTCACGACCCCTACAGTCTCCTACCCATGACCCCTGGAGGAACCCTACAGTCCCCTACTCACGACCCCTACAGTCTCCTACTCATGACCCCTGGAGTAACCCTACAGTCCCCTACTCACGACCCCTACAGTCTCCTACTCATGACCCCTGGAGTAACCCTACAGTCCCCTATTCAGGAGCCGTAGTGTGACCCTACAATCCCCTACTCACAACCCCCGGTGGAACCCTACAGTCCCCTACCCATGACCCCTGGTGGAACCCTACAGTCCCCTACTCACGACCCCTACACTCTCCTACCCATGACCCCTGGCGGAACCCTACAGTCCCCTACTCACGACCCCTACAGTCTCCTACCCATGACCCCTGGCAGAACCCTACAGTCCCCTACTCACGACCCCTACACTCTCCTACCCATGACCCCTGGCAGAACCCTACAGTCCCCTACTCACGACCCCTACAGTCTCCTACTCATGACCCCTGGAGTAACCCTACAGTCCCCTATTCAGGAGCCGTAGTGTGACCCTACAATCCCCTACTCACAACCCCCGGTGGAACCCTACAGTCCCCTACCCATGACCTCTGGTGGAACCCTACAGTCCCCTACTCACGACCCCTACACTCTCCTACCCATGACCCCTGGTGGAACCCTACAGTCCCCTACTCACGACCCCTACACTCTCCTACCCATGACCTCTGGTGGAACCCTACAGTCCCCTACTCACGACCCCTACACTCTCCTACCCATGACCCCTGGCGGAACCCTACAGTCCCCTACTCACGACCCCTACAGTCTCCTACCCATGACCCCTGGCAGAACCCTACAGTCCCCTACTCACGACCCCTACACTCTCCTACCCATGACCCCTGGCAGAACCCTACAGTCCCCTACTCACGACCCCTACAGTCTCCTACTCATGACCCCTGGAGTAACCCTACAGTCCCCTATTCAGGAGCCGTAGTGTGACCCTACAATCCCCTACTCACAACCCCCGGTGGAACCCTACAGTCCCCTACCCATGACCTCTGGTGGAACCCTACAGTCCCCTACTCACGACCCCTACACTCTCCTACCCATGACCCCTGGTGGAACCCTACAGTCCCCTACTCACGACCCCTACACTCTCCTACCCATGACCTCTGGTGGAACCCTACAGTCCCCTACTCACGACCCCTAGTGTAACCCCACATGACCCCCAGTGTAACCCTATAGTCCCCTACCCACGACCTATGTCTGCCTAGACCCAGTGTGATCAGGAGGAGACCCCACCTCACCTCCCCCTAGACCCAGTGTAGACAAGAAGGAGAGCCTGCCCCACGTCTACCTGGATCCAGTGTAGACAGGAGAATACTCTGCCCGACATACAGTTGAACCACTCACAACCCTAGCGTCACCCTACAGTCTCCACGAACCCTACAGTCTTGGTTTATGGGACTCTTAGTGCCAGTGTGGCCCAGGGGTGGACACGGTGGATCCTGAACCAGAGGATGCAGATCTCACACGGGTGAGGGCCCCCTCATAGTTCTCACTGGGCAGGGTCTGCTCTTGGCCTCAACCTTCGTGTCCCAATGGTTGGAATATTTATGCTCAGCCTGTTCTACTGATTTTCCCATTTTATTCCTCTTTCCTCTACGTGGGTTAAGAATATATTCTAGTGACTGTCTAAGGAGATTATGTCTCCCTCTAAAATGCTTTTAGAGTGAGTACTGTTGCCGGGTATTTACCAAGTCTCGCGGCCACTCTGACCCTCGGTATCCTCCTCTGTCCGATGAGTATGCTAGACTTGGGGATCTTAATATCCCTTGCTAAACTATCCGTCTGAAGGTCTGTTAATATCAGTTGTTGATCCTGAATCATTTATTTATGTATGTATTTATTTTTGAGACGGAGTCTCGCTCTGTCCCCCAGGCTGGAGTGCAGTGGTGCGATCTCGGCTCACTGCAAGCTCCACCTCCCAGCGATTGTCCTGCCTCAGCCTCCCTACAGAGATTCTACAGTCTCAGCCTGTAGCTGGGACTACAGGCACCCACCCCCACACCTGGCCAACAATTTCTGTTTCAGAAAATAAAATTTTAGCCAGGCACGGTGGCTCACGCCTGTCATCCCAGCACCTTGGGAGGCTGAGGTGGGCGGATCACTTGAGGTCAGCAGTTCAAGACCAGCCTGGGCAACATGGAGAAACCCCATCTCTACTAAAAATACAAAACGTACCCATGCGTGGTGGCGGGCGCCTGTAATCCCAGCTACGTGGGAGGCTGAGGCAGGAGAATGGCGTGAACCCGGGAAGCGGAGGTTGCGGTGAGCCCAGATCATGCCATTGCACTCCAGCCTGGGCGACAGAGCGAGAGTGTCTCAAATAAAATAAAATAAAAGAGGCCGGGCGTGGTGGCTCATGCCTGTAATCCCAGCACTTTGTGAGGCCGAGGCGGTCGGATCACGAGGTGAGGAGATCGAGACCATCCTGGCCAACATGGTGAAACCCCGTCTCCACTAAAAATACAACAAAAATTAGCCGGGCGTGGTGGTGGGCACCTGTAGTCCCAACTACTGGGGAGGCTGAGGCAGGAGAATGGTGTGAACCCTGGAGGTGGAGGTTGTAGTGAGCCAAGATCGCGCCACTGCACTGCAGCCTGGGTGACAGAGGGAGACTCCGTCTCAAAAAATAAATAAATAAAATAAAATAAAAAAGCTTAAAGCCTACATCACCCAAATTTTCCCAACTTGTCTCCCATCGAAATACTAACGAGGCTTGACTCTGCTTAGCTTCGAAGACCCGATCAGACCAAGTGCATTCAGAGTGGTAGAAAAAAAAGAAGAAAAAGAAAAAAAGAAAAGGAGAAAAAAACTTAAAAGACAAAAGAACGAAAAAAGGCAACCTTTTCCTCCACACAGAAGACGCCTATCTCTAACTTTCTTTTTTCCTCCAAAGATTAATGTTTCTGGTGATTTGGAAAATAGATACAACTTTCCAAGCTCTGAGCCCAGAGCAAAACACAGTGTGAAGATCAGAGCTGCAGACGTCCGCATCTTGAATTGGAGCTCCTGGAGTGAAGCCATTGAATTTGGTAAGCGTTGGGCGGAGGTAAGGGATGTTTGTGCCGTCTGCGGCCACCCTGCAGCAGGCACAGAGGTCAGGTGCTCTGTCCTGGGCGCTGAGATCGAGTTGAGCACGTCGCTGGGAGTAGTGTCAGGCTCTGAGCTTATCGCTGAGGCTCAAAAGAAGGAGGTGGTCTCGTACTTGGTCCCGCAACATTGCTTTGCTGATGTTTTTTCAGGACGGATGAGTTGGCTCCCTTAATAACCAGAGAAGGGCCAGGTGCAGCGGTTCACGCCTGTAATCCCAGCAATTTGGGAGGCTGAGGCCGGCGGATCACCGGAGGTCAGGAGTTTGAGACCAGCCTGGCCAACATGGTGAAACCCCGTCTCTACTAAAAATACAAAATTAGCCCAGCATTGTGGCAGGTGCCTGTAATCCCAGCTACTCGGGAGGCTGAGGCAGGAGAATCACTTGAACCCAGGAGGCGGAGGTTGCACTGAGCTGGGATCACGCCATTGCACTCCAGCCTGGGTGACAGCGTGAGACTCCGTCTCAAAAAAAAAAAGAAAAAAAAATACAAAAACTAACCAGGATTGGTGGCACATTCCTGTAATCCCAGCTACTCAGGAGGCTGAGGGCAGGAGAATGACTTGAACCCGGGAGGTGGAGGTTGCAGTGAGCTGGGGTCACGCCATTGCACTCCAGCCTGGGTGACAGAGTGAGACTCTGTCTCAAAAAAAAAAAAAAAAAAAAAAAGAAAAAGTAGAAGGAGGTGGTCTCATACTCATACGGGGTCATGCAACATTGCTTTGCTGGTGTTTTTTTCAGGGTGGATGAGCTAGAATCCCTTAATAGCCAGAGAAGGACCCCACTGATAGCCCTCCTAAAGTCCCACCTCCCTCTGCTCCACTGGGAAACAATCAGTCAGTCTTTGTCCGGTCAAACCGTCACCATTCCGGCTCCCTGGCCAAGGGGAAGCTCTCTCCCTCTTTTTTTCTTTTTTTTTTTTTTTTTTTTGAGACGGCGTTTCGCTCTTGTCGCAGGCTGGAGTCCAGTGGCGCAATCTCGGCTCACTGCAAGCTCCACCTCCTGGGTTCACGCCATTCTCCTGCCTCAGCCTCCCCAGTAGCTGGGACTACAGGTGCCCATCACCACGCCTGGCTAATTTTTTGTATTTTTTTTTTTTTAGTAGAGACAGGGTTTCACTGTTTTTTAGCCAGGATGGTCTCGATCTCCTGACCTCGTGATCCGCCCACCTCGGCCTCCCAAAGTGCTGGGATTACAGGCGTGAGCCACCGTGCCCGGCCCTCCCTCTTTTTTTTTTTTTTTTTTTTTTAGATGGCGTTTCGCTCTTGTTGCCCAGGCTGGAGTGCAGTGGTGCCATCTCGGCTCACCGCGATCTCCGCCTCCCAGGTTCAAGCAATTCTCCAGCCTCAGTCTCCCGAGTAGCTGGGATTACAGGCGCCCGCCACCACACCCGGCTAATTTTGTATTTTTAGTAGAGACGGGGTTTCACCATGTTGGTCAGGCTGTTCTTGAACTCCTGACCTCAGGTGATCTGCCCACCTCGCCCTCCCAAAGTGCTGCAATGACAGGCGTGAGCCACCCTGCCCGTCCGGGGAAGCTCTCTTCAAAGCCAGGTCTCGGCTGCCCAGGAGACAGGTCTATGCTTTTCTCTGAAGATGATTTTGAGGGCTCCAAATTGAAAAGGGGAAGGGGCAGGATATTGAGAAGTATGCGGTTTTCACCTCAACAAAGGGTACAGAAGAAAAATTGTGAGCTGCAGTGCAGTGGTGCACCTCTACCTCCCAGATCACACAGACAAAATGGGGTACAGGGATGATCAGAGGTGCATTCGTGTCTGGTGGGCCGGGGTGACTGCACCTGTAAGAAATTTTTTTTGTTTATTTATTTTTTGTTATTTGAGACGGACTCTCGCTCTGTCACCCAGGCTGGAGTGCAATGGCACGATCTCAGCTCACTACAACCTCTGCCTCCTGGGTTCAAGCGATTCTCCTGCCTCAGCCTCCCGAGTAGCTGGGATTACATTAGACATGCATCACGCTTGGCCAATTTTTGTATTTTTCTTTTTATTTATTTATTTATTTATTTTGAGATGGAGTTTCGCTGTGTCACCCAGGCTGGAGTTCAATGGCACGATCTTGGCTCACTGCAACCTCCGTCTCCCAGGCTCAAGCGATTCTCCTGCCTCAGCCTCCTGAGTAGCTACGATTACAGACATGCATCATGCTTGGCCATTTTTTAAATATTTTTATTTATTTATTTATTTTGAGACAGGGTCTCACTCTGTCACCCAGGCTGGAGTGCAATGGCACGATCTCGGCTCACTGCAACCTCCGCCTCCCGGGTTCAAGCGATTCTCCTGCCTCAGCCTCCCGAGTAGCTGGGATTACAGACATGCATCACGCTTGGCCAATTTTTGTATTTTTATTTTTATTTATTTATTTATTTATTTTGAGATGGAGTTTCGCTGTGTCACCCAGGCTGGAGTGCAATGGCACGATCTTGGCTCACTGCAACCTCCGTCTCCCAGGCTCAAGCGATTCTCCTGCCTCAGCCTCCTGAGTAGCTGGGATTACAGACATGCATCATGCTTGGCCATTTTTTAAATATTTTTATTTATTTATTTATTTTGACACAGGGTCTCACTCTGTCACCCAGGCTGGAGTGCAATGGCACAATCTCGGCTCACTGCAACCTCCGTCTCCCAGGCTCAAGCGATTCTCCTGCCTCAGACTCCCAGGTAGATAGGATTACAGGCACCCACCACCATGCCTGGCTAATTTTGTATTTTTTTTTTAGCAGAGATGAGGTTTCACCATGTTAGTGAGGCTTGTCTCGAACTCCTGACCTCAGATGATGCGCCCGCCTCGGCCTCCCAAAGTGCTGGGATGACAGGTGTGAGCCACCGTGCCTGGCCCAATTTTTGTATTTTTGGTAGAGACGGGGTTTCACCATGTTGGTCAGGCTGGTCTCGAACTCCCAACCTCAGGTGATCCTCCCGTGTCGGCCTCCCAAAGTGCTGGGATGACAGGCGTGAGCCACCGCATCCGGCCCATGGTGGCAAAGTTTTAACAGCTCACCAGAAATTTCCTTGTGGGCAAAACATAGGGCAGGCAGGTTGCTTTCATCTCAGAGCCATCTTAGTTAAGAACCAAAAACAGGGAGGCAGGTTTGCTGGGCCCAGTTCTCAGCTTGACTGTTCCCTTTGGCTAAATGCATTTGGACACCCGAAGAGATTTAATTTCCTTTCACATGTCCGTCAACGATTCACCGCAGACGCAAACCTGTGTGTCTCTCCAGGTTCTGACGACGGGAACCTCGGCTCTGTGTACATTTATGTGCTCCTAATCGTGGGAACCCTTGTCTGTGGCATCGTCCTCGGCTTCCTCTTTAAAAGGTAACCTGTGAAACACCTGGGCCTCCCCAATGAAAACAGGCCAGGCCGGGAGGAAAGCGCTTTGTCCAGTCTCTGTCTCTGTCTCTGAGAAAGAGAAACACAGCCTTGGCCGGGCGTGTTGGCTCATGCCTGTAATCCCAGCACTCTGGGAGGCCGAGGCGGGTGGATCACGAGGTCAGGAGATCGAGACCATCCTGGCTAACACAGTGAAACCCCGTCTCTACTAAAAAATTAGCCCGGCGTGGTCGCGGGCGCCTGTAGTCCCAGCTACTCGGGAGGCTGAGGCAGGAGAATCGCTTGAACCCGGGAGGTGGAGGTTGCAGTGAGCCGAGATTGCACCACTGCACTCCAGCCTGGGCGACAGGGCGAGACTCCATCTCAAAACAAACAAAAGAACGGAGAAAACGGGAGATCCTACAGGAATACACAGTGATGCTCACAGGGAATCTTTCTAGAATCTTCCCTCAGCCCCTCGGGCACAGGGATGGGAATGGAACAGGCAGTCAGCTGTGGGCAGCTTCAGGGAGTCTGAAGTCACTGCTGTTGAAGGGCTGAGCTCCAGAGGGGAAACGCCTGCCTTGATCCCACTAGCCTTGAAGAGCGTGGTTTCTGGGTTGGAGGTGGGTTTTTTTTTGTTTGTTTGTTTTTTTGTTTTTTGTTTTGAGACAGACTTTTGCTCTTGTTGCCCAGGCTGGAGTGCAGTGTTGCAATCTCGGCTCACTGCAACCTCCACCTCCCGGGTTCACGCCATTCTCCTGCCTCAGCCTCCCGAGTAGCTGGGATTACAGGCATGCACCACGATGCTCACCTAATTTTTGTATTTTTAGTAGAGATGGGGTTTCACCACGTTGGCCAGGCTGGTCTCTAACTCTTGACCTCAGGTGATCCACCCGCCTTCGCCTCCCAAAGTGCTGGGATTACAGGTGTGAGCCACCATGCCTGGCCTAGTTCCTTAAGATGTTTGTCATTTGGTGATTTTTTTTTGTTTTTTTGAGATGGAGTCTCACTCTGTCACCCAGGCTGGAGTGCAGTGGTGCAATCTCGGCTCACTGCAACCTCCACCTCCCAGGTTCAAGCAATTCTCCTGCCTCAGCCTCCTGAATAGCTGGGATTACAGGCAAGCACCACGATACTCAGCTAATTTTTGTATTTTTAGTAGAGACGGGGTTTCACCACGTTGGCCAGGCTGGTCTCAAACCTCAAGTGATCCACCCGCCTCGGCCTCCCAAAGTGCTGGGATTACAGGTGTGAGCCACTGCACCCGGCCTAGTTCCTTAAGATTTTCGTCACTTGGTGATTCTTAGTGAAGTTTTGCATAGTTGAGCGCAGACACCCCGCACGCAGCATCCCTCGGCACAGGGCGTTGATGGAAGGAACTCTGGTGACCCGGGGTTCATTCTCTTCACACTTTTTCTCTGTGTCTCAGGTTCCTTAGGATACAGCGGCTGTTCCCGCCAGTTCCACAGATCAAAGACAAACTGAATGATAACCATGAGGTGGAAGACGAGGTAGGCAGGGGTGGGCGGAGCAGTGACCTGGGATGGAAGGTGGGGAGTGGGGAGCGTGGGACACGGCCTCTGGGTGTCGACCATCTTGCTTCTCCACCAGATGGGACCGCAGCGTCACCACCGGTGTGGCTGGAATCTGTATCCCACTCCTGGGCCTTCTCCCGGGTCGGGGTCTTCTCCAAGGTTGGGGTCAGAGTCATCTCTGTGAGCTCCATCAGGAGAAACTGAGGCAGGGTGGTGGTCAAGAAAAGGAGGAGAAGACGGTAGAGAGGGCCAGGCACGGTGGCTCATGCCTGTCATCCCAGCACTTTGGGAGGTTGAGGCATGTGGATCATCTGAGGTCAGAGGTTCGAGACCAGCCTGGCCAACGTGGTGAAACCCCATCTCTGCTAAAAATACAAAAAATTAGCTGGGTGTGGTGGTGTACGCCTGAAATCCCAGTGACTCGGGAGGCTGGGGCAGTAGAACGGCTTGAACCCAGGGGGCGGAGGTTGCAGTGAGCCGAGATCGCACCACTGCACTCCAGCCTGGGTGACAGAGCGAGACTCCATCTCAAAAGAAAAAAGAAGGTAGAGAGGAGAGGCAGAAATAGAGACAAGAGACAGAGGCAGAGAAAGATGGAGGGAGAGAGATGGAGGAGAGAGAGAGGAATGTAGAAGAGAATGAGGAGACACAAAAGAGAGGGAAACAGGCAGACAGACTGACAGAAACAAAGGCAGACACACAGACAGAGAAACAGAGAGAGGGAGGGAGAAAAGGGAGAAGGAAAGAGAGAGACACGAGACACAGATGGAGAAACAGAGACAGATAAACAACAAACATAAAGACCCAGGCGGGGGCCGGTCGCGGTGACTCACATCTGTCATCCCAGCACTTTGGGAGGCCGAGGCGGGTGGATCACTTGAGGTCGGGAGTTCGAGACCAGCCTGACCAACCTGAAGAAACCTCGTCTCTACTAAAATTGCAAAAATTAGCCAGGTGTGGTGGCGCACACCTGTAATCCCACCTACTCTGGAGGCTGAGGCAGGAGAATCACTTGAACCCAGGAGGCGGAGGCTGCAGTGAGCCGAGATCGCACCATTGCACTCTAACCTGGGCAACAGAGCAAAACTCTCTATCAAAAACAAAACAAAACAAAAAAATCATCCCCAGCAGGGAGAGGAGAGAGACAGAGAGGAACAGAGGCACAGAGAGGGGAGAGAGACAAAGACAGAGAGACACAGAGAAAGACACAGAAAAAGAGAGAGAGAGGGAGAAGGAGACATAGAGACAGGGACAAAGAGAAAAAGACGGACAGAGAGAGAAACAGAGAGACATAGGTGGACACAGAGAGGGGAGAGAGAGAGAGAGACAGAAAGAGACAGAGAGCAAGGGATGGGAGTGGAAGAGAGAGACAGATGGAGGAAAAAGACAGAGAGGGAGGCAGATAAAAGACACACAGAGACACCGAGAGAGACAGGGAAGACAGAGGAGTCGGACTTAGTCTCAGCGAGAGCCCAGAGAGGGTGAACAAGGGCGAGGAACCATGTGACCTGCACCCTGAGACCCCATTGGCGCTCCTCTCCCACCCACCTCTCTCCGGCTCAGGGACTGCGTCTTATGTTGCAGTAGGCTGGCAGGCTGGAAAGTCAGGCCAGGGCTGATGCTGCATCCCAGAGGCAGAACTGTCCTGCATTCTCAGAGTGGGAGATGAAATTTTTAAAAAGGAAATAAAACTCTTGTCGGGGAACCTCAGCTTTTATCCTTTAGACGTTTGACTGATTAGACCAGGCCCACTCTTCTCCTTTACACTTTCGGCTGATTGAATGAGGCCCACCCTTCCCCCTTTACACCTTCGACTGATTAGATGAGGCCCACCATTCCCCTTTAGACCTTCGACTGATCAGATGAAGCCCACCCTTCCCCTTTAGACCTTCAGCTTATTAGATAAGGCCCACCCTTACCCTTTAGACTTTCAACTGATTAAATGAGGCCCACTCTCCCCGTTTAGACCTTTGACTGATTAGATGAAGCCCACGCTTCTCCTTTGGACCTTCAACTGATTAGATGAGGCCCACCCTTCCCCCTTCAGCCTTTCGACTGATTAGATGAGGCCCACCCTCCCCTTTATACCTTCGACTGATTAGATGAGGCCCACCCTCCCCTTTATACCTTCGACTGATTAGATGAGGCCCACCCTCCCCTTTATACCTTCGACTGATTAGATGAGGCCCGTCCTTCCCCCATTTAGATCTTCAACTGATTAGATGAGGCCCACCTTTCCCTTTTTAGACCTTTGACTGATTAGATGAGGCCTACCCTTCTCCCTTTAGACCTTTGACTGATTAGATGAGGCCTACCCTTCTCCCTTTAGACCTTTGACTGATTAGATGAGACCCACCCTTCCCATTTAGACCTTCAACTCATTAGATGAAGCCCACCCTTCCCCCCTTCCCCTTTAGACCTTCAGCTTATTAATTAGACAAGGCCCACCCCCTTTAGACCTTCAACTGATTAGATGAGGCCCACCCCTCTTCAGACCTTCAACTGATTAGATGAGGCCCACCCCCTTTAGACCTTTGACTGATTAGATAAGGCCCACCCACATTCTCCAGTCCAATCTCTTTTCCTGGAAATCAGCTGATTGTGGACTTGACATCTACAAAGCCCCTTCGTAGCAGCCGCTGAGTCATGGTTTCATTCAATAACTGGGGACTGTAGCCTAGTCACGGGGACACGTCATTGGTGCCGGGTATCAGAGACGAAGGCCAAGAGATGAAAGAGAAACAGAGACTGAACCCAAAAGAGGCAGACACACAGGAAGATGGAGATAGAGACCCAGAGATGGGGGTGGAAGAAGGTGAGAGGGGGAGGAAAGAGAGACAGAGAGGGAGACAGAGAAAAGAGGCAGAGAGACCGAGAGAGAGGCTGAACAGCAAGACCCCAGAGAGGGTGACTAAGGGTGAGAGACTTGCGTGACCCACATCCCAAGACCCCGTGGGTGGCCCTCTCCCACCCACCTCTCTCCAGCTCAGGGGCTGTGTCTTCCTCCCATGGGGAACTCCAGTTGCAGCCCAGGGTTGCCCCCAGCGCCCTCTTCTCTGCCACATAGGTAACATCCTCCTGGTTGCCACTTGCACACCCCCATCCTAGACCTGGCCATCTGTCATTCCATTACCTTCCACCCCCACGCCAGCCTCC
Source organism: Homo sapiens (assembly GCF_000001405.40). Classification (NCBI taxonomy): domain Eukaryota; kingdom Metazoa; phylum Chordata; class Mammalia; order Primates; family Hominidae; genus Homo; species Homo sapiens. The sequence continues at coordinate 1,308,708 of NC_000024.10, forward strand.
TCCCCGGCCCCCGCTTTCCACTGACCCCCAGGGGTCCCCCACATCGAGGTGCCAGGATGACGGCTTCAGGCTTCAACCTTCCCTTCTCTGAGCTCCATCAGCTCCAGGGGCTTAGCACCTGCTGTACCCTGCCCAGGTTTCATGCTCACAAGCTCTTCCAAAGACCACCCTGTTCATCGTCAACTATGAGGTCCCATGGGTGGATCTGTCTCAGATCTTTACCCCAGGAAAAACCCATGGCCAGGTGCAGTGGCTCATGCCTGTCATCCCAGCACTTTGGGAGGCCGAGGCGAGTGGATCACCTCGAGGTCAGGAGTTTGAGACCAGCCTGGCCAACATGGTAAAACCCCATCTCCACTGAAAGTACAAAATTTAGCTGGTGGCGGCTAAAGGGGGAAAGGTGGGCCTCATCTAATCAGTCGAAGGTCTAAAGGGGGAAGAGTGGGCCTCATCTGATCAGTCAAATTTGTGGTGGCGGGCGCCTGTAATCCCAGCTACTCAGGAGGCTGAGGCAGGAGAATCGCTTGAACCCGGGAGGCCGAGGTTGCAGTGAGCTGAGATGACACCACTGCACTCCAGCCTGGGCAATAGAATGAGACTCCGTCTCGAGGGAGAAAAAGAAAATAAACACAGCCCACTGAGTCCCAGGCTGAGCTCGTGAAGATCTGACAGCCTGAACCCTCCTTTTTCTCAGATCATCTGGGAGGAATTCACCCCAGAGGAAGGGAAAGGCTACCGCGAAGAGGTCTTGACCGTGAAGGAAATTACCTGAGACCCAGAGGGTGTAGGAATGGCATGGACATCTCCGCCTCCGCGACACGGGGGAACTGTTTTCTTGATGATGCTGTGAACCTTTATATCATTTTCTATGTTTTTATTTAAAAACATGACATTTGGGGCCAGGCGCGGTGGCTCACGCCTGTAATCCCAGCACTTTGGGAGGCCAAGGCAGGCGGATCACCTGAGGTCAGGAGTTCAAGACCAGCCTGCCCAACATGGTGAAACCCCATCTGGACTAAAAATGCAGAAATTTACCCAGGCACGGCGGCGGACGCCCATCATCCCAGCTACTTGGGAGGCTGAGGCAGGAGAATTGCTTGAACCCGTGAGGCGGAGGTTGTAGTGAGCCAAGATCGCACCATTGCACACCAACCTGCGTGACAGAGCAAGATTGCATCTCAAAACAAACAATAATAATAAATAATAAAAACCTGATATTTGGCTGGGCGCCGTGGCTCATGCCTGTAATCCTAACACTTTGGAGGATTGCTGGAGACAGGAGTTTAAGACCAGTCTGGGCAACATAGCAAGACCCTGTCTCTACAAAAAAGGCAAAAATTAGCTGGGCGTGGTGGCTTGTGCCTGTAGTGCCAGCTATCTGGGAGGCTGAGGCGGGAGGATCACTTGAGTTCAAGCTGACAGTAAGCTATGATTGCACCGTTGCACTCCAGCCTGGGTAACAAACTAAGACCCCATCTCTCTGTCTCAAAAAAAGTGATACTTCGCAAAGATGCTTAGACTCCAAGAAGCTTTTGCATCTCTTTCCAACCCAACTACTGAGGTACTGTGTAGCCTCCTCCTTGAATAACTAACCTGGTGAGCTGAGATTGCGCCATTGCAATCCAGCCTGGGCAACAAGAGCAAAACTCCATCACATTTAAAAAAAAAAAAAAATTGATGGCCGGGCGCGGTGGCTCACACCTGTAATCCCAGCAGTTTGGGAGGCCGAGGCGGGAGGATCACGAGGTCAGGAGATCGAGGGCATCCTGGCTAACATAGTGAAACCCCATCTCTACTAAAAATACAAAAAATTAGCCAGACGTGGTAGCGGGCGCCTGTAGTCCCAGCTACTCGGGAGGCTGAGGCAGGAGAATGGCGTGAACCCGGGAGGAGGAGGTTGCAGTGAACCGAGATCACAACACCGCACTCCAGCGTGGATGACATAGCGAGACTCCATCTCAAAAAAAAAAAAAAAAAATTATTATTGTACAGTGCCAGGCCTCCCTGGGTTATAAATCCAGTTTTTAGTAGGTCCGGTTCCTTCTGGAGGACAAAGTGATGATATAGTTTGGTTGTTTGTCCCTTGCAAATCTCAGTTTGAAATTTGGTTCTCCGGGTTGGAGGTGGGACCTGGCAGGAGGTGTTTGAATGAAGAGGGGGCGGACTCCTTATAAATGGCTTGGTGCCTTTCTTGTAGTAATGAGTGAGTTCTTTCTCTATTTGTTCCTGAAAGAGCTGGTTATCAAAAAGAGGCTGGTGCCCGGGCATGGTGGCTCACGCCTGTAATCCTAGCACTTTGGGAGGCCGAGGCTGGTGGATTGCCTGAGCTCATGAGTTCGAGACCAGCCTGGGCAACATGGTGAAACCCCGCTTCTACTAAAAATACAAAAAGTTAGCTGGGTGTGGTGGCGGCCACCTGTAGTCCCAGCTACTCAGGAGGCTGAGGCAGCAGAATTGCTTGAACCCGGGAGGCGGAGGTGGCAGTGAGCCAAGATCACGCCATTGCACTCCAGCCTGGGCAACAGAGTTAGATTCTGTCTCCAAAAAAAAAAAAGGTAAAAAGAAAAAGAGGCTGGTACCTCCTTCCCTGCCTCTTGCCACCTCTCCCACCATGTAACACCAGCTCCCCTTCCTCTCCCACCAGGAGTGGAAGTTGTTGAGCTTCTCAGCAGCAGATGCTGAAGGCACAATTCCTGTACAGTCTGTGGAATCATCAGCCAAATAAACCTGTTTGTTTTTTTTTTTAAGTTGGAGTCTTGCTTTGTCGCCAGGCTGGAGTGCAGTGGCACAATCTCTGCTCACTGCAACCTCCATCTCCCCAGTTCAAGCAATTCCCCTGCCTCAGCCTCCCAAGTGGCTGGGAGTACAGGCGCCCGCCACCATTCCCGGCTACTTTTTTTTGTTTTGTTTTGTGTTTTAGTAGAGACAGGGTTTCACCTTGTTGGTCAGGCTGGTCTCCATCTGACCTCGTGATCCGCCCCCCTTGGCGTCTCCACGTGCTGGGATGACAGGCGTGAGCCACCGCGTCCAGCCAAATAAACCTCTCTTTAAAATACATCACCCAGCCTGGGGAATCCCTTTGTAGCAACACAAAACAGACTAAGACGAGACGGAAATTCATTTCCCTCCATTTCCCACATCTAGAAAAGGCTGACTTTCTTCATTGGTGGTTGCTGTCACTCAGGCCTGCTGTTGACTCCTCATATCTCACTGGACTGTGACTCTCCTGCCTCCCTCTCATAAGGACAATTATTATTATTATTATTTGAGATGGAGTCTCGCTCTGTCATTCAGGCTGGAGTGCAGTGGCACGATCTCAGCTCGCTACAACCTCCACCTCCCGGGTTCAGGCAATTCTCATGCCTCAGCCTCTCGAGTAGCTGGGATGACAGGCACCTGCCACCACACCTGGCTAACTTTTGTATTTTTAGTAGAGATGGGGTTTCACCATGTTGACCTGACCACAGGTGATCCACCTGCCTCAACCTCTCAAAGTGCTGGGATTACAGGTGTGAACCACCACACCTGTTCCTTATAAGGACAATTGTAATTACATGTCAGGCCCACGGGGACACTCCAGAATCATCTCTCCATGGCAATATCCCTGGAATAAAAGTCCTCCTTCCATAGAGAGCATTCTGTAATGTGTCCACAGCATGCTTATCCAGGTAAGAACATGCTGGGGGCCATTATTCTGTCTCCCACGTGGAATTAGGACGTGGACATCTTTGGGACCATTATTCTGTCTCCCACATGGAATTAGGACGTGGACATATTTGGGGACATTATTCTGTCTATCACATGGGATTAGGACGTGGACATCTTTGGGGCCATTATTCTGTCTCCCACATGGGATTAGGACATGGCCATATTTACGGGACATTATTTTGCCTCCCACGATCAGTGAGTAATTCAATCGCCACAGATACCGAAACATCAACTGAGATGGTGGCTGACAGGTGGTCTAGGGCCTACAGGGGACTTCAGGACTTGGAGCCGAGAGAGAGCCGAGCTTGGGATGGATCTGACGGTGAGGTGCCAGCTGTTTCCTCCCTCGTGGGTGTTCCACGTCCCTCCTGCAAACCCCAGCCGGCCCCTTGCTTCAGAGTTTCAGGGGAGATTTGACGATGGAGCAGAGGCAGCCTTCCGGAACCTTCTACCCCTGACCTTTTGATTCACAAGTCAAAGCTTGGGGAAGAGATGGAGCCAGGCTCTTGGTGGGGAGAAGCGTCTAAAACACAGCAAGGAAGAAAAAGCGTGGAATCCTCTGGGCCTGCAAGAAGTGAGAGGAGGAGACTCCCACAGGGCGCCCCAGGAAGCAGGTCCACCTCCCCAAGGGAGCACCACATTCCTGGGTATGAACCTGTGGGTTTCAGAGACCTCAGGCCCTATTTACCTCAGAAGCAGAGGCCTCCGGTGTCAAAGAGACAGCAGAGGCCGGGCGTGGTAGCCATGCCTATAATCCCAGCGCTTTGCCAGGCCAAGGCAGGTGGATCACTTGAGGTCAGGAGTTCAAAACCAGCCTGGCCAACGTGGTGAAACTCGTCTCTACTACAAATACAAAAAAAAAAATAAAAAAAGCTGGGTGTGGTGGCACACGCCTGTAATCCCAGCTACTCAGGAGGCTGAGGCAGGAGAATCACTTGAACCTGGGAGGCAGAGGTTGCAGTGAGCCAAGATCACGCCACTGCACTCCAATCTGGGTGACAGAGAGGAGCTGTGGTCAGGCACAGTGGCTCATGCCTGGAATCCCAGCACTTTGCAAGGCCAAGGCAGGCAGATCATTTGAGGTCAGAGTTCAAAACCAGCCTGGCCAACATGGCAAAATCTCGTCTCTACTAAAAATACAAAAAAAAAAGCCAGGTGTGGTGGCAGGCACCTATAATCCCAGCTACTTGGGAGGTTGATGCAGGAGAATCGCTTGAACCCAGGAGGCGGAGGTTGCAGTGAGCCAAGATCACGCCATTGCACTCCAATCTGGGTGACAGAGAGGAGCTGTGGCCAGGCACAGTGGCTCATGCCTGTAATCCCAGCACTTTGGGAGGCCGAGGTGGGCAGATCACCTGAGGTCAGGAGTCCGAGACCAGCCTGGCTAACATGGTGAAACTCCATCTCTGCTAAAGATACAAAATCTTAGCCGGGTGTGGTGGCACCTGTAATTGCAGTTGCTGTACTCAGGAGGCTGAGGCAGGAGAACCGCTTGAACCTGGGAGGCAGAGGTTGCAGTGAGCCCAGATCATGCGATTGCACTCCGGCCTGGGTGACAGGGCGAGATTCTGTCTCAAAATAAATGAATAAATAAAATAAAATTAAATTAAAATAAAATTAAATAAAAAATAAAAAACAGCCAGCAGAGATAGGGCCTAGGATGACTGAGGCCCCTGAAGGCTGTGGCGATCAGCCCCTCCCCTGTGTTCTTTGGCACCTACGGACCCTCTCCAAGGAATGGGTGGGCAGAGGCTGTCAATATTGGCTGAGAGGGAGCTTTTGCAGAACCGCACTGCACCTGCCCAACCCCACTGCACCTGCCCAACCCCACTGCACCTGCCCAACCCCACTGCGCCTGCCCAACCCCACTGCATCTGCCCAACCACTCTGTGCCTGCCCAACCACACTGCACCTGCCCAACCCCACTGCGCCTGCCCAACCCCACTGCATCTGCCCAACCACTCTGTGCCTGCCCAACCACACTGCACCTGCCTAACCGTACTGCACCTGCCCAACCGCACTGCACTTGCCCAATTGCACTGCACCTGCCCAACCCCAATGCACCTACCCAACCCCACTGTGCCTGCCCAACCGCACTGCACCTGCCCAATCCCACTGCACCTGCCCAATCCCACTGCACCTGCCCAATCCCACTGCACCTGCCCAACCCCACTGCACCTGCCCAACCCCACTGCACCTGCCCAACCACACTGAACCTGCTCAACCCCACTTCACCTGCCCAACTGCACTGCACTTGCCCAACCCCTCTGTGCCTGCCCAACCCCACTGTGCCTGCCCAATCGCACTGCACCTGCCCAATCCCACTGCACCTGCCCAATCCCACTGCACCTGCCCAATCCCACTGCACCTGCCCAATCCCACTGCACCTGCCCAACCCCACTGTGCCTGCCCAACCGCACTGCACCTGCCCAATCCCACTGCACCTGCCCAACCGCACTGCACCTGCCCAACCACACTGAACCTGCTCAACCCCACTTCACCTGCCCAACCGCACTGCACTTGCCCAACCCCTCTGTGCCTGCCCAACCCCACTGTGCCTGCCCAATCGCACTGCACCTGCCCAACCCCACTGCACCTGCCCAACCACACTGCACCAAAGGAAGAGCAATGCAGACATTCAATCCTTTGCATGCCTAAACTGGAGAAGACTGTTTATAAGATGCATGCAGGTGGGAGTCACACTGTGGGGGGGAGGGTCATCGGTCACCTGCGTGAGATCAGGGTTGTGCAGGTGGAGAAAAGAGAGGGAGGGGAGACAGATTCTATGATGAGGACAGGTGTGGTGAAAATGGGTCTCAAAAGAAATTTAAAAAATAGATGATATATATAGAAGACAGATAGATGATTGATAGATGACAGATGAAAAATATATATGATAGATGAATAGATGTATAGGTAACAGATAATAGCTAGATACATGATTGACTGATAGATATTTGATAGATAGATGATAGATGAATTTTATTTTATTTTATTTTGTTTTAAGAGACAGAGTCTCATTCTGTCACCCAGGCTGGAGTGCAGTGGCGCGATCTCAGCTCACTACAACCTCCGCCTCCCAGGTTCAAGTGATTCTCCTGCCTCAGCCTCTTGAGTAGCTGAGATTACACGTGTGCACCACCACCCCCAGCCAATTTTTTATATTTTTTGTAGAGACAGGATTTCACCATGTTGGCCAGGCTGGTCTCGAACTCCTGACCTCAAGTGATCTGCCCGCCTCAGCCTCCCAAAATGCTGGGATTACAGGCGTGAGCCACCTTGCCCAGCCATAATGGATGAATTTTAGATAGATGATAGACATAGATAGATAGATAGAAAATAGATAAAATAGATAATAGATAGATAGATAGATAGATAGATAGATAGATAGATAGATAGATAGATTAGATAGATGAATGGATAAATAGATGGATAGATAGATGGATGAATGGATAGATGACAGATAGATAGACTCTAGATGGATAATAGATGATGGATAGATTGATGATAGATGGATGATAGATAATAAATGATAGATGATAGATAAATAGATGATTGATAGAAAATAGATGATAGATGGATAGACAGATAGATAGATATATAGATAGATACATAGATAGACCAATAGACAGATAGATAGATCAATAGATAGATAGATAGATAGAATAGATAAATGGATAGATAGACACATAGATACATAGATACATAGACAGATACATAGATAGATGATAGATTAGATAGATGATAGAAGAGCTAGACAGATGGATAGATAGACACATAGACAGATACATAGATACATAGGTAGATAGATAGATGATAGATGACAGATGATAGATTAGATAGATGATAGATAGATAGATAGATAGATAGATAGATAGATAGATAGATAGACAGACAGACAGACAGAGAGGTAGTTGGGATCTATCTGCTATTTCTCAGGCTCCCTCCTGGAAGTTGGAACTGATCTCACTTGTTCCAAGACCCTCACCTTAAATCACATTGTTAGACGGTGAACCATCCAAAGCCCCCAGGCCAGCAAAGATACTACCAGGGGCCATTCCAGGACCTGAGGTATCACCACCCTCCAGCCAAGACCCAAGGCAAGACTTCCCTTTGGGTAAGGCTAGGTCTTCAGTGCACAGCGTCTAACAAGCGACAGGAGAAAGGTATGTCCTGGAGATGGGCTTGGCCCGGGAAGAGCCATGGAGACTCACGTTCAGCCCCTGCCCATCCACGCGGGAGGGAACACCGGCGTCATGGGGCTCCCCAACGCCTGGGTTCTCCTGAATGAGATCAACAGCACCACCACCTCCTACATCCGTGCCTGCGTCTCTCATCCTGTTGAGTCATGCCGTGGGGAGCAAGTTCCCTAATTCTGTCTTCCTGTGTGGACACAAAACCAGCAGCCGACGCCCCAGACACAGAGGCGTTGAGGGCGTGGGGCCAACACGCTTGCCCCCCTAACGGTTTGCTGAATAATCACTAACAATGAACTAGATAGATTACTAAGAAACAAGACATGCATATTTTCTTTCTTTCTTTTTTTATTGAGACGGACTCTCACTCTGTCGCCCAGGCTGGAGTGCAGTGGCGCGATCTCGGCTCACTGCAAGCTCCGCTTCCCGGGTTCACGCCATTCTCCTGCCTCAGCCTCCCGAGTAGCTGGGACTACAGGTGCCCACCACCATGCCCGGCTAATTTTTTTTGCATTTTTAGTAGAGACGAGGTTTCACCATGTTAGCCAGGATGGTCTCGAACTCCTGACCTTATGATCTGCCTGCCTCGGCCTCCCAAAGTGCTGGGATGACAGGCGTGAGCCACCACGCTCAGCTTTTTTTTTTTTTTTTTTTTTTGAGACAGAGTCTTGTTCTTGTCGCCCAGGCTGGAGTGCAGTGGTACAATCTCAGGTCACCACAACCTCCGCCTCCCGGGTTCCAGCGATTCTCCCGCCTCAGCCTCCCGAGTAGCTGGGATGACAGGCATGCACCACCACGCCCGGCTAATTGTGTATTTTTAGTAGAGACGGGCTTTCTCCACATCAGTCAGGCTGGTCTCGAACTCCTGACCTCAGGTGATCTGCCCGCCTCGGCCTCCCAAAGTCCTGGGGTTGCAGGCGTGAGCCACCACGCCCAGCTTTTTTTATTTTTATTTTATTTTATTTTTTTTTTTTGAGACGGAGTCTTGCTCTTGTCACCCAGGCTGGAGTGCAATGGTATCATCTCAGGTCACCATTTCTGTAACGTGCAAATTTCTGTAACGTGCACGCACAGAAGCCTTCAGAATGAAGACCCACGCTCCCAGGGAGGTACAAGCTTTTGGAGTGGAAGAAGAGGAAGAAGAGAAATTCTAATGGGGCTTGGATCTTCTCTCCTGGAGTGGGAAAAGAGGAATTCTATTGAGGGAAAGTAAGAGATTGCTAGGAAGATCCTTTGCCCAGGCTGGAGTGCAGTGGCGACTCTTGGCTCACGGCAGCCTCAACATCCCAGGCTTAAACAATCCTCCCACCTCGGCCTCCTTAGTAGCTTGGATGACAGGCATGCACAACCATGACTGGCTAATTTTTTTCTTTTCTTTTTTTTTCTTTTTTTTGTGAGACAGAGTCTCACTGTGTCACCCAGGCTGGAGTGCAGTGGAGCGATCTCGGCTCACTGCAACCTCCACTTCCCGGGTTCAAGCGATTCTCCTGTCTCAGCCTCCCGAGTAGCTGGGACTACAGGCACCCGCCACCACGCCCGGCTAATTTTTTTTTTTTAACTTTTTTTTTTGAGACAGAGTTTCATTCTAGTTGCCCAGGTTGGAGTGCAATGGCGTGATCTTGGCTCACTGCTACCTCTGCTTCCCGGGTTCAAGTGATTCTCCTGCCTCAGCCTCCCAAGTAGCTGGGATTACAGGCATACGCCACCACACCCAGCTAATTTTGTATTTTTAATAGAGACGGGGTTTCACCATGTTGGCCAGGCTGGTCTTGAACTTTCTACCTCACGTGATCCGCCCACCTCGGCCTCCCAAAGTGCTGGGATTACAGGCGTGAGCCACTGCGCCAGGCCGAAGCTGAACTTTTGTCTCCACTGGCCAAAGGGTGGTTGCACCTTCTCCTCTTACCCCCAGGCCGTTGGACTTTGCCCCACTCCCCCTGAGCCGCCGATAGCCCCTCCTGAGAGAAAGGATAGAAAAGACTTTGGAGAGGTTTGCAGATGTCTGGGAAGACAATTGCAAAGCTGACCGGGCGCGGTGGCTCACGCCTGTAATCCCAACACTTTGGGAGGCCGAGGCAGGCAGATCACAAGGTCAGGAGATCGAGACCCTCCTGGCTAACACGGTGAAACCCCATCTCTACTAAAAGTACAAAAAATGAGCCTGGCATGGTGGCGGGCACCTGTAATCCCAGCTACTCGGGAGGCTGAGGCAGGAGAATGGTGTGAACCCGGGAGGCGGAGCTTGCAGTGAGCCGAGATCGTGCCACTGCACTCCAGCCTGGGTTACAGAGCAAGACTCCATCTCAAAAAAAAAAAAGAAAGAAAATTGCAAAGCTTCCTTTCGCCCCCTGGTGATGATGATCCTTTATTTATTTTATTTTATTTTATTTTATTTATTTTTTGAGACTGAGTCTTGGTCTGTCACCCAGGCTGGAGTACAGTGGCATGATCTCGGCTCACTACAACCTCCGCCTCCCGGGTTCAAGCGATTCTCCTGCCTCAGCCTCCCTAGTAGCTGGGATTACAGGTGCCCGCCACCACGCCTGGCTAATTTTTGTATTTTTAGTAAAGACAGGGTTTCACCATGTTGGCCAGGCTGGTGTTGAACTCCTGGCCTCAGGTGATCCACCCGGCTCGGCCTCCCAAAGTGCTGGGATTGTAGACATGAGCCACCATGCCCGGCCTCCTTTTTAAATTTTTGAGACAGCATCTTGCTCCTTTGCCCAGGCTGGAGTGCACGATCATGGCTCACTGTAGCCTCAGACTCCCCGGCTTAGCGATCCTCCTCTCTCAGTCTCCTGAAGTAGCTGGGACCACAGCTGAACGTCACCACACCCGGCTAATTTTTGTATTTTTAGTACAGACGGGGTCTCACTATGTTGCCCAGGCTGGTCTCCAACTTCTGGCCTCAAGCGATCCACCCTCCTCGGCCTCCCAAAGTGATGGGTCTACAGGCATGAGCCACCATGCCTAGCCCAAGTTTTTTGTAGAGATGGAATCTCACTATGTTACCCAGACTGGTCTTGACTGCTAGGCTCCAGTGATCCTCCTGCCTCAGCCTCCCAAAGTTCTGGAATTACAGCCATTCTTCACGCCTTTGCTGTTTTTTTTTTTTTTTTTTTAGACAGAGTCTCACTCTGTCGCCCAGGCTGGAGTGCAGGGGCAAAATCTTGGCTCATTGCAACCTCTGCCTCCCAGGTTCAAGCGATTCTCCTACCTCACCCTCCCGAGTAGCTGGGATTACAGGCACGTGCCACCACGCCTGGCTAATTTGTTTGTTTGTTTGTTTGTTTGTTTGTTTTGAGATGGAGTCTCGCTCTGTCCCCCAGGCCAGAGTGCAGTGGCACGATCTCGGCTCACTGCAAGCTCTGCCTCCTGGGTTCACGCCATTCTCTTGCCTCAGCCTTCCGAGTAGCTGGGACTACAGGTGCCCGCCACCACGCCTGGCTAATTTTTTGCATTTTTAGTACAGACGGGATTTCACCATGTTAGCCAGGATGGTCTCGATCTCCTGACCTCGTCATCCACCTGCCTCGGCCTCCCAAAGTGCTGGGATTACAGGCATGAGCCACTGCGCCCGGCCTGTTTGTATTTTTATTAGAGATGGAGTTTCAGCATGTTGGTCAGGCTGGTCTCGAACTCCTGACCTCAGGTGATCCACCCGCCTCGGCCTCCCAAAATGCTGGAATGACAGGCGTGAGCCATTGCACCCGGCTAATGCTGTCTTCTTTGTGGTCACAAAACTTCCCCAGAGAGAGAATTTACAACACTCATCATTTTTCAGAGGTTTTTGCTTTTAGTCAGAAAAGGGAAGCTCCAAGAAGTTTCTTTCTAGATCTGTTGATTCTCAAATGCCTCAGTTCAGAAGAATTTATATGCCAATGTGGCTTTTTTTTTTTTTTCCGAGACGGAGTGTTACTCTGTCACCCAGGCCGGAGTGCCATGGCGTGGTCTTGGCTCACTGCAACCTCTGCCTCCAGGGTTCAAGCGATTCCCCTGCCTCAGCCTCCTGAGTAGCTGGGACTACAGGCGCCCACCATCATGCCCAGCTAATTTTTTTTTTTTTTTTTTTTTGTATTTTAGTAGAGACGGGGTTTCGCCATGTTGGCCAGGATGGTCTCGATCCCCTGACCTTGTGATCCGCCCGCCTCAGCCTCCCAAAGTGCTGGGATTACAGGCATGAGCCACTGCACCCAGCCTGTTTTGTCAACCTTATGATCTCTGTTTTTTTTTGTTTGTTTGTTTTGAGACAGAGTCTCACTCTGTCACCCAAGTTCGAGTACAGTGGCGCGATCTCAGCTCACTGCAACCTCCACCTCCCAGGTTCAAGTGACTCTCGTGCCTCAGCCTCCCAAGGAGCTGGGATTACAGGCAGACGCCACCACGTCTAGCTAATTTTTGTAATTTTTCTTAGCAGACATGGGGTTTCACCATGTCAGTCAGGCTGGTCTTGAACTCCTGACCACAGGTGACCCACCCTCCTCGGCCTCCCAAAGTGCTGAGATTATAGGCTCAGCCCCAACTTGGCATATTTTGGATTGACCCATTCTAGTCCCTTTTAAGAAGTGCAGACAGAGGCCGGGCACGGTGGCTCACGCCTGTCATCCCAACACTTTGGGAGGCCGAGGCGGGTGGATCACGAGGTCAGGAGATCGAGACCATCCTGGCTAACACAATGAAACCCTTTCTCCACTAAAAATACAAAAAATTAGCCGGGCGACGTGGCAAGCTCCTGTAGTCCCAGCTACTCGGGAGGCTGAGGCAGGTGAATGGCGTGAACCCGGGAGGCGGAGCTTGCAGTGAGCCGAGATCGTGCCACTGCACTCCAGCCTGGGTGACAGAGTGAGACTCCATCTCAAAAATAAATAAATAAATAAAATAAAAACCCAGGAGGCAGAGGTTGCGGTTGGCTGAGGTCGTGCCACTGCACTCCAGCCTGGGGGACAGAGCGAGACTCCATCTCAAAAAAAAAAAAAAAGAAACGCAGACAGCATTTCAGTACACGCTTGGGGGTTAACTTAAACAGTGACCATCACCAAGCGAAATCTTAAAATGCGAGCAACGTGGAGCTAAACGGACTGCAAAAAGAAGACCATTGTGTATTGTAGGCACTGTCACAAAAAGGCAGAACCCCGCTTCTTCAGCGTAGCTGAGAACGTCCACATCAGGCAACTCAGATTTTTTTGCCACACTGCTTATGATGCCTCTGAATGGCCACAAACTTGCCCCAAGTATCAGCCGGGTGCGGTGGCTCATGCCTGTAAATTGCATCACTTTGGGAGGCCGAGGTGTGGGTGGATCGCATCATGAGGTCGGGAGTTCGAGACCAGCCTGACCAACGTGGTGAAACCCCTTTTCCACTAAAAATACAAAATTACCCCGGCATGGTGGCTCATGCCTGTAATCCCAGAACTTTTGGAGGCTGAGGCAGGAGCATTGCTTGATCCCAGGATTTCAGGACCAGCCTGGGCAATATAATAACATCCTATTATTTATTTATTTATTTATTTTTGAGACAGTGTCTCACTCTGTTACCCAGGCTGGAGTGCAATGGCGCAATCTCTGGTCAACGCAACCTCCACCTCCCAGGTTCAAGTGATTCTCCTGTCTCAGCCTCCCGAGTAGCTGGGACGACAGGTGCCCGCCACGTCACCCGGCTATTTTTTTTTTTTTTGTATTTTTAGTAGAGACGGACTTTCACCGTGTTAGCCAGGATGCTCTCGATCTCCTGACCTCGTGATCCGTCCACCTCAGCCTCCCAAAGTGCTGGGATTACAGGCATCAGTCAGCACACCTGGCCCACTTACCATCTTAACTGTGTGTGTTTGTTTTTTTTTTTTTTTTTTTTGAAAGGTAGCTCTCCAGAGAAAGACCCTGTAAGTATCTTTTTCTTTCTCAATGACATCCTGTGATTGGGCCATGAGTCACCTCCAAGTTCAGTGCTCATTTCATGGAACTGTTTAGCTGTGGGGCCCCACTGAACCCTTTGTGGTCACGCGGCAGCTCTCGGAGGAGCCACGGTTCTCCTGAACGCCCCTGGCTCAGCTACTCAACAATCACACAATGGACAGAGCGACGTCCTTCCTCCAAAGCTGCCCACTGAGAGATTTTCAGGTCAAAAATTGTAGTGCGTTGAACAGTGACCCTTAACATTTATGTCCACGTTAACCTCAGAATGGGACATTATTTCAAAATAAGGTCTTTGCAGATGTGATGAAGGAAAGAATCTGAAGATTGGCCGGGCGCGGTGGCTCACGCCTGTAATCCCAGCACTTTGGGAGGCCAAGACAGGCAGATCACGAGGTCAGGAGATCGAGACCATCCTGGCTGACACGGTGAAACCTCATCTCTACTAAAAATACAAAAAATTAGCCGGGCGTGGTGGCGGGCGCCTGTGGTCCCAGCTACTCGGGAGGCTGAGGCAGGAGAATGGCGTGAACCCGGGAGGTGGAGGTTGCAGTGAGCCGAGATCGCGCCACCGCACTCCAGCCTGAGCGACAGAGCGAGATTCCGTCTCAAAAAAAATACAATACAATACATTACAATTATAAAATAAAATAAAATAAAATAAAATATAAAATGGTCTTTGCAGATGTAATGAAGTAAAGAATCTGAAGATGAACCGGGAGCGGTGGCTCACGCCTGTAATTTCAGCACTTTGGGAGGCCGAGGCGGGCGGATCACCTGAGGTCGGGAGTTCAAGACCGGCCTGGCCAACATGGTGAAACCCCGTCTCAGGGTGAGCCACCGCACCTGGCCCCAGTTCCTGTTATTAAACGTCCATAGTTACTAGTCGGGACTGGCAGGGATGGCTGCAGAGAGGAGCATGTCGTCAGTCACTAGAGGGCAGCAATGTCCCCCACCTTCAGGCGACCGGATTCTCACATCTGGGTGGTGGCCACAAGGACCTCCCAGCAGCTCTCAGGTGGTGCTAGTGATGCTTCCATGGACCGCACCTCGAGAAGTGGGAAGAGCTTTAGAAGCTGTCTGGGCTGGGTGTGGTGGCTCACACCTACAATCCCAGCACTTTGGGAGGCTGAGGCAGCAAGATCTCTTGAATCCAGCAGTTTGAGGCTAGCCTGGGCAACATAGTGAGACCCCCATCTCTTAAAAAAAATGCAGGCTGGGCGCAGTGGCTCACGCCTGTAATCCCAGCACTTTGGGAGGCAGAGGCGGGCAGATCATGAGGTCAGGAGATCGAAACCATCCTGGCTAACACGGTGAAACCCCGTCTCTAATAAAAATACAAAAAATTAGCCGGGCGTGGTGGTGGGCGCCTGTAGTCCCAGCTACTCGGGAGGCTGAGGCAGGAGAATGGCGTGAACCCGGGAGGCCGAGGTTGTGGTGAGCCAAGATCACCCCACTGCATTCCAGCCTGGACAATGGTGTGAGACTCCGTCTCAAAAAAAAAAAAATGCAAAAATTTAGCTGGACATGGTAGCATGTTCCTGTTGCCCTAGCTACTGGGGAGGCTGAGGTGGGAGGATCACTTGAGTCTGTGAGGTGGAGGTTGCAGTAAGCTAAGATCACGCCGCTGCACTCCAGCCTGGGTGACAGAGTGTAACTCTGCCTTTAAAAACAAAAACAAAAACAAAACAGAGGCCAGGAGGGGTGATTCACGCCTGTAATCCCAGCACTTTGGGAGGTAGAGGCTGGAGGATCACTTGAGGTCAGGAGTTAGAGGCCAGCCTGGGCCACATAGCAAGATCCTGTCTCTAAGAAAAAGGAAGGAAGGAAGGAAGGAAAAAGAGAAAGGAAAGAAAGAGAAAGAAAGAAGGAAGGAAGGAAAAAGGAAAAGAAAGGAAAGAAAAAGAAAGAAGAGAGAGAGAAAAAAGAAAGAAAAAGAAAGAGAAAGGGCAAGCAAGCAAGCAGGGAGGGAGGGAGGGGAGGGAAGGAGGAGGGAAAGAAGGAAGGGAGGGAGGGAGGGAGGAAGGGAAAGAAAGGAAAGAAAAGAAGGAAGGAAGGAAAGAAAGAAAGAGAAAGAGAGAAAGAAAAGCAAGAAAGGAAAGAAAGAAAAAAGAAAAAGGACATAAGTGCTTTGGCCCCACTGTGGATGGAGAGGTTGCTTTTGCCCAGCAGGGCCGCTTGGGCATGACCAAGAAGCACTCTCGTTGCCACCTAACAAAGGCCTGTCTGAGTCGGGACCACGCAAGATGTGGACGCACGCAGGGAAAGCTGTCAGCAGCTTACACCCATGAAGCCCTTTGCTGTCCTCACCCGGAGGTGCAGACTCTGAGGACCCCTGAGGGAAAGAAAGGCAGGAAAGTCTGACCTCCTTGTCAGAGCCCTGTGTCCAAGAACTGGGTACTCAGCGATCACAGGACGGTTGGGTTTCTCCGCCTCCTCCCTCAGGTCACAACTCAGCTGTCTGTGCCCCAAACTGGCCACCGACACCAGGTTCTCTCTTCTTTTAAAGGTTTTCCAGAGAGGTGTACCTGGTGCCCCGTCCTGAGTTGAAAACAAAACATACTTTGCGCCGTGGCTCACGCCTGTCATCCCAGCACTTTGGGAGGCCGAGACGGGCGGATCAAGAGGTCGGGAGATCGAGACCAGCCTGGCCAACGTGTTGAAACCCCCGTCTCTACTAAAATACACAAAAAAATTAGCCGGGCGTGGTGGCGGGCACCTGTAGTTCCACCTACTGGGGAGGCTGAGGCAGGAGAATTGCTTGAACCCAGGAGATGGAGGTTGCAGTGAGCCAAGATTGCACCACTGCACTCCAGCCTGCGGACTCTGTCTCCAAATAAAAAAAGGAAAGGAAAGGAAAGGAGAGGGGAGGGGAGGGAGGAAGGAGGAGAGGGGAGGGGAGGCGGGAAGGAGGGGGGGAGGAGGGGAGGGGAGAGAGGGAGGTGGGGAGGAGAGGGAAGGGGAGCGGAGGGGAAGGCGAGGCAGGGGAATCTCGCCAGGCCAGATGCCTCAAATGTGCTATGAAGGAAAAGTAAAAATGCCTGCGGTGGGTGCTGAAGACACACACCAGCCAGGAGATTCCCGCGGGAATTAGAAACACCCTGACCCCGACCTTGGGTCAAAACAATGAAGAAATAACACATGTCCTAAGAGGCCGTGGCTCCTGATCGGACAGATTTTAATTTCAAAACTTCATCCACGTCTTTGGGTTCAGGCAGGGGGAGCGATGAACAGGTGCTGACAGCCAGCATCTTTCGAAAGATTTCCTTTGTGTTGACAGACTGAGTTGACACTTGCCCAGTGAAAGAGAGATGATTTGCTCTCTCTGTGACCACCTGCCCCCCAGGAGCCGGTGACCAAGATAAGCCCCGTGTCCCCAGCCAACCAGTCAAGGTGCCACCTGCGATAGCCCCTGAGTGACTCAGGCGGTGCCCACATTACCGTCGGTGACGGTAGCTTTGGTTTTCAGAACCTCTGATCACAAAACAAGGTTTCTCTGGGACACTCTGGCTGTGGCTCTACGGATGAGCTCAGCTGTGGAGAAACTTCTGAGTGAGCAGGATGGAGTTATAGAAAAAATATCAGGCCGGGCGCGGTGGCTCACGCCTGTCACCCCAGCACTTTGGGAGGCCGAGGCGGGCGGATCACCTGAGGTCAGGAGTTCGAGAACAGCCTGGCCAACATGGCGAAACCCCGTCTCTACTAAAAAGAATAATAATAATAAAAATTAGTTGGGCATGGTGGCCTGCAATCCCAGCTACATGGGAGGCTGAGGCAGGAGAATCGCTTGAACCTGGGAGGCAGAGGTTGAGGTGAGCTGAGATCGTGCCATTGCACTCCAGCCTGGGTGACAAGAGTGAAACTCCATCTCAAAAATAATAAAATTAAATTAAATTAAATTAAATTTTTTAAAAAAAGATATCAGACCGGGCACAGTGGCTCACACCTGTCATCCCAGCACTTTGGGAGGCCGAGGCGGGCGGATCACCTGAGGTCAGGAGTTCGAGACCAGCCTGGCCAACTGGGTGAAACCCCATCTCTACTAAAAATACAAAAATTAGCCGGGTGTGTTGGCGCGCACCTGTCATCCCAGCTACTCGGGAAGCTGAGGCAGGAGAATCGCTTGAACTCGGGAGGCGGAGGTTGAGGTGAGCCGAGATCATGCCACTACACTCCAGCCTGGGCAACAAGAGTGAAACTCCATCTCAAAAAAAATAAAGTAAAATAAAATAATAATTTTAAAAAATAAAGATATCAGGCCGGTTGCAGTGGCTCACGCCTGTAATCCCAGCACTTCGTGAGGCCGAGGCGGGTGGATCCCCTGAGGTCAGGAGTTCGAGACCAGCCTGGCCAACAGGGTGACATCCCATCTCTACTAAAAATACAATAGTTAGCCGGGCGTGGTGGCGGGTGCCTGTAATCCCAGCTACTCAGGAGGCTGAGGCAGGAGAATCGCTTGAACCAGGAAGGTGGAGGTTGAGGTGAGCCTACATAGAGCCGCTGCACTCCAGCCTGGGCAACAAGAGCAAAACTCCATCTCAAAAAAACATAAATAAAAATAGATAAATAAATAAATAACAAAAATATCAGGCGAGGCACTGTGGCTCACGCCTGAAATCCCAGCACTTTGTGAGGCCGAGGTGGGCGGATCCCCAGAGATCAGGAGTTTGAGACCAGCCAGACCAACATGGTGAAACCCCGTCTCTACTAAAAATACAAAAATTAGCCGGGCGTGGTGGTGTGCACCTGTCATCCCAGCTACTCAGGAGGCCGAGGCAGGAGAATCGTTTGAACCCGGGAGGTGGTTTTGCAGGATAGATAGATTCAAGAGATCTATGGTACAATGCATGGCTGGGCGCAGTGGCTCATGCCTGTAATCCCACCACTTAGGGAGGCAGAGGTAGGCGGATCACAAGTTCAGGAGTTCGAGACCAGCCTGACCAACATGGTGAAACCCCGTCTCTACTAAAAATACAAAAATTAGCTGGGCGTGGTGGTGTGCACCTGTCATCCCAGCTACTCAGGAGGCTGAGGCGGGAGAATCGCTTGAACCCGGGAGGCAGAGCTTGCAGTGAGCCAAGATCACGCCACTGCCCTCCAGCCTGGGTGACAGAGTGAGGCTCCATCTCAAAAAATAGATAAATAAATAAATATGAGCACAGTTGGAGCCCCTCATCCCCACGACCCCTTTTAACAGTAACCCAGGGGATGGTATCTCACGTTCAGACAGAAGTGGGTCGGTCTTGCAACTGCCGGAGACCGTGGCCCCTGCCCTGGGGGGCTCTGAGCAGTAGCAGAACCAGCCACATTGCAGAAGCCGGGAACCAGGAGTCAGCCTCACGGTGGGTGGAGGGTGGGGGGCTGGAGGATCCCTCATTTCCCCGGGACAGACCTGCACGTCCACCCTCTTAGAAGCCAGGGCAAGAGCAAAGAGTGGGCACGTGGTCTGAGAGACCCACTGGTCACGGAAGGTCTCAGCAACACCATCCCCAGGAGGGTCCTTGCAGGCACCTGTGGGGCTAGTTCCTGGCTCCAGGCAGCCTTTACCGTCCAACCCAGGCAGGAGTGGTTTCCGTGACCCCAGTATTGCCCGTGGAATTCCCCTGAGACGAGGGGCTTTCCTGGCGAACTTTCCCAGCGAAAACACATCCGGTCACAGGCTTTGCAGCCCCCTCACTCCTGGGATCCCTGGGGAAGGGGGGCTGAGTTTCTGAGATTTCTTTTTTTTTTTTTTTTTTTTTTGAGATGGAGTCTCACTGTGTCACCCAGAGTGGGGCTGAGTCTTTGAGATTTGTTTTTTTTTTTTTTTTTTTTTTTGAGATGGAGTCTCACTCTGTCACCCAGAGTGGGGCTGAGTCTCTGAGATTTCTATTTTTTTTTTTTTCTTTTTGAGATGGAGTCTCGCTGTGTCACCCAGAGTGGGGCTGTCTTTGACATTTGTTTGTTTTTTGTTTTTTTTTTGAGATGGAGTCTCACTCTGTCACCCAGAGTGGGGCTGAGTCTCTGAGATTTCTATTTTTTATTTTTTTTTTTTGAGATGGAGTGTCGCTCTGTCACCCAGAGTGGGGCTGAGTCTCTGAGATTTCTATTTTTTTTTTTTTTGAGATGGAGTCTCGCTCTGTCACCCAGAGTAGGGCTGAGTCTCTGAGATTTCCAATTTTTTTTTTGAGATGGAGTCTTGCTCTGTCACCCAGAGTGGGGCTGAGTCTCTGAGATTTCTTTTTTTTTTGAGATGGAGTCTCACTCTGTCACCCGGAGTGGGGCTGAGTCTCTGAGATTTCTTTTTCTTTTTTTTTTTTTTTTGAAACAGAGTCTCACTCTGTCTCCCAGGCTGGAGTGCAGTGGCGCGATCTCGGATCACTGCAACCTCCGCCTCCCGGGTTCAAGCGATTCTCCTGTCTCAGCTTCCTGAGTAGCTGGGATCAGAGGCGCGCCCCACCATGCCTGGCTCATTTTTTGTATTTTAGTAGAGACAGGGTTTCGCCATGTTGCCCAGGCTGGTCTTGAACTCCTGAGCTCAGTCAATCCACCCGCCTCAGCCTCCCAAAGTGCTGGGATTACAGGCCTGAGCCTCCGTGCCCGACTGACTACTCCTGGTTTAATTCATCCCAGGCAAATGCAGGCTGGATATGCTGGGACCCCTCTTTCATGGCAAAGAGGTCTTTGTAGATGTTGTTAAGTAAAGGATCTTGAGATGAGATCGTTCTGGAGGGGGGTGGCCCTAAATGCAATGACAGGTGTGTTTCTAAGAGACAGAAAAGGAGACACAGACAGAGAGGAGGAGGCCACGTGGAGACGGAGGCAGAGACTGGAGTCATGCGGCCACAAGCCCAGGGATGCCTGGAGCCCCCAGGAGGCGGGAGAGGCAGGAAGGACCCTCCCCTAGAGCCCCCAGAGGGAGCTCAACCCTGAGACACCTTTTTTGTTTTCTTGTTTTTTGCTTTTTTTTGAGACGGAGTCTTGCTCTGTCACACAGGCTGGAGTGCAGTGGCGCCATCTCAGCTCACTGCAACCTCCGCCTCCCGGGTTCAAGCCATTCTCCTGCCTCAGCCTCCCCAGTAGCTGGGATTACAGGCACCCGCCACCACGCCTGGACAATTTTTGTATTTTTTAACAGACACGGGGTTTCACCATATTGGCCAGTCTGGTCTCGAACTCCTGATCTCATGATCCGTCCGCCTCAGCCTCCCAAAGTGCTGGGATTACAGGAGTGAGCCATCACGCCTGGCCCGACCCTGAGACATCTTGATCTCAGACTCCTGACCTCCAGGACTGGGGGATAGGATGTTGTGATCAAGGTGCGGCTTCTGGCATGGAGATTGGCAAGGCCCGAGATTGCTCCAGCAGGCACACAGGAGGGCTGCGTCACCAGAGGGAGACCTGAGGTCTCCAGCCATCACCCAGGCTGCGGAAGAGCAGCGGACGGAAACCCAGAGGAAGGTTAACCAAAGCCAGGTCCCATCCCACTTACCTGGCCACTGTGCACCCCTCAACATCCTCACAAGGGATGCCTCAGCCTCCCGCCTAGCTGGGATGACAGGCACCTGCCATCATGTCCAGCTCATTTTTTTCTTTTTCTTTTTGAGACGGAGTCTTGCTGTGTTGCCCAGGCTGGAGTGCAGTGGCACCATCTCAGCTCACTGCTACCTCCGCCTCCCGGGGTTCAAGTGATTCCCCTGCCTCAGCCTCCCCAGTAGCTGGGAGGCAGAGGTAGCAGTGAGCCGAGATCTCGCCACTGCACTCCAGCCTGGGCGACAGAGCAAGACTCCGTCTCCAAAAAAAGAGAAAAATTTAGCTGGACATGATGGCAGGTGCCTGTCATCCCAGCTACTTGGGAAGCTGAGGCAGGAGAATGGCGTGAACCCAGGAGGAAGAGCTTGCAGTGAGGCGACATCGCACCACCACCCTCCAGCCTGGGCAACAGAGCAAGACTCCATATCAAAAAAAAAAAAAAAAATATGAGCTGAACATGATGGCAGGTGCCTGTCATCCCAGCTACTGCGGAAGCTGAGGCAGGAGAATCGCTTGAACCCGGGAGGTGGAGCTTGCAGCGAGCCTAGATTATGCCACTGCTCTCCAGCCTGGACGACAGAGCGAGACTCCGTCTCAAAGAACAAAGAAAAAGTCGGCTGTGCTCCTGGCATGGGTGGCACACATACGAGGGTCTGCACACACAGGTGCACGCCTTGCTGCGTTAAGGAGGTTCTATTTCGGGTGTCTCCCATCTGTGTTATCTCCCAGACTCACCCACCATCCCTTCTCATTTCCTTGTTTCTGTTCCTCCTGCCCAAGTCCTGCCAAGGCCGCCACCCCTCCCGCAAGCTTCTGAAGCTATTCCCAATTGCCTCCCTCCTCTGCCACCAGCCCAAGGAGTTTTTCAGAATGACCCCTGCTGGGTGCGTGGCTCACGCCTGTCATCCCAGCCCTTTGGGAGGCAGAGGCAGATGGATCACCTGAGGTCAGGAGTTCAAGACCAGCCTGACCAAGAAGCTGAAACCCCTTCTCTACTAAAAATACAAAAATTAGCCGGGCATGGTGGCGGGCGCCTGTAGTCCCAGCTACTCGGGAGGCTGAGGCAGGAGAATCGCTTGAAGCTGGGAGGCGGAGGTTGTGGTGAGCTGAGATCTTGCCACTGCACTCCAGCCTGGGTGACAGAGGAAGACTCCATCTCAAAAAAAAAAATTAGTTGGATATGATGGCAGCTGCCTGTAATCCCATACTCGGGAGGCTGAGGCAGGAGAATCACTTGAACCCTGGGAGGCAGAGGTTGCAGTGAGCCGAGATCGCGCCACTGCACTCCAGCCTGGGCGAGAGAGCAAGACTCTGTCTCAAAAATAAATAAATAAATAAGTAAATAAGTAAGTAAATAAATAAAATGGCCCCCACCAGGCATGGTGGCTCACGCCTGTCATCCCAGCACTTTGGGAGGCCGGCAGATTGCCTGAGGTCAGGAGTTCGAGACCAGCCTGACCAAGAAGCTGAAACCCTGTCTCTACTAAAAATACAAAAATTAGCCCGGCGTGGTGGCAGGTGCCTGTAGTCCCAGCTACTCCGGAAGCTGAGGCAGGAAAATCACTTGAATCTGGGAGGCGGAGTTTGCAGTGAGCCGAGATCTTGCCACTGCACTCCAGGCTGGGCGACAGAGCGAGACTCCGTCTCAAAAAAAAAAAAAAAAAAAATTAGCTGGACATGATGGCAAGGTGCCTGTAATCCCAGCTACTTGGGAGGCCGAGGCAAGAGAATCGCTTGAACCCTGGGAGGCAGAGGTTGCAGTGAGCCGAGATCGCGCCACTGCACTCCAGCCTGGGCGAGAGAGCAAGAATCTGTCTCAAAAATAAATAAATAAATAAGTAAATAAGTAAGTAAATAAATAAATAAAATGGCCCCCACCAGGCATGGTGGCTCACGCCTGTCATCCCAGCACTTTGGGAGGCCGGCAGATTGCCTGAGGTCAGAAGTTCGAGACCAGCCTGGCCAACATGGCAAAACCCGGTCTCTACTAAAAATACAAAAATTAGCCAGGCGTGGTGGCGGGCGCCTGTAATCCCAGCTACTCGGGAGACTGAAGCAGGAGAATCTCTTGAACCTGGGAGGCAGAGGTTGCAGTGAGCAGAGATCACACCACTGCACTCCAGCCTGGGTGACAGAGAGAGACTCCATCTAAAAAAATAAAATAAAAATAAAAATAAAATAAAATGACCCCATCCCCCCAGACTCAAGGTGGAGGGGAGGTGTTGGTTTTTAAAGGGCTGTTTTCTTTGTTTTTTATTTCTATTTGTATTTTATTTTAAGTTCTGGGGTACATGTGCAGAATGTGCAGGTTTGTTACATAGGTATACATGTGCCAGTGTGGTTTGCTGCACCCATCAACTCGTCATCTACATTAGGTATTTGTCCTAATGCTCTCACTGCCCTTGTCCCCCAAGCCCCGACAGGCCCTGGTGTGTGATGTTCCCCTCCCTGTGTCCATGTGTTCTCATTGTTCAACTCCCACTTATGAGTGAGAACATGCGGTGTTTGGTTTTTCTGTTCCTGTGTGAGTTTGCTGAGAATGATGGTTTCCAGCTTCATCCATGTCCCTGCAAAGGACATGATCTTATCCATTTTGATGGCTGCATAGTATTCCATGGTGTCTATGTGCCACATTTTCTTTATCCAGTCTATCATTGATGGACATTTGGGTTGGTTCCAAGTCTTGGCTATTGTGAACAGTGCTGCAAAAACATACGTGTGCGTGTGTCTTTATAGGAGAATGACTGATCATCTAAAGGGCTATTTTCTTTCTTTCTTTTTTTTTTTTTTTTGAGACAGAGTCTTCCTCTGTCACCAGGCTGGAGTGCAGTGGCATGATCTTGGCTCACTGTAACCTCCGCCTCCTTGGTTCAAGCCAAATTCTCCTGGCCCAGCCTCCTGACTAGCTGGGACTACAGGTGCCCACAAGCACACCCAGCTAATTTTTTTTGTTTTTTGTATTTTTAGTAGAGACAGGGTTTCACCGTGTTAGCCAGGATGGTCTCGATCTTCTGACCTCGTGATACGCCCACCTCGGCCTCCCAAAGTGCTGGGATGACAGGCTTGAGCCACACATGTGATAAAATTACTTAGAACTGAATGCTTAGTAATACTGGGAACACCCAAGTAAGATTGTATCAATCTCCAGGTTGCAACATTGCAACCCTCATTTTGTAAGATGTTACCAAGGAAAAAAAACTGACCCAAGCATGCCAGGGTGTTTGTATTAATTTTTTTTTTTTTTTGAGATGGAGTCTTGTTCTGTCGCCCAGGCTGGAATGCAGTGGCACAATCTCAGCTCACTGCAACCTCCACCTCCCAGGTTCAAGAAGTTCTCCTGCCTTATTCTCCTCAGTAGCTGGTATTACAGGTGCCTGCCACCATGCCCAGCTACTTTTTGTATTTTTTTTTTTTTTGAGACGGATTCTTGCTCTGTTGCCCAGGTTGGAGTGCAGTGGCGCGACCTCGGCTCACTGCAACCTCCGCCTCCCGGGTTCAAGCGATTCTCCTGCCTCAGCCTCCCGAGTAGCTGGGATTACAGGCATGTGCCACCACAACCAGCTAATTTTTGAATTTTTAGTAGAGGCAGGGTTTCAGCATGTTGGTCAGGCTGGTCTTGAACTCCTGACATTGTGATCTGCCCGCCTCGGCCTCCCAAAGTGCTGGGATGACAGGTGTGAGGCACCGCGCCCGGCCTGCCGCCATGGTTTTCTTAATACCATTCTTTTCTGTAGCCTAGTTAATTGCAAGAATGCAGTATAGCATACACAGAGCATAACAAATATGTATGAATCAACTGTTTATGTTATCAGTAAGGCTTCTGGTTAACACTAGGCTGTTAGTTGTTACGGTTTGGGGGAGTTAAAAGTCACACTTGGATTTTTTTTTTTTTTTCAGATGGAGTCTCACTCTGTTGCCCAGGCTGGAGTGCAGTGGCGTGATTTCAGCTCACTGCAACCTCCACCTCCTGGGTTCAAGCGATTCTGCTGCCTCAGCCTCCTGAGTAGCTGGGATGACAGGCATGTACCACCGTGCCTGGGTCATTTTTGTATTTTTAGTAGAAATGGAGTTTCGCCATGTTGGTCAGGCTGGTCTTGAACCCCTGACCTCAGGTGATGCACCCACCTTGGCCTCCCACAGAGCTGGGATTACAGGCGTGAGCCACTGGGCCCCGCCCTGTATTTGGATTTTTGAGTGCACGAGGTGGCAGTGTCTGTAACCTGCACATTGCCTAAGAGTTAATTCTGTATCAAAACATCTTGTTTGTACGTTAAATATATCCAGTTAAAAAAAAATAAGGAAGCGGTTAGCCATGAGTTGACATCACATTTACAACCCCATCATTTCAAACTTCCTTTTCTGGGTGTGGTGACGGGCACCTGTCATCCCAGCTACTCGGGAGGCTGAGGCAGGAGAATCGCTTGAACCTGGGAGGCTCAGGTTGCGGAGAGCTGAGATCGCGCCACTGCACTCCAGCCTGGGTGATAGAGCAAGACTCCATCTCAGAAAAAAAAAAAAAAAAAAAAAAAAAAGATATCTTAGTGGTCAGGTGCGGTGGCTCACGCCTGTCATCCCACCACTTTGGGAGGCCAACGAGGGTGGATCACCTGAGGTCAGGAGTTCGAGACCATCTGGCCAACATGGTGAAACCCCGTCTCTAGTAAAAATTTAAAAATTAGCCGGGCGTGGTGGCAGGTGCCCGTAATCCCAGCTACTTGGGAGGCCGAGGCAGGAGAATCGCTTGAACCTGGGGCAGAGGTTGCAGGGAGCCGAGATCGCACCATTGCACTCCAGCCTGGATGACAGAGCAAGCAAAGCGAGACTCCGTCTCAAAGAAAAAAAAAAAAAAAAACAGGAGCCGGGCTGCAAGGTGGAGGCTCTGGGGAAGGGCTGAGGTTGGGGTGGAATTTGGGAAGGGTGCCGAGAACCAGAGAAGAGTTGATACATTCAGAGGGAAGGGAAGGGCTGTCTGGGAGTGCGCGTGCTGAGTAAACAGAAATAACAGATTTCAGCGTTGGAAAGAGAAGCCCGGGACAGGTTGGTGAGTGCCCCATTCAGGGCTGGACTTTACTAAGGGTTTTTGTTTGTTTGTTTTCTGTTGAGACAGAGTTTGCTCTTGTCACCAGGCTGGAGTGCAGTGGTGTGATCTCGGCTCACTGTGACCTCCGCCTGCCGGGTTTAAGTGATTCTCCTGCCTCAGCCTTGGGAGAAGCTGGGATTACAGGCACCTGCCACCACGCCTGGCTAATTTTTAAATTTTTACTAGAGACGGGGTTTCACCATGTTGTCCAGGCTGATCTTGAACTCCTGCCCTCAGGTGATCTACCCGCCTCAGCCTCCCAAAGTGCTGGGATGACAGGTGCGAGCCACCGCGCCTGACCACTAAGATTTTTTTTTTTTTTTTTGAGACGGAGTCTCGTTCTATTTCCCAGGCTGGAGTGCAGTGGCGCCATCCTGGCTCACTGTAACCTCCGCCTCCCAGGTTCAAATGATTCTCCTGCCTCAGCCTCCGGAGAAGCTGGGATTATAGGCACCCACCACCACGCCTGGCTAACTTTTTTCTTTTTACTAGAGACGGGGTTTCACCATGTTGGTCAGAATGGTCTCGAACTCCTGACCTCAGGGTGATCCACCCTCCTCGGCCTCCCAAAGTGCTGGGATGACAGGTGTGAACCACCGCACCTGACCACTAAGATATCTTTTTTTTTTTTTTTTTGAGACGGAGTCTTGCTCTATCACCCAGGCTGGAGGGCACTGGCGCCATCCTGGCTCACTGTAACCTCTCTCCCAGGTTCAAACTATTCTCCTGCCTCAGCCTCCAGAGAAGCTGGGATTACAGGCACCTGCCACCACGCCTGGCTAATTTTTAAATTTTTACTAGAGACGGGCTTCCACCATGTTGGCCAGATGGTCTCAAACTCCTGACCTCAGGTGATCCGCCCTCATCGGCCTCCCAAAGTGCTGGGATGACAGGTGTGAGCCACCACCCCTGACCACTAAGATATCTTTTTTTTTTTTTTGAGACCGAGTCTTGCTCTGTCGCCCAGGCTGGAGTGCAGTGGCGCGATCTCGGTTCACTGTAACCTCCTCCGCCTCCCAGGTTCAAGCGATTCTCCTGTCTCAGCCTCCCGAGTAGCTGGGATTACAGGTGCTCACCACCACGCTGGGCTAATTTTTGTATTTTTAATAGAGACGGGGTTTCACCATGTTGGCCAGGCTGGTCTCAATCTCTTGACCTCAAGTGATCTGCCCGCCTCGGCCTCCCAAAGTGCTGGGATGACAGGCGTGAGCCACCGCACCCGGCCACTAACATATCTTTAATAAGATCTGTCATCTGAGACCGGGGGCCACCTCCCTGTCTGGGTGCTGTTTCCCACGAGACAGGGAGGAAACACAGGCAGGAGCCCCTGGACACCAGCGTTCACGCCTCCAAGGCTGAATTTACTATGTCAGGAAGTTGCCCAACCCTGCCTGTATAGCCAGCAAGAATTCTAATTATAGCAAACAGAAACACTTGCAGAAAAAAAAAAAAATGAGAACGGGAACATGATAATTTTCAAAGAAAGAGTCTTTCTTTCAAGGAAAGTCAGGTTCATGGTTACGAAGCTGCTGACCCCAGGATCCCAGCCCGTGGGAGAGAAGGGGGTCTCTGACAGCCCCCACCCCTCCCCACTGCCAGATCCTTATTGGGTCTGAGTTTCAGGGGTGGGGCCCCAGCTGGAGGTTATAAAACAGCTCAATCGGGGAGTACAACCTTCGGTTTCTCTTCGGGGAAAGCTGCTTTCAGCGCACACGGGAAGATATCAGAAACATCCTAGGATCAGGACACCCCAGATCTTCTCAACTGGAACCACGAAGGCTGTTTCTTCCACACAGTACTTTGATCTCCATTTAAGGTAAGGTCCCCCCTCCAGGGTGGGATGAGGGAAAAAGAGGGCAGGCAGGGGAGGCGGTGGACTGTGGGTTCCCAAATCCAAGCTGGCAGACACGGGGCATTGGCATGTAACAGGTTTCTGCTGAGACCTGCTGTCCGTGTGGGCACCACACCACACATAGAATGACCCGGTACCAGAGAAGTATGTTTGCGATCTCATTCACCCTTTTGTAAGTGGATCGGACGCTGAAGCCATCATAGCATGTTAGATGCCTTGGGTTTATAAAGGTGATAGCATTAGGAGTAATTTGACAGTGCTTTCTGCTTTTTCTGTGTGCTTGCTAGAAAATGTACACACCTACACATGGCTAGAGTTCTCTGTTTATTAGAAAGCGCTGGTTCAGTTAGTCAATGAGCTCACGCCCAGGGCGAGCTGACTGCCAGCCGGGGAGCCGCTTTTGGGGCTGGGACCCCAGCCTGCTTGTAGTGTTTCTCAGTGGTTTTCAAAGGCTGGCGGGACTCAGAATGTTCCAGATGGCTGGTGAAACCTCAGGTCCCTCCTAGCAGCTTTATTCACAGTAGCCAAGAGGTGGAGACAGCCCTCGTACCCATCTATAGATGAATGGAAAAATATAATGTCCATCCACACAGTGGAATATTACGCAGCCATGAAAAGGAACAAGCAGCTTTATTCACAATAGCCAAGAGGTGGAGACAGCCCTCATACCCATCTATAGACGAATGGATAAATATAATGTGGTCCAGCCACACGGTGGAATATTACACAGCCATGAAAAGGAACAAGCAGCTTTATTCACAATAGCCAAGAGGTGGAGACAGCCCTCATACCCATCTATAGACGAATGGATAAATATAATGTGGTCCAGCCACACAGTGGAATATTACACAGCCATGAAAAGGAACAAGCAGCTTTATTCACAATAGCCAAGAGGTGGAGACAGCCCTCATACCCATCTATAGATGAATGGAGAAATATAATGTGGTCCAGCCACACAGTGGAATATTATACAGCCATGAAAAGGAACAAGCAGCTTTATTCACAATAGCCAAGAGGTGGAGACAGCCCTCGTACCCATCTATAGATGAATGGAGAAATATAATGTGGTCCAGACACACAGTGGAATATTATACAGCCATGAAAAGGAACAAGCAGCTTTATTCACAATAGCCAAGAGGTGGAGACAGCCCTCATACCCCCATCTATAGATGAAGGGAGAAATATAATGTCCATCCACACAGTGGAATATTACACAGCCATGAAAAGGAACAAGCAGCTTTATTCACAATAGCCAAGAGGTGGAGACAGCCCTCATACCCATCTATAGATGAATGGAAAAATATAATGTCCATCCACACAGTGGAATATTACACAGCCATGAAAAGGAACAAGCAGCTTTATTCACAATAGCCAAGAGGTGGAGACAGCCCTCATACCCCATCTATAGATGAATGGAGAAATATAATGTGGTCCAGCCACACGGTGGAATATTACACAGCCATGAAAAGGAATAAGCAGCTTTATTCACACTAGCCAAGAGGTGGAGAGAGTCCTCATACCCATCTATAGATGAATGGAGAAATATAATGTGGTCCAGCCACACGGTGGAATATTACACAGCCATGAAAAGGAACGAGGCTCTGCCACAGGTGGCAATGTGGGTGAATGCTGAGGACATCATGCTTCCTGAGAGAGGCCAGATACAAAAAGATACATAGTGTCTGTATGATTCCATTTATTCCCTATGTCCAGATACAGGCAAATCCACAGAGACAGAAAGTGGATGAGTGGTTGCCACAGGCTGGGGAAGAGGAAGGACGGGTCTTTAATGGGTCTGGAGTCTCCTTTTGGGGTCGTGACAATGTTCTAGAAGATAGAAGTGGTGGTTTTTTTTGAGACAGAGTCTCGCTCTGTCGCCCAGGCTGGAGTGCAGTGGCGCGATCTCAGCTCACTGCAACCTCCACCTCCCGGGTTCAAGCAATTCTCCTGCCTCAGCCTCCTGAGTAGCTGGGACTACAGGCACCCGCAACTACGCCTGGCTAATTTTTGTATGTTTAGTAGAGACTTTGTATGTTTAGTAGAGTAGTAGAGATTTTGTATGTTTAGTATGTTTTGTATGTTGGTCAGGCTGGTCTCGAACTCCTGACCTCAAGCAATCCACCCCCCTCAGCCTCCCAAAGTGCTGGGATTATAGGCGTGAGCCACCGCGCCTGGCCAATGAAAATATTAATCAATAAATGTTAAGAGCACAGATTTCCCAACGTTCTGACTCAGGCATCTTCCTGGACCACAGCCCCTACAGGCAAGTGTGACTGTGTGTGGTGAGCCCATGAGCTGAACACAGGCTCTGTCCGAAAGGAGACTCTAGAGATTGCCTGTTGCCTTGGAGGTGGGCTGCGGTCCCTCTGCCCAGGCAGGAAGGGGCTCCGAGGCCTCTGGAACCTCATTTTACCTTTTCCCTGCTGCCCTCAGTCCCGTCCCCAGCCTCAAGGGGCTCAGCTTTTTCCAGGCTCACCCCTTCCATTTATAATTTGGAGACAAGCAAGGTCCACTGACGCTAACGCCATTTGGTTCTTTAAAAGATGTTAGGCCGGGCGCGGTGGCTCACGCCTGTCATCCCAGCACTTTGGGAGGCCAAGGCGGGTGGATCATGAGGTCAGGAGTTCGAGACCAGCCTGACCAACATGGTGAAACACCATCTCTACTAAAAATAGAAAAATTAGCTGGGTGTGGTGGCGGACACCGGTAATCCCATCTACTGGGGAGGCTGAGGCAGGAGAATCGCTTGAACGTGGGAGGTGGAGGTTGCAGTGAACCAAGATCGCGCCACTGCACTCCGGCCTGGACAACAAGAGTGAGACTCCATCTCAGAAAAAACAAAACAAAACAAAACAAAAAACCAGAAAAGACAGCTGCCACCCCAGAGCACAGTGTAGGAGAGCCAGCCTTTCTGGGATGCGGCAGAAAGTTCCAGTGCAGGAGGCTGAGGTCCTGTACCCCCTTGTTACGGTAACTGCAGCCACTTAGGAATTTCCGTGTGTTGATTTCATCATTGTAATTATACTTCCTTCCACTGCTTTGTCATCTGAGCTTCCTGGTGTGCCGCAGAGGATGTGTTTTCCTGGTTTGTGGATACAGCTCGAGCCAAGAACGGGCTAAACCCCCAGGGCAGCAACTCTTTCTTTTCTTTTCTTTTTTTTTTTTTTTTTTGAGACGGAGTCTCGCTCTGTCGTCCAGGCTGGAGTGCAGTGGCGCCATCTCGGCTCACTGCAAGCTCCACCTCCCGGGTTCAACTGATTGTCCTGCCTCAGCCTCCCGAGTAGCTGGGATTATAGGCACACTCCACCACGCCTGGCTAATTTTTGTATTTTTAGTAGAGACGGGGTTTCACCATGTTAGCCAGGCTGGTCTTGAACTCCTGACCTCGGGCAATCTGCCCACCTCTGCTTCCCAAAGTGCTGGGATTACTGGCATGAGCCACTGCACCCAGCCGGCAGGGCTTCTTTCAAAAGGGAACGGCTGACACACACACAGATGCATGCACATACATGCACACATACACACTGATGCAAACACATTTGTACACATACATTCACACATGCATGCACATAAATATGCACTTCTAGGCACATGCATGCACACATACAGACTCATGCATGTATATTTGTGTATGCACATATATTTATGCACATGTGTGTACACGTGGAATGCATGCACAGATACATATGCATTCAAACACAAAGACTGTGTGTACCTGCATGCATGAAAACACACAAACACAGCCGGGCACGGTGGCTCACACCTGTAATCTCAGCACTTGGCGAGGAAAAGGCGGGCGGATCACCTGAGGCAGGAGTCCGAGACCAGCCTGGCCAACATGGTCAAATCTCTACTAAAAAATACAAAAAGTGGGCTGGACGCGGTGGCTGACGCCTGTCATCCCAGCACTTTGGGAGGCTGAGGTGGGTGGATCACCTGAGGTCAGGAGTTCGAGACCAGCCTGGCCAACACGGTGAAACCCCGTCTCTGCTAAAAATACAAAAATTAGCCGGACATGGTGGTGGGTGCCTATAATCCCAGCTACTCGGGAGGCTGAGGCAGGACAATCGGTTGAACCTGGGAGGCGGAGGTTGCAGTGAGCCCAGATCACGCCATTGCACTCCAGCCTGGGCAACAAGAGCAAAACTCTGTCACAAAAAATAAATAAATAAATAAATAATACAAAAATTAGCCAGGCATGGTGGCGAGTGCCTGTAATCCCAGCTACTCAGGAGGCTGAGGCAGGAGAGTCGCTTGAACCTGGGAGGCAGAGGTTGCAATGAGCCGAGATCATGCCACTGCACTCCAGCCTGGACGACAAGGGCGAGTCTCCATCAGGAAAAAAAAAAAAAGAAAACACACAAACACTTATGTGTGCACACAGATACACACGGGCACAAAAATGTACACACGTGCAAGCACACACACACACAGACACATGTACACAGTACCCGTGTGTGCACAGGCATGCATGCAGTCCTGCAAATGTGCAAACAGACATGGCTACATAGAGGCATGCACACATATAGACCCATGTACACACACACGAATATTCGTGCACACATGTAGAAGCACACTCTGATGTGCATGCATGTGCAAAGGCGCATTTGCACACAGACACATATGCACACTCACCACCGCTTTCCCTCCAGAAGCAGCTCCTTCTGCTGTGAGCACCAGGCTCTGGAAGGGGCAAGCATCCTTCATTACCCGCAACCCAGTTTCACAGCCAGTCCCCGCTGCCTGACTCTCGTTTCTCCTGCAGCAGGCACCTCTGTCCTGCGTTCCGGAGCTGCGTTCCCGATGGTCCTCCTTTGGCTCACGCTGCTCCTGATCGCCCTGCCCTGTCTCCTGCAAACGAAGGAAGGTAAGAACTGGAGAAAAAATGCACGTGCCACCTGGGGAGCGGTGGGGGTAGACAGACACACAATGTCAGCGTGCCGTCCTTCAGGGAAACTTTTCATGCTGAGCTCATGGCAGAGTCTCATGCAGTGGTCGGGAATGACTCAGACACTTCCCTGTACCCGTCACCAAGTTCCCTGTAATGCAGCATCTTGCAAAACGGTAATACGACCTCACAGGCAGGGACCTGATCGTGACACAGATGCCATGTGAGGTGTTTTGATGAAACTCACACGCTGGGATCAACAGCACCAATAACAATTTCCAGTTTCCTTCATTGTTTATCTTACTTTTTCATTTTCTTATTATTTTTATTTTGGAGACAGGGTCTTACTGTCTTGCCCAGGCTGGAGTGCAATAGTGTGATCTCGGCTCACTGCAACCTCTGCCTCCCGGATTCAAGCGATTCTTCTGCCTCAGCCTCCCGAGGAGCTGAGATTACAGTCGCGCACCACCATACCCGGCTAATTTCTGTATTTTTGATAGAGACGGGATTTCACTATGTCGGTCAGGCTGGTCTAGAACTGCTGACCACAAGTGATCCGTCTGCCTTGGCCTCCCAAAGTGCTGGGATTACAGGTGTGAGCCACAGCGCCCGGCCTTTTTTTTCATTGGTTTTTACAGTCTATTACTGCAGGGTTTCACTTTACCTTGAATTTCTTTTAACTTTAATTTGCTTTTCATTCTTTAACTTCTTTTTTTTTTTTTTTTTTGACACAGAGTTTCATTCTGGTCGCCCAGGCTGGAGTGTAATAGCGTGACCATGGCTCACTGCAACCTCTACCTGCTGGGTTCAATTGATTCTCCTGTCTCAGCCTCCCAAGCACCTGGGATTACAGGTGTCCGCCACCACGCCCAGCTAATTTTTCTGTTTTTACTAGAGACGGGGTTTCACCGTGTTAGACAGGATGGTCTCGATCTCCTGACCTCATGATCCGCCTGCCTCGGGGTTGGGATTACACACTTTGGGAGGCCAAGGCAGGTGGACGATCACAAGGTCAGGAGTTCGTGACCAGCCTGACTAACACGGTGAAACCCCGTCTCTACTAAAAATACAAAAATCAGCTGGGCGTGGTGGCGGGCGCCTGTAATCCCAGTTACTCGGGAGGCTGAGGCAGGAGAGTCGCTTGAACCCGGGAGGAGGAGGTTGCAGTGAGCCTAGATCACGCCATTGCACTCCAGCCTGGGCGACAGAGTGAGACTCCGTCTCAAAATGAATGAATGAATGAATGAATTTCTTATAAGAATTTTTTTCCCCAGACAGTTTGTTTTAAGGGATAAATTATCCTTCTAAGTTAGAAGAAAATAATGCCAGAAGTCTAGACATTCTTATGCTTTGGTCCCGCTTATCAAACCAAGGTTGCTGACCTTGATAACCACTCAAGATCCTTACAGTTTATAAAGTCATTTCCTCAAGTTTTCTAAGTGGCCGATCAGAGATAAACCCTAGAGAAATAGTTGATGTATGTTTCTAGCTTTGGGTGACCAGCAAAATGTGATAGAATATTGCCTTTTACTGGCCGGGTGCAACGGCTCACGTCTGTAATCCCAGCACTTTGGGAGGCTGAGGCGGGTGGATCACTTGAGGTCAGGAGTTCAAAACCAGCTTGGCCATCATGGTGAAACCCCGTCTGTACTAAAAATACAAAAAAATTAGCTGGGCGCGGTGCTGTGCACCTGTAATCCCTGCTACTCAGGAGGCTGAGGCAGGAGAATCACTTGAACCCGGGAGGCGGAGGTTGCCGTGAGCCAAGATCACGCCATTGCACTCCAACCTGGGTGACAGAGCGAGGCTCCATCTCAAAAAAAAAAAAAAAAAAAGAATATTGCCTTTAACATCTTTGTACAGGTCATTTATGAAATATCTTGAGCTCTGTGATGGCTAAGAGAGACCTTCTTTTTCTTTCTTTCTTTTTTTTTTTTTTGAGACGGAGTTTTTTTGTTTTTTTGAGATGGAGTCTCGCTCTGTTACCCAGGCTGGAGTGCAGTGGCACGATCTCAGCTCACCGCAACCTCCGCCTCCCGAGTTCCAGTGATTCTCCTGCCTCAGCTTCCTGATTAGCTGGGATTACAGGCGCCCGCCACCACGCCCAACTAATTTTTGTATTTTTAGTCGCGACGGGGTTTCACCGTGTTAGCCAGGATGGTCTTGATCACTTGACCTGGTGATCCGCCCACCTTGGCCTCCCAAAGTGCTGGGATGACGGGCGTGAGCCACCACGCCCGTTTGCTTTATGACTTCTACCAGCTCACAGAAGTCTCCTGTGTACATAGAACTCCACTTCCCAGCCAGGCTCAGTAACTCACGTCTGTGATCCCAGCACTTTGGGAGGCTGAGGCAGGCAGATCATGTGAGGTTGGGAGTTCGAGACCAGCCTGGCCAACATGGTGAAACCCCATCTCTAGTAAAAATACAAAAATTAGCCGAGTGTGGTGGCAGGCACCTGTTATCCCAGCTGCACAGCAGGCTGACACAGGATAATCGCTTGAACCCGGGAGGCGGAGGTTGTAGTGAGCCGAGATCGCGCCACTGAATTCCAGCCTGGGCGACAGAGTGAGACTCCGTCTCAAAACAAACAAGCAAACAAAAATACCCATTACAATGTTGTTTTAAGATTGTTGTATATCAACTGGGCATGGTGGCTCATGCTTGTAATCCCAGCACTTTGAGAGGCCGAGGCGGACAGATCACGAGGTCAGGAGATCGAGACCATCCTGGCCAACATGGTGAAACCCCATCTCTAGTAAAAATACAAAAATTAGCCGGGCGTGGTGGTGGGCTCCTGTAATCCTAGCTACTCGGGAGGCTGAGGCAGGAGAATCGCTTGAACCCGGGAGGTAGAGGTTGCGGTGAGCTGAGATCGTGCCACTGCACTCCAGCCTGGGTGACAAGAGCAAAACTCCGTCTCAAAAAAATAAAAAATTTAAAAAAATAAAGAACTCGACCTCCCAAAGGTATTGGCTAACTCCACGGGCAAAAAAACCATACCCATTACAATGCTGTTTTAAGATTGTTGACCTGGTGCGGTGGCTCATGCCTGTAATCCCAGCACTTTGGGAGGCTGAGGCGGACGAATCATGAGGTCAGGAGATCGAGACCATCCTGGCTAACACGGTGAAACGCCATCTCTACTAAAAATACAAAAAAAAAAAAATTAGCCGGGCGTGGTGGCGGGCGCCTGTAGTCCCAGCTACTCGGGAGGCTGAGGCAGGAGAGTTGCTTGAACCAGGAGGCGGAGCTTGCAGTGAGCTGAGATCGTGCCACTGTAGTCCAGCCAGGGCGACAAGAGTGAAACTCCATGTCAAAAAATTTAAAAAAATTAAATAAAAGAACTCCACCTCCCAAAGGTATTGGCTAACTCCACGGGCAAAAAAAAAAAACCATACCCCTTACAATGCCGTTTTAAGATTCTTACGTATCTCTTCGAACTCCAACCTGTCACCGTTTTAGATCCAAACCCACCAATCACGAACCTAAGGATGAAAGCAAAGGCTCAGCAGTTGACCTGGGACCTTAACAGAAATGTGACCGATATCGAGTGTGTTAAAGACGCCGACTATTCTATGCCGGTAAATCATACTCTCTATTGTTTTTTTATTTTTATTTTAT
Organism: Homo sapiens; assembly: GCF_000001405.40. Classification (NCBI taxonomy): domain Eukaryota; kingdom Metazoa; phylum Chordata; class Mammalia; order Primates; family Hominidae; genus Homo; species Homo sapiens. The sequence goes on from NC_000024.10 coordinate 1,345,475, forward strand.
TTATTTATGTATTTATGTATTTATTTATTTTTTGAGACGGAGTCTTGCTCTGTCGCCCAGGCTGGACTGCGGTGACCCGATCTCCGCTCTCTGCAACCTCCACCTCCCAGGTCCATGCCATTCTCCTGCCTCAACCTCCCGAGTAGCTGGGACTACAGGCGCCCGCCACCATGCCCGGCTAATTTTTTTGTATTTTTAGTAGAGATGGGGTTTCACTGTGTTAGCCAGGAGGGTCTCGATCTCCTGACCTCGTGATCTGCCCGCCTCGGCCTCCCAAAGTGCTGGGATTACAGGCGCGAGTCACCGCGCATGGCCCAGACTCTCTAATGTTGACGAACAAGACGTTTCCGTCTTCTGCAGGAATCTCAGAACCAATACTGCTCCCATCGCTGGTGTCATGACTACCTGGTTTCTGCCCCGAAGTCAGGTGTGGGATTTGAAGTGACTTTGGAGGGTCTGGTTCCCCGTCCGCGGGACATCTAAGATGGCACACACTGGACAGGGTGGATGTGAAAGTGAAATGAGGCTAAGCTATGACTGGTGCGAAACCCAACCCCACGCTGGGCGTGGTGGCTCACGTCTGTAATCCCAGCACTTTGGGAGGCTGAGGCGGGCGGATCATGAGGTCAGGAGTTCGAGACCAGTCTGGCCAACACGGTGAAACGCTGTCTCTGCTAAAAATACGAAAGTTAGCCGGGCACAGTGGCTCACACCAGCACTTTGAGAGGCTGAGGCGGATGGATCACCTGGGGCCAGGAGTTCGAGACTAGTCTGGGCAACATGGTGAAACCCCGCCTCCACTAAAAATATAAAAATTAGCTGGGCATGGTGGTGGGCGCCTGTAATCCCAGTTACTTGGGAGGCTGAGGCAGGAGAATCGCTTGAACCCGGGAGGCAGAGGTTGCATTGAGCCGAGACTGTGCCACTGCACTCCAGCCTGGGGGACGAGAGCAAGACTTCATGTCAAAAAAGAAAAAGAAAAATTAGCCGGATGTGGTGGCACATGCCTGTAATACCAGCTATTCAGGAGGCTGAGGCAGGAGAATTGCTTGAACCTGGGAGGCCGAGGTTGCACTGAGCCGAGATTGTGCCACTGCACTCCAGCCTGGGTGACAGAGTGAGACTCCATCTCAAAACAAAAACAAAAACAAAAGCAAAAACAAAACAAAAGTGTGTGCTCAGGAAACAAGGTCCTCATCACGAAATCCTTCCAAATCCCCCATCTTGTCATCACCTGCGTTCTCAGGGTTTGAGAACAGCGCCAGACCTCATGGGGTGGCCCAGGTGACACTGTGAGCTATTTACAAGTCAGTGTCTTATGGGAAAGGAGCACGTTTCCCTGAGAACCTATTTGGTCCCCTCCAAGAGCTATGTTCGTTCAATACAATTCAAATCACGGCCCTTCATGCGTCTGCTCGGGCCACCATTATAAAATCCTACCCCCAGCTCCAAATACAGTCCCATTGAACTTTGTGATTTTGGAGAGTAGAGATAAAACAGTCTAGAATCCCAGAGCGATTTTACCATACCATGGCAAACTGACTCTCAACTTTAGAAACACAAATGCTGAAAAAAAAACTAAGGAAATTTTGAAAAAGAAGGTGAATGAAGGAGAACCTGCCTTACCTATATCAAAAGGCACTGAAAAGTTCATACCCAATGTGCGGATTGCTATAAGAATACACAAGTAGGCCGGGCGTGGTGGCTCACGCCTGTCATCCCAGCACTTTGGAGGCCGAGGCGGGTGGATCACGAGGTCAGGAGATCGAGACCCTCCTGGCTAACACGGTGAAACCCCGTCTCTACTAAAAATATAAAAATTAGCCGGGCGTGGTGGCTGGTGCCTGTAGTCCCAGCTACTCGGGAGGCTGAGGCAGGAGAATGGCTTGAACCTGGGAGGCAGAAGCTTGCAGTGAGCCGAGATCGCGCCACTGCACTCCAGCCTGGGCGACAGAGCGAGACTCTGTCTCAAAAAAACAAAAACAAAAGCAAACAAAACGAAGAATATACAAGTAGATTAATGAAATGTGGCCGGGTGCGGTGGTGAGGCAGGAGAATTGCTTGAACCCGAGAGGTGGAGGTTGCAGTGAGCTGAGATCGCACCACTGAAGTCTAGCCTGGGCAAGCGGAGTGAGGCCCTGTCTTAACAAAAAAACAAAGAAACAAAAAACAAACAAACAAGAAAAAAACAAAGCAAAACAAACAGAAAAGTATTTCACTAATATTTACTGCTAAGTGGGATTATTTTTATTCAAGCTTTTGTATCTTTAGAAAAAAATTGTGGCCGGGCGCGGTGGCTCACGCCTGTCATCCCAGCACTTTGGGAGGCCGAGGAGGGTGGATCACGAGGTCAGGAGATCGAGACCCTCCTGGCTAACACGGTGAAACCCCGTCTCTACTAAAAATATAAAAATTAGCCGGGCGTGGTGGCGGGCGCCTGTAGTCCCAGCTACTTGGGAGGATGAGGCAGGAGAATGGCATGAACCCGGGAGGGAGAGGCTACAGTGAGCCGAGATCGCGCCCCTGCACTCCAGCCTGGGCGACAGAGCGAGACTCCCTCTCAAAAAAAAAAAAAACAGAAAAAAGTCTTGGCCGGGCACGGTGGCTCACGCCTGTAATCCCAGCACTTTGGGAGGCTGAGGCAGGCGGATCACATGAGGTCAGGAGTTCGAGACCAGCCTGACCAACATGGTGAAACCCTGTCTCTACCCAGAAAAATACTTTAAAAATTAGCTGGGCGTGGTGGCGGGCACCTGTAATCCCAGGTGCTCGGGAGGTTGAAGCAGGAGAATGGCTTGAACCCGGGAGGGAGAGGCTGCAGTGAGCCGAGATCACGCCACTGCACTCCAGCGTGGGCGACGAGAGCGAAACTCTGCCTCAAAAAAAATCTGAACATCATTAGCGTCAAATTAAGCATGGTCTGTCAGCAGCCATCATAGTCCTATGTCTCTCTTAGGCAGTGAACAATAGCTATTGCCAGTTTGGAGCAATTTCCTTATGTGAAGTGACCAACTACACCGTCCGAGTGGCCAACCCACCATTCTCCACGTGGATCCTCTTCCCTGAGAACAGTGAGAAAAATGTTCATTGTTTGTTTATTCTCTATTCCCTCCCTCCTTCCCTCTCTCCCTCCCTCTCGCCTTCGCTGTGTCTTTTTTCTTTTCTTTTTCTCTTTCTTTCTTTCTTTCTTTCTTTCTTTCTTTCTTTCTTTCTTTCTTTTTCTTTCTTTCTGTTTCTGTTTCTTTCTTCCTTTCTTTTTCTTTCTTTCTTTCCTTCTTTCCTCTCTTTCTTTTCTTTCTCTTTCCCTCCCTCCCTTCTTTCTTTTCTTCACTTCCTTCCCTCCCTCCTTCTCTCCTTTTCCTCCCTCCTCCTTCCCACCCTACTTCCTCTCTCTCCTTCCTTCCCTTTCGTTTTCTTTTCCTCCCTGCCTCACTCCCTTCCTTCCTTCTCTCCCTCCTCTTTTCCTTCCTTCTTCCCTCCTTCCCTTTCTCTCTCTCTCTCTTTCTCTCTTTCCCCCTCCCCTCCCTTCCCCTCCTCTCCCCTCTCCTTTCCTGACACGGTCTTGCTCTGTTGCCCAGGCTGGAGCGCAGTGGTGCAATCACAGCTTACTGCAGGCTTCACCTCCTGAGCTCAAACAATCCTTCTGCCTCAGCCTCCCACGTAGGTGGAACTACACCCATGTACCACCATGCCCACCTAATTTTTTAAACACCTTTTTTTTTTTTTAGACAGAGTCTCACTCTGTCCACCAGGCTGGAGTGCACTGGCGCGATCTCGGCTCACTGCAACCTCTGGCTCCCGGGTTCAAGCGATTCTCCTGCCTCAGCCTCCCGAGTAGCTGGGATTATAGGCGCCCACCGCCACGCCCAGCTAATTCTTGTATTTTTAGTAGAGATGGGGTTTCACCATGTTGGTCAGGCTGGTCTCAAACTCCTGACTTCGTGATCTGCCCGCCTCGGCCTCCCAAAGTGCTGGGAGTACAGGGGTGAGCCACCGCGCCCAGCCTTAAATACTTTTTGTAGAGATGGGGTGTCGCTATGTTACCTGAGCTGGTCTCAAACTCCTAGGCTCAAGTGATCCTCCCGCCTCAGTCTCCCAAAGTGCAGGGATTGTAAGCATCAGCCACCACGCCTGGCCTCTTCTTTGTTTTTTAATTAATTAGAAGTCCATGGTTTATTTTTTTGTTTTGTTTTGTTTGTTTTTCTGTGATGGAGTCTTGTTCTTGTCGCCCAGGCTGGAGTGCAGTGGTGCGATTTCAGCTTACCGCAAACTCCGCCTCCCGGGTTCAAGCGATTCTCCTGCCTCAGCCTCACAAGTAGCTGGGATTACAGGCACCCGCCACCAAGCCCGGCTAAATTTTGTATTTTAAGTAGAGACGGGGCTTCACCATGTTGGTCTCGAACTCCTGACCTTGTGATCCACCCGCCTCAGCCTCCCAAAGTGCTGGGATGACAGGCGGGAGCCACTGTGCCGGGCCTCAATTTAATTATTTTTAAGTTTAATGGATTTCCAGGGAGTTATGCCGAGTCGGAAAAAAAAGACCACTCCAGAGCGTGACACACACAGTGATTTCATTAATACAACTGTCTTGAAATGGCAAAATTTTACAAATAGAAAACAGTCTCCTGGGTTGCAGGGATATAAGCAGGAGTGAGAGCTGAGAGAGGTGGGTTTGGCTGTAAAAGTGCTCCTTGGGGAGGCCGGGCGCAGTGGCTCACGCCTGTAATCCCAGCACTTTGGGAGGCCGAGGCGGGCGGATCACCTGAGGTCAGGAGTTCGAGACCAGCCTGGCCAACATGGTGAAACCCCGTCTCTACTAAAAACACAAAAATTAGCCGGGCATGGTGGCTCACGCCTGTAATCCCAGCACTTTGGGAGGCCGAGGCAGGCGGATCACCTGAGGTCAGGAATTCGAGACCAGCCTGGCTAACATGGTGAAACCCCATCTCTACTAAAAATACAAAATTAGCCAGGGGTGGTGGCACATGCCTGTAGTCCCAGCTACTCAGGAGGCTGAGGCAGGAGAATCACTTGAACCCGGGAGGCGGAGATTGCGGTGAGCTGAGATCGTGCCATTGCTCTCCAGCCTGGGCAACAAGAGTGAAATTCCATCTAAAAAAAAAAAAAAATTAAAAAGAAATTAGCGGCCGGGCCCAGTGGCTCACACCTGTAATCCCAGCACTTTGGGAGGCCGAGGTGGGTGGATCGCGAGGTCAGGAGATCGAGACCATCCCGGCTAACATGGTGAAACCCCATCTCTACTAAAAATACAAAATTAGCCAGGGGTGGTGGCACATGCCTGCAGTCCCAGCTACTCAGGAGGCTGAGGCAGGAGAATCACTTGAACCTGGGAGGCGGAGGTTGTGGTGAGCCATTGAGCTCCAGCCTGGGCAACAAGAGTGAAACTCTGTCTTAAACACACACACAGATGCACACACACGCACACACACACAAACAATGAAAGAAAAACATCTGTAGTCCCAGCAGTTTGGGAGGCTGAGGCGGGTGGATCACTTGAGGTCAGGAATTCGCGACCAGTCTGGGCAACATGGTGAAACCCCATCTCTACTAAAAATACAAAAATTAGCTGGGTGTGGTAGTGGGTGCCTGTTGTCCCAGATACTTGGGAGGCTGAGGCAGGAGAATTGCTTGAACCCGGGAGGTGGAGGTTGCAGTGAGCCGAGATGGCGCCATTGTACTCCAGCCTAGGCGACGGAGCGAGACTCTGTAAAAATGAATAAATAAATCATTAAAAGAATATGCAGGATCTCTCCATATTATTATTATTTTTTACAACGGCTTGTGTATCTACCATGGTCTCAAAATACAAAAGGCACTCTAAAAAGGAATTAGAGTTTTATTTTTTTTTTTGAGACGGAGTCTCGCTCTTGTCACACAGGCTGGAGTGCAGTGACGTGGCCTGGGCTCACTGCAACCTCTGCCTCCTGGGTTCAAGAAATTCTCCTGCCTCAGCCTCCCTAGTAGCTGGGATTACAGCGGCCCGACATCACGCCCGGCTAATTTTTGTATTTTTAGTAGAGGCAGGGTTTCACCATGTTAGCCAGGCCGGTCTCGAACTCCGGACCTCAGGTGATCCTCCTGCCTCGGCCTCCCAAAGTGCTGGGATTACAGGCGTGAGCCACCATGCCTGGGTTTGTTTTTTTATTTTTTTGAGACGAAGGCTCACTCTGTCGCCCAGGCTGGAGTGCAGTGGCGTGATCTCAGCTCCATGCAACCTCTGCCTCCTGGGTTCAAGAAATTCTCCTGCCTCAGCCTCCCGAGTAGCTGGGATTACAGCGGCCCGACATCACACCTGGCTAATTTTTTATATTTTTAGTAGAGACTGGGTTTCACCATGTTAGCCAGGCTGGTCTCGAACTCCGGACCTCGGGTGATCCACCTGCCTCGGCCTCCCAAAGTGCTGGGATCACAGGCGCGTGCCACCAGACACAGCTAATTTTTGCATTTTTAGTAGAGATTGGGTTTCTCCATGTTGGCCAGGCTGGTCTCGAACTCCTGACCTCATGTGATCCACCCGCCTCGGCCTCCCAAAATGCTGGGGTGACAGGCGTGAGCCACCGCGCCCGGTCCCGATTCGAGTTCTCTTTCATGTTTGTGAACCCAGGTGGGAAGCCTTGGGCAGGTGCGGAGAATCTGACCTGCTGGATTCATGACGTGGATTTCTTGAGCTGCAGCTGGGCGGTAGGCCCGGGGGCCCCCGCGGACGTCCAGTACGACCTGTACTTGAACGTTGCCAAGTAGGTGTGCCCGTGGGCAGAGGCCGGGCTGTCCCTGGTGCGGGTGCCATCGGCGTGGGGTCGTCCCCCAACCTTACCGCTTACCGCAGCAGGCGTCAACAGTACGAGTGTCTTCACTACAAAACGGATGCTCAGGGAACACGTATCGGGTGTCGTTTCGATGACATCTCTCGACTCTCCAGCGGTTCTCAAAGTTCCCACATCCTGGTGCGGGGCAGGAGCGCAGCCTTCGGTATCCCCTGCACAGATAAGTTTGTCGTCTTTTCACAGATTGGTGAGTAGCCCGGGACACTCCCTCCCACCCTCAGTTCTGTGATACCACGGCTTTAGCGCCAGGCCAGATCCCACGGGACCACGTGGCTCCCAACGCAGACGTTGGCCTCTCACATTTCCAGAGGCTGGACGTTGGAGGTCAGCGTGCTGGCTGGCTGGGCTCCTCGGGAGGTCTCTTCCTGGCTTGGAGAGAGGGTCATCTTCTCACTGTGTCTTCACGTGGTGTAGAGAGAGAGAGAGATGAAGTTCTGGGGTCTCTTGTTAGAAGGGCACTAACACCATCATGGGTCCCATCATGGGTCATAGGATCCCTCACCATGGGTCATGGGACCCCCCATCATGGGTTCCATCATGGGTCCCATCATGGGTCATAGAATCCCCCATGATGGGTTTCATCATGAGTCATAGAACCCCCTATCATGGATTCCATCATGGGTCATGGGAACCCCCATCATGGGTCCCATCATGGTTCATAGGATCCCCCATCATGGGTTTCATCATGAGTCATAGAACCCCCTATCATGGATTCCATCATGGGTCATGGGAACCCCCATCATGGGTCCCATCATTGGTCATAGGACCCCCTATCATGGGTTCCATCATGGGTCATGGGACACCCCCCATCATGGGTTCCACCATGAGTCATGGGATCCCTCATCGTGGGTTCCATCATGGGTCATGGGACCCCCCATCATGGGTTCCATCATGGGTAATAGGACCCCCCCATCATGGGTTCCACCATGAGTCATGGGATCCCTTATCATGGATTCCATCATGGGTCATGGGACCCCCTATCATGGATTCCATCATGGGTCATGGGACCCCCCCATCATGGGTCCCATCATGAGTCATGGGATCCCTCATCATGGGTTTCATCATGGGTCATAGGACCCCCATCATGGATTCCATCATGGGTCATGGGAACCTCCATCATGGGTCCCATTATGGGTCATAGAATTCCCCATCATGGGTTCCATCATGAGTCATGGGACCCCCCATCATGGGTTCCACATGGGATCCCTCATCATTGGTTCCATCATGGGTCATAGGATCCCCCATCATAGGTCCCATCATGGGTTCCACATGGGATCCCCCATCATAGGTCCCATCATGGGTCATGGGACCCCCCCCATCATGGGTTCCATCACGGGTCATGGGACCCCCCCCATCATGGGTTCCATCACGGGTCATGGGACCCCCCCCAATCATGGGTTCCATCATGGGTCATGGGAACCCCCATCATGGGTTTCATCATGGGTCATAGGATCCCCTATCATGGGTTCCATCATGGGTCATGGGACCCCCCCCATCACGGGTTCCATCATGGGTCATGGGAACCCCCATCATGGGTTTCATCATGGGTCATAGGATCCCCTATCATGGATTCCATCATGAGTCATGGGATCCCTCATCATGGGTTCCATCATGGGTCATGGGACCCCCCCCCCCATCATGGGTCGTGGGACCCCCACCCCCATCATGGGTCATGGGAGCCCCCATTGTGAGTCATGGAATCCCTCATCATGGGTCTCATCATGGGCCATGGGTCCCACCATGGGTCATGGGAGCCCCCATCATGAGTCATGGAATCCCTCATCATGGGTCATGGGTCCCATCATGGGTCATGGGAGCCCCCATCATGGGTCATGGGTCCCATCATGGGTCACGGGAGCCCCCATCATGGGGGTCCACCCTCATAACTTCAGCCCACGCCAGTCACCTCCCAAAGACCCCACCTTCTAACACCGCCCAACCAGGGGTTAGAGCTTCAGTGGAGGAATTTGGGACAGAAGGACACACACTTTCAGTCCACGATACCCGAGCTCCGAGGAACCTCCCAGGTGGTGAGAATGTCAATATGCCCAGAGCTGACGTGCCCTGAACCCAAGGGCAGGGTGCTCGGATGCTTCAGAAGAGGAGGGGGAAACGAGGAAGAGGAGGAGAAGGACAAGGAGAAGAGAAGGGAGGAGAGGAAGAACATGAGCAGGGGGAGGAGGAGGAGAAGGAAAAGAAACAGAGGAAAAGGAGGGGGAGGAGGTAGAGATGGAGAGGGAAGGAAGAGGAGGAAGAGAAGAAAACGGAGAAAGAGGAGGGGGAGGAGGAGGAGGAAGAGAAAATGGAGAAAGAGGAGGGGGAGGAGGTGGAGATGGGGAGGGGAGGAAGAGGAGGAAGAGAAGAAAACAGGAGGGGGAGGAAGAGAAGAAAATGGAGGGAAAGGAGGGGGAGGAGGTGGAGATGGGGAGAGAAGGAGCAGGAGGAGGAGAAGAAAGAAGAGGAAGAAAGGAGGAGGAGAGGGTGGAGGAGGAAGAGGGTGAAGGAGAGAGGGAGGAGAATGGAGAGGAGGAGGAGGCGGGGGAGGGAAGAGAAGGAGGTGAGGAGGAGGAAGGGGAGGATAGAGAAGGTGGGGTAGAAGGGTGGTGAGGTGGGGAGGGAGAAGGAGGGGGAGGAGGAGAGAGGAGGACTGGGGGGAGGAAGGGGGAGGAGGGGAGAGAGGAGGAGGGAGGAGGGAGAAGGAGGGGGAGAGGATGGAGGAAGGGGAGCAGATGGAGGAAGGCGAGCAGGAGGGGGAGGAAAAAGGAGGGGCAGGAGGAAGAAGGAGCGGGAGGAGAGGAGGAGGAGGAGGAGGAGAATGGGCAGGGAGGAGGAGAGGGAAGAAAAGGAGGGGGAGGAGGAAGGAGGGGGAGGAGGGTGGAGGGGGAGGAGGGTGGAGGGGGAGGAGGGTGGAGGGGGAGGAGGAAGGAGGGAGAAGGAGGGGAGAGGATGGAGGAAGAGGAGCAGGAGGGGGAGGAAAAAGGAGGAGGGGCAGGAGGGGAGGAGGAGAAAGGAGAGTGGAGGAGGAGGGTGACAAGGAGAATGGGGAGGAGAGAGGAGTGGTAGAAAAAGGAGAGAGAGGAAGAGTAGGAGCGGAGGGGGAGGAGGGGAGGGGAGGGGAGGGGAGAAAGACCAGGAGGGTAGGAGGAGGGGGAGGAGGAGGAGGGGGCCAGGGCTGGACTTCCTTCCAGGGGCCCAGGGGAGACCCAGCCAGGCAGCCGGACACACAGGGCTGGGCTGGTAGTCGGGTCACACCTGAGGATGTGGAAGTGCCTGGGGTTCCCGGGAAGTGGAGGATGTCCTGGGCCACTGGGAGAGGCGGCACATCCCCTGGGGGGCGGAGGTGGGGGAGGTGAGAAGCCAGGCAGGGGCCAGGAAGTGGAAGCTTCAGGAGGATGTGTGCAGGTCAAAGTGTAGGAGTCTGCATCTTGAATGATGCAGAGAGGGCCTCCAAGGCTCCAGTGTGCTGCAGGTGGGCAGAGGGGGCATGGGAAGTAGGGGTTGGCCCTGGGCAGGGGTGGGGAGTGGGCCAGGCTGCCCAGCGGGGCTGAGCCTAGAGATGGAAGGGGCAGGGACAAAGATGTGCAGCTGCCAGTCCTTGGAAAAGCTGAACGCCTGGTACTTCAGAGAACAAAAGGGTGGTTCTGAAGGCTGCTCCCAGGACAGTGGGGCTCCGAGGGTGCAACCCCAAGGCTCACTCCTCCCAGTGCCCCCAACGCGGCTCAGTCCTGTGTCTCTGCCTGTAGAGTTTCTTTGTTCCCTCTTCCTTCCTGGTGTTTTTCTCTCCCGCTCTCCAAATGCATAGGAGAAGTAATTTGAAGTATCTCCAGAAAAAAAAAGAGAAAAAGAAAAAGAATTGATTTCTTGTACTCCTAAATCCTAAAAGTGTTTTTCTCGTTGCTAGAGATATTAACTCCACCCAACATGACTGCAAAGTGTAATAAGACACATTCCTTTATGCACTGGAAAATGAGAAGTCATTTCAATCGCAAATTTCGCTATGAGCTTCAGATACAAAAGGTAAACTTTCACCCCGCCCCCAGCCCCCCCACCCCCGTGGACATCCCTTATTTTTGGTAAGTCGCACTCTGGGGCCTTGAAACGGGCAACAATCTCCTCTGATAACGTCACAGAAGGCATGGATCATTAAAAAACAAAAACAAAAACAAAAGGCCGGGCGCTGTGGCTCACGCCTGTCATCCCAGCACTTTGGGAGGCTGAGGCAGGTGGATCACAAGGTCAGGAGATCGAGACCATCCTGGCTAACGCGGTGAAACCCCGTCTCTACTAAAAATACGAAAAAAAATTAGCTGGGCGTGGTGGCACGGTCTTGTAGTTCCAGCTACTGGGGAGGCCGAGGCAGGAGAATTGCTTGAACCCAGGAGGTGGGGGTTGCAGTGAGCCGAGATCGCGCCATTGCACTCCAGCCTGGGCGACAGAGCGAGACTCCGTCTCAAAAAAAAAAAAAAAGTTTGAGACTGTATGTGGTCTGTTGTTTTTTATTTTTATTATTTCTATTGTTATGTGGTTTTTTAATTTTTTCTTGAACTTTCTTTTTTCTTTTGTAGTGATCTACAGATTCAATGCAAGCTTCCCAGATATTTTTGATCCACAGTTCGTTGGATCAGTTGAACATAAATATTGATTTATTTATTGAGCCACTCTGGCTCTGTAGCCCAGACTGGAGTGCAGTGGCTTAAATCTTGACTCACTGCAACCTCTGCCTCCCGGGTTCAAGTGATTCTCCTGCCTCAGCCTCCCGAGTAGCTGGGATTATGGGCACCCATCACCACACCCAGCTAAGTTTTTGTATTTTTAGTAGAAACAGAGTTTCATCATGTTGGCCAGGCTGGTCTCAAACTCCTGACCTCAGGTGATCCACCCGCCTCGGCCTCCCAAAGTGCTGGGATTACAGGTGTGAGCCTTCGTGCGCAGCCTATGTGTTATATTTAGTTTGTATTTTATTTTATTGTATTTTATTATTTATTTATTTATTTTTGAGACGGAGTCCTGCTCTGTCACCCAAGCTGTTTGTTTGTTTGTTTGTTTGTTTATTATTTTTGAGACGGAGTCCTGCTCTGTTGCCCAGGCTGGGGTGCAGTGGCATGATCTCAGCTCACTGTAACCTCCGCCTCTCGGGTTCAACCAATTCTCAGCTTCAGCCTCCTGAGTAGCTGGAATTACAGGCACCTGCCACCATGCCTGGCTAATTTTTTTTTGTATTTTTAGTAGAGATGGGGTTTCACCATCTTGTCCTGGCTGGTCTTGAACTCCTGACCTCATGATCCACCCGCCTCAGCTTCCCAAAGTGCTGGGATTACAGGCGTGAGGCACTGTGCCCCGCCATATATTTATTATTTATGCTCAAATACTAATTATTTCATATGCAATTTTTCTGTAAGTCTAAATCTGCTAAAAAACGTTAGGTCTATTAATTTCTTTTATATTACCAAGTGTTTTTTAGCCAATCTGTTTGGGTTTTTTTTTTTTTTAAGAAAATAAATGGCTGGGTGCAGTAGCTTACGCCTGTAATCCCAGCACTTTGGGAGGCCGAGGCAGGACGATCACGAGGTCAGGAGATAGAGACCATCCTGGCTAACATGGTAAAACCCCGTCTCTACTAAAAATACAAAAAAAAATTAGCTGGGCGTGGTGGCGGGCGCCTGTAGTCCCAGCTACTTGGGAGGCTGAGGCAGGAGAATGGCGTAAACCCAGAAGGCGGAGCTTGCAGCGAGCTGAGATTGTGCCACTGCACTCCATCCTGGGCAACAGAGTGAGACTCCGTCTCAGGAGAAAAAAAAAAAAAGAAAATAAATACAGCACAGACTTCTTTCTTTCACTGATTTGAGGGAGCAGGCATAGCTGCAGCCACAGGCAGAGTCGTAGCTAGTCTGATGTTGCACCCCCTACCTAGTTCGCTGGCCTGGCATAGGCTGTCTGTGGCTACCCCTGAGTGCATCTGGACACAGTCTGGGAGGACGGTGGGTCTTGTTTGTCCACCGGCCTCACAAAGCCCCCTCCCACCAAGGTCTTGCCACAGTGGCCCATAAGAAACCTTTTGGGCCAGGCGCGATGGGGCATGCCTGTAATCCCAGCACTTTGGGAGGCCGAGGTGGGCAGATCATGAGGTCAAGAGATCAAGACCATCCTGGCCAACATGGTGAAACTTTGTTTCCACTAAAAATACAAAAAATTAGCCAGGCGTGGTGGCACGCACCTGTAGTCCCAGCTACTCGGGAGACTGAGGCAAAAGAATCACTTGAATCCGGGAGGCGGAGGTTGCAGTGAGCCGAGATCACGCCACTGCATTCCAGCCTGGGTGACGGAGTGAGACTCCGTCTCATAAATAAATAAACAAACAAACCTTTTGGTCAGGTGCTATTTACTCCTAAGCTCATTATTTTGCCCCCACTGCTGCCCGAAGGCCTTCCCAGAGCCCTCACTGTTTTGCTGGTTTTCCTGGAGGGAGAAATTTGAGTTTGGGAGGAGGAGGCTTTCAGGGACGGTCCAGACACTCAAAAGTTTGCTTGCTTTTGTGTTGCAGAGAATGCAGCCTGTAATCACAGAACAGGTGAGTGTTCCCTACCCCCAGCCGCTGTACTTGACATTGCAAAGGGTGAGTTTTATTATTATTAAGAATAAAATGATAAAAAATATTAATAATTCTTATTAATAAAATAATGAAAATATTATTAATAATAAATGTTATTATTCAATGTTCAGTGACTTTCATTGGACAGACTCTTGAGTGTCACCCTTACTGCGATCTTGCAAAATTGGGATATTTCACATCCCCAAATTGAGGGATGGGAAAAGGAAGAGTCAGGGATGACACCTCCCAAGGTGTGAGAGCCAGATGCTATGGCTGGCCAGGTGCTGTCCAAACGAGGTCCACCCATTTGCCCCAGATTCCTTACCCTGGGCCAGGCAGCCCCAGTCCAGCAGGAACAAGCTACCAAACCATAGCTCCACCCAGCAGAGACAAGCATTCAGACAGGTGGCCCAGACCTCAGACAGAGGACCCTCCCCCAGCCCCTGCCTGGGATCTGCAGGAACAGACAGCCGGACCACAGCATTCTCTGTCCCCTCTCTCTCTGTCCATCTCTTTCCCCGTATCTCTTTCTCTGTCTCTGAATCTCTCTGCCTTTCTCCCTCCCTCTCTTTCTCTCTCTCTCGTCTCTATCTCCCTCCCCCTCTCTGTATCTCCCTCCCTTTTTCCCTCCCTCTATCTTTCTGGCTCTCTCCCTGTGTCTATCTCTCCCTGTCCCCATCTCTCTCTGTGTCTCTTTCCCTCCCTCTCTCATTCTCCTTCCCTCTCTCTATCTTTCTCTCCCTGTCTCTATCTCCCGCTCCGTGTCTGTCTCTATCTTTCTCCCTTTCTCCCTCCATCTCTCTCTCCCTGTCTCTCTCTCCCCGTTCCCATCTCTCTCTCTGTGTCTCTGTCTCTCCCTCTCTCATTCTCCCTCCCTCTTTTATTCTCCCTCCCTCTCTTTCTCTCTCTCTCTCTCTCTCCTGGTCTCTGTCTCCCCCCTCCCCATCTCTTTCTCTGTGTCTGTCTCTGTAACCTTCTCCATTTCTCCCTCCATCTCTCTGTCTCTCCCTGTGTCTATCTCCCACTGTCCCTGTCTGTTTCTCCGTGTCTGTCTCTGTATCTCTCTCCCTTTCTCCCTCCATCTTTCTCTCTCTCCCCCGGTCTCTATCTTCCCTTCTCCCCATCTCTCTCTCTCTGTCTGTCTCTGTATCTCTCTCCCTTTCTCCCTCCATCTTTCTCTCTCTCTCCCGGTCTCTATCTCCCCCTCTCCCCGTCTCTTTCTCCGTGTCTGTCTCTGTGTCTCTCTCCCTTTCTCCCTCCCTCCATCTTTCTCTCTCTCTCCCGGTCTCTATTTCCTCCCTCCCCATCTCTTTCTCTGTGTCTGTCTCTGTATCTCTCTCCCTTTCTCCCTCCATCTTTCTCTCTCTCTCCTGGTCTCTATCTCCCCCTCTCCCTGTCTCTCTGTGTCTGTCTCTGTATCTCTCTCCCTTTCTCCCTCCCTCTCTTTATCTCTCTCTCTCTCTCTGCCTCTATCTCCCACTGTCCAAATCTGTGTCTCTGTCTCTCCCTCTTTCATTCTCCCTCTCTTTCTCTATCTCTCTCCTTGTCTATATCTCCCCCTCTCCCAGTCTCTCTGTATCTCTGTATCTCTCTCCCTTTCTCCTTCCCTCTCTTCATCTTTCTTTTTGAAACGGAGTTTTTCTCTTGTTGCCCAGGCTGGAGTGCGATGGCACGATCTCGGCTCACTGCAACCTCCGCCTCCCAGGTTCAAGCGAATCTACTCCCTCAGCCTCCCAAGTAGCTGGGATTACAGGCACTCGCCACCATGCCCAACTAACTTTTTTTTTTTTTTGTATTTTTAGTAGAGACAGGGTTTCACTAGTGGGCCAGGCTGGTCTCGAACTCCTGACCTCAGGCGATCCACCTGCCTCATCCTCTCAAAGTGCTGGAATTACAGGTGTGAGCCACCGTGCCCGGCCCCTCTCTTTATCTTTCTAGCTCTCTCCCTGTCTCTCTCTCCCTTCCCCTCTCTGTCTCTCTCTCCCTTCCCCTCTCTGTCTCTCTCTCCCTTCCCCTCTCTGTCTCTCTCTCCCTTCCCCTCTGTCTCTCTCTCCCTTCCCCTCTCTGTCTCTCTCTCCCTTCCCCTCTCTGTCTCTCTCTCCCTTCCCCTCTGTCTCTCTCTCCCTTCCCCTCTCTGTCTCTCTCTCCCTTCCCCTCTCTGTCTCTCTCTCCCTTCCCCTCTCTGTCTCTCTCTCCCTTCCCCTCTCTGTCTCTCTCTCCCTTCCCCTCTCTGTCTCTCTCTCCCTTTCCTTCTCTGTCTCTCTCTCCCTTCCCCTCTCTCTCTCTCCATTCCCCTGTCTCTATGTCTCTCCCTTTCTCTCTCCCATTATTTCTCTGTGATTGTCTCTTTCTTTCTCTGCCTCTGTCTGTCTGTCCCCCTGTATTAGTCCATTGTCACACTGCTGATAAACATATACCCAAGACTGGGTAATTTATAAACAAAAGAGGGTTCCTGGACTCACAGTTCCATGTGGCTGGGGAGGCCTCACGATCACGGCAGAAGGTGAAGGAGGAGGAAAGGCATGTCTTACATGTCAGCGGGCAAGACAGAATGAGACAGTCGCCGGGCGCAGTGACTCATGCCTGTAATCACAGCACCTTGGGAGGACGAGGTGGGTGGACCACGAGGTCAGGAGTTCAAGACCAGCCTGGCCAACATGGTGAAACCTAGCTCTACTAAAAATAAAAAAAATTACCCAGACGTGGTGGTGGCAGGCGCCTGTGGTCCCAGCTACTCGGGAGGCTGAAGCAGGAGAATCGCTTGAACCCGGGAGGCAGAGGTTGCAGTGAGTTGAGATCGCGCCACTGCACTCCAGCCTGGGTGACAGAGTGAGACTCCGTCTCGAGAAAAAAAAAAAAAAAAAAAAAATGAGAGCCGAGAGAAAGGTTTCCCTTATTAAACCATTAGATCTCGTGAGACTTATTCACTACCCCGAGAACAGTGTGGGGGGAAACTGCCCCCATGATTCAGTTATGTCCTACCCAGTCCCTCTCACAACACGTGGGAGTTATAAGGGCTACAATTCAAGATGAGATTTGGGTGGGGACACAGCCAAACTACATCACCCACTCTCTCTGTCTCTCTGCTTCTGTTTTCCTCTCTGTCTCTGTTTTTCTTTCCCTCTCTCTGTCTCTTTGTATCTCTGTCTCTCTCTCTCTGTCTCCGTTTCTATCTCTGTCTCTCTCTGTCCATCACCCACTCTGTCTCTTTGTCTCTCTATGTCTCTCTGTTTCTGTTTTTCTGTTTTTCTCTTTCCCTCTCTCTTTGTATCTATGTCTTTCTGTCTCTCCGTTTCTGTCTCTCTCTCTGTCCATCACCCACTCTGTCTGTCTTTGTCTATGTCTCTCTGTTTTTCTGTCTCTTTTTCTCTTTCCCTCTCTGTCTCCCCTCTCTGTGTCTCTTTGTATCTCCGTCTCTCCCTGTCTGTTTCTATCTCTGTCTCTCTCTGTCCATCACCTACTCTGTCTCTTTGTCTCTGTCTGTTTCTGTTTTTCTTTCTTTTTCCCTCTGTCTCCCTTCTCTGTGTCTCTTTGTATCTCTGTCTCTCTCTGTTTCTATCTGTCTCTCTCTGTCCATCACCCACTATCTCTGTCTATGTCTGTTTTTCTGTCTCTGTTTTTCTCTCTCCCTCTCTCTGTCTCCCCTCTCTGTGTCTCTTTGTATCTCTTTCTCTCTCTCTGTCTCTCCCTGTCTGTTTCTATCTCCGTCCTCCTGTATTAGTCCATTTTCATGGACTAATGAGGATCCTTCCCGCTTCTCCCAGCTCCTGGGGACTCTGGGGTCCCTGGGCTTGTGGCCATATCACTCCACTCTCTGCCTCCGTCTCCACATGGCCTTCTCCTCTGCATCCGTGTCTCCTTTTTATTTATTTATTTATTTATTTTGAGACAGAGTCTCGCTCTGTCACCCAGGCTGGAGTGCAGTGGTGCGATCTCAGCTCACTGCAACCTCCGCCTCCCAGGTTCAAGCGATTCCCCTGCCTCAGCCTCCCGAGTAGCTGGGACTACAGGTGCACACCACCACGCCTGGCTAATTTTTGTATTATTAGTAAAGATGGGATTTTACCTTGTTGCTCAGGTTGACCTCGAACTCCTGACCTCAGGTGATCTACCCACCTCAGCCTCCCAAAGTGCTGGGATTACAGGTGTCAGCCACCGCGCCCGGCCACGTCTCCTCTTCTTATAAGGATATTGGTCATTGCATTTAGGGCCCCCCCTGATCCAAAATGACATCATCTCAATCTATATCTTAACGACATCTGCCATGAACAGGTATTTCATCATAAGGCCCCATTGTAAGGTGCTGGGGGCTAAGACTGCAACATATGAATTTTGGGGGATCACAATGCAGCCTCATTCTTTTGTACCCATCAAATATGAATGGTCTTTTCTTCTTTTTTTTTTTTTTTTGAGACGGAGTCTCGCTCTGTCACCCAGGCTGGAGTGCAGTGGCGCAATCTCGGCTCACTGCAAGCTCCGCCTCCCGGGTTCCCGCCACTCTCCTGCCTCAGCCTCCTGAGTAGCTGGGACCTCAGGCGCCCGCCACCGGGCCCGGCTAATTTTTTGTATTTTTAGTAGAGACGGGGTTTCACTGTGGTCTCGATCTCCTGACCTTGTGATCTGCCCGCCTTGGCCCTCCAAAGTGCTGGGATTACAGGCGTGAGCCACCGCGCCTGGCCGAGCTATTTCATCATAAGGCCCCACTGTAAGGAGCTGGGGGCTAAGACTGCAACATATGAATTTTGGGGGATCACAATGCAGACTCATTCTTTTGTACCCATCAAATATGAATGGTCTTTTCTTCTACTTTTTTGTTTGGTTTTTAATTTCAGACAGGCTCTCACTCTGTCACCCACGCTAGAGTGCAGTGGCACAGTCACGGCTCACTGCAATCTCTGCCTCCTGGGCTCAAGGGATCCTCCTGCCTCAGCCCCCCAAGTAGCTGAAACTACAGGCGTTTGCCACCAGGTCAGCTCATTTAAAAAAAAATTTGGCTGGGCGCGGTGGCTCACGCTGGTAATCCCAGCCCTTTGGGAGGCCGAGGCGGGTGGATCATGAGGTCAGGAAATCAAGACCATCCTGGCTAACATGGTGAAACCCTGTCTCTACTAAAAAAAAAAATACAAAAAATTAGCTGGGCATGGTAGCGGGTGCCTGTAGTCCCAGCTACTCGGGAGGCTGAGGCAGGAGAATGGCATGAACCCGGGAAGCGGAGCTTGCAGTGAGCCGAGATCACGCCACTGCACTCCAGCCTGGGGGACAGAGTGAGACTCCATCTCAAAAAAAAAAAAATTTTTTTTTGGCTGGACGTGGTGGCTCACACTGGTAATCCCAGCACTTTGGGAGGCTGAGGCGGGTGGATCACCGGAGGTTGGGAGTTCGAGACCAGCCTGACCAACATGGAGAAACCCCGACTCTACTAAAAATACAAAATTAACCGAGCGTGGTGGTGGGCGCCTGTAATCCCAGCTACTCGGGAGGCTGAGGCAGGAGAATCGCTTGAATCTGGGAGGCGGAGGTTGCGGTGAGCCGAGTTGGTGCCACTGCACTCCAGCCTGGGCAACAAGAGTGAAACTCTGTCTCAAAACAAAACAAAACAAATTTTCTTCTAGAGATGGGGTCTTGGTTTGTTGCCCAGGCTGGTCTCAAACTCCTAAGCTCGAGGTATCCCCCCACCTCAGCCTCCCTGGTAGCTGGGACCAAAGACATGTGTCACCACGTCTGGTAATTTTTACAGTTTTTTTTTTTTGGTAAAGATGGGGTCTTGCTATGTTGCCCAGGCTGGTGTCAAACTCCTGGGCTTAAGGAATTCTCCCACCTCAGCCTCCAAAAGTGCTGTGGTGAGAGGCATAAACCGTAGCACCCAGCCCCTCTTTTCTTCTTTTATTTATTTATTTATTTATTTATTTATTTATTTAGAGACAGAGTCTCACTCTGTTGCCCAGGCTGCAGTGCAGTGGTGCCATCTCGCCTCACTGCAACCTCCACCTCTCAGGTTTAAGCTATTCTCCTGCCTCAGCCTCCTGAGTAGCTGGGATTACAGGTGCCTGCCACCATGCCAGGCTAATTTTTGTATTTTTAGTAGAGACAGGGTTTCACCATGTTGGCCAGGCTGGTCTCGAACTCCTGACCTCAGGTGATCCACCTGCCTTGGCCTCCCTAAGTGCCCAGGTGAGAGTCATGAGCCACCATACCTGGCCCCTCTTCTTTATTTTCTTTCAAACCACAGGTCAGAGACAGAACCTCCTTCCAGCTACTCAATCCTGGAACGTACACAGTACAAATAAGAGCCCGGGAAAGAGTGTATGAATTCTTGAGCGCCTGGAGCACCCCCCAGCGCTTCGGTGAGTGGGCTGTGCGGGGTGCGCGGGGTGAGCGGGGTGAGCGGGGTGCGCGGGGTGAGCGGGGTGCGCGGGGTGAGCGGGGTGCGCGGGGTGAGCGGGGTGAGCGGGGTGAGCCGGGTGCGCGGGGTGAGCCGGCTGCGCGGGGTGAGCGGGGTGAGCGGGGTGAGCGGGGTGAGCGGGGTGCGCGGGGTGAGCGGGGTGAGCGGGGTGCGCGGGGTGAGCGGGGTGAGCCGGGTGCGCGGGGTGAGCCGGGTGAGCGGGGTGCGCGGGGTGAGCGGGGTGAGCGGGGTGCGCGGGGTGAGCCGGGTGCGCGGGGTGAGCGGGGTGAGCCGGGTGCGCGGGGTGAGCGGGGTGAGCGGGGTGAGCCGGGTGAGCCGGGTGAGCCGGGTGCGCGGGGTGAGCCGGGTGCGCGGGGTGAGCGGGGTGCGCGGGGTGAGCGGGGTGCGCGGGGTGAGCCGGGTGCGCGGGGTGAGCGGGGTGCGCGGGGTGAGCGGGGTGCGCGGGGTGAGCCGGGTGCGCGGGGTGAGCGGGGTGAGCGGGGTGAGCCGGGTGCCCCGGGTGAGCGGGGTGCGCGGGGTGAGCCGGGTGCGCGGGGTGAGCGGGGTGAGCGGGGTGCGCGGGGTGAGCCGGGTGCGCGGGGTGAGCCGGGTGCGCGGGGTGAGCCGGGTGAGCGGGGTGAGCGGGGTGCGGGGTGCGCGGTGCGCGGGGTGAGCGGGGTGCGCGGGGTGAGCCGGGTGCGCGGGGTGAGCGGGGTGAGCCGGGTGCCCCGGGTGAGCGGGGTGCGCGGGGTGAGCCGGGTGCGCGGGGTGAGCGGGGTGCGCGGGGTGAGCGGGGTGCGCGGGGTGCGCGGCGTGAGCCGGGTGCGCGGGGTGCGCGGGGTGAGCGGGGTGCGCGGGGTGCGCGGGGTGCGCGGGGTGAGCGGGGTGCGCGGGGTGCGCGGCGTGAGCCGGGTGCGCGGGGTGAGCGGGGTGCGCGGGGTGAGCGGGGTGCGCGGGGTGAGCCGGGTGCGCGGGGTGAGCCGGGTGAGCCGGGTGCGCGGGGTGAGCGGGGTGCGCGGGGTGAGCCGGGTGAGCCGGGTGCGCGGGGTGAGCCGGGTGCGCGGGGTGAGCGGGGTGCGCGGGGTGAGCCGGGTGCGCGGGGTGAGCGGGGTGCGCGGGGTGAGCGGGGTGCGCGGGGTGAGCGGGGTGCGCGGGGTGAGCCGGGTGCGCGGGGTGAGCGGGGTGAGCGGGGTGAGCCGGGTGCCCCGGGTGAGCGGGGTGCGCGGGGTGAGCCCGGTGAGCCGGGTGCGCGGGGTGAGCCGGGTGCGCGGGGTGAGCCGGGTGAGCGGGGTGAGCGGGGTGCGCGGTGCGCGGGGTGAGCGGGGTGCGCGGGGTGAGCCGGGTGCGCGGGGTGAGCGGGGTGAGCCGGGTGCCCCGGGTGAGCGGGGTGCGCGGGGTGAGCCGGGTGCGCGGGGTGAGCGGGGTGCGCGGAGTGAGCGGGGTGCGCGGGGTGCGCGGCGTGAGCCGGGTGCGCGGGGTGCGCGGGGTGAGCGGGGTGCGCGGGGTGCGCGGGGTGCGCGGGGTGAGCGGGGTGCGCGGGGTGCGCGGCGTGAGCCGGGTGCGCGGGGTGAGCGGGGTGCGCGGGGTGAGCGGGGTGCGCGGGGTGAGCCGGGTGCGCGGGGTGAGCGGGGTGCGCGGGGTGAGCCGGGTGCGCGGGGTGCGCGGGGTGCGCGGGGTGCGCCGGGTGCGCGGGGTGAGCCGGGTGCGCGGGGTGAGCGGGGTGCGCGGGGTGCGCGGGGTGCGCGGGGTGAGCCGGGTGCGCGGGGTGAGCGGGGTGAGCCGGGTGCGCGGGGTGAGCGGGGTGAGCCGGGTGCGCGGGGTGAGCGGGGTGCGCGGGGTGAGCCGGGTGCGCGGGGTGAGCGGGGTGCGCGGGGTGAGCCGGGTGCGCGGGGTGAGCGGGGTGCGCCGGGTGAGCGGGGTGAGCGGGGTGAGCCGGGTGCGCGGGGTGCGCGGGGTGCGCCGGGTGCGCGGGGTGAGCCGGGTGCGCGGGGTGAGCGGGGTGCGCGGGGTGCGCGGGGTGCGCGGGGTGAGCCGGGTGCGCGGGGTGAGCGGGGTGAGCCGGGTGAGCGGGGTGCGCGGGGTGAGCCGGGTGCGCGGGGTGAGCGGGGTGCGCGGGGTGAGCCGGGTGCGCGGGGTGCGCGGGGTGAGCCGGGTGCGCGGGGTGAGCGGGGTGCGCGGGGTGAGCGGGGTGCGCGGGGTGAGCCGGGTGCGCGGGGTGAGCCGGGTGCGCGGGGTGCGCGGGGTGCGCGGCGTGAGCCGGGTGCGCGGGGTGCGCCGGGTGCGCGGGGTGAGCGGGGTGAGCCGGGTGCGCGGGGTGAGCGGGGTGCGCGGGGTGAGCGGGGTGCGCCGGGTGAGCCGGGTGCGCGGGGTGAGCCGGGTGCGCGGGGTGAGCGGGGTGCGCGGGGTGAGCCGGGTGCGCGGGGTGAGCGGGGTGCGCCGGGTGAGCGGGGTGCGCGGGGTGAGCGGGGTGCGCCGGGTGAGCGGGGTGCGCGGGCTGAGCGGGGTGCGCCGGGTGAGCGGGGTGCGCGGGGTGAGCGGGGTGCGCCATCCTGGGTCACGGAAACACTCCTCTCCTGCAAAGGAGAGGAGATTCACTCCCCCAGTTTCTGTGACCCCAAAAAGGACCCTGAACCCGACGGTGAACTCACAGCTTGCTCTTACTCACGAGAGGAGACGTGGAGGGGAAACAAGGTCGTCCCACTGACAGACACCCCCTGGGCCTTGTAATAAAGACCGAGGCGGGCGGATCACAAGGTCAGGAGATCGAGACCATCCCGGCTAACACGGTGAAACCCGGTCTCTACAAAAAATGTAACAAATTAGCCAGGCGTGGTGATGGGCGCCTGTAGTCCCAGCTACTCGGGAGGCTGAGGCAGGAGAATGGCGTGAACCCGGGAGGCGGAGGTTGCAGTGAGCCGAGATCGCGCCACTGTGCTCCATCCAGCCTGGGCGACAAGAGCGAGACTCCATCTCAACAACAAAACAAAAGGATCGCCTCAGAGTAGAACTTCTGGCCGGGCACGGTGACTCATGCCTG
This sequence comes from Homo sapiens, assembly GCF_000001405.40. Classification (NCBI taxonomy): domain Eukaryota; kingdom Metazoa; phylum Chordata; class Mammalia; order Primates; family Hominidae; genus Homo; species Homo sapiens. The sequence goes on from NC_000024.10 coordinate 1,368,328, forward strand.
CCATCCCAGCACTTTGGGAGGCTGAGGTGGGTAGATCACCTGAGGTCAGGAGTTCGAGACCAGCCTGACCAACATGGAAAAACCCTGTCTCTACTAAAAATAGAAAAATTAGGTCAGGTGCTGTGGCTTAAGCCTGTAACCTCAGCTACCAGGGAGGCTGAGGCAGGAGAATCGCTTGAATTGTGTTCCCTCAAAATTCGTGTGTTGAAGCTTTGATCCCCCAGGACCTCAGAATGTGACTGTGTTTGGAGTTGGGGTGTTTAAAGAGGCGATTAAGGTAAAATGAGGTCATTAGGGTGGGCCCTAATCTAACAGGACTGGGGTCCTTATAAGAAGAGGAGATGAGGACACAGACACACACAGAGGGACGACCCTGTGGGACACAGGGAGAAGACGGCGTCTCCAAGCCCAGGAGAGGGGCCTCAGGAGGAACCAGCACTGCCCACACCTGGATCTCAGACCTCCAGCCTCCAGGGCTGTGGGAGAATCAATGTGTTTTGTTTCTAAGCCGCCCAGCCTCTGGTATTCTGTGACAGCAGCCTGAGATGGACTAAGCCATCTCATAAGAAGAGACGAGGACACAGACACACACAGAGGGACGACCCTGTGAGGGCACAGGGAGAAGACGGCGTCTCCAAGCCCAGGAGAGGGGCCTCAGGAGGAACCAGCACTGCCCACACCTGGATCTCAGACCTCCAGCCTCCAGGGCTGTGGGAGAATCAATGTGTTTTGTTTCTAAGCCGCCCAGCCTCTGGTATTCTGTGACAGCAGCCTGAGATGGACTAAGACATCTCATAAGAAGAGGAGATGAGGACACAGACACACACAGAGGGACGACCCTGTGAGGGCACAGGGAGAAGACGGCGTCTCCAAGCCCAGGAGAGGGGCCTCAGGAGGAACCAGCCCTGCCCACACCTGGATCTCAGACCTCCAGCCTCCAGGGCTGTGGGAGAATCAATGTGTTTTGTTTCTAAGCCGCCCAGCCTCTGGTATTCTGTGACAGCAGCCTGAGATGGACTAAGACATCTCATAAGAAGAGGAGATGAGGACACAGACACACACAGAGGGACGACCCTGTGAGGGCACAGGGAGAAGACGGCGTCTCCAAGCCCAGGAGAGGGGCCTCAGGAGGAACCAGCACTGCCCACACCTGGATCTCAGACCTCCAGCCTCCAGGGCTGTGGGAGAATCAATGTGTTTTGTTTCTAAGCCGCCCAGCCTCTGGTATTCTGTGACAGCAGCCTGAGATGGACTAAGCCATCTCATAAGAAGAGACGAGGACACAGACACACACAGAGGGATGACCCTGTGAGGGCACAGGGAGAAGACGGCGTCTCCAAGCCCAGGAGAGGGGCCTCAGGAGGAACCAGCACTGCCCACACCTGGATCTCAGACCTCCAGCCTCCAGGGCTGTGGGAGAATCAATGTGTTTTGTTTCTAAGCCGCCCAGCCTCTGGTATTCTGTGACAGCAGCCTGAGATGGACTAAGACATCTCATAAGAAGAGGAGATGAGGACACAGACACACACAGAGGGATGACCCTGTGAGGGCACAGGGAGAAGACGGCGTCTCCAAGCCCAGGAGAGGGGCCTCAGGAGGAACCAGCCCTGCCCACACCTGGATCTCAGACCTCCAGCCTCCAGGGCTGTGGGAGAATCAATGTGTTTTGTTTCTAAGCCGCCCAGCCTCTGGTATTCTGTGACAGCAGCCTGAGATGGACTAAGCCATCTCATAAGAAGAGACGAGGACACAGACACACACAGAGGGACGACCCTGTGAGGACACAGGGAGAAGACGGCGTCTCCAAGCCCAGGAGAGGGGCCTCAGGAGGAACCAGCACTGCCCACACCTGGATCTCAGACCTCCAGCCTCCAGGGCTGTGGGAGAATCAGTGTTTTGTTTCTAAGCCGCCCAGCCTCTGGTATTCTGTGACAGCAGCCTGAGATGGACTAAGCCATCTCATAAGAAGAGACGAGGACACAGACACACACAGAGGGACGACCCTGTGAGGGCACAGGGAGAAGACGGCGTCTCCAAGCCCAGGAGAGGGGCCTCAGGAGGAACCAGCCCTGCCCACACCTGGATCTCAGACCTCCAGCCTCCAGGGCTGTGGGAGAATCAATGTGTTTTGTTTCTAAGCCGCCCAGCCTCTGGTATTCTGTGACAGCAGCCTGAGATGGAGTAAGACATCTCATAAGAAGAGGAGATGAGGACACAGACACACACAGAGGGACGACCCTGTGGGACACAGGGAGAAGACGGGGTCTCCAAGCCCAGGAGAGGGGCCTCAGGAGGAACCAGCCCTGCCCACACCTGGATCTCAGACCTCCAGCCTCCAGGGCTGTGGGAGAATCAATGTGTTTTGTTTCTAAGCCGCCCAGCCTCTGGTATTCTGTGACAGCAGCCTGAGATGGACTAAGCCATCTCATAAGAAGAGACGAGGACACAGACACACAGAGAGGGACGACCCTGTGAGGACACAGGGAGAAGACGGCATCTCCAAGCCCAGGAGAGGGGCCTCAGGAGGAACCAGCACTGCCCACACCTGGATCTCAGACCTCCAGCCTCCAGGGCTGTGGGAGAATCAATGTGTTTTGTTTCTAAGCCGCCCAGCCTCTGGTATTCTGTGACAGCAGCCTGAGATGGACTAAGACATCTCATAAGAAGAGGAGATGAGGACACAGACACACACAGAGGGACGACCCTGTGAGGACACAGGGAGAAGACGGCGTCTCCAAGCCCAGGAGAGGGGCCTCAGGAGGAACCAGCCCTGCCCACACCTGGATCTCAGACCTCCAGCCTCCAGGGCTGTGGGAGAATCAATGTGTTTTGTTTCTAAGCCGCCCAGCCTCTGGTATTCTGTGACAGCAGCCTGAGATGGACTAAGCCATCTCATAAGAAGAGACGAGGACACAGACACACACAGAGGGACGACCCTGTGAGGGCACAGGGAGAAGACGGCGTCTCCAAGCCCAGGAGAGGGGCCTCAGGAGGAACCAGCCCTGCCCACACCTGGATCTCAGACCTCCAGCCTCCAGGGCTGTGGGAGAATCAATGTGTTTTGTTTCTAAGCCGCCCAGCCTCTGGTATTCTGTGACAGCAGCCTGAGATGGACTAAGCCATCTCATAAGAAGAGACGAGGACACAGACACACACAGAGGGACGACCCTGTGAGGGCACAGGGAGAAGACGGCGTCTCCAAGCCCAGGAGAGGGGCCTCAGGAGGAACCAGCCCTGCCCACACCTGGATCTCAGAACTCCAGCCTCCAGGGCTGTGGGAGAATCAATGTGTTTTGTTTCTAAGCCGCCCAGCCTCTGGTATTCTGTGACAGCAGCCTGAGATGGACTAAGACATCTCATAAGAAGAGGACATGAGGACACAGACACACACAGAGGGACGACCCTGTGGGACACAGGGAGAAGACGGGGTCTCCAAGCCCAGGAGAGGGGCCTCAGGAGGAACCAGCCCTGCCCACACCTGGATCTCAGACCTCCAGCCTCCAGGGCTGTGGGAGAATCAATGTGTTTTGTTTCTAAGCCGCCCAGCCTCTGGTATTCTGTGACAGCAGCCTGAGATGGACTAAGACATCTCATAAGAAGAGGAGATGAGGACACAGACACACACAGAGGGACGACCCTGTGGGACACAGGGAGAAGACGGGGTCTCCAAGCCCAGGAGAGGGGCCTCAGGAGGAACCAGCCCTGCCCACACCTGGATCTCAGAACTCCAGCCTCCAGGGCTGTGGGAGAATCAATGTGTTTTGTTTCTAAGCCGCCCAGCCTCTGGTATTCTGTGACAGCAGCCTGAGATGGACTAAGACATCTCATAAGAAGAGGAGATGAGGACACAGACACACACAGAGGGACGACCCTGTGAGGACACAGGGAGAAGACGGCGTCTCCAAGCCCAGGAGAGGGGCCTCAGGAGGAACCAGCCCTGCCCACACCTGGATCTCAGACCTCCAGCCTCCAGGGCTGTGGGAGAATCAATGTGTTTTGTTTCTAAGCCGCCCAGCCTCTGGTATTCTGTGACAGCAGCCTGAGATGGACTAAGCCATCTCATAAGAAGAGACGAGGACACAGACACACACAGAGGGACGACCCTGTGAGGGCACAGGGAGAAGACGGCGTCTCCAAGCCCAGGAGAGGGGCCTCAGGAGGAACCAGCCCTGCCCACACCTGGATCTCAGACCTCCAGCCTCCAGGGCTGTGGGAGAATCAATGTGTTTTGTTTCTAAGCCGCCCAGCCTCTGGTATTCTGTGACAGCAGCCTGAGATGGACTAAGCCATCTCATAAGAAGAGACGAGGACACAGACACACACAGAGGGACGACCCTGTGAGGGCACAGGGAGAAGACGGCGTCTCCAAGCCCAGGAGAGGGGCCTCAGGAGGAACCAGCCCTGCCCACACCTGGATCTCAGAACTCCAGCCTCCAGGGCTGTGGGAGAATCAATGTGTTTTGTTTCTAAGCCGCCCAGCCTCTGGTATTCTGTGACAGCAGCCTGAGATGGACTAAGACATCTCATAAGAAGAGGACATGAGGACACAGACACACACAGAGGGACGACCCTGTGGGACACAGGGAGAAGACGGGGTCTCCAAGCCCAGGAGAGGGGCCTCAGGAGGAACCAGCCCTGCCCACACCTGGATCTCAGACCTCCAGCCTCCAGGGCTGTGGGAGAATCAATGTGTTTTGTTTCTAAGCCGCCCAGCCTCTGGTATTCTGTGACAGCAGCCTGAGATGGACTAAGACATCTCATAAGAAGAGGAGATGAGGACACAGACACACACAGAGGGACGACCCTGTGGGACACAGGGAGAAGACGGGGTCTCCAAGCCCAGGAGAGGGGCCTCAGGAGGAACCAGCCCTGCCCACACCTGGATCTCAGAACTCCAGCCTCCAGGGCTGTGGGAGAATCAATGTGTTTTGTTTCTAAGCCGCCCAGCCTCTGGTATTCTGTGACAGCAGCCTGAGATGGACTAAGACATCTCATAAGAAGAGGACATGAGGACACAGACACACACAGAGGGACGACCCTGTGGGACACAGAAGACGGGGTCTCCAAGCCCAGGAGAGGGGCCTCAGGAGGAACCAGCCCTGCCCACACCTGGATCTCAGACCTCCAGCCTCCAGGGCTGTGGGAGAATCAATGTGTTTTGTTTCTAAGCCGCCCAGCCTCTGGTATTCTGTGACAGCAGCCTGAGATGGACTAAGACATCTCATAAGAAGAGGACATGAGGACACAGACACACACAGAGGGACGACCCTGTGAGGGCACAGGGAGAAGACGGCGTCTCCAAGCCCAGGAGAGAGGCCTCAGGAGGAACCAGCCTTGCCCACACCTGGATCTCAGACCTCCAGCCTCCAGGGCTGTGGGAGAATCAATGTGTTTTGTTTCTAAGCCGCCCAGCCTCTGGTATTCTGTGACAGCAGCCTGAGATGGACTAAGACACCTCATAAGAAGAGGAGATGAGGACACAGACACACACGGAGGAACAACCCTGTGAGGACACAGGGAGAAGACGGCATCTCCAAGCCCAGGAGAGAGGCCTCAGGAGGAACCAGCCCTGCCCACACCTGGATCTCAGACCTCCAGCCTCCAGGGCTGTGGGAGAATCAATGTGTTTTGTTTCTAAGCCGCCCAGCCTCTGGTATTCTGTGACAGCAGCCTGAAACGGACTAAGACATCCCATAAAAAGGAGATGAGGACACAGACACACACGGAGGGACGACCCTGTGGGACACAGGGAGAAGACGGCGTCTCCAAGCCCAGGAGAGGGGCCTCAGGAGGAACCAGCACTGCCCACACCTGGATCTCAGACCTCCAGCCTCCAGGGCTGTGGGAGAATCAATGTGTTTTGTTTCTAAGCCGCCCAGCCTCTGGTATTCTGTGACAGCAGCCTGAGATGGACTAAGCCATCTCATAAGAAGAGACGAGGACACAGACACACACAGAGGGATGACCCTGTGAGGGCACAGGGAGAAGACGGCGTCTCCAAGCCCAGGAGAGGGGCCTCAGGAGGAACCAGCACTGCCCACACCTGGATCTCAGACCTCCAGCCTCCAGGGCTGTGGGAGAATCAATGTGTTTTGTTTCTAAGCCGCCCAGCCTCTGGTATTCTGTGACAGCAGCCTGAGATGGACTAAGACATCTCATAAGAAGAGGAGATGAGGACACAGACACACACAGAGGGACGACCCTGTGAGGGCACAGGGAGAAGACGGCGTCTCCAAGCCCAGGAGAGGGGCCTCAGGAGGAACCAGCCCTGCCCACACCTGGATCTCAGACCTCCAGCCTCCAGGGCTGTGGGAGAATCAATGTGTTTTGTTTCTAAGCCGCCCAGCCTCTGGTATTCTGTGACAGCAGCCTGAGATGGACTAAGCCATCTCATAAGAAGAGACGAGGACACAGACACACACAGAGGGACGACCCTGTGAGGACACAGGGAGAAGACGGCGTCTCCAAGCCCAGGAGAGGGGCCTCAGGAGGAACCAGCACTGCCCACACCTGGATCTCAGACCTCCAGCCTCCAGGGCTGTGGGAGAATCAATGTGTTTTGTTTCTAAGCCGCCCAGCCTCTGGTATTCTGTGACAGCAGCCTGAGATGGACTAAGCCATCTCATAAGAAGAGACGAGGACACAGACACACACAGAGGGACGACCCTGTGAGGGCACAGGGAGAAGACGGCGTCTCCAAGCCCAGGAGAGGGGCCTCAGGAGGAACCAGCCCTGCCCACACCTGGATCTCAGACCTCCAGCCTCCAGGGCTGTGGGAGAATCAATGTGTTTTGTTTCTAAGCCGCCCAGCCTCTGGTATTCTGTGACAGCAGCCTGAGATGGAGTAAGACATCTCATAAGAAGAGGAGATGAGGACACAGACACACACAGAGGGACGACCCTGTGGGACACAGGGAGAAGACGGGGTCTCCAAGCCCAGGAGAGGGGCCTCAGGAGGAACCAGCCCTGCCCACACCTGGATCTCAGACCTCCAGCCTCCAGGGCTGTGGGAGAATCAATGTGTTTTGTTTCTAAGCCGCCCAGCCTCTGGTATTCTGTGACAGCAGCCTGAGATGGACTAAGCCATCTCATAAGAAGAGACGAGGACACAGACACACACAGAGGGACGACCCTGTGAGGGCACAGGGAGAAGACGGCGTCTCCAAGCCCAGGAGAGGGGCCTCAGGAGGAACCAGCCCTGCCCACACCTGGATCTCAGACCTCCAGCCTCCAGGGCTGTGGGAGAATCAATGTGTTTTGTTTCTAAGCCGCCCAGCCTCTGGTATTCTGTGACAGCAGCCTGAGATGGACTAAGACATCTCATAAGAAGAGGACATGAGGACACAGACACACACAGAGGGACGACCCTGTGGGACACAGGGAGAAGACGGGGTCTCCAAGCCCAGGAGAGGGGCCTCAGGAGGAACCAGCCCTGCCCACACCTGGATCTCAGACCTCCAGCCTCCAGGGCTGTGGGAGAATCAATGTGTTTTGTTTCTAAGCCGCCCAGCCTCTGGTATTCTGTGACAGCAGCCTGAGATGGACTAAGACATCTCATAAGAAGAGGAGATGAGGACACAGACACACACAGAGGGACGACCCTGTGGGACACAGGGAGAAGACGGGGTCTCCAAGCCCAGGAGAGGGGCCTCAGGAGGAACCAGCCCTGCCCACACCTGGATCTCAGACCTCCAGCCTCCAGGGCTGTGGGAGAATCAATGTGTTTTGTTTCTAAGCCGCCCAGCCTCTGGTATTCTGTGACAGCAGCCTGAGATGGACTAAGACATCTCATAAGAAGAGGACATGAGGACACAGACACACACAGAGGGACGACCCTGTGGGACACAGAAGACGGGGTCTCCAAGCCCAGGAGAGGGGCCTCAGGAGGAACCAGCCCTGCCCACACCTGGATCTCAGACCTCCAGCCTCCAGGGCTGTGGGAGAATCAATGTGTTTTGTTTCCAAGCCGCCCAGCCTCTGGTATTCTGTGACAGCAGCCTGAGATGGACTAAGACATCTCATAAGAAGAGGACATGAGGACACAGACACACACAGAGGGACGACCCTGTGAGGGCACAGGGAGAAGACGGCGTCTCCAAGCCCAGGAGAGAGGCCTCAGGAGGAACCAGCCTTGCCCACACCTGGATCTCAGACCTCCAGCCTCCAGGGCTGTGGGAGAATCAATGTGTTTTGTTTCTAAGCCGCCCAGCCTCTGGTATTCTGTGACAGCAGCCTGAGATGGACTAAGACACCTCATAAGAAGAGGAGATGAGGACACAGACACACACGGAGGAACAACCCTGTGAGGACACAGGGAGAAGACGGCGTCTCCAAGCCCAGGAGAGAGGCCTCAGGAGGAACCAGCCCTGCCCACACCTGGATCTCAGACCTCCAGCCTCCAGGGCTGTGGGAGAATCAATGTGTTTTGTTTCTAAGCCGCCCAGCCTCTGGTATTCTGTGACAGCAGCCTGAAACGGACTAAGACATCCCATAAAAAGGAGATGAGGACACAGACACACACGGAGGGACGACCCTGTGGGACACAGGGAGAAGACGGCGTCTCCAAGCCCAGGAGAGGGGCCTCAGGAGGAACCAGCCCTGCCCACACCTGGATCTCAGACCTCCAGCCTCCAGGGCTGTGGGAGAATCAATGTGTTTTGTTTCTAAGCCGCCCAGCCTCTGGTATTCTGTGACAGCAGCCTGAGATGGACTAAGACATCTCATAAGAAGAGGAGATGAGGACACAGACACACACCAAGGGACAACCCTGTGGGACACGGAGAAGACGGGGTCTCCAAGCCCAGGAGAGAGGCCTCAGGAGGAACCAGCCCTGCCCATGCCCATCTCTTGATCTTGGACCTGCAGCTTCCAGGACTGTGGGAGAATCAATTCCTTTTTTCTTTTTCTTTTTTCTTTTTTTTCCTCTTTTTCTGAGATGGAGTCTCACTCTGTCGCCAGGCTGGAGTGCAGTGGCGTGATCTTGGCTCACTGCAACCTCCACCTCGCAGGTTCAGGCCATTCTCCTGCCTCAGCCTTCTGAGTAGCTGGGATGACAGGCGCCCGCCACCACACCCGGCTACTGTTTGTATTTTTATTAGAGACGGGCTTTCTGGCCATGTTGGCCAGGCTGGTCTCATACTCCCGACCTCAGGTGATCCGCCCGCCTTGGCCTCCCAAAGCGCTGGGATTACAGGCGTGAGCCACCGCGCCCGGCCAAATTCCTTTTTTCTGAAGCCACCAAGCTGTGGGACTTTTTTATGGCAGTCCCAGCAGACAGATCCACCCTCGTTCCAAATAAGGTTATCGTCATAGGTTCTGGGGGTGAGGTCATAGATGTATGTTTTTTTTTTTTTTTGGAGAGAGAGTCTCTCTCTATTGCCCAGGCTGGAGGGCAGTGGCGCGATCACGGCTCACTGTAGCCTCGACCTCCTGGGCTCAAGCGATCCTCTCGGGAGGCTAAGAGAGGAGAATCGTTTGAATCCGGGAGGCAGAGGTTGCAGTGAGCTGAGATAGCACCACAGCACTGCAGAGCGAGACTCTGTCTCAAAAAAAAAAAAAAGAAAAAAGAAAAAAAATAGGCCGGGTGCGTGGCTGACGCCTGTAATCCCAGCACTTTGGGAGGCCGAGGCGGGTGGATCACTTGAGGTCAGGAGTTCAAGACCAGCCTAACGAAGATGGTGAAACCCCATCTCTATGAGAAATACAAAAATTACCCGGGCGTGGTGGCGGGCGCCTGTAGTCCCAGCTACTCGGGAGGCAGGGGCAGGAGAATCGCTTGAACCTGGGAGGTGGAGGTTGTGAGCTGAGATCGTGCCACTGCACTCCAGCCTGGGCGACAAAACGAGACTCCATCTCAAAAAAAAAAAAAAAAGAAAAAGAAAAAGAAAAAATTAACACACACACACAAATTCCATGATAAACACAAAATCAAGTTCAAAGCACGCACGCCAGTGCTGCCTCTGCTGCCCCTCCATGCTGCCCACACCCAAAGCACCTGCCGGCCTGCTGGGCACAGTGGAAGTCCCTGGCGCTCCCCGTGTCCCGAGCACCAGGCAGACAGGGATCCCTGGTGGTCTTTCCGCTCCCTTAGGGTTCCAGACTGGGGCTGGGAGGTCCGGAAGTCGCTCCCGGTCCTGGTACTCAGGTGGCCTGCAGGTGGCCCGCAGGTGGTCACGGTCTCTGTGCAGGTGGCACTACTGGGGTGTCCCCCCCTGGACGCCACCCCATATGGCAGCCACCTCTCTGCTTCCCAGGGCCCCGGGGAGAGCTTACAGTCCCTGGTCCCCCCAGGACGGCCCCCGGTCTGTGACCCTCTCACCCTTTACCCCTAGAGTGCGACCAGGAGGAGGGCGCAAACACACGTGCCTGGCGGACGTCGCTGCTGATCGCGCTGGGGACGCTGCTGGCCCTGGTCTGTGTCTTCGTGATCTGCAGAAGGTGAGCCCTCGAGGGCGTCCGCGAGCGTCGCTTGTTTCCAGTGTGACCCTGAAAGTTATTCACAGAACCATCCTGAGAATTATCATTATTATTTTTGTGATGGAGTCTCGCTCTGTCTCCCAGGCTGGAGTGCAGTGGCACGATCTGGGCTCACTGCAGCCTCTGCCTCCTGGGTTCAGGCGATCCTCCTGCCTCAGCCTCCCAAGTAGCTGGGATTACAGGCACCCAGCAACACACCCAGCTAATTTTTGTATTTTTAGTAGAGACGGGGTTTTGCCATGTTGGCCAGGCTGGTCTTGAATTCCTGGACTCAGGTGATCCACCTGCCTCAGCCTCCTAAAGTGCTGGGATTACAGGCGTAAGCCACCTCGCCTGGCCCATATTATTATTATTGTTATGATTATTATTATTTTTTGAGTCTTGCTCTGTCACCCAGGCTGGAGTGCAGTGGCTCGATCTCGGCTCACCGCAGCCTCCACCTCCCGGGTTCAAGTGATTCTCCTGCCTCAGCCTCCCGAGTAGCTGGGATTACAGGTGTGCAACACTGCACCCAACTAATTCTTGTATTTTTAGTGGAGACGGGGTTTCACCATGTTGGCCACACTGGTGTTGAACTCCTGGCCTCAAGTGATCCCCCAGCCTCGGCCTCCCAAAGTGCTGGGATTACAGGCGTGAGCCACCGCACCTGGCCCCTTGAGAATTATTCACAAAAGACCAGGGGCCAGGTCCTCTCTGCTAGCTGCCCCCTGCCAGGAGGTCTGTAGAGCCAAAGCTGAGGGCTCTGGTGGGACCAAGGGTGTCCCCAGGGTGGAGGAAGCAGGGCCGGTCCTCCCCTGCCCTGCCCAGCGGGCCTGACACAGTCAGAGGGCGAAAGGCCAGGCTTTCTGGTCGGGAAGGGGCCTGGGCGAACGTCACAGCTGTCCACTTGGATGGGCCAGGATCCGTCATGCAGACCAACTCGAGGTTTTTGGTCACCAGCTGGGTCACCCCAGGTCCTGTCTCCTTTTTTTTAGAGAAGGAGTTTTGCTTTTGTTGCCCAGCCTGGAGTGCAATGGCGCCATCTCGGTTCACTGCAACCTCTGCCTCCTGGGTTCAAGCGATTCTCCTGCCTCAGCCTCCCTGAGTAGCTGGGATTACAAGGATGTGCCACCACGCCTGGCTAATTTTGTATTTTTAGTAGAGATGGGGTTTCTCCGTGTTGGTCAGGCTGGTCTTGAACTCCTGACCTCATGTGATCCACCCGCCTCGGCCTCCCAAAGTGCTGGGATGACAGGCGTGAGCCACCATGCCCGGATAATTTTGTATTTTCAGTAGAGACGGAGTTTCTCCGTGTTGATCAGGCTGGTCTTGAACTCCTCACCTCAGTTGATCTGCCCGCCTGGGCCTCCCAAAGTGCTGGGATGACAGGCGTGTGCCACCATGCCCAGATAATTTTGTATTTTTAGTAGAGATGGAGTTTCTCCATGTTGGTCAGGCTGTTCTCGAACTCCTGACCTCAGTTGATCTGCCCGCCTGGGCCTCCCAAAGTGCTGGCATTACAGGCTTGAGCCACCATGACCAGCCAGGCCCTGTTTCCTTCCTGCTGGGCATCAGAGCTTCACAATCTGTCAAATGGGTGCCATGGTGACTTCTGTCTCCCGGGGGAAGGGGGAAAAGGGGAGGGGGAGGGGGAAGGGGAAGAGGGGGGAGGAGGGGGGAAGGGAGGAGGGGGAAGGGAGGGGGGAAAGGAGGGGGAAGGGAGGAGGGGGAAGGGAAGAGGGGGAGGAGGGGGAAGGGGAGGAGGAGGAGGGGGAGGAGAGGCGAGGGGGAGGGTGGGGGAGGGGGAAGGGGGAGGAGGAGAGGGGAGGATGAGTGGGGAGGGGGAAGGAGGGAGAGGGGGAGGGGGAGAGGGAGGGGTAGGGGGGAAGGGGTGGAGGAGGGAGGAAAAGGGGGAGGAAGAGGGGGACGAGGCCCTTCCTGCAAGCTGTCTCAGGTCGTAAACTCAGTGACCTGAGGCACCAGGGGTCTGTCTTTGCAGCTGCACCCCTGGGTGGCTCCGGTACCAGCGCCCTACTCCTTTAATTAGACACCAGCGCCTGCCTATGATGATGGTCGGGGGCGTGTCAGGGCCTCAGGGGCCGGGAAAATAGAGACCCCTCGAGTAGATGACTTGAGTCTTTTGCTCTGTCCTGGCACTGTCTGTCCTGGACACGCTGTGTCCCAGATGATGAGCTGGTCGGTTTTGGGTTCAGAGCTGGGCCATTTCTCTTTCCTCCGAGGTATCTGGTGATGCAGAGACTCTTTCCCCGCATCCCTCACATGAAAGACCCCATCGGTGACAGCTTCCAAAACGACAAGCTGGTATGTTGTTTTTTCTGCCTTGGGACGGGTCTGGAGGCGTGGTGGCCACTTTGGGAGGCCCAGGCGGGCGGACCACTTGAGGCCAGGAACTGGAGACCAGCCTGGCCAACATGGAGAAACTCCGTGTCTACTAAAAATACAAAATTAGCCGGGTGTGGTGGCGGGCGCCTGTAATCCCAGCTACTCGGGAGGCTGAGGGAGGAGGATCACTTGAACCCGGGAGGTGGAGGCTGCAGTGAACTACGATCGAGCCACTGCACTCCATCTGGGCGACAAGAGTGAAATGGCCTGGACTAGGAGGCTGGACACCTGTCTGCTGGCGCTGGTGGGCGGCTGGGAAAAGCTGCAGGATGAAGGGAGTGGGGGGACACTGGGCTCCCAGCCCACCGTGATCACGGGCCGTCTCCGCACCCTGCACACCAGAGCAGAGCAGATTTTTTTTTTTTTTTTTAGATGGAGTTTTGCTCTTGTTGCCCAGGCTAGAGTGCAATGGTGCGATCTTGGCTCACCACAACCTCCACCTTCCCAGTCCAAGGTTCAAGCGATTGTCCTGCCTCAGCCTCCCGAGTAGCTGGGACTACAGGCACGCACCGACACGCCCAGCTAATTTTGTATTTTTAGTAGAGACGGGGTTTCACCATGTTGGCCAGGATGGTCTCGATCTCCTGACCTTGTGATCCCCCTGCCTCGGCCTCCCAAAGTGCTGGGATTACAGGCATGAGCCACCATGCCCAGCCTAGTTTTCAACAAGTTTTTAGTGATACCTGTGTCCCTAAGAGAAAGGAAGGGCAGAGGAAAAGGAGGCAGACATCTCTGTCAGAGTTTTTTGTTTTGTTTTGTTTTGTTTGTTTTTGTTTTTGAGACGCAGTTTTGTTCGTTGCCCCGGCTGGAGTGCAATGGTGCAATCTCGGCTCACTGCAACCTCCACCTTCCCGGTTGAAGGTTCAAGCGATTCTCCTGCCTCAGCCTCCCAAGTAGCTGGGACTACAGGCATGCACCAACACACCCAGCTAATTCTGCATTTTTAGTAGAGAAGGGGTTTCACCATGTTGGCCAGGATGGTCTGGATCTCCTGACCTTATGGTCCGCTCGCCTCGGCCTCCCAAAGTGCTGGGATTACAGGTGTGACCCACCGCGCCTGGCCCAAAGTGCTGGGATGACAGGCGTGAGACACCATGCCTGGCCCACAGAGCAGATCTGAGATGGGACAGGCCCCCGCAGATCAGGACGTGGGCTCTGTTATCTGGGGGGTGGCCGACTCACCCTGCCTCCTCTCGTCTCTGCAGGTGGTCTGGGAGGCGGGCAAAGCCGGCCTGGAGGAGTGTCTGGTGACTGAAGTACAGGTCGTGCAGAAAACTTGAGACTGGGGTTCAGGGCTTGTGGGGGTCTGCCTCAATCTCCCTGGCCGGGCCAGGCGCCTGCACAGACTGGCTGCTGGACCTGCGCACGCAGCCCAGGAATGGACATTCCTAACGGGTGGTGGGCATGGGAGATGCCTGTGTAATTTCGTCCGAAGCTGCCAGGAAGAAGAACAGAACTTTGTGTGTTTATTTCATGATAAAGTGATTTTTTTTTTTTTAACCCACTCACTGGTCCCGGTCTCTGGATTCAGCCCCATTCCTCCAACACTACTAGAGAGACTGTTTCCCCGGTTTTTTTTTTTTGGAGATGGAGTCAGGATCTGTCTCCCAGGTTGGAGTGCAGTGATGCAATCTCAGCTCACTGCAACCGCTGCCTCCCGGGCTCAAGCAATTCTCCTGCCTCAGCCTCCCAAGTAGCTGGGATTACAGGCACCTGCCACCACCCCTGGCTAATTTTTATATTAGCCGGTCTCGAACTCCTGACCTTGTGATCTGCCCGCCTCTGCCTCCCAAAGTGCTGGGATTACAGGCGTGAGCCACCACACCTGGCCTTTTTTCTTTTTTCAGACCGAGTCTCGGTCTGTCACCCAGGCTGGAGTGCAGTGGCACCATCTCAGCTCACAGCAACCTCTGCCTCCTGGGCTCAAGCGATTCTCCTGCCTCAGCCTCTCGAATAGCTGAGACTACAGGCACATGCCACCACGCCCGGCTAGCTTTGTGTTTTTAGTAGAGACGGGGTTTCACCATGTTGGCCAGGCTGGTCTGGAACTCTTGACCTCATGTGATCCGCCCATCTCGGCCTCCCAAAATGTTGGGATTACAGGCTGGCCTGTAGTCACCGAGTCTGGCCCCCCACCACCCCTGTTTGTTTTTTTGAGACAAAGTCTGGCTCTGTCACTCAGGCTGGAGTGCAGTGGCACAATCTCACCTCACAGCAACCTCTGCCTCCTGGGTTCAAGCAACTCTCCTGCCTCAGCCTCTCGAGTAGCTGGGATTAGAGGTATGCACCATCATGCCTGGCTAACATTTATTTTTAGTAGAGACAGGGCTTCTCCATGTTGGTCAGGCTGGTCCTGAACTCCCGACCTCAGGTGATTCACCTGCCTCACCATCCCAAAGTGCTGGGATTACAGAGGTAAACCACTGAGCCCAACTGGAACTGTGATTTTGATAGTACCCACAAGGCAGGATTCTCTTAAAAACAGCTATGCCACCATGTATTACTGTCTATGAAGTTATCTCCAACACTCAGCTTGCTGAGAGCCTCAGCATTTCAAGATTGTGCAGGACTGGCCAGGCACAGTGACTCATGCCTGTCATCCCAGCACTTTGGGAGGCCGAGGCGGGCGGATCACGAGGTCAGGAGATTGAGACCAGCCTGGCTGACACGGTGAAACCCTTGTCTCTACTAAATACACAAAAAAAATTACCGGGCTGTGGTGGCAGGCGCCTGTAGTCCCAGCTACTCAGGAGGCTGAGGCAGAGAATGGCGTGAACCCGGGAGGTGGAGCTTGCAGTGAGCTGAGATTGCGCCACAGCACTCCAGCCTGGGTGACAGAGTGAGACTCTGTCTCAAAAACAAAAAAACAAAATTAGCCGGGCATGGTGGCGGGCACCTGTAATCCCAGCTACGTGGGAAGCTGAGGCAGAATGGCTTGAACCTCGGAGATGGAAGTAGAGTTGAGCCGTTACCACACCATTGCAGTCCTGCCTGGGTGACAAGAGACTCCATCTCAAAGAAAAAAAAAAATCAAGGAGTAAACTTGTTGGTCTTTGAATTGTAACTTTGGAGAACCTCCCCGCCACTACCGAATTCCCCAAAGTCCAGTGTACCATGTAGGATTTCACTTGATCCGCGGAGGAAACCATGCCCCAATTACTAGGTTAAAATCTATTAAGTGCCGGGCGCGGTGGCTCACACCTGTAATCCCAGCACTTTGGGAGGCTGAGGGTGGATCACCTGAGGTGAGGAGTTCGAGACCAGCCTGACCAACACAGTGAAACCCCGTCTCTACTAAAAATACAAAAATTAGCCGGGCATGGTGGCGGCTGCCTGTAATCCCAGCTACTTGGGAGGCTGAGGCAGGAGAATCGCTTGAACCCAGGAGGCGGAGGTGGCAGTGAGCTGAGATTGCGCCACTGCACTCCAGCGTGGGGGACAGAGCAAGACTCCGTCTCAAAAAAAATAAAAAAATAAAAATAAAAAACTATTAAGTATCAGGAGTGAAAATACATCCAAGAGTGAATGAAGCAGTGACCACAGCTCCAGGCAGGAACTCGGAGCCCAGGTCCCCGTGGGTCGAGGCTGTTTTGTGGAGGGTGTGCAGGACCCACAGGGCTGATGGTGGAAGGTCCTGCTTTGCCACTTGCCTCTGGGCCGAGTCACGTGACCAAGACGAGGGCTCACGGAGCTTTCCTGATCTCTGATATCATCGGGACACAAATGAGGGTTTCTACCTGGCCAAGTGCAGAGATGTAGAGTCTGCCTTTCGGGCCAGGAGCGGTGGCTCATACCTGTCGTCCCACCATGTTCGGAGGCTTAGGTGGGCGGATCATTTGAGTCCAGGAGCTCGAGAGCAGCCAGGTAGGTAAACATGGTGAAACCCCATCTCCACTAAAAATACTAAAATCAGCCGGGTGTGGTGGCGCATGCCTGTAGCCCCAGCTACTTGGGAGGCTGAGGCAGGAGAATTGCTTGAACCTGGGAGGCAGAGGTTGCACCACTGTACTCCAGCCTGGGCGAGAGCGAGACTCCATCTCAAAAAACAGATTCTTTTTACTATGGCTGGGATTTCTGGAGAGCACGGGAGAGCCGGCTCTGGAACCCCAGGGCTGTAGTCTCTGTGGCCCTGCCGTGCGCTGACACCAAGGCCCAAGGTTCGGCCCGGTAGAGATTCAACACGGCTTTTCTTGCCCCGCAATGAATGTTTGAGCAGAAAGAGCTTGAAGGAAGCTGTCGTGCCTCGCGGTGGGTACCCCTTGTGGTGGATTCTCACGGGTGAACCCGCGGACACACAGCTGCCACTCTGGGGACCCCGACCGACTCCACTGTTCATGCTGGAATGGGGGCTGGAGTGGCCCTCGGGAGCTACAGGAGGTGGAGAGGAACGCAGGGTGTCACGCCTGTTTCAGTTTCCCCAAGATTCACGCTGAAAACGCCCCTCTCCCAAGTGATGGCGTTGGGAAGTGGGGGTCTTTGGGAGTCATGAGGCCTCATGGATGGGATCAGTGCCCTTACAGAAAGGACTCCAGAGAGCACCCTGGCCTCATCCATCATCTGAGGACACACAGGGAGAAGGCGCCATCTAGAAGCCAGGAACTGGGTACTCACCAGAGACTGAATCTACCATACCTTGGTTTTCTGGGACCTCCAGCCTCCAGAGCTGAGACATGAGATCATACAAATGCTCTCAGAGAGGGTACAGTAAGTGCAGGTGCCCTGGGGTCCTCCAGCATTTATCAGGGAGCCCGGCTACACTTCTGCCAGCCTTGGTTTCTACCCCCCGCCTCTTCCCAGCTGTGACCCTGCCCTCTGTGCCCCAGGGGTGCTGGGGAGGAGGCAGCACTGCAGACCAGGAACGTGGGCCAGCCACGGGCAGAGCGTGGCCCCATCTGCGTCCCGTGGGCCCAGCGCCCATCTCCAGACCCCAGGCCGCCCTGTGGAGAGGTGCGTGGCCAGGCAGGAGGACCTCTGCGTCCTCTGTTTATTGTTTTGCAGCAGGAGGCCCAACATAGAACATACTCGCCAGTACTCGGCTGTGCAAAACAGGGGCTAGCGCTGAAGTACAAATGGGAAAACGTGATTCTTTTGTTTTAAATAAATACTTAGAACACGACTTGGCTCCTACAAGCATCTGGACTCTAGGTCTCAGTACTGGAGTGTCTCACCCATGGGCCCCACGCAGGGACGCCACGGTTCCCTCCCACCCCGTGATCAAGACACGGAATCGGCTGCCGATGGTTGGATCGCAATGCGCCCCTTTTCTAGAGCCTTCCCCGGCCATCTACAGGCAGGATGCGGCTGGGAAAAAGACAACTGGAATTTCTCGAAGGTTGATGGTCCGCACGGTTGAGGATTCTACGTGGTTCTCTTGGTTCCCCTGGTGTGTGTGTGTGTGTGGAGGAGGCCGCGGCCCTTAGATCACCTTCTTGAGCTCGTCGTACAGGACCAGCACGAAGGCGCCCCCCATGCCCCGCAGGACGTTGGACCACGCACCCTTGAAGAAGGCCTTGCCCCCCTCATCTCTGAAGATCTTCCTCCAACAGTCGACGGTGCCCGTGTACATGATGTCAGCTGCAACGACAGGGAGACAGTGAGGGCCTCGCCGCCAAGCTCTTCAAGACACGGACGCCACCTGCACCCACAAAGACGTTTCACAGAAATAACACCCCAGACGCCTGAGCCACAGTTCTGATTACAGGAGGGATACCTGAGGCTCCCCCAGCTCAAGCCCTCCTCCTAAGCCACTGTCTCAGGGAGGGCTGGACACAGGACTTCAGGCCCCGCCCTGGGTGTCCCCCATCTCCACCCCGGGGTCCATGCAGAGAAGGCAGGATCGAGGGTGTGGGTGCAACCAGAGGTTCTAGGAGGCGGGGATTTAGAAACTGCCGCCCGGACCATGAAACCCCAAAAAGATCAGAAGCCCATCGTTCAGGAAAATCCTTCCACACAGCCAGGTTACTTTCGGACACACTTGCTTGTCTCACACGCCCTGGAAGTGCCTCCTTTGATGGTTCCTGACCTCCCACGGGCCTAGGGCAAGGAGCTTGGTTCCCCTTCCCGGCAGCAAGGGTCCCCCGCCCCCCCGAGTACCTCCTTTGCGCCCGGACTGCATCATCATGCGCCGCCGCACCGTGTCGAAGGGGTAGGACACCACGCCGGCCACGGCCGTCACGGTCTGCGCGATCATCCAGCTCACCACGATGTGCGTGTTCTTGGGGTCGGGGAGCATGCCTGCGCGGGAACGGCACGTCACCGTCTCCAGCGCCTGCACGGCCACCCGAGACCAGGGTCGGCCCCCAGGGTGTGCTCACGGCCCCCTGAGGTGGTGCCGAGCTCTTCCGAGACCACCAGTGCCCCCTCCACGTGGCTGCTCAGTGCCAGCTGACGTTTACAACACGAGAGGTCGGGGCAGGGCCAGAGGGGAAAAGGCCGCCTGCCACCTACCGGAGCCCAGCAAGACAGTCCCAGAGGCCGGGGTTAGGCCTGTTTGGGGAAGGGAATAGGGCCCTGACCTTCTGAAGGGTCACCGTTACTATGGGAGTTACACTCTGTCCTCAAAATCCACATGCTGAAGTCCCACCCCCACCCCAGGACCTCAGGATGCAACTGTACTTGGATATAAGGTCTTGAAAGAGGTAAGACTAAAGGAGGCCAGTAGGGTGGGCCCTGATCCTACGACCCCAGTGTCCTTCTAAAAAGAGATGAGGACACAGACACACGGAGGGATGACCCTGTGAGGACACAGGGAGAAGACGGTGTCTACAAGCCAAAAAGAGAGGCCTCAGAAGGAACCAGCCCTGCCCACTCCTTGATGTCAGACTTCCAGCCTCCAGGACTCCGGGAGAATCAATGTCTGCTGTTTATAAGCCACCCAGTCTATAGTATTGTTTTAGGAGCCTGAAATGGACTAAGACACCTCATAAGAAGAGCAGATAAGGACACAGACACACACAGAGGGATGACCCTGTGAGGACACAGGGAGAAGACGGCGTCTACAAGCCCAGGAGAGAGGCCTCAGGAGGAACCAGCCCTGCCCCACACCTTGATCTCAGACTTCCAGACTCCAGGATTATGGAAGAATCAATGTCTGTTGTTTACAGTCCACCCACTCTATGGTATTCTGTGATAGCAGCCTCAAATGGACTAAGACATCTCATCAGAAGAGGACACGAGGACACAGACACACACAGAGGGACGACCCTGTGAGGACACAGGGAAGACGGAGTCTCCAAGCCCAGGAGAGAGGCCTCAGGAGGAACCAGCCCTGCCCACACCTGGATCTCAGACTTCCAGCCTCCAGGACTGTGGGAGAATCAATGTCTGTTGTTTCTAAGTCACCCAGTCTATGGTGTTCTGGGATGGCAGCCTGAAATGGACTAAGACATCTCATAACAAGAGATGAGGACACAGACACACACACAGGAAAAAGCCTGAGAAGACAGCATCTCCAAGCCCAGGAGAGAGGCCTCAGGAGGAACCAGCCCTGCCCATGCCTTGGTCTCAGACCTTCAGCCTGCAGGACTGTGGGAGAATCAATGTCTGCTGTTTACAATCCACCCAGTCTATGGTATTCTGTGATAGCAGCCTGAAATGGATTAAGACATCTCATAACAAGAGGAGATGAGGACACAGACACACACAGAGGGACGACCCCGTGAGGGCACAGGGAGAAGACGGCATCTACAAGCCTAGGAGAGAGGCCGCAGGAGGAACCAGCCCTGCCCACACCTGGATCTCAGACCTCCAGCCTCCAGGACTGTAGGAAAATCAATGTCTGTTGTTTATAGTCACCCAGTCTATGGTATTCTGTGATAGCAGCCTGAAATGGATTAAGACATCCCATAAGAAGAGAGGATGAGGACACAGACACACACAGAGGGATGATGCTGTGAGGGCACAGGGAGAAGACGGCGTCTCCAAGTCCAGGAGAGAGGCCGCAGGAGGAACCAGCCCTGCCCACACCTTATCTCAGACCTTCAGCCCACAGGACCCTGGGGGAACGTCTGTGTGTTGAGCCCGTCTCTGGGACTTCGCGATGGCAGCCACACGTACCCTTGGCCGTATCGTACACGCCGAAGTAGGCCGCCCGGTAGATGATGATGCCCTGCACGGAGACACTGAAGCCCTGGTACAGGCCCCGGATGCCGTCGGACTTGGTGATCTTCACCAGGCAGTCTCCCAGGCCTCGGAACTCGCGCTCTGTGCCTGACTTTCCCACGTCCGCTGCCAGGCGGGTTCTGGCGAAATCCAGCGGGTACACGAAGCAGAGGGAGGTCGCGCCGGCCGCACCGCCGGAGGCCAGGTTGCCCGCAAAGTACCTCCAGAACTGCGTGTGCTTGTCCACGCCCCCCAGGAAGATCTGCTTGTACTTATCCTTGAAGGCGAAGTTGAGGGCTTGAGTGGGGAAGTAGCGAATGACGTTGGCAAGGTTGCCCCTCCAGAAGGACAGCACGCCCTGCTCCTTGGGGATGCGGACAATGCAGTCCACGATGCCCTTGTACTGCTTGTCGGCGGCGATCTGCTTGCTGGCGTGCTGGACCTGGGGGACGCAGAGGGTGTTCAGACCAGACCCAGGGCCAACCACCCAGAAACATCCCAGCTACAGGGTGCATCCTTTTTTTGACACAAGTCACTCTTGTTGCCCAAGCTGGAGTGCAATGGGGTGATCAAGTGATTCTCCTGTCTCAGCCTCCCGAGTAGCTGGGACTATAGGCGCCCACCACCACGCCCGGCTAATTTTTTTGCTTATTTAGTAGAGACGAGCGTTCCACCATGTTAGTCAGGATGGTCTCGATCTGCTGACCTCGTGAGCCACCGCACCCGGCTCTTTCTTTTTTTAAAAAGACAAGGTCTCATGCTGTTACCCGGGTTTGAGTGTAGTGGTGCGATCTCACCTCACTGCAGCCTCCAACTCCTGGATTAAGCCATCCTCCCGCCTCAGTCTCCCGAGTACCCGGGTCTACAGATGCACAACCATCAAGCTCCACTAAGTTGAAAAATTACTTTTAGAGATGGAGTCTTGCTACGATGACCAAGCTGCTCTCAAACTCCTGAGCTCAGGTGATCCTCCCTGGGCCTCTTGAAGCGCTGGGACATCCCGCCCTGCTAAGTTTAAAAAAATTTTTTAAGCCGGGCACAGTGGCTCATGCCTGTAATCTCAGCACTTTGGGAGGCTGAGGTGGGTGGATCACGACGTCAGGAGATCAAGAGCATCCTAACACGGTGAAACCCTGTCTCTACTAAAAATACAGAACATTAGCAAGGTGTGGTGGCAGGTGCCTGCTAGGGAGGCTGAGGCAGAATGGCGTGAACCCAGGAGGCGGAGGCTACAGTGAGCCGAGATCGTGCCACTGCACTCCAGCCTGGGCGACAGGGAGAGACTCCATCTCAAAAAAAAAAAAAAAGGTTTTTTTAAGATGTGGGGTCTTGCTATGTTACTCTGGCTGGTCTCAAACGATCCTCCCTGGGCCTCTCCAAGTGCTGGGACACCCCGCCCTGCTAAGTTTAAAAAATTTTCTTAGAGACGGGGTCTTGCTACGTTGCCCTGGCTGGTCTCAAACTCCTGGGCTCAAACGATCCTCCCTGGGCCTCTCCGAGTGCTGGGACACCCCGCCCTGCTAAGTTTAAAACTTTTTCTTAGAGACGGGGTCTTGCTATGTTGCCCTGGCTGGTCTCAAACTCCTGAGCTCAGGCGATCCTCCCTGGGCCTCTCAAAGTGCGGGGACACCCCGCCTGCTAAGTTTTAAAAATTTTCTTAGAGATGGGGTCTTGCTATGTTGTCCTGGCTGGTCTCAAACTCCCGGGACACGCCACCCTGTACTAGGTTTAAAAAATTATCTTAGAGATGCGGTCTTGCTCTGTTGCCCAGGCTGGTCTCAAACTCCTGAGCTCACGCGATCCTCTCCGGGCCTCTCAATGCACTGGGACGTCCTGCTTCGTTAAGTTAAAATAATTTTTTTTGAGGTGAGGTCTTGCTGTGTGGCCCCGGCTGCTCTCAAACTCCTGGCCTCAAGCAATACTCCCCGGGCCTCTCAAAAGCGCTGGGATCGCGGGCGTGACCTGTCCTTGCAGCCAAGCCTATTCATTCCCATCACCGAGCTGTCACTCGGAGTACAACGTTAGCAAGGACGTCCTGGCGGCAATGTTCCTAGGCATCATGCTACTTTCTATAAGCCTCTCCCAAAAGACAAAAAATGCATTGCTCTGGATCAGAATTGCACAAATGAGCTAAGAAGGGGGTAAGAACCACCAATAACCATATCCTGGTTATTCCAGGACACCTGCGGGCAGGCTCGTTGCCCTATTGGCCTTAGAATTACCCTTCACGGTGGAGGGAGCAAGAGCAGACACCTGCCAGGCATCCACCGGAAGGGTTGGTCCCAGCCGGGGGACCCGCAGGATTGAGCTCAAGGTCAAGGCCCGCCAGCCGCAGGGTCCGTCCATGGGCCCTGCTCAGCGCGCATGCGCCCTCCAATCCGTGCCGCATTTCCCCCCGCCCGCCGGGCCCAGTGCGCACGCGTGGACGTCGCCACGCCCTGCAGCAGCGGTCACGTGACGCGGCCCCCGGAAGCCGGCGGCGCGTGGACAAAGCGATCGCGGCCTTCCACTTCCGGCGCCCGCCTGCAAGGCTCTGCTGCCCACGTCCCCGCCCGACCCGGCCACTCGGTTCCCGTCCCCTAGTCCCCGGAGCGGCCGCGCCCGCGTCCCCACCTGCAGCAGCAGCTTGACCCGCTCGATCGGAGCCACGGCCGTCTTGGAGATGGCGGCGGCGATGCCTCCGGCCAAGAAGTCTTTGGCGAAGGAGATGGCCTGTTCCGTCATGGTGGCAGGGCGGGCAGCGGAACGGGAGGACAGCCGGAGAACGGGCGCGGAGAGTGAATGGAGGGCGTCGCTGGCTCAGCCCTGCCGCCGCCTGGACCGAAAGGACGGAGCAGCCACCGCGCAGCCGCTAAGACGCCGACGCCACGCCCACTCTCCGCCCCCGCGCCTCCTCGCGCCGCGCTCATTGGCTGCGCCGCCAGGCCCCGCCCCACACCAGCCTGCGTGCCTCGCCTCTGAGGGCTGCCGGGAATCCCGCTGCGTCCCGCCCCGCACTCCAGCGAACCGCGCCCATTGGCTGCGCTCCCCGGAGACGTCCCGCCCCGCACCCCTAGGTATGCCGGGAGCCAGGCCCCGCCCATGCGCCGTAGGGGCCGCTGGGGGTTCCGCGGCAGCCTTGACCTTGTGAAGGTCAGGCCGCTGCCAGTACCCGAGCGGGCGGGAGGGCAGCTGCGGAGTCAGAAGCCCACCCTGATGCCCAGTTCGCTCCGAGTGCGTCGTCCGCTTTCTCCCGGAGGCCGCGGCGACCCCGCCGGGATGTGCGACATGTGGTGCCCCGACCCCCGACCCTTGACCCTTGACCTCCGGGCAGCTCCGACCCTTTCAACACTCTCCGGGGTCGTGCGTCGGGAGACCCCGGCCCCTGCCCGCGTGCACCCGGGGGGCCCCGCGCGAAGCCTGCGGCGGCTTCCACGTGGGCGCGGCTCAGTCCCGCTGCCGATCCGTGACTCCGCGCCGCCCTCCGCGCCCGGCCTAGGTTGGTGGGGGGGGGATCTCTCTGGGCCTCCGTTCTTTGACCCCGCGGTGCCCTCCGCGCCGGGGCTGGGGGTTCCGTGGGCCGCGCCCACCCGCCCGGGCTCCCCTATTTCCCCGTGTCTGTGCCCGTGTCTGCCCGGCGGGGGCTGCGGCCGGGGTCCTCCTTCGCGACCTCCCACTCCGCCCTTCCTCCCTCCCTCCCTCCCTCCCTCCCGCCTCCCTCCTCCCTCCCTCCCGCCTCCCTCCTCCCTCCTCCCGCCTCCTCTCCCTTCCCGGCTCTCTCCCGCCCGCCCTTTTCTCCCCGTCTCTTCCTTCCCTGCTTGCCTTTGCTTTTTGCTGCTTTCCCGCCTCCCTCCTTTTTCTCCGTCTTTCCGTCTCTGCCTTCGTTTCCCTCCCTCCCTTTTTCTTTCATTTCTCTCTCCCTTTCTCCTTCCTTTCTTGCTACGTTTCTTCCCTCTTTTTCATTTTTTTCCTTCCTTTTTCTGCTTTTCTCCCTCCGCCCTTCCTCTGTTTTTTCTTTGCTCCCTCCCTCTTTTTTCTCCCTCTTTCCGTCTCTCCTTCCCTTTTCCTCTTTCCTTCCCTTCCTCCCTTTTCTGCCTTTCCCTCCTTCCCTCTCTTTTCCTTTTCCTCTTTATTTCCTGTCTCCCTTCCTCTCGTCCCTTTCTCCCCTCTCTCTTTTCCGTTTTTTTTTTCTTTTGAGACAGAGTTTCGCTCTTGTTGCCCAAGCTGGAGTGCAAGCTCCGCCTCCCGGGTTCAAGCGATTCTCCTGCCTCAGCCTCCCAAGTAGCTGGAATGACAGGCATGCGCCACCGCGCCCAGCTAATTTTATATTTTTAGTAGAGACGGGGTTTCGCCATGTTGGTCAGGCTGGTCTCGAACTCCGGACTTCAGGGGATCCGCCCACTTCGGCTTCCCAAAGTGCTGGGATGACAGGTGTGTGAGCCACCACGCCTAGCTGTCTCTTTTCCATTTTTTAATTTTTTTTTCATTTTTCCTCTCTCCCTTTGCCTCTCTTTTTCTTCTTCCTTTTATTCTTTCCTGTCTTGTTCTTTCCTTCCTCTCTGTTTCTCCCTTTCTCCCTGTTTTCCTTTTTTTTTTTTGAGATGGAGACTTGTTCTGTCACCGAGGCTGGAGTGCAGTGGCGTGATCTCAGCTCACTGCAACCTCTGCCTCTCAGGTTCTAGAGATTCTTGTGCCTCAACTTCCCAAGTAGCTGGGATTACAGGTGCCAGCCACCCCACCCGGCTATTTTTTTTTTTAAGGACAGATGGCGTTTCACCATGTTGGCCAGGCTGGTCTTGAACTCCTGACCTCAGGTGATCCGCCCACCTCGGCCTCCCAAAGTGCTGGATTACAGTCGTGCGCCACTGCGTCCCGCCTCCTTTTCTTTTTTCTTCTCTCCTCCGTCTTTTTCTATCCTACCTCCCTGCCTCTTTCCTCTCTCCTCCCTCCTTTTCCTTTTTCTTCTCTCCTCCCTCCCTCCTGTTTTTCTCCATCATTCCCTCTCCCTTCCTTTCTTTTTCTCCCGTTCCCCGTTTGCCTCCCTCCCCTTTTTCTTTCCTGTCTCCCTGTCTCCTTTGCTCTTTTCCTCCCTTTCTCCCGTCCCTCCCTCCCCGCCTTCCTTTTCACTTCTTTCCCTTCCCATTGCTTCCTTGCGTTTCCTGCCTTTCCCTGTCTCTCCCTTTCTTTCCTGCCTTTCCCTGCCTCTCTCTTTCCTGCCTTTCCCCATCTCTCCCTTTCCTGCCTTTCCCTGTCTCTCCCTTTCTTTCCCTCTCCTCCCACTCTCCCTCCTTCCTCCCTTCTTTTCTTTCCTCTTCTTTCCCTGTGTCTTTCTTTTTTCTTTCCTTCTCTCTTCCTTTTCTCTCCCTGTGTCTTTCTCGCTCTTGTTTTTCCTTTCTCTCCTTTGTGTACTGAGAAAATGACAGTCCCCGGCTGTGGGTGGGCAGGAGTGACCCGCCCCAGAGAGCGGGGTCACCCTGGGTGACTCCTGGGTGCAGCTGTGAGCCCTGCCTGAGGCTTTTCCTGACCTCTGGGGAGGGCGGCTCAGCCTGGGGCTGGAGGTTGGGGCCAGCTCTGGAGGCTGGAGTGGCTGCTGGGCGGCGGGACGGGTGTCTCAGAAGTCACTGAGGCATGGGTAGGTCTAACCTTGGGACATTGCTGTGGGGAGGGCTGTGGAGACCAAGCACATTCCTGAGGCTCTGCCAGGGCAGCGGGGGTGGACAGTGTCCCCTGAGGACCCAGGACCAAGCCAGGCTCGCTACAGGGGTCCTGGAATAGAGGACAGAGGCCAGGAGCGCTGTGGGTGCTGGGCAGGGGTGGGGAGTTTGCTGGGGAGCTGCGCCTTACAGACCTGTGTTTGTTTCCCAGCCTCAGCGAGGCCGGGCTGGACGGGGCCCTGGTGCTGGTTTTCAGTGCCTCAGCGAGGCCGGGACCAGAGCTGCTATTTCCAGATGAGGCTGGCTCGCATCTGCTCTGGCCGGGGCTCCAGGCCTGAGCCCTGCAACACGGCGTTCCCTTTCCAAGTCTGCAAAGCCTGTCTTAGGGGAGAGAAGAAGTTTCCTTCCATGCGGGTGGGGACGGCTAACCATGTCCAGACACTGAGACCGGTGCTCTGTGTGCTCAGCCTTCAGCCTGCACTGGCTTGGTGGCTTGGTGACCCGCCAGCAGGGTGGTGCTGTCTGTGGGCTCTGCTCAAGCTCCTCTCAGAGCCAGGAGGATGCCCGCCTGCTTGGGCCTGGCTCCCAGGATGTGCTTGGCAAATGCTTCTGGGATGGATGGATGGATGGGTGAGTGGATAACGGATGGATGGATAATGGATAGATGGATAATGGATAGATGGATGGATGGATGGATGATGGATGGATGGATAATGAATGGGTGGGTGGATGGATGGATGTGCTCGATCGGCAAATGCTTCTGGAATGGATGGATAATTGGATGGGTAATGGGTGGGTGGATGGATAATGGATGGATGGATGGATAATGGATGGATGGATGGATAATGGATAGATGGATGGATAATGTATAGATGGATGGATGATGGATGGATGGATGGATAATGGGTGGATGGATGATGGATAATGGGTGGATGGATGAATAATGGATGCTTCTGGGATGGATGGATAATGAGTGGGTGGATGGATAATGAATGGGTGGATGGACAGATGGATAGATGGATATGTTTGCTTGGCAAATGATTCTAGAATGAATGGATGGATGGATAATGAATGGGTGGGTGGGTGGATGGATGGATGCACTCTGTTGGCAAATGCTTCTGGGATGGATGGATGGATAATGGATGGATAGATGGATAATCAATGAGTGGGTGGATGGATGGATAGATGGATGTGTTTGCTTGGTAAATGATTCTGGAATGGATGGGTGGATGGATGGATGGATGCGCTCGATCGGCAAATGCTTCTGGAATGGATGGATAATTGGATGGGTAATGGGTGGGTGGATGGATGCATGGATAGATGGATGTGCTCACTCAGCAAATGCTTCTGGAATGAATGGATGATGGATGGATGAATAGATGGATGGATGGATGAATGGATGGATGGATGGATGGATGAATGAATTGCTAATTGGGGCTGTTTTTCCATACAGAGTGCTGCACGTGGGACTTAGCCTTGGACACTAACTCCTTTGCCCCTCGTATCTGGGAGGGAACAACACAGTTGCTATGCCTGACTAGGGCATGACCTGGGAGGCCTTTGGGGCCACACAGCCTCCTTGGGAAAGGAGGATCAGGTGGGCCTCACACCCAGGAATTGGAAGTGGGAGAGACAACAGCTGCTGGGTAGTGGGGGTAGAGCTGTGTCTCTCACTGCCCTGCCCCTCCAAGGACCAAGAAGAAAGGAATGAGCCCCGATCCGCCTGCCAGGTACCCACCCATGAGAACCCCTTCTCTGCCAGCATCTGATAAAATTACCTGCGTAGCTTTAGAGATCACTGCTGCCTGACCAGCAGCCGCTCTGCTGGAATCTGTCCAGAAAGCCCCTTGGGGCTCAGAAAAGTAGGTGGGTTAATAATAGAAGTAGATGTGGGTTTTTTTGTTTGTGTGTTTATTGAGACGGAGTCTTGCTCTGTGGCCCAGGCTGGAGTGCAGTGGCGTGATCTCGGCTCGCTGCAATCCCTGCCTCCCAGGTTCAAGCATGTCTTCTGCCTCAGCCTCCCAAGTAGCTGGGATAGCAAGTGTGCACCACCACGCCTGATTTTTGTATTTTTAGTAGAGATGGGGTTCCATCCATCCATTCCAGAAGCATTTGGCAAGCACATCCTGGGTGCCAGGCCCAAGCAGGCTGGTCTCAAACTCCTGACCTCAAGTGATCCGCCCACCTCGGCCTCCCAAAGTGCCGGGATGACAGCTGTGAGCCACCGCGCCCCGCCCAGAAGCAGAGGTGTTTTAACGGGAAGACTTCAGGCTTCATCGGACGGCCGGGAAGGAATCAGAGCAGGGGTGAGGTTGGCTTTGTGCGGGGTGGGGTGGGGTGCCAGGCTCTGTGTCGGGTGGGGGCAGCAGCACATCTTTTGTAATTAATCATTGCCGAGGCTCTGCCTGTACGAAGTGTGGTCCGGGGAGGGCTGATGAGGCTGCAGGATGAGGGGGCTTGACAGACCCCTTTCCCCAGAAGAGGGCCCCCAAAAGGCATTGCCCCTGAAGAGGGCTCCCCAAGACCTCATCCCTGAAAAGGGACTCCCAGGGTCACCCCCCTGAAAAGGGCTCCTCAAAAGGCCCCCCGAACGGGGTCCCCCCAAGACTGCCCTCTGAAGGAGGCCCCCGAAGACTTCCCCCGTGAAGGTGCCCCCCAAGACCTGCCCCCTGGAAGAGGGCTCCCCAAGACCTCTCCCCCTAGAAGAGCCCCCTAAGACTTTTACCCTGGAAAAGGGCTCTCTGCAAAGCTTCCCTGGACGTGCGCCTTCGAGCTGGGCAGGTAGGGAGGAGCTGTGTACTCGACATCATCCTTAGGATCTGTTGTCCTCCCGCTTCCCCTGCCCCGGCCCCCAGATGAATCCAGAGGCTGTTTTAGAGCCAGACGGACACTCCTGGTATGCACCAGACACTCATAGTGCAGTGCTCGCTGAGTAGAGGAGGAGTTAGTGGGTGAACCCGGCCCGCCAGGCTGCCCTGCACAGAATTCCAGCCTTGTCACCCCACTGGTTTTTAAATCATCACAATCCTCGGGATGTTCTGTGCATGCCACACACAGACTCTTAAGAGTCCAGAGGTCCTGTTTTTGCACAGTTACTCCAATGAATAAAAAGACGGGCTGGGCGTGGTGGCTCACGCCTGTCATCCGAGCACTTTGGGAGGCCGAGGCGGGGTGGATTGCCTGAAGTCAAGAGCTGAAGACCAGCCTGGCCAACATGGTGAAACCTCGTCTCTACTGAAAATACAAAAAAATTAGCTGGGCGTGGTGGTGGGCGCCTGTAATTTTAGCTATTGCGGAGGCTAAGGCAGGAGAATCGCTTGAACCCGGGAGGCGGAGGTTGCAGTGAGCCGAGATCACACCACTGCACTCCAGCCTGGGCGACAGTGAGACTGTCTCAAAAAAAAAAAAAAAAAAAAATTTCTAGCAGACACTGAAGGGAGAGGGAGAGGAACAAGCCCCAGGGACCCTTTATCCGACTTCCTTCCACCTGGGGGACTCCCTCCACGGGCCCTTGCTTTAAGGGCAAATGGCGAGGGCACCAGAACACAGGGAGGCCATGCCGGAGGTCCCTGCTGCAACCATGCGGCCCCCCAGCTCACTCCCAGCAGCCAAGACGAAGGGGGGCCTGGGCTCCCCCTAGGGCAGGCGCCTCTGATTCTCTCCACCGAGAGGCACCTCCCATGCCGGCCTCTTCCTGGGGTGACTCCCAGAACCTTCTTGGACCCATGAACATTTCAATCTGGGGTGGGGCCTTCCCTGGGCATCCAAGTGGTGGGAATCTGTCCCTAGCCCCTAGAACTCCTGGAGGGCTGGGCCCACCTCTGTCTGCATCCCGTCCCCATTCCCCGCCCCGGGTGGCAGGGGCTGGAGAGGAAGGAGCTTCAGGCTTCAAAACCATCAAAGCAGGTTTCTTCCGAGATGGCCAGTGGTCACCTGAGATGGAGCAGAGAGCACCTGTGGCGGGCATCTTCTCTAGAAGCCGCCTGTGAGCCCTACGGAGGCCCTGGGCTTCGTGCCGTAAGACAGACGGTGTCCTGCAGGTACGTGGGGGAACCCTGTAGGCAGGGACTTTGCCTGCTTTCTCAGAACAGGACAGAGGAGTTTGGCTGGGGCAGCCCGAGGTGACCGGGATGCTGTCGCCCCAGCTCTGGGCCAGGCTGATGTGGGAAGGGAGGAAGGAGGGACAGTTACGGGCCAGGCTGACGTGGGAAGGGAGGGAGGAGGGAGGTAGGAGGGACAGAGGCCTGGCTGCTCTGCAGGGCTGGGCTCCGTGGCATCTCCTGGTGGCTGTCAGGTCCTGCCTGGCCCCACGCTGAGGCCAGTGTGATGGAGGGGCCTGGAAGCCTCATCCTTCTTGATTGCCACGCGGTGAGGGCCACAGGCATGCGCCACCGCACTGGACTCCCCCTTTCATCATCAAAGCCAAATTTTCTTCTTGTTTCATCTAGGCCTCCCATGGAGACACCATGTGTGATTGTAAAAAAAAAAAAAAAATGAGTCAGGCCGGGCACGGTGGCTCACGCCTGCAATGCCAGCACTTTAGGAGGCCGAGGTGGGCAGATCACCTGAGGTCAGGAGTTCGAGACCAGCCTGGCCAACATGGTGAAACCCCGTCTCTACTAAAAATAGAAAAATTAGCCGCGTGTGGTGGCGCATGCCCGTAATCCCTGCACTGTGGGAGGCCGAGGTGGGCGGATCACCTGAGGTTAGGAGTTCTAGACCACCCTGGCCAACATGGTGAAACCCCGTCTCTACTAAAAATACAAAAATTAGCTGGGTTTGGTGGTGCGTGCCTGTAATCCCAGCACTTTGGGAGGCCAAGGTGGGCGGATTACCTGAGGTCGGGAGTTCCAGACCAACCTGGCCAACATGGTGAAACCCCATCTCTACTAAAAACACAAAAATTAGGCGGGCATGGTGGTGGGTGCCTGTAATCCCAGCTACTCAGGAGGCTGAGACAGGATAACTACTTGATCCCGGGAGGTGGAGGTTGTAGTGAGCCAAGATCGTGCCATTGCACTCCAGCCTGGGCAACAGAGTGAGATTCTGTCTCAAAAAAGAAAAAAACAGACCAAAAAAAAAACGGAGTCTGTCCAGAATTATACACAGTCACCTGTGCCAGGTAACAACCCTTCAGTCAACAACGGCCTTCCTAGACAGCGGAGGTCCCAGGAGATGGTAATACAGTAGTTTTCGTGTGCCTTTATTTGTAGACACACAAATCCCTACCATTGTATTACAGCAGCCTGCAGCACTGGGCACACTCACCTGCTGTCCAGGTTTGTAGCCCGGGAGCCTGGGGCCCTGCCGCACAGCCCAGGTGAGTAGCAGGCTGTATGTGCCACGGCGGTATGTGTGAGTGCACCCCGTGATGGGCACACAAAGAGAATTGCCTAAGGATGCATTTCCCGAAACAGGTCCCTGTCATTCAGTGACACACGTGACTGTGTGTGTGTGTGTGTGTGTGTGCGCACAGATGGGTGTGTATGTGTATGTATACACACCTGAACACTCACACCTCTACACACGTGCCTGTACACGGATAGAACACATAATTTACAGAATTTATGGAACACATAATTTATATTACATAAAATATATAGAGATCAGTTTTGTTTTCTTTTATTTATTTATTTAGACGGAGTCTCACTCTGTCGCCCAGGCTGGAGTGCAGTGGCACAATCTCGGCTCACTGCAACCTCCACCTACTGGGTTCAAGCCATCCTCCTGTCTCAGCCTCCCCCCTGTAGCTGGGATTATAGGCTCCTGCCACTATGCCCGGCTAGTGTTTGTATTTTGTGTAGAGACAGGATTTCACTCTGTTGGCCAGGCTGGTCTCGAATTCCTGACCACAGGTGATCCGCCCACCTCAGCCTCCCAAAGTGCTGGGATGACAGGCGTGAGCCACTGCACCCAGCCTATTTCAGCTGTTTTCTTAAAGCACAAAGCAACCTACACATTCTTTTGTGATACCAGGCCACTGTAAGGGTGGAGCAGCATGTGACTTTGGTGTTATTGAGATCATCCGTGACCATTGCAGAAAACCACTCCCATCTGTGCAGTGAGCACCTTGAAATAGGCCGCCCAGGAGGCAGAGGGTGCACCTTGAAATTGGGCTAGGAGGCGGAGCTTGCGCCTTGAAATAGGCCGCCCGGGAGGCGGGGCTTGCACCTTGAAATAGGCCGCCCAGAAGGCGGGGTTGCACCTTGAAATAGGCCACCCAGGAGGCGGGGCTTGCCCCTTGAAATAGGCCGCCCAGGAGGCGGGGTTGCACCTTGAAATAGGCTGCCTGGGAGGCAGAGCTCGCACCTTGATATAGGCCGCCCAGGAGGCAGGGCTTGCCCCTTGAAATAGGCCGCCCGGGAGGTGGGGTTGCACCTTGAAACAGGCCGCCTGGGAGGCGGAGCTTGCACCTTGTAATAGGCCGCCCGGGAGGCGGGGCTTGCACCTTGAAATAGGCCTAGAAGGTGGGGCTTCCACCTTGAAATAGGCCGCCCAGGAGGCGGAGTTTGCACCTTGAAATAGACTGCCCAGGAGGCGGAGGTTGCAGTGAGCCGAGATTGCATTATTGTACTCCAGTCTGGGTAAGAAGAGCTAAACTCCAGAGTCTGTCTCAGAAAAAGGAAAACAGCTGAAATATAGGAGACTGACGCCCAGCCCAGGAACAGGTAAGCTGGGTGCACGCGCCGTGAAAACAGCACCTAGGCCTGCTCCGGTTCTCGCTTTGCAGATGCCTCCTGAACCTCAGTGCCTCCTAAGGTCAAGGCTGTGAGTTAAAGGGCTCCACCCCAGCCCAGCCCCAGGTTGGCCCAGCCATTCCCTGGTGGAGGGGCCAGGGAGGAAAGGGGGCTGTGTGGGCACCAGAGGGTGAACTGAGGTCTGAGGGTCGGGACACAGGCCGGGAACAGCAGCTGGGAGCGGAGCACGGGGGAAACGTGGATGCGCTGAGCTCCCTACAACCGCAGTGAGCATGTGCCCAGGAGGGCCTCACGGGGTGGGTGTGAGTCTGGCCTGCCTGGGCTCGGGGTGGGGGGTGTTTACAGACGCATTTCAGCCCCGCAGCAGGGGCTGGGGAGGTCCCGCTCGTGACAGTCTCTGCACCAAGGCAGGAGAGATGGAAGCCGCCCAGAGAACTGCCACTCCATAGCCTGTGGGCATCCAGGGGTGAGCGGCAGCGATGGCGCCCCATGGAGGAAACACACTGGAAATCGTGCAGAAGATGGGAAGATGCAGGCTGGAGTGCGGAGAAGGACTGAGACCCTGCCTGGTAGACGGCACCGTCACAGCAGCCGTCTGCCTGCTAGGAGGTAGGAGAAAGCCCTGTCCCCACCGCCCTCCCCGGGAGTCCCCACTGGCTACTCTGGAAGGCTGCTGGTTCCCAGAACATCCGTGGGCTGAACAGTTATTCCTGGCTGTCCCTCCGTCCCCTCCTCCCCGAATGCAGCCTCCATCTCCTCCTCTAAAAATGCAGCCTCCATCCCCTCCTCCCCCAATTCAGCCTCCGTCCCCTCCTCCCTGAATGCAGCCTCCTTCCCCCCTCCCAAAATTCAGCCTCTGTCCCCACTCCCCAAATACAGCCTCTTTCCCTTCCTCCCCCAATACAGCTTCCTTCCCAAAAGCAGCCTCCTTTCCCTCCTCCTCCCCAAATGCAGCCTCCTTCCCCCTCCCAAAATGCAGCCTCTGTCCCCACTCCCCAAATGCAGCCTCCTTCCCCTCCTCCCCAAATGCAGCCTCTTTCTCCTCGCTCCTCCCCAATGCAGCTTCCTTCCCCCTCCCAAAATGCAGCCTCTGTCCCCACTCCCCAAATGCAGCCTCCTTCCCCTCCTCCCCAAATGCAGCCTCTGTCCCCCTCCCCAAATGCCACCTCCTTCCCCCCTCCCCAAATGCAGCCTCTTCCCCTCCTCCCCGAATGCAGCCTCCTTCCCCTCCTCCCCGAATGCAGCCTCCTTCCCCTCCTCCCCGAATGCAGCCTCCTTCCCCTCCTCCCCGAATGCAGCCTCCATCCTCTCCTCCCCGAATGCAGCCTCCTGTCCTCCCCAAATGCAGCCTCTGTCCCCCCCTCCCCAAATGCCGTCTCCTTCCCCTCCTCCCCAAATGCAGCCTCTGTCTCCTCCTTCCCAAAAGCAGCCTCCTTCCCCCACTCCCCAAATGCAGCCTCTGTCTCCTCCTCCCTAAATGCAGCCGTCTCCCTCATCAAAACCCCTATGGAGGAGGCAGAGACAGGCTTTTGCTTTCTTTATTCAGTCACGACTACACGCTCCTATGTGACTGTCCTATGGTACTTGGGGACCGGGCGGTCCACCTGCAGCCTGGGGGAGGACATCCCTATAATGAACATGCTGCCTGGGCTTCAGGGGGCCACTTTGGTGGCCAAGATGGCATCCAGGACACCCCCCAAGTGCACCACCTGCACCTGGTGGAAGCCGTGCAGCTCCAGCAAGCACTGATACTCGCCCAGGCTCCGCTCCTTGCCTTCAGTCTGCACCAGCATGTTCAGTGACTGCATCAGGGCGCGCTGCGCCACCCTCTTCTCCTCATCCAGGAGCGTCTCCACCAGCAGCAGGCCGGCCCCTGAGGGAGACAGCAGAGAGCTGGAGTCCTGGCCAGCCAGGCGGGGATCCTTCAGCAGGACACAGGGGACACAGCAGGCAACAGGAGCTCAGAACGGTGAGCAGAGGCTGCTGAGAACCCTTGGCCAGGGGGCCCACACAGGTAGGGGAGGGGAGAGAGACAGAGACTTGATGCAGGGCGGACAGACAGGGAGAAGGAGATTTGATCGAAAGATGGATGGATAGATGGATGCATCACCTGGGCCTTTTCCGGTTCTCCTGGATGCATGGATGAACAGATGGTAGATGATGGGTGGGTAGGTAGGTAGAAAGATGTATGGATAGGTGGACGCATGGATGAGAAGGATGGATGGATGAACAGATGGTAAGTGATGGGGAGGTACATGGATGGATGGATAGATGGATGCATGTATGAGATGGATGGATGGGTGAATAGATGGTAGATGATGGGTAGGTAGGTAGATGAGTGGATGGACAGATGGATGCATGGATGTGATGGATGGATGGGTGAATAGATGGTACATGATGGGCAGGTAGACGGATGGATAGATGGATGCATGGACGAGATGGATGGATGGGTGAATAGATGGTACATGATGGGTAGGTAGGAAGATGAATAGATGGGTGCATGGATGAGATGGATGGTTGGGTGAATAGATGGTAGATGATGGGTACGTAGGTAGATGGATGGATAGATGGATGCATGGATGAGATGGATGGGTGAATAGATGGTAGATGATGGGTAGGTAGGTAGATGAATGGATGGATAGATGGATGCATGGATGAGATGGATGGATGGATGGGTGAATAGATGGTAGATCATGGGTACATAGATAGATGAATGGATGGATAGATGAATGCATGGATGAGATGGATGGGTGAATAGATGGTAGATGATGGGTAGGTAGGTGGATGGATGGATGGATGGATGCAGGCATGGATGAGATGGATGGATGGGTGAATAGATGGGTAGGTAGGTAGATAGATGGATGTATAGATGGATGGATGGATGGGTGAATAGATAGTAGATGATGGTTAGGTAAGTAGGTAGATGAATGGATGGATAGATGGATGCATGCATGAGATGGATGGATGGGTGTATAGATGATAGATGATGGGTAGGTAGGTAGACGAATGGACGGATAGATGGATGCATGGATGAGATGGATGGATGGGTGAATAGATGGTAGATGATGGGTAGGTAGATGAATGGATGGACAGATGGATGCATGGATGAGATGGATGGATGGGTGAATAGATGGTACATGATGGACAGGTAGATAGATGAATGGATGGATATATGGATGTATGGATGAGATGGATGGATGGGTGAATAGATGGTAGCTGATGGATAGGTAGGAAGATGAATAGTTGGATGCATGGATGAGATGGATGGTTGGGTGAATAGATGGTAGCTGATGGGTACGTAGGTAGATGTATGGATGGATAGATGGATGCATGGATGAGAGGGATGGATGGGTGAATAGATGGTAGATGATGGGTAGGTAGATGAGTGGATGGATAGATGGATGAATGGATGAATAGATGGTAGATGATGGGTACGTAGATAGATGAATGGATGGATAGATGGATGCATGGATGAGATGGATGGATGAGTGAACAGATGGTAGATTATGCGTAGGTAGGTAGATGAATAGATGGGTGCATGGATGAGATGGATGGTTGGGTGAATAGATGGTAGATGATGGGTACGTAGATAGATGAATGGATGGATAGATGGATGGATGGGTGAACAGATGGTAGATGATGGGTACGTAGATAGATGAGTGGATGGATAGATGGATGTGATGGATGGGTGAATAGATGGTAGATGATGGATCGTTAGGTGGATGGATAG
Source organism: Homo sapiens (assembly GCF_000001405.40). Classification (NCBI taxonomy): domain Eukaryota; kingdom Metazoa; phylum Chordata; class Mammalia; order Primates; family Hominidae; genus Homo; species Homo sapiens. Next base: position 1,405,347 of record NC_000024.10, read on the forward strand.
ATGGAGGCATGGATGAGATGGATGGATGGGTGAATAGGTAGGTAGGTAGATAGATGGATGTATAGATGGATGCATGGATGTGATGGATGGATGGGTGAATAGATAGTAGATGATGGTTAGGTAGGTAGATGAGTGGATAGATAGATGGATGCATGCATGAGATGGATGGGTGTATAGATGATGGGTAGGTAGGTAGACGGATGGATGGATAGATGGATGCATGCATGAGATGGATGGATGGGTGAATAGATGGTAGATGATGGGTAGGTAGATAGATGAATGGATGGATAGATGGATGCATGGATGAGATGGATGGATGGGTGAATAGATGGTACATGATGGGCAGGTAGATAGATGAATGGATGGATATATGGATGTATGGATGAGATGGATGGATGGGTGAATAGATGGTAGATGATGGGTAGGTAGGAAGATGAATAGATGGATGCATGGATGAGATGGATGGTTGGGTGAATAGATGGTAGCTGATGGGTACATAGGTAGATGGATGGATGGATAGATGGATGCATGGATGAGATGGATGGGTGAATAGATGGTAGATGATGGGTAGGTAGATGAGTGGATGGATGGATGAATGGATGAGTAGATGGTAGATGATGGGTACGTAGATAGATGAATGGATGGATAGATGGATGTATGGATGTGATGGATGGGTGAATAGATGGTAGACGATGGGTAGGTAGGTGGATGGATAGATGGAGGCATGGATGAGATGGATGGATGGGTGAATAAATGGGTAGGTAGGTAGGTAGATGGATGTATAGATGGATGCATGGATGAGATGGATGGATGGCTGAATAGATGGTAGATGATGGGTAGATAGATGAATGGATGGATGAGATGGATGGATGGGTGAATAGATGGTAGATGATGGGTAGGTAGGAAGATGAATAGATGGGTGCATGGATGAGATGGATGGTTGGGTGAATAGATGGTAGATGATGGGTAGGTAGGTAGATGGATGGATGGATTCATGGATGAGATGGATGGATAGGTGAATAGATGGTAGATGATGGGTAGGTAGGTAGATGAATGGATGGATAGATGGATGCATGGATGAGATGGATGGAGGGATGGGTGAATAGATGGTAGATGATGGGTACGTAGATAGATGAGTGGATGGATAGATGGATGTATGGATGTGATGGATGCTTGAATAGATGGTAGATGATGGGTAGGTAGGTGGATGGATGGATGGATAGATGGCATGGATGAGATGGATGTATGGGTGAATAGATAGGTAGGTAGGTAGATGGATGCATGGATGTGATGGATGGATGGGTGAATAGATAGTAGATGATGGTTAAGTAGGTAGATGAATGGATGGATAGATGGATGCATGCATGAGATGGATGGATTAGTGAATAGATGGTAGATGATGGGTAGGTAGGTAGATGAATGGATAGATACATGGATGCATGCATGAGATGGATGGATGGGTGAATAGATAATAGATGATGGGTAGGTAGATGAATGGATGGATAGATGGGTGCATGGAACAGATGGATGGATGGGTGAATAGATGGTAGATGATGGGTACATAGATAGATGAATAGATGGATGCATGGATGAGATGGATGGGTGAATAGATAGTAGATGATGGGTAGGTAGATGAATGGATGGATAGATGCATGGATTGGATGGATGGGTGAATAGATGGTAGATGATGGGTAGGTAGATGGATGGATGGATGGATGCATGCATGGATGAGATGGATGGGTGAACTGATGGTAGATGATGGGTAGATGGATGGATGGATGGGTGAACTGATGGTAGATGATGGGTAGGTAGATAGATGAATGGATGTATATAGATGGATGCATGGATGAGATGGATGGCTGGGTGAATAGATGGTAGATGATGGGTAGGTAGGTAGATGGATGGATGGATAGATGGATGCATGGATGAGATGGATGGATGGCTGAATAGATGGTACATGATGGGCAGGTAGATGAATGGATGGATAGATGGATGAGATGGATGGGTGTATTGATGGTAGGTGATGGGCAGGTAGGTAGATGAATGGATGGATATAGATGGATGCATTCATGAGATGGATGGATGGGTGAATAGATGGTAGATGATAGGTAGATAGATGAATAGATGGATAGATGGATGCATGGATGAGATGGATGGATGGGTGAATATATGGTAGATGATGGGTAGGTAGATGATGGATGGATGGATAGATAATAAATGATAGACAGATGACAGGTGACGGAGCATTGTTAGAAGGCCAGACGCAGTGGCTCACACCTGTAATCGCAGCACTTTGGGAGGCAGAGGTGGGAGGATGGTTTGAGCCCAGGAGTTTGAAACCAACCTGAGCAACATAGTGAGACCCTGTCTCTATTTTATTTTTTTTAAAAAAGGATGATAGATGTATAAAGAGAGACAGAGACAGGGTGGAGAGAGGGAGGAAGAGACAGAGAAGATAAAGGAGGAAGGAGGAGAGAAGAGAAACAGAGATTGATGATGATAGATGAGATACCTAAAAAGACACAGAGAGGAGGAGACAGAGAGGAAGAGGGAGAAGAGAGAGAAAGAGAGACAGAGGCCGGGTGCAGTGGCTCATGTCTTTAACCCCAGCATTTTGGGAGGCTGAGGCAGGAGGATCGCTTGAGCCCAGGAAGGGTAGCCTGGGCAACATCGCAAGATCCCATCTCTACAAAATTTAAAAAACCCTAACAGGGCATGATAACAAATGCTGGTACTCCCAAATACTCGGGAGGCTGAGGCAGGAGGATCGCTTGAGCGCAGGAGGTCAAGGCTGCAGTGAACTATGATGGCAACACTGCCCTCCAGCCAAATGCTGGTACTCCCAAATACTCGGGAGGCTGAGGCAGGAGGATCGCTTGAGTGCAGGAGGTCAAGGCTGCAGTGAACTATGATGACAACACTGCCCTCCAGCCAAATGCTGGTACTCCCAAATACTCGGGAGGCTGAGGCAGGAGGATCGCTTGAGCCCAGGAGGTCAAGGCTGCAGTGAACTATGATGACAACACTGCCCTCCAGCCAAATGCTGCTACTCCCAAATACTCGGGAGGCTGAGGCAGGAGGATCGCTTGAGTGCAGGAGGTCAAGGCTGCAGTGAACTATGATGACAACACTGCAGTCCAGCCAAATGCTGGTACTCCCAAATACTCGGGAGGCTGAGGCAGGAGGATCGCTTGAGCCCAGGAGGTCAAGGCTGCAGTGAACTATGATGACAACACTGCCCTCCAGCCAAATGCTGGTACTCCCAAATACTCGGGAGGCTGAGGCAGGAGGATCGCTTGAGCCCAGGAGGTCAAGGCTGCAGTGAACTATGATGACAACACTGCCCTCCAGCCAAATGCTGGTACTCCCAAATACTCGGGAGGCTGAGGCAGGAGGATCGCTTGAGTGCAGGAGGTCAAGGCTGCAGTGAACTATGATGGCAACACTGCCCTCCAGCCAAATGCTGCTACTCCCAAATACTCGGGAGGCTGAGGCAGGAGGATCGCTTGAGCCCAGGAGGTCAAGGCTGCAGTGAACTATGATGACAACACTGCCCTCCAGCCAAATGCTGCTACTCCCAAATACTCGGGAGGCTGAGGCAGGAGGATCGCTTGAGTGCAGGAGGTCAAGGCTGCAGTGAACTATGATGGCAACACTGCACTCCAGCCAAATGCTGCTACTCCCAAATACTCGGGAGGCTGAGGCAGGAGGATCGCTTGAGCCCAGGAGGTCAAGGCTGCAGTGAACTATGATGACAACACTGCAGTCCAGCCAAATGCTGGTACTCCCAAATACTCGGGAGGCTGAGGCAGGAGGATCGCTTGAGCCCAGGAGGTCAAGGCTGCAGTGAACTATGATGACAACACTGCCCTCCAGCCAAATGCTGGTACTCCCAAATACTCGGGAGGCTGAGGCAGGAGGATCGCTTGAGCCCAGGAGGTCAAGGCTGCAGTGAACTATGATGACAACACTGCCCTCCAGCCAAATGCTGGTACTCCCAAATACTCGGGAGGCTGAGGCAGGAGGATCGCTTGAGTGCAGGAGGTCAAGGCTGCAGTGAACTATGATGGCAACACTGCACTCCAGCCAAATGCTGCTACTCCCAAATACTCGGGAGGCTGAGGCAGGAGGATCGCTTGAGCCCAGGAGGTCAAGGCTGCAGTGAACTATGATGACAACACTGCACTCCAGCCAAATGCTGGTACTCCCAAATACTCGGGAGGCTGAGGCAGGAGGATCGCTTGAGCCCAGGAGGTCAAGGCTGCAGTGAACTATGATGACAACACTGCCCTCCAGCCAAATGCTGGTACTCCCAAATACTCGGGAGGCTGAGGCAGGAGGATCGCTTGAGCCCAGGAGGTCAAGGCTGCAGTGAACTATGATGACAACACTGCCCTCCAGCCAAATGCTGGTACTCCCAAATACTCGGGAGGCTGAGGCAGGAGGATCGCTTGAGCCCAGGAGGTCAAGGCTGCAGTGAACTATGATGACAACACTGCCCTCCAGCCAAATGCTGGTACTCCCAAATACTCGGGAGGCTGAGGCAGGAGGATCGCTTGAGCCCAGGAGGTCAAGGCTGCAGTGAACTATGATGACAACACTGCCCTCCAGCCAAATGCTGGTACTCCCAAATACTCGGGAGGCTGAGGCAGGAGGATCGCTTGAGCCCAGGAGGTCAAGGCTGCAGTGAACTATGATGACAACACTGCCCTCCAGCCAAATGCTGGTACTCCCAAATACTCGGGAGGCTGAGGCAGGAGGATCGCTTGAGCCCAGGAGGTCAAGGCTGCAGTGAACTATGATGACAACACTGCCCTCCAGCCAAATGCTGGTACTCCCAAATACTCGGGAGGCTGAGGCAGGAGGATCGCTTGAGCCCAGGAGGTCAAGGCTGCAGTGAACTATGATGACAACACTGCCCTCCAGCCAAATGCTGGTACTCCCAAATACTCGGGAGGCTGAGGCAGGAGGATCGCTTGAGCCCAGGAGGTCAAGGCTGCAGTGAACTATGATGACAACACTGCACTCCAGCCTGGGTGACAGAGGGGGACTCCTATCTCCACAAAAAACTTTTTTTTTTTTTTCTGAGACGGAGTCTTGCTGTGTTGCCCAGGCTGGAGTGCAGTGGCGCGATCTCTGCTCACTGCAACCTTCGCCTCCCAGGTTCAAGTGATGTCCTCTCTCAGCCTCCTGAGTAGCTAGAATTAGAGGCGTGCACCACTACGCCGGACTAATTTTTGTATTTTTAGTAGAGGCGGGGTTTCACCACGTGGCTTAGGCTGGTCTCGAACTCCTGACCTCGAGATCTGCCCGCTTTGGCCTCCCAAAGTGCTGGGATTACAGGTGTGAGCCACCGTGCCCGGTCTCAGAAAAAACTTCTTAAAAAATTAGCTGGGCATGGTGATGCATGATGCATGCCTGTACTTCCAGCTACTCGGGAGGCTGAGGTGGGAGGACAGCTTGAGCCTAGGAGGTCAAGGCTGCAGTGACCTGTGACTGCTCCACTGCACACCAGCCTGGGCAGCAGAGTGAGACCTCGTCTCAAAAAATATAATAGAGCCGGGCGAGGTGGCTCACGCCTGTAATCCCAACACTTTGGGAGTCCCAGCTGGGTGGATCACCCGAGGTTGGGAGTTCGAGACCAGCCTGACCAACATGGAGAAACCCTGTCTCTATTAAAAATAAAAAATTAGCCGGGCGTGGTGGTATGTGCCAGTAATCCAGCTACTCGGGAGGCTGAGGCAGGAGAATCACTTGAACCCTGGGGGTGGAGGTTACGGAGAGCCAAGATCGTGCCACTGCACTCCAGCCTGGGCGACAGAGCGAGACTCCGTCTCAAAAAAAAAAAAGAAGAGAGATACACAGAGAAAGAGAGAAAGAAGGAGAGACAGAGGGAGAGAAGAATGGAAGTCTCTTGACCATTTGAGCCTATGGGGAGTCCTGTTTCAACGCGCAGGTGCCAGGCCCTGGCTCTGTGAAGATAATTAACCGTTGTCTGCAAATATTCCAGGAATTCTCACTGGAGCAACAACGCTGAACTCTTGAGGGAGGCTGAGTGCCCGTCAGATTCCCTCAGGGCCAGCTGGTTCAACTGTGGAAACCCAATATGCAGCCCTGGCCCGAACCCCTGGAGCCAGGGTTTCCAGCAGCCCCACTGGGCTCCAGGAGCAGCCTGGGTGGACGGGGGAGAAACCTGATGTGAAGGCTTTGAGCCGAGATGGTGCGTGCTGTGTGTGTGTGCACGTGTGTCTGCGTAGAAACACACAGATTAGATCCAGCTGCAGAGTCCACTCATGCGTGGATTTCCCTCTGCCTCGGCCACCCCTGAGACAGCAACACCAGCCCACGGCTTCCTCCTCTGCAGCCTCCTCAGTGTGAAGACCTCCTCAAGAATGAAGACTTTTATCATGAGCCACTTCAACTTCACGAATAGTAAATATATTTTCTCTTTAGGATTTTCTTTTTTTTTTTTTTTTTTTTTTTTGAGATGGAGTCTCGCTCTGTTACCCAGGCTGGAGTGCGGTGGCGCAGTCTCGGCTCACTGCAACCTCCGTCTCCAGGTTCAAGCGATTCTCCTGCCTCAGCCTCCTGAGTAGCTGGGATTACAGGCACCCGCTATCAAGCCCGGCTTATTTTTTGTGTTTGTTTTTAATAGAGACGGGGTTTCACCATGTTGGCCAGGCTGGTCTCAAACCCCCGACCTCAGGTGATCCGCCCGCCTCGGCCTCCCGAAGTGCGGGGATGACAGGCGTGAGCCACCACACCTGGCCACACTGGCCAACTTTAAATACAGCAGATTTACCCTCCACAATTTAGCGGGCCTCTCACCCAGACGCTGGACCTGCCAACCTCCAAAGTCACATAAGCCAATTCTTTTTTTGTTGTGGTTGTTCTTTTTTGACACCGAATCTCACTCCGTCGCCCAGGCTGGAGTGCAGTGGCGCGATCTCGGCTCACTGCAGTCTCCAGCTCCCGGGTTCAAGTGATTCTCCTGCCTCAGCCTCTGAAGTACCTGGGATTACAGGTGCGCACTACCACACCTGGCTAATTTTTGTATTTTTAGTAGAGACGGGGTTTCACCATGTTGGCCAGGCTGGTCTCGAACTGCTCACCCCGGGTGATCCACCTGCCTCAGCCTCCCAAAGTGCTGGGATTATAGGCATGAGCCACCACGCCTGGCTAATTTTTGTATTTTTAGTAGCGATGGGGTTTCACCACGTTGGCCAGGCTGGTCTGAAACTCCTGACCTCAGGTGATCCGCCCGCCTCGGCCTCCCAAAGCGCTGGGATGACAGGCGTGAGCCACCGCGCCCGGCCTCCTTGTAAAACTTGAACCCAAAATACTACGTCTTAACAAAAACAGCTAACCTGACGATGGGCTCTCACCTGGCTTGCAGCTCTCGGCGACCCTGCTGAGTAACTTGTGGACTTTGTCGTCTGGCCAGTCATGCAGGATCCGGCACAGGACGTACAGCTCAGCGCTGGGGAGGGGGTCCCTGAAAAAGTCACCTGGTTTAAAGACAAAACGAGATACGTCCGTCAGGTATGGAAGAAGCAGTCCTCCCCGGACAGATCCTGGGACGGCCACCCGCATCCTAAATCAGGGACAGAGAAGAGAGGGGTGTGGGCGGGAATGGGTCTTCCTGAAGTACATCCCCGTGGGGACTTGAACAGAGCTCCATGAGGAGCTGGTTAGTGATGTCACGCCCGTGCGGTTTGACTCGGGCTGAGAAAACGCTGGGGACAGTGGCTCACACCTGTAATCTCAGCATTTTGGGAGCCTGAGGTGGGCAGATTGTCTGAGCTCAGGAGTTCGAGACCAGCCTGGGCAACACGGCGAAACCCCATCTCTACTAAAAATGCAAATTAGCTGGACAGGGGTGGCGGGCGCCTGTCATCCCAGCTACGCGGGAGGCTGAGGCAGGAGAATCGCTTGAACCTGGGAGGTGGAGGTTGCAGTGAGCCGAGATCGCGCCATCGCACTCCAGCCTGGGCGACAAGAAGGCAAGGGAGGAAAAAAGCAGGGAATTCAGGGGCAGCACCTGGGCGAGGCAGGCAGAGTCGGCGCACATGGGCGTGTGCCAGGGAGAGTCGGGGCCGCACTGCCGGTGAGTGGGCAATGGCAGGGCCTTCTCTGGTGATCCCCTGATTCAGGCGCCCCAGGAGGGTTGCCTGTTGCGGGGGGCGCATGTAGCTGCACGCCCCTCTGTAATTGCTGAAATAAAAAGATGGTCTGCTGTAGTGCAGTGAATGGTGTCCCCTTAAAAGATATATTCAGGTGCTGACCCTCAGTCGCTGGGAATGGGACCTTATCTGGAAATAGGGTCTCTATGGATGTCATTGAGTAAAGAATTTCAAAATGAGATCATCCTGGAGTAGGGTGTCCCCTAAATCCAATGACAGGTGTCCTTCTAAGAGACAGAAGAGGAGACAGACACAGAGGAGAAGGCCACGTGGAGACGGAGGCAGAGACTGGAGTGATGCGGCCACAAGCCCAGGGACGCCTGGAGCCCCCAGGAGCTGGAAGAGGCGGGAAGGATCCTCCCCTAGAGCCTCTCAGAAAGAATCAAACACAACTGCAATGGGTTGGGTGGTGACGTCCAAAAGATCTGTCCAAGTCCTAAGCCCCAGAACCTGGGAATGGGACCTCATTTGGATAAAGTTTCTTTGCAGATGTAATTAAGGATCTGGAGATGGGATCATCCTGGAGTAGGGTGGGCCCTAAATGCAATGGCAGGTGTCCTTCTAAGAGACAGAAGAGGAGACACACAGAGGAGAAGGCCACGTGGAGATGGAGGCAGAGACTGGAGTGATGCGGCTACAAGCCCAGGGACACCCGGAGCCCCCAGGAGCTGGGAGAGGCAGGAAGGATCCTCCCCTAGAGCCTCCAGAGGGAGCACAGCCCTGAGATGCCTTGATCTCAGACCTCCGGTCTGCAGGACAGGGAGAGGATAAATAGCAAGCTGTGAGTTGCATGAGGGGAAAGAAGGGGCGGGAGAGTGTGCGGTGGGAAGTCTCCAGAGCTGTTTTCCCCCAGCTGCGAGGAGAAGGTGCTCTTTCAGGGCTCATGATTTTAAACTTTAGCATTTCCGGCCGGGCGGGGTGTAATCCCAGCACTTTGGGAGGCCAAGACGGGTGGATGACCTGAGGTGAGGAGTTCGAGACCAGCCTGGCCAACATGGTGAAACCCCATCTGTACTAAAAATACAAAAGTTAGCCAGGCGTGGTGGCGGGCACTTGTCACCCCAGCTACTCGGGAGGCTGAGGTGGGAGGATCCCTTGAACCCAGGAAGTGGAGGTTGCAGTGAGCTAAGATCACGCCACTGCACTCCAGCCTGGGTGACAGAGCGAGACACCATTCAAACATAAATAAATTTCAGCATTTCTGTCTCTGCAGATCTGGCAAATCAGAAGCACAGCTATCATGATGTCCTGCAGGAGGAGCTGTAGGGTGGTTGCGTTTTGTTTTTTTAAAAACGAGAAAAGCATCCAGGAACCTCTGGGGGAGGGTTGTGGAGGTCCCCAGCACCTGTGCCCACAGGCCTGGCCGCTGTCGGATGGTGCTGAGTTACAGCACGTCAGCTGTCTCTTTTTTTATTTTTTTATTTTTTTTGAGATGGAGTTTTGCTGTGTTGCCCAGGCTGGAGTGCAGTGGCGCGATCTCGGCTCACGGCAAGCTCCGCCTCCCGGGTTCAAGCGATTCTCCTGCCTCAGCCTCCTGAATAGGTGGGATTATAGGCACCCGCCACCATGCCTGGCTAATTTCTGTAATTTTAGTAGAGATGGGGTTTCACCATGTTGCTCTGGCTGGTCTCAAACTCCTGACCTCAGGTGATCCACCCGCCTCAGCCTCCCAGAGGGCTGGGATTCCAGGCGTCTCCTGTCAATCCGTCCTGGCCTCAGCAGCTGCCACCTGGAAGTTCTCCTTCAAGTCTAACCTAAGGCCACACTGTGACGGCTCTCGGGTCAGTTCCTTCCGTGACCTCGGCACCGTGGATGCCCATGAATGCTGATCTCGGCTGTTCCCCATCTCCACTCCCCTCACGTCTCGGCTACTTGCACTGATGATAACTTCACACAGTCGTCCACCTGTTTATTTTTATTTATCATTATTATTATCATTGTCTTTTTTTTTTTGAGATGGAGTTTCGCTCTTGTTGCCCAGGCTGGAGTGCAGTGGTGAGATCTCAGCTCACTGCAACCTCCGCCTCCCAGGTTCAAGCGATTTTCCTGCCTCAGCCTCCTGAGTAGCTGGGATTACAGGCGCCCGCCACCACGCCCGGCTAATTTTTGTATTTTTAGTAGAGATGGGGTTTCGCCATGTTGGCCAGGCTGGTCTCGAACTCCTGACCACAGGGGATCCGCCCGCCTCAGCCTCCCAGAGTGCTGGGATTACAGGCGTGAGCTACTGTGCCCAGCCTTGTCCACCTGTTTGGAGATGCCCTCGTGTCTGTGTGGACCCGCAGAGAGACACGCACAGGCAGACCCACGGACGCACAGACACAGACACAGGCACACACACATATACCCATCCAGATGCACAGAAATGCAGACACAAAGGCACACATGCAAGCACACGCCACAAGACATGCACACACGGACACATGCAGGACACAGATACACTGACAGGTACACACATGGACACACAGATACAGCAAGACAGGCACACACACACACACGGACACAGATACAGTGACAGGCACACGCGCACAGAGACAGACATGCACAGATGGGCACACTCACGCACGGACACACAGTGATACACCAACAGGCACACACAGACGCAGACATGCACAGATGGGCACACACACATGGACATACAGATATAGCGACAGGCACACACAGACGCAGACATGCACAGCAACAGGCACACACAGACGCAGACATGCACAGATGGGCACAGACAGACACGCACGGACACACAGATACACCAACAGACAGGCACGCACACAGACGCAGACATGCACAGCTGGACACACACACACACGGACATACAGATACAGTGACAGGCACACACAGACGCAGACATGCACAGATGGGCACACACACACACGGACATACAGATACACCAACAGACAGGCACACGCACATAAACATAGACATGCACAGATGGACACGCAGACACACATGGACATACAGATACAGCGACAGGCACACACACACGGATGCAGACATGCACAGATGGGCACACGCACGGACACACAGAGATACCCCAACAGGCACACAGACGCAGACACACAGACATACACACATATACCCACACAGACGCACAGAAACACACATACCCTCACACATATGCAAGCACACACCACAGAGAGTTGCACACACACAAACGCAGATGCAGACACAGAGACACATTCTTACGCACGCACACACAAGGACATACCACACACAGTCAGTCATGCACACACAGACACATGCACACACAGACGTACACACAAGCACAGCAGTGACATGCACACACACCATGCACACAGATACAGATGGGCACACAGACATGCACACACAGACATGTACACATATATCCACAGACACGCAGACACACATACCCTCAGAGACATACACACCACAGAGGTGCACACACACACACGGACTCAGACACAGAGACATTCTGACGTACAGACACGCATGCAAGGACATACCACACAGAGATGTGCACACACAGACTCAGAAACACACAGAGACACAGACACAAGCACAGCAGATGCTCACATATCCACACAGACACACACCATGCACATAGATGCAGACACACAGACAAGCACACCCAGACACATGCACACAGACACACAACCACAGCAGTCACATATGCACACAACCACCGGCCCACAGCATGCACACAGATGCAGACGTACACACAGACACATGCACACAGGGACACACAACCACAGCAGTCACATACACACACACACCTACCAGCACACAGCATACACACAAATGCAGACACAGACGGGCACACAGACGCACATACACAGACATGCACACATATATCCACACGGATGCACACACATCACCTCACAGAAACATATGCAACCACACACCACAGAGACTTGCAGACACGTGGACACACAGTCTCATGCACAGACACACACACAAGGACATACTACACAGACGTGCACACACAGTTACATATGCACGGAAGACACACACCATGCACACAGATACAGACACAGACATGCACACACACACACATGCACACAGACACACAAGCACGACAGTCATATGCACACAGACACCCACCGGCTCACAGCATGCACACAGATGCAGACACACACACACAGACATGCACACATATACCCACACAGACACACACACATACTCTCACAGAAACATATGCAACCACACACCAGAGACGTGCACACACATGCGGATGCAGACACACACACACACAGACATGCTCACGCACAGACATGCTCCATGTCACAGGTATGCTCCAGGGCATACCACACACATGCACACAGAGAGACACACACACACAAGCACCGTAGACAGTCCCATTTGCACACACATACCCACCATGGAAACGCCCAGGCAGAAACACAGGTGCACACACAGCCATGCCCTCTGTCTAGAAAGAGATGCTGCAGTCTGGAAAAGGTTAGCAGGGTGAACAGGAGGAGGGCTCACCTGCTGCGAAGTGGATCTGCACTGCCTGCGGTCCGGGGGGTTGGAAGTGGGCGGCCAGCTCGATAATGTCTGGGAGGTCAAACACAGTCACCTGCATACGAGGGTACTCACGGGCCAGCTCTCGGGCCAGTGCACCCGTGCAGCCTGCGGGGAAGCAAATGCATGCTCTGTGGCTGGGTCGTCTATGGAACTCTGACGACTCTCCAAAGCTCAACTGGGGCAGAAGTAATGTTCAAGGGCATGGCATTGATTCCCATGCTGGAAGGGAAAGCCAGTGGTGGGGAGCTCGCTGGTATCCCAGACAAGACTGTACAAGCAGGTGAGTGTGGGGGCACAGACCTGCAGGGAAATCCTTCCAGCCCAGGGGTGGAGGGCTGTACTCCCTTCTCCTTCCTGCCGTGGGGATGTAGACACAATGGCCGGTGCTACAGCAGCCACTCTGGGCCACGTGTAGGGGGCACAGACCTACAGGGAAATCCTTTCTGCCCAGGGGTGGGGGCTGTACTCCTCCCTTCTCCTTCCTGCCATGGGGATGCAGACACGATGGCTGGTGCTACAGCAGCCACTCTGGACCACAAGGAGGAGAGGCATTCAGAGGTTGGGGAAATGTAAGCTGATGGTGTGAGAATCGTCCCAGGCCCCGATCCCCCAGCAGCCCTTGGGAATGTGTCTACTGCTCCACCCACTGTCCAGGGCTGGGGTGGGGTGGAGGGTGAGTCAGGATATAATCAGACTTGCTGAGGGGAATCCAGGGGTTCCAAGGTGCTCTGCCTCAGCTCCGCAGCCAAAAGAGAGGGCCCCGGAGTTTCTAGGGGGGCATTTAGGCATCCCCGGGGTCCTCCTGGAACTTGGGAATATCCACCCATGATCTGGGACTCAGCCTGGCCCGGTTCAGGTCGTTATCAGGTTTGTCAATGGAAAAAGGCAGTTGGTAGGTGTCCTGAGCAGGGAAGATACCTGTGGCTTAATAAACGAAAGTAAGGAGAGCCCTGGCGGGGGGGCCACCCACCTCCCACGTCGCAGGCGGAGGAGAAGCGGGACAGATTGAAGGCCGTGGCCACCTGGCACGCAGTCAGCTTCGTCATGCCGTGCATGGCCCGCATGAACCTCAGCCGCGTCTCCGGGCTCTGGTAGTACGCATCCTGGAACACAGCAGGTGCTTAGGGGCACCAGAGAACACGGGGCGAGGGCTCGCCCAGCCTCTCCCTGGGGGTCGGGGGGAGAAGTGCAGGGCTCCAGAGCGTGGGGGCTCAGCCGCGCCTGGGCTGCAGAGCGGGCTTCATGCCACAGCTGTGTGGGCTACTCTTGTCTGTGTGGGGGCTGGGCTGGCTGGGGACAGAGGACCCCAAAGTGGTGGACGATCTCCTTGGAATCACTTGGTCCACACCACAGCCTGAACTCCAAGCGTCTGACTTTCGCAGTAGGCTTTTCACAATAAAGCTTTTCACCCTGGAGGCTCCGGGTGGCCCACAAACACCTCACTGGAGAAAACCAGGAGAGAAGCCACAATGTCTCTGCAGGTGCCCCGGCTCAGCCTTCACCACAATGGTGCGGTGTGCAGAGGGGGCTCCTCCGAGAATTCTGGTGTGCAGAGGAGAAGCTCCTCCGAGCTTCTCCAAGTCCCCCCAGTGGCACCTACCCCGGGTCCCAGAGGAGCCCAGGCTCATCCTGGCTCAGTGCTGTGTCCAGGGTTCGCCTGGACATCCCGTCCCTGCAGGGCAAGCAAGCCCAGCTGAGGATGCTTCTGAGCCCCGCTCCCAGCAGGACAGCCGGTCTCCATCCTGGCTCCCTAAATCTCGCGGGGGCTCCCCGGCCCTCCCCTGCGTGGGTGGCAATCATGGGGCTCAGGGATCTGTCCTCTGCGATGCCCACGCTGGCTGCTCACGCCAGCTCAGGGCCCCTGTCCGTGCCTCTCGGCTTCTCCACCACTGGCTTCTCTCTCTGACTCTTTCTCCCTTGGTCTCTGTCTGTCTGTCTCTGTCTCCGTCTGTGTGTCTCTGTCTTCCTCTTTCTCTCTCTCTGTTTCTGTCTCCTGTCTCTGTTTCTTTCTATCTCCCTCTGTCTCTGTCTCTATGTCTGTCTCCTGTTTCTGTCTCTATCTGCCTCTATCTCTGTCTCTCCAAGCCTCCCTGTCTCTGTCTCCCATCTCCCTCTATGTGTCTGTCTGTCTCCATCTTTGTTTCTGTCTCCCTATCTCTGTCTCCGCCTCCCTCTGTCTCTCAAGTCTCCCTGTCTCTCCATCTCTCTCCCTATCTCACTATCTGTCTCCCATCTCCGTGTCTGTCTCACTCTATCTCTGTCTCTGTCTTTCTGTCTCCCTGTTTCTGTCTCCCTCTATCTCCCTGTCTCTGTCTGCCTCCATCTCTGTCTGTCTCTGTCTCCCTCTATCTTTCTGTCTGCCTATCTCTCTCTCTGTGTCTCCCTGTCTGTATGTCTCTCCCCAACATCTGCAGGAAGCCCCCGGCTCCCTGGGGCTCATCTCTGCATCACACACACACACCCTGACTCCGTGCTCACTGCCACAGAAGCTCGGCCAGCGCTGCCAAGGAGGCATGAGGCCACGGCCAGCCGAGCCCACAGCAGACTCCCCACGCCTGGCTGGCACAGCCCTGCAGAC
The DNA here is from genome assembly GCF_000001405.40 of Homo sapiens. Classification (NCBI taxonomy): domain Eukaryota; kingdom Metazoa; phylum Chordata; class Mammalia; order Primates; family Hominidae; genus Homo; species Homo sapiens. The sequence goes on from NC_000024.10 coordinate 1,420,590, forward strand.
CGAGACCCACCCATCTGCACAGGCCCCACGGACCCCACCATATCTCACACGTCCACCTCAGGAAGGTTCTGGGCGGGGAAAGGGGAAGGAGGGGCGAGAGGATGCAGGGAGCGCTTTGCAAACAGCGGCCTCAGATAAGCAAGTGTCAGTTCCATTGAAGCAAAGAAGAAACAGGGCATTCATTTAAGGCAGCCTGTCCAACTCCTTCCTATTTCTATTTTTCAGACAGAGTCTTGTTCTGTCACCCGGGCTGGAGTGCAGCAGCACCATCACGGCTTACACTGCAGCCTTGACCTCCCAGGTTCAAGTGATCTTCCCACCCACCTGGGCCTCCCAAAGTAGCTGCCTAATCATACCTGGCTAATCGTTAATTTTTTTTTTTTTTTTTGAGATGGAGTTTCGCTCTGTCACCCAGGCTGGAGGGCAGTGGCGTGATCTCAGCTCACTGCAACCACCACATCCCGGGTTCAAGTGATTCTCCTGCCTCAGCCTCTTGAGTAGCTGGGACTACAGGCACGCGCCATCATCCCCAGCTAATTTTTTTTTTGTATTTTTAGTAGAGATGGGGTTTCAGCACGTTGGCCAGGTTGGTCTCGCACTCCTGACCTCAGGTGATCAGCCCACCTTGGCCTCCCAAACTAGCTGGGATTACAGGCTCATGCCACCATGCCCAGCCTAACTGTTAATTTTTTGTAGAGATGGGGGTCTCACTATGTTGCCCAGGCTGGTCTCAAACTCCCGGGCTCAAATCATCCTCCCAACTTGGCCTCCCAAAGTGCTGGGAGTGACAGGTGTGAGCCCCTGAGCATGGCCTTCAAACCTGTTTCTAGGAGGAAATTCTATTTTCATCAGCTGCTGGATAACAGTGGAGGATGTCTAAGTTGCACCTGTTCCAGGGCTGAGTGACACAAGAGCCACGGCACTAAGTTCTCCAGGCAGAACGAGCCAAGCCTTTGGGATCTGTCAGACTGGAGACAGACTGGTCAAGGTGCCTACTGATCTGTGTGTCAAAGTGTTTTAGCAAAATGCACGCTAGACGGAAAGGTGTCCGCGGGGGTGTTATGCTACCTGGAACAGATCTTCCGCCTTCTTCCCCAACGCCCTGTGGTGCTGGTTTGTTCCCTCTCGGATGGCAAACTCCAGGTATGTAAAGAGGTTCCATGTGAGGTCATTATTGTGCATGATGAAGCCGTGCAGAGAGTATTCGCCATCCGATGCCAGGTAGACGTTCGCTGTCTCTGTGTTACTGTAACCTGGAGAAATGGGGACAGTCGTGTGACCTCCTAACGAGAAAACCCAAGGAAACCTGACCGTAGGGGATGTATCATTGAGATGTTAAAATAAACATCACCCATCTGACTATAGCAAACCGTACACTCAAGGAAACCTGACCATAGGGGATGCATCATTGAGATGTTAAAATAAACATCATCCATCTGACTATAGCAAACTGTACACTCAGGGTCAGCTGGGCAGGAAAACAGCAGCCACCACGCCCCAGCTGTCAACTGCTGTAACTGTTACCCACTGAGGCTGATCCTTTCTTCATGATCGTGGCCACGCTCAAGTTCCCAGTTATGCAGGCAAACACCCATCTAGATGTGGCTGTGGAGGTGTGCTGTAGCTGGCGTTTGCATCTACCATCAGTTTGACTTTAAGGAGATTAACCCCCCAAAATGTGCATTGGCCTCATCCAGCTCATTGAAAACCCCAGAAGCAAACATTGGGCTTTCCTGGAGGAGAAATTCCACTTGAAGATGGCAGCAGCAGCTCCTGCCTGAGCTTCCAGCCTCCTGGCCTGCCCTGTGGATTTTGGACTTGCCAGCCTACACAATCACGTAAGTCCTCAAGATAAATCTCCTAGGTTATATCCTAGGGGTTCTGTTACCCTGGAGAGCCCCAAATGATACAGGGAACTTCATTCTCCACCCACTTCATGCCCAGGTCAGCTGTCCATAGACCCAGTCCCCAAGCTCCCTTCCAGGATGCCCCCTCCCACAGAATGGGAGGCTGGAAGGTGGAGAAGTTGTTGGTGGAGACCCGTATATGGAAACAGATGGCCTCGCACCACTCCGGTCCTCCTATGTAAGAAACAGCCCTGTGTTCATGTTAATGATGAAATGTTACTGTTTTCCCACCGAGCTGACCCTGAGTGTACGGTTTGCTATAGTCAGATAGATGACATTTATTTTCATCATGAATAAATGATGAGACCTATGGTGAAGCAGGAGCAGCCTCTGCAGACGTGGAACTGCTCCTAGGACTCAACTGCACAAAGCGTTGTCAAAAGGAGTTGGAACAAGCTTGCATGGTGCCGGTGATGAAAAGCCTTTCTCCATATTCATCATTATTTTCTTTCTTTTAATTTTTTAATTTTTTTTGAGATGGAGTCTCACTCTGTCCCCCAGGCTGGAGTGCAGTGGCACGATCTCAGCTCACTGCAAGCTCCGTCTCCTGGGTTCATGCCATTGTCCTCCCTCAGCCTCCCGAGTAGCTGGGACTACAGGCACCCGCCACCGTGCCCGGCTAATTTTTTGTATTTTTAGTAGAGACGGGGTTTCACCGTGTTAGCCAGGATGGTCTTGATCTCCTGAACTCGTGATCTGCCTGCCTTGGCCTCCCCAAGTGCTGGGATTACAGGCGTGGCCTATTCATCATTATTTTCAATACGGGAGAATGGTCCTGAACTGCTCTGGCTGGGGAAGATGTTCTGGCTTCTATGTTCCAGCCTCTAAGGATATAGTCACATGTCTCTGTGGTAAGGGCACAGCCTTTGGAGCCTCAACCAGGGCATGCTTTGTCTCCTAATCACAGAAGCACAGCCACCTCTGCCCAGGTGTCATCTGTTGTCCTGCCCTTCCCAGGCTACTCAAGGACTTGGTCATGTGCTCTCTATTCTAGCACCATGCTGAAGAGTTCTGTTCAATTCAGAAAACACATTGTCATCCATCCATCCATCCACCCACTCACCCACCCATCCAGTTATCCACTCACCCACCCATCTAGTCATCCACCCACCCATCTGCTGATCCACCCATTCATCACTCATCTATGCATTCCCCCACCCATCCAATCCACCGATCCACCCATCTACCCACTCATCCATCCATTCCCCCACCCAGCTACCCATCCAGCAATCCACTGATACATCTATCCATCCATCCTCCCATCCATCCGTCCACCCACCCATCCATCTATTCACCCACCCTCCCAATCATCCACCCAGCCATGCACCCATCCATCCACTCATCCATCCATTCACACGCCCACCCATCCACATGCCCACTCATCCATCCATCCACCTACCCATCCATCTATTCACCCATCCACTGATGGATCCACTGATCCATGCACCCATGCATGCATCCATACATCCACATCCATTTATCCATTCATTCCCCCACCCATCCAATCACTCATCCATCCATCTGTCCATCCATCCATCCATCCACCCACCCACCTACCCATCCATCCACCCATCCACTGATGGATCCACTGATCCATCCACCCATGCATGCATCCATCCATCCACATCCATTTATCCATTCATTCCCCCACCCATCCAATCACTCATCCATCCATCCATCCACCCACCCACCCACCCATCTGTTCACCCACCCTCCCCATCATCCACCCAGCCATGCACCCGTCCATCCATTCATGCACTCATCCACATGCCCACTCATCCATCCACCCATCCAACCACCCACCTACCCATTCATCCATCCATTCCCCCACCCAGCTACCCAACCACCGATCCACTGATATATCTGTTCATCCACCCTCCCATCCATCTGTCCACCCACCCATCCGTCTATTCACCCACACTCCCAATCATCCACCCAGCCGTGCACCCATCCATCCACTCATCCATCCATTCACACGCCCACCCATCCACACGCCCACTCATCCATCTATCCACACATCTATCCACTCACCCATCCATCCACACATCCATCCATCCATCCATCTGTCCGTCCATCCATCCATCCAGCCACCCATCCACTCACCCACTTATCCATCCACCCATCCATCCACTTACCCACCCATCTATGCACTCATCCACCGATTCATCGATCCATCCATCCATCTACCCACCTTTATCCATCCAGTCATCCACCCATCCATCCACACATCCTTCCATTCACACATCCATCCATCTATCCACTCACCCACTCATCCATCCACCCATCCATCCACTTACCCACCCATCTACCCACCCTTCCATTTATCCATCCACCTCTCCATCCATCCATCTATCCATCCACCCACCCACCCATCCATCCACCCATCCACTGATCCACCAATCCATCCACCTTCCCATCCATGTATCTATCCATCCATTGATCAATCCATCTGTCCATCCATCCATCCATCCATCCCTCCTCCCATCCATCTATCCACCTACCATCCATCCATCCATCCATCCATCCTTCCTCCCATCTATCCACCTACCATCCATCCATCCATCTATCCATCCATCCATTTATATATCAACTCTACCCATCATCTATGTATCTGTCATCTCTCTATCGTCAATCTATATCAATGTATCTATGCATTTATCATCTATCTATGTATCTGTCTACCCATCCATCTACGTTATTTGTCTATAAAAATAAATAAGCAACTAAATCAATGTCTGTGTACACCGTATTGGGTTCTGTTTCTCAGGAGAACATGGACTGATACAGCCCCTTTGAGACTAGAGCCCATAAGGAGGTCACGCTTCTCCTATGTGCTCGCGGCTGCCACTGTTCCCTCTCTGTCATTCACCCTCTGCTTCTCAACCTTTCGGGAAAAGCAGCATTCCTGAGGGCAGAGGGACAGAAGGTGTGGGCCTCCTTCCTCGCTCTGCCCAGGCTCCAGGTCACCTTCCCTCAGTGACTTCCACCTGCAAAGATCCTCAGAGCAAAACCCGCTGGGTCCTGTCACCTTGCTCTGTCTTCTCCAGGAGCCCCATGGCAGCACAGATGTCCAGAAGCCTCTCCATTCCACACGCAGAGGCGTCCACTTTGCTGGCAATATCCGCAGCCTTCTGGGGTGCTTCATCTTTTAACAAATCGAACACCTTCAGTTTGCAAGCGGTGAGCAGGCCCTGTTAAAAGCAAGTGCAGAGAGACTCATTAAGTCCCTTGTCCAGTACTTTCTACTCCCACAGACTCAAAAGATGGAGGCCAACGCTGTCGGAAGTATACAACTTGGCCATTGAGCCTTCTTTCACAGAGAACGGTGGGGATTTATAGGATCAAGTCCCCAGCTATAAAACAAGGTGTACACAAGGAAAAAGCACATCAACGAATATCATGCAGAAAAACTAGCCCATGGGAGAAAAATCAACATGCTGCCGATATGGACTGAGTTCAAAACCCAGATGTTGAACTCCTAATCCCCCCAGTCCCTCAGGATGTGACTGTATTTGTAGGCAGGGTTTTAAAGAAGTGATTCAGGTAAAATGAGGTCATTTGGGTGGACCCTAATCCAATAGGACTGGGGTCCCTATAAGAAAAGGAGATGAGGACACAGACACACACACAGGGACGACCCTGTGAGGACACAGGGAGAAGACAGCATCTCCAAGCCCAGGAGAGAGGCCTCAGGAGGAACCAGCCCTGCCCACACGTTGATCTTGGACCTCCAGCCTCCAGGACTGTGGGAGAATCAATGTCTGTTGTTTATAAACCACCTGGTGGTGATTTAATAATCACCACTTGGTAAATTAGAGGCACAGACGGAATGTGCTGTAACCACCTTTATTCCTT